>NC_000003.12:77510000-78760000 GCF_000001405.40 Homo sapiens | reverse complement strand
ACAACACGTGGGAATACAGTCAAACCACATCAGCGTGGTAGTTTTATGTTGTCCAGATTCTCACTCTCCATAGATATCATTCCTAAAACTGAGGTGACTGAAAATGTCCTGTTGTGGAATTCCCCTTTGATATGTCTCCTTTCATTTTTGCATATTTTTTACGTTAAAAGGCATGCTGTTTAGATGCCTCGATCTTTCTATGGTGCATTTTCAGAGATGTGAAGACCTCTGGGGCAGCAAAAATAGAAAATGTTCCACAGTTCCTTATTTCAAAGCAATGAACTGTGTTACAATAATTAACAAACAACAAATCTGTCAGACAGAAGCCTACTGCATGAGGATAAAATTCGGTGGGAATTAAAATGGAAATAGAAGTTCTGAGAGAAAAATGAGTAATATAAAATTGACAACTGAAAAAACAGCTATTTATACATATATTTAAATGGACAAGAGGGGGCCTCAAATCATGGTGGTCTTTATAGCTTATTGGATGCACTTAAAAATGGCACAAAATGATTTTATTTTTTAACTCAATTCTTATGCTGTAAAATAGAACCTTTGGAGGGGCAACTTTAACCATAGCTTATTTCTCTCGTTCGCTTTTTTTTTTTAAGTGTTCTATTTGTTCATTTTTTTTGGATTTGAAGTAGTCTTTGATGACATGCGTGGCCTGAGATTCTTTATCATAGACCTTAACTATCACACAACTGCAACCAACCACTTTACATGTTTTCCCCTGTGAGATTCACAGATACCCAACCATTTCCCTAGTATCATGTTGTCATCAGCCTTAACAGGTTGATTTGGTGTTCATCACAAGAACCTTCACCAATTTGACATACGTATAGGCTCATCACATTTGCTTGCAAGAGCACAAAGATGGGCTTGGCCCTTGTTTCAGACTTTGGCGCCACCACGAATCCCACACGCCAGGCCCTCATGGATGAAGGCGCTCTCCAGCACCTCTTGCAAAGCAGTGTTAGTGTCCATCACAGCTCTCGCAGCAATGCCTTCCTAGGCCACGCAGGTGGGTTCCTGGTGGTGGAAACACTTCAGCCTCTGTCTCTGCGTGATTTGGGGTAACAGGAAAAGAGCCAGAGTTTCTTCCCATTGCCTCACAGGCAATGTGTAACTCTCCAGAACATGGGTTAGCCATCTTGTTGATTGCAGGTGTTTTGTATATAGTAAACTCAGCTGATACTGAGAGTGAGAGGTTCAGGTGAGGGGTTGCTGAAGATGTGACTTCTGTAGCACAAAAATTTCCTCCATTGTAAACACTCTATTTCCATGAACTGATATTAAAAATAGACACAATCAACACACACACAAATAACATTTAGTAATGGTTAATAATTAAAGATCTTCACTTTGAGAGAGTAGTATTTGTTTTTATTGAATTGTTTGCCATGTTCAATATTTTTTCTTTGGCTTCCAATATGTCCTGAGGAGGATTTTTTTTTTTTTTTTTTTTTTTTGAGATAGGGTCTCACTCTGTCACCCAGGCTGGAGTGAAGTGGCATGACCATGGCTCACTGAAGCCTTCTTGACCTCTGGGCTCAAGCAATCCTCCCACCTCAGCCTTCCAAGTAGCGGGACTACAGGCCTGTGCCACCACACCCAGCTATTTTTTTATATATATTTTTTGTAGAGACAGGTGTCCCACTGTATTGCCCAGGCTGGTCTCAAACTGCTGGGCGCAGGCAGTCCTCCTGCCTCGGCCTCCCAAATGCAGGGATTACAGGCGTGAGCCACTGCCCCCAGTGAGGAATGAATTTTATAATTACATAAAACAATTACTGGAAAAGATAGCATCATTAATAAGAATAATAAAATGATTCACTTTCTGCTAATTTAATCTCAAGTACCTTAAGTCAGAGTTGTTAGCGTGATTCTAGCTATCATCCAGAGGAGGTCTTAAACTTTGTCTGCCAGAGCTGATGGCTGAGCAGACTCTCCCAAGGGCTCTGTAGTTTGTTAGGAAAACACAGCTCACGCAGCTACACAATCGCATGCTTGTTATTTTCCTTGGAGATTCAGAGCCCTGTTAGGTATTTGGCATTATTATTTTGAAGCCAAAGACAGGCTCTGATAGGGGAAGATACAAGGAATTAACAGATCTGAACGTTATGTTCAGCAATAATAAAAGTGATTTAGGGCAGACTGTCACCAATTAAAGATCCCTTTGTTTAGTTCATGTGTTTCTGTGTATGCTATTTAGACTTGGTTTTTTCTATCACTGAAATATTCCTTTGGGTTGTGTGGGGAGGGGATGTTATAATTGGCAACCTTAATTATGCTTCACAAAGATACATTGGTGGGAAGAGTTTGTTTGTTTGTTTTCAATTCAATAGCTATTTTCTCTAGTTCTTCCCAATTACTAGGGAGGTTTTAATGAGATCATTTTAAACTGTGAGGATTCTTCCCCCTTGAGACTGTTACCATTATCACCCCTGCTCCGTAAAATTTGAAAACTCCTTTTAATCCTTCTCCTATTTAACTGCTGGTATTGTGGGCTTGAGAGGGTAAAGAAGTGTGAGTTTGTGAGTGTGTGTGTGTGTGTGTGTGTGCATGTGCGCATGCCTTTGTTTCCCAGAAAATATTTAAATTAGAAAACACTCTAGTCTTTTTCAGGCACTTAAAAGATATGTGTGTCTTTATGAAAATAAAAGTTGAAAACATCTGTTTCAGGTTGTGTTCGATCACTCATCGTGCAACCTTGAGTCCTTGCATCACCTATGTGTCCTCATTTGCAATTGCGAGTGGGAGTGGAAGTAGGGAAGGTTGTACTAAGATTAAAGTTATGATTCTCAGCCACACGCAGTGGCTCACACCTTTAATCGCACCACTTTGGGAGGCTGACGCAGGTGGCTCACGTGAGGTCAGGAGTTTGAGACCAGCCTGGCCAACATTGCGAAACCCTGTCTCTACTAAAAGTACAAAAATTAGCTGGGCATGGTGGTGCTTGCCTGTAATCCCAGCTACTTGGGAGGCTGAGGCAGGAGAATCAGTTGAACCCAGAAGGCGGAGGTTGCAGTGAGTTGAGATTGTGGATTGTGCTGCTGCATTTCAGCCTGGGTGACAAGAGTGAAACTATCTCAAAAAAATAAAATAAAAAATAAAAAAGTTATGATTCTATATGAGCTGTTATTCACATTATGTTGTTGTTTTTTACTGGTGACTTTTGAGCCTTTTCTTCAGGACCACTAGACCTGAATGAACTCTTCTGCAGGATAGCCCAAGGTGGAAAAGTAAAATAGTATCTCCTTTATTTGTTTTGCATATTAGACTTTTATCTAAAATTTCAATTAAACAAAGCATGCTATGAAATACACACACATACACACATGCACACACGCACACACAAAGGAGAGAGAAAAATTCTGAAATAAGTGCCCTGAAAGCAGAGACTTTGTCTTGTTTATCTTACTAGCTACCATCACCAAATATAGTGTGTTGTACTTTTATTGAATGAATGATTAAGTGAATCACAAAATCCATAAGATTTTTGGGATTCAGTGTAATTGCAGGGAATTTTACATATGCTTTACATATGTGAAAGTGAAATGCTGTGAACTTTTTGTGCATTCCAATTGTAGAATATTCTTTAATATGTTATTAGTTCTTGTGTCCTTAAATATTGATTTATCATATCCTTTAGTGTGTTATTCATTTTATTGTTATTGATTTAATATGTTATTGAGCTTAATTTATGGCAGTCCTTGGAAATGACCCACGTTTTGAGTTATTTTCATTTTCCAATCAAAATAACTGAGTGTTTTTTGTTTTGTTTTGTTTTGTTTTTACCATAATTTGGTGCTTAGTGTTACCATCACAGTATATCAATGACTAGCGGTCATGTATGTCACGTGTCTGTATTATACATACATATATATATAATCCACATATGTTGTATATATACATTTATAAACTTAGAATGTATCAGATGTATTTGAGTTTTTCAGTTAAAAAATACATGATATGGATCAAACTAGATTAAAATTTGTCATCCCCAAAATTAAAGTATGAATTCATTGATCAATGAATATTATCAGTTAGCAAATAAGATTTGAAATATGGTAGCATATAGATCCAAATAGCTCAAAATCAAGGGCTGAATTTAAAGCCATAATATTTTTTAACCAATGAAACAATTTTCATATCAGACTCTATACTCTCAAATCATGTTTTAAATTTTTTAAAAAATAAGGATATCTTTTGTTCTGTTGTTCCTCCTCGTAGAAGGATTTACTTATATATTGTCTACCTATTCTCCTGTACCTTGAAAATGGCATGATCAGTTACTCAGATTAGAAACCTGGGTGTTATTATTAATGTCTTTCTCTGTCAACTTCAGCCCTTCAATAAATCATTTTGATTTTTGCCAACAAAAGGTACCTCCAATCTGTCACTATTGTGTCAAATCTGGTATCATAATCATGGTATAAAACCATCACCATTTTACCTGTAATTACTTCAGTAGCCTTCTAATTGGTCTCTATACTTCCTTTTTTGTTTGTTTATTTTTTTGAAACAGGGTCTGGCTCTGTTGCTCAGGCTGGAATGCAGTAGTGCAATCATGTCTCAAAGTGGCCTCAATCTCCCAGGCTCAAGCGATCCTCCTACCTCAGTCTCCCCACTAGCCAGAACCACTGGTGAGCACCACCATGCCTAGCTAATTTTGTACATTTTGTTTTTTGTAGAGACAGTGTCTCACTATGTTTCGCAGGCTGGTCTCCAACTCCTGGGCTCAGGCCATCCTCCAGCATCTGCCTCCAAAATGCTGGGATTATGCGCTGAGCCACCACACCTGGCCTCCACGTCCATTATTACTTCCCTCTCCATTTCATTCACAGAGCAGCTAGAATGAACACTGAAGTATGAGAATTTCATTATAACACTATGTTGCTTAAGACTCCAGTGGCTTCTCATTGGAATTAAAATAAAAGCTTACCCTTGCTCATGGCTGCTGTGCATAGCAAATCTGGTCCCTGTCGTCCCTACCAAGGTTGTCTTGTTTTGCTCTCCACCGGTACCACTACACGGCATCCAAGGCTTTTCCAGTGTACCAGGATTTTTCCTCACCTGAAGTATTTCCTGTGCCTGCAATGCACTTCCCGAGGATAAGTTTTACTCATTACTCAGGCTTCACCTTAACTGTTACTTCCTTACTATTCCCTCACCTCCAATTTAAATTATGTTTCTCATTATTCTCTCACACAGCCTCCTATACCTTCCTTCATGACATGTATCACAATTATAGTTGTATATGTATGTGTTTATTTGAATATGTGTGTCTACCTCCCTATACCCCAAGCACTACAACTATAGAACTCCCGCCAATGCAAGCCACCATTTAAAATCTACTACTTAGCATATTGGAAAGTGTAGTAAACATTTACTGGATACCTCCTGTGTCTTGGATGTTGTCCTGGGCACTGGAAATACTAGGGGATAATCACAAATTCCCTGTTCTCATGGAGCTGACCTTCAGATACAAAGAGCCAGGCAATAAATACAGAAGCATATTTCTTTGATTGAGGACTCTTGCTGCAAGGCTACATAAAAAGTTGGATTTTACAAAAGAAAGAATGCATGCTTGTCTTGCCCTAATCAGGGTCCCGTAGCTCAGATATCCTCATTTTGTCTGTGTTTTTTTAACCCTGCCAGGCTACTCCTGAGTGTGACTTTTGCTCTGGCACTTTAAAACCCTCATCAATGGCATTCTTTGTCCTCCTTTCCATTTGTACTGGCAGCTGAGAAATTTGGCAATTCCTTACATAGTGACTAATAGCAATACTTCTTTGCAGATGTAATGCACCATATAAATGGCAAGTCCTGTATAAACATTAAATAATTAGCTTTCATAATAACCCTATCAAGATAGAGTGTAAAACTCTCTGTTTTTTATGGAAATAACTGAGTCATTGTGAACGTACCTGTTAAAATCACAGAATAGTGAAAGAATCTGTGTTGTGATTCTGACATTCTAGACTTCTGTTTCTGATTCATAAATAAACACATCTACAAATATTACTGTATAAAATGATGTCCTGTAAAAAGTGAACTTTTAAAATAAATCTATCATTTATAGGTTATTTTAAAGTGTATAAAATGCAAACATACAGTAAGTTACTGACTTTAAGTTAGAACATATGATTTTAGCCATTTGACTTACTTTGGTGATACATTTTAAAATGATCTACCAGACTTTCAAGTCCACTGAATATTAACTATTTAAATGTTGATTCTAATGAGAACACATGGACACAGGTTGGGGAACAACACACATCAGGTCCAGTTGAGGGGCAGAGAAGGGCAAGGGGAAGGAGAGCATTAGGACAAATAGCTAACGCGTGTGGAGCTTAAAACCTAGATGTCAGGTCGATAGGTGCAGCCAACCACCATGGCACATGTATACCTATGTAAGAAACCTACACACTCTCCACTTGTATCCCAGAACTTAAAGTCAAATTAAAAAAAAATTGATCCTTACTGATGTACACTTTTCTCTAGAACACATTACAAATTTTAACTGAAACCTACTATGCCAAACTTACCTTCTCTTTGTCCTGAAGACTTAGTGCTGTTGGAATAAGCACTAGGGAGTATTTTGCACGGCAGTACAGGAAGTGTCATTATGATGTTCATATTTCTGCAAAATGTGAATGTGGTTTAAGCTTGAACCCAATCTGGATGTAATTCTAACAATTAAAAGACCAGAGACAACATGGCCCCGTTTCTACAGCCCAGCAGATTGCAGAAACATACAACTGTATTTAAGTTAGCTTGCTTCTCCATCATACAGTATGTAAATAAACAATTTGCTAGTAATTGTTTTTATTCTGGTAATTCTTCTCATTTTATCTGCAATGCCTTGTGTTCATTCATGTTACGTTGTTATCATATAATGTTGAGTGATATTTGCCATCCATCCGCTATATCAGATTTTCAGAATGTACAATTTTTGAATAAAAGTACTCCTTTCCTAGGTTAGGACATAAGAGTTTTGTCCAATCTTCAAAAGTGCTTCTACCAGCATATTTTCTTCCAGGGTCCTAAGCAAAGCATAATTTAAGGTTTAAAAACAAAGTTGCATGATATAAGAAAAATACAAGTAGAAGACATACTTATTGTAGAATATTCCTAGATATATTCAGTGTCAAATTTTAAAAATTAAATGAGTACCTTTAGGAAACTTTATACAGAATTGATGTTCACATGCATCTTTTTTAGAAACAAATTCCTTAGCTTTAGAAGATGGTGTTGTAAGATGGATAATATTTGATGGAATATTATTTTACTTGTTATTATTTTAGTTTTCCTCTTCAATGGTTTATCTTTCTGTACATTTATCCTTTTGTTGGAATATTTTTTAAAGTTTGAAATTATTTAATAAATATTAAGAAATTTTTCACACATTTGTACAAAGAACAGCACTTCGTTCTTCTGGGCAGTGCTGTCAGCTAAAAAGTAAGACTGAAAATAGTTATAGAAGACTTTATGATATGCTTTCTGATCCAGCCTTCAAAATTTATCTCTTAATTCAAAATAACCTGCAATAAGACCCTATTGTATTACTGTTTCCCAAAAAGGTGAATATTAATGTTTTTTGACAGACGTCAACATTTTACATATACTTCACTGCAAGGAAGATACAAGAGTTATAGCACAGCTGCCAGACACAAAGTATGTGCTCAGTGCAGATGTGTTAAATGAAAGAATGATAGTTATTTTGATATTAAATTACACTTATTTACATCAGCATGACGTTGGTGTTCAGACAGGGAACTAGGAGTGTCATAAAAGTAAGTAATATTTTCTGTACTATGACTATGTATGTGAGTAATAATTTTGAAAACAATTAAAATGGTACATGGCAACAGAAATGGGTTGCTATTTAGCATTTATAGAGTTGTCTTTATTTACCTCGTCTTTATTTTCTCCTCCAATACACCTTAGTTTTTAAGGGATTCATTTTATTTTTTTTCCTAGTTGACAAGAGGTTACTATTTGCTGCAAGATTTCATTGATAAAGTAGTCTTTATCAATGGAAGTAGAAAAAAATAAATCCCAGGACTGCAGAATATCTTCCCCTATTTTTCCCAAGATACCCACTTCTAATTAAATTGCCCATATTTAATTAAAATGCTTCTTAATATACAGCTTTTTCAATCATTTTCTGGTTGAAATATAAAAGGAAGCATTGATAAAAATTAGCACATCATATGTGTTATGAATAATGAAATCTAATTCTCAATATTATTCTGAAAATGTAGTGTCCTCTTCCAAGAAAAATAATCTGAAAAAACACAGGAATGCAGAATATATTCAAAGATAGCCATATGATTGTCAGGAGGGAAATTTCTCACTTATGTTACAATAGAATGAGTCTGAAATATTAATTATATCATGATACTTGTGTATTTAGAATTATGAACACTATGTTAAGACCAGATAGGCAGGCAACTTGGTAGAGGAGTGTTCTTTACATACTGGAGTTCTATATTCTAGCTTGGCCACTGCATCCTACAAATTCCTCACCTGTGAATCAAAACCAATACATTCACTTTGTCATAGACTTGTTATGAGTATTAAATGAATTGTTACTTACTAAGGTTCCTTACACAGTAAATGTTCAATTAGCATCAGCCATTGCTAACATCATTATTATATTGCTGACATTATTATTATTATTATTATTATTACTATTTATGTGGCATGCTCCTCTCCCCCGAGGAGCCTTAATTTATTAATTTCTAAAACAAAAAAGTGCAGATCACACATCTATCAAGCCCCTAACCGCACTGAGATTCTATGATTCATGTAGGTAAAGGCATTGTATGTAGTTCACAAATATTCACAATGAGTTGTTCAAATTTCACTTGAGCACTTGAGCCTACCAAGATTGGATAGTGGTGAGACTGTAGCGCAGTGATGCACAATCGCCATAAGTCAAGCCTTTTGCAATAATAAAGTGAATTTATTGGAAATACAATGGATTAGATAGAACAATTGGATTTTTACATTACAATAGTCACGTGGTAAACAAGCAAAACAACAAAAAATAATGCTTCACTGGTAATCAGAATACCTGGGTTTTCTTCTGGTCCCCTTCTCATAAATAACACAAGCAAAGCTTCCTGGGACTTGGTTGTCTCTGTTTATGGGATTGATTATATGTTGTCAAAGATCTCTGCCCATTCTGTAATGTTATGTTTCAGTTCTAAAATTTCCTCAATGCACTTAAAGACTGTTTTGCAAGTAGTAAAGTCTCCATATTACTTGGAACACTTTCTGTTTAACTTTTTTTATTCTGCTTTGCTTCCTATCTTAATATTACCCAGATAAGTTGCAAAGACACCACTGAATTTTAGAATTCTTTTCTGAAAACGTGTTTACTTATTTTGAGAATTGTGTTAAAATTGATGTAAAGTTTTCAAAAAGTAGTGATTATATGCTTTGTTATGTTTTGTACAATTAGTGAACTTTTTTATTTTATTTTATTTATTTATTTATTTATTTATTTATTTATTTATTTATTTATTTTTGAGATGGAGTCTTGCTCTGTTGCCCAGGCTGGAGTGCAGTGGTGTGATCTTGGCTCACTGCAAGCTCCACCTCCTGGGTTCACACCATTCTCTTGCCTCAGCCTCCTGAGTAGCTGCAACTACAGGTGCCCGCCACCAAGCCCGGCTAATTTTTTGTATTTTTAGTAGAAACGGGGTTTCACCTTGTTATCCAGGATGGTCTCGATCTCCTGACCTCGTGATCTGCCTGCTGGCCTCCCAAAGTGCTGGGATTACAGGCGTGAGCCACTGCGCCCGGCCCAGTGAACCACTTTTTTTTAAAGAAAAAACCTTCTAGGATTCAAATATTTAATGAAATGTATGTTTCCTCTAATTTAATAGAATAAAAAATGAAATGCTGTTGAGTTAAATTATATGTACCTAACTATACACATAAAATAAAACTACACAAATATGAAAGAAACATTATATTGTTACAATCTTAGTGGGAACTCTGATTTAATACCTTTTTAGGTGATATCTACTTGGATACACTATGCATGCTACTTGCTCTTTTCAAATTAGTATTAGACCTTTTTGACAATTCCAAATTAAAATTTTCATACGATTCAAATCAAGAAACATTAAAAGTATATATACTTTGGTTAATAGAAATGGTTAAAGGAGAAAAGGAGAAGCTTTTCAAAAGATTTATCTGGGAATACTTATGGATGCTTTTGGTTTTTCTGCCAAAATGCTGCAAATCATTTGAATTTCATTTTTATTGTGATGACTTAAGTGTACTCATGAATTTTGAAAACTGGACAGTTTAACTAAAAGTTTCATATAGTTTTATAAGGTGGCACCATATTATTTTCCCCCAAAAGGAAATCTTTGGGATAAGTATAAGAAAGAAAAATTAGTTTTAGAAGAGAGAAGAAAAATATTAAATTCATAACTTTATGCAGAATTGCCATAGTCATGGGCAATACTGAAGTTTTATGCTTTACAGCTGCAAAAACAATCATATGAGCATTATCTAAGCAACAGTTTTTAATGGATTACATTTTGTTAGTTTTTCATTATATATTATAAAAGGCCAAATAACATAGTAAATATTTAAGAAAAACTTGATTTATCTGACTTAGACCTTTGATATTTCTGCAAGACATTTTATTATTCATTGGTTTGAGAAATGATTCAGCTTGTAAATAAGATATAGCATTACCAAATTGGTTTTAAGGTTGCCACAGAGAAAAATTGTGCATATTGTTTACTTTTATTTGAAAAGTATTTTACTTTTGGGTGTTTCAAAGGTGTTAACCTTTTCAGAGATGTTATCATTGATTAATAATGTGATCCAGCAAAGGCACATACTGCCTGTCAAGGTCAATCCATTTGCTTTTTCTGCAGGCCTTATATTTTATTTGTGTTACATTCTTAACACCTAATAATAATATAAGTTTATAAATAGTGAAAGTCTTTATACTCTGTTCTTTTATTATGTGGTAACAGTAGCTGGAGTTTTCAGTTTAACAAGGTTTACCTTTGTGTCTATATATTTTATTAATACTGAATAGTATTGAAGTTAGAATTTAAACAGTTTGGCGAGATCAGATTTATTTTGCTTTTCCTTTTACTGTTCTTTCCAAAGATAAGAAAGAAGGTCTTCTCTTTGAAGCAGTAGTTTCCAAATATTAACATAGTCATGCCGTGCCCAAGTTGTCTTAATATTCAGATTAGAAAATGGGGATTTTTTTCATGGATGTGATAACTTACTCGAATGGATACATCTAGTTGGTTGGAATTGAGGAAGGAAAAAATTTAAACTGGTTTGAGGTTTTGAAAAAAAGTTTAAGAGTGATTTTTGAAAGAACAGCTTGAGCATAAGTTTTTTACACTGTAGTACTTCATCCATGAAAGCACTTTTAAATGCCAGTGGAATGGAAAGACGTCCATTCCAGTACAAAATTATAGTAATAAATATTAAATTCAAATATTCTTTTAAAAATTCAATAGGATTTATTTATTTATTTATTTATTTATTTATTTATTTATTTATTTATTTGAGACAGAGGCTGGCGTGCAATGGCACGATCTCAGCTCACCACAACCGCCACCTCCTGGGTTCTAGCAATTCTCCTGCCTCAGCCTCCGGAGTAGCTGGGATTACAGGCATGCATCACTGTGCCTGGCTAATTTTGTATTTTTAGTAGAGACAGGGTTTCTCCATGTTGGTCAGGCTGGTCTCAAACTCCTGACCTCAGGTAATCCGCCCTCCTTGGCCTCCCAAAGTGCTGGGATTATAGGCGTAAGCCACCACACCCAGCCCAATTCAATAGGTTTTAAAAGATAAATAACATTTATCAATCCAAATCTGTGCACTTAACATACTAATAAACATTTTCAGTACCATGTTAAATTAGGTTACCAAAATGGTTCACATTCTACTACACATCAGATCAAGGAAAGCAGGGTGGAGGAATGATAACTATTGGACTTTGTACTGAAGTATATATATGTTCATCCCTCTTTTGTGAAAAGGGAAGCAAAAGTATTAAATAGTTATGTTCAAGATTGCATGTCTAGTATACAACAGAGTTGTATTTAAGACTAACATGCCACATAATTCATGATTTCTTGATGTTATCAAGATACTGGGGACAATTTTACTGTATGAGCTATTTTTGGAATATGTATTTGGTTTCTTTTCCACATTTAATTCTAACAGTTACAAAATACTGCTTGTTTTACAGTATGTTAATATTATATTAGTATCCAGTTGAAATTACAATAGTGAATTGTTTCTTCCTCCACAGTATGGGACTAATGTTAGTAGTACAATTAGAATTAATAATATCTCTCATTCTGAATAGGTTAAGGATTTAATGAGATAGTATACACAAAAAAACAACAAAAACATAGAACATAAAAGTGATGCTGTTGGTAGCACTGCTGTTATCCATATTGGTGCCTTCTAACAGTCTCAGTAATCATGGAAAAACACAATGAGTTTCAATGTAATGGCTTTGTAGATATGTCTAAAGTTTTTATATTGAGCATATTTAAATTATGATGATTATATAACCTTATACATTAATTTTATATATTTATAAAATATTGCTCAATTAAATTCATGCTTAGAAGTATCTTATTTTTTTCTTTTAATATTTAGCTTTGCATGTATATGTAATTCATTTAATTATAGAAAGCATTATCCTGTGGCATCATATAGATAAAAGGAGGATTCAGTTATATTGGTTAGCACATGGCTGAGAAAAATGTAGGCAGCAGGCAGAAAAGAAATGCAAGTTAAAGATGAGCCAAATACTAACTGTGAGGGCACTAAGCAGCGGAATACACGCGCCTGCTGGCCTCTGAAGAATATCAAATTATCCCTTCTGTGTATGTTTAAGGTCAAATATCTTTATTAAATTGCAGATGTCTATAAGTAGATATAGATTCTTAAAGCTGTATTGCAAGAGCTATTAGTGGTAGTTTATTATAATTATAATAAATGTCTCCTGCTGAAGTTCAGAGATTAGGACTGTATCTATCACTTTTGGGTATAATGATTTAATCTTGTTCCTACAGTACTTCGGGATGACTTCAGACAAAACCCTTCGGATGTCATGGTTGCAGTAGGAGAGCCTGCAGTAATGGAATGCCAACCTCCACGAGGCCATCCTGAGCCCACCATTTCATGGAAGAAAGATGGCTCTCCACTGGATGATAAAGATGAAAGAATAACTGTGAGTATTTAATTCAACAGCAGAGGACATTTGTTGGTCTAACTGTGTGTATCTTTACCAAAGAAAAAAGAGAAAAATGAAGTAGATTATTTTCAATAAAGGCTTGCGTCAGCTCCCATGTTCAGCTTTTCTTTTAAAAAATATATATTTCAATTCTTTCTGTGTTGACATGAAAGTAAGTAAGGAAAATTCATGGTGTTTAGAGATCAGTAAAAGAAAAACTATAATTCCTGTTTTAGTGTCTCAGAGTTAACACTTTTATGTATGACTTAATTATTGTCGTAACTCAGGGCTTATAAAATTTCCATGTGTTATAGTAAAAACTGTTTATTAAAGAAAATCTGTTATTTAGTATGTTTCCAGAAGGCCTCTTAAGCCACTTCAGGATGTTTTTATGTTTTTTTCTCATTTTTAAAAGTGCTTTTCTGTTCTATAGTGTTCAATATTGTTTCTGAAAAATAAAATCTTATTTTGAAAGGTGGTTAATGATGAATTTATCTCAATATAAAATGAAGTCATATGATGAGATTATTGGATTTCAAATTCCTGCTCTGATGTAAGAAATTATATGTGATTTGTATGAAGTCAAGATGCGTTTTCTTCTTGACAGCCGTGATTCTATATGACTTCTTTGTTTGTTTTGTCTTGGAAGATGTTGGCTAAAGCACCTCAGTCACCAAGCCCTCATTGATTTTGTGGTTGCTCAATATTTCCCTTTACGATTCTCTTTGTTCAGCATGCACTGATATCTGTCCATTGTGAATTCGCTGGTCAAGATTTAAAGTTCCCTAGGAGAATGTATGTGTGAGGAAAAGGTCACTGCTGAAGATGTACAAGAGCAAAGTTATAATGTAGACCGCACAACCTAATTAGTAGTTGCACTGTTTCTCAGCACCTGGTTAGTAGATTAGCTTGGAAAAAATTAATAGTGAGAAAAGTAGAGAAGGTTGTGTTAGACCAGGTGTTAGAGACCTTGAAAGAAAATTAAGCATTTTATTTTCATGTAAATCTGAATTAGAATGAGTCTCCCAAAGGATTTCTGTAATTCTTGGGATTGGTGTGAGGATGACATGGTTCTGCTCATAAGAGGTGCTGCAGAGTCACATGACAAAAGTAACTGTATGGGGAAACATTGGTTTTTGGAAATGAAGTCAAGAAAGAGCATGGGAGAAATAGAGCGAAGAAACAAATGCTTTTCTTGTTAGTGATAACAGATTCCTTTTGGATTCATGTACAATGAAGGTAAGAATACTTTGCCCTTAAAAATATATTCTAGATCATTTAATGACCATTATCTATAATTCCTCTTTCCCTTCCTTACTTATTCAAACACATTAAAACCATTATCATCCCTGACTTTCCCTCATGCCTTTCCTGATAACCTATTCATGTTTAATATAAGTTAGTGACAAAAATCTTTTTTTTTTTTTTTTTTTGAAATGGAGTCTTGCTCTGTCACCAGGCTGGAGTGCAGTGGCACGATCTCGGCTCACTGAAACCTCTGCCTCCTGGGTTCAAGCGATTCTCCTGCCTCAGCCTCCTAAGTAGCTGGGATTACAGGCATGCACCACCACACCCAGCTAATTTTTGTATTTTTAGTAGAGATGAGGTTTCACCGTGTTGGCCAGGATGGTCTCGATCTTCTGACCTCATGATATGCCTGCCTTGACCTCCCAAAATGCTGGGATTACAGGCATGAGCCACCACGCCCGGCCAACAAAATTCTTAGCCCTGGAGATGCAACTTGATCAAAACTCAGTGAGTGTTCTGCTGGAGCTTACATTTTATGAGTGCGTATACAGACAAAACCAAAATAAATAAGTGTAATATACAGTAAATTAAACTATAATAAATCCTATAAAAATAGAGAAAGAGTATACAGACAAAAACCAAAATAAATAAGTGTAACATACAGTAAGTTAAACTCTAGTAAGTCCTATTAAAAATAGTGAAGAGGTAGATGAATTCATTAGGGTTCAGGTGGGATTGAAATTTTAAATAGGCTGATTAGAGAGAATGCCTCACATAAAAACCTCAAAAAATTGATGGAATCAACTATACAAGTGTCTGGAAAAAGGGTATTCTAGGCAGATAAAATATTAAATAGAAAAACCCTAAGGTGGGGTATACCTAACGCATTCACTAGAGAGTAAAAAATCAGTGTTGGTTGAACAGAATGAGTAAAGATTTATAGGAGATACAATCAGGGGGTAGCCTTTTTAAAAAGGCTATGAATTTAATAATTGTCCAACTGCGTAGGCTCTTACAGGTGTTGTAGATAGTTTGGCTTTTCTTCTAAGTAAGGTGGGAAGCCTCTGCTCTCTTGAGAACACACTGAAACGTGGCAATGGTAGAGGCAGGGAGAACCACTAAGAGCTCTCAGGGTAATCTGGGTAAGAGACAAATGGTGGTTTGAACCAGGCTGTTAGGATGGGAAGGTAGTGAGGAGTGGCTAGATTCTGAATATACTACAAAGCAATAGCCAACAGAATTTGCTAACAGACTGGATGTGTTTGTGAGCAAAAGGGAAAAGTCAAGGACCTCCTAATTAATTGGCCTGCTCAACTGAAATGGTATAGATGCCATTAACTGAGATGCCATAGATTATAGGGGAAGATTTGGGATGGGAAGTATCAGGAGCTTAGTTTTAGACATGGTAATTTTGAAATGCTTATTGGATATCCAAGTATAATTGTCAAATAGGCAGTTGGATACATGAGTCAGAAATTCAGAATTGAGGTTAAGGTTGGAGAAAAAATTACATCGTGGTAGGCATACAAGTACTCATTACTATGCAGTTCTCCCGTCCTTCTGGCGGATGAAACACTCTACTTCCCAGCTTTTTTGCTGTCCGGCAGACCTGTTTGACTTTTTCAGCTTCATGGGTTGTGAGTGACAATTAAAGAAATTAAATACTAGTGGTTTAAATACTCCAGTACTCTCTTTACCACTCTGCAACCAAGGAAGCTACTTGTCTTATTTAGGTAGTGCAACTGCAACGTGGAAGACACCCTGAGAGCCTGAGCCCCTGAGTTATGTGTAGAACTTTCTACCCCACACCTGTCGTCTCAAGATGGACATGTAAAATGAATGAGAAATAAATCTTTGTTGATTAAGTCACTGAGGATTTTTTTAGCACATATAGCATAGCATATCCTGATGAATATAGGAGTCATCAGTTCTTACGTGTTATTTAAAACAGGAGACTGCAATCACCAAGGGAATGATTGCAGATAGAAAGGCAAAGCGGTTCAATGCTTAGTTCTCATGGAGAAGAGGCAGAAAGGGCAGTGGAAACTGAGAGGGAGCAGTCACTGAGAAAGGAGGAGAGTTAGAAGGGCCGCCAAGTAAAGACGATTTGAAGGAGGTGTCGGTGACTGAGTCAATTACAGCTGGTAGATGGAGTAATGATGAGGATTAAGAATTCACCACTGGATTTAACAACTTGGTAAGCAGTCATAAATGACCTTGACAAGAGCCGTTTCAGGGGAGGGGTGGGGGTTCAGACCTCACTGAACAGTTCAAGACAGACTGGAAAGATCAAAACTAGACACAGAGCATAGACGACTCTTTTTAATGTCATGTTCCATACACTAGATAAAAAATAATGGTGATTGTAGTCTTGCGTTTTGAAAGATCTCAGTTAATTTTAAAGGTTATATTTTGTGTGTATGCTTGTGTATGTGTTAATTTTTTGTGACATTCACCATTTAAAATCACTATAATAAATTTGATTTTTAAAAATTCTTGGAACTCCCTGATGTATCATATAGTGAACTAGATGACATTTTATTGCTTATGCCAAAATATGTAATTTATTATAGAATCTTCATTTACTTTTGCTGTCTAAGGGGATGCTGTCCTCTAATTAAAGAGCACCAGTTCCCCCACGCCATCAGTAGCTTCTAGTCAATGTAAGAACCACCTACAACAAGGAATCAAACAGTTTAAAGTTGTAAAAACCTATGACTATGAAATGATGCCAAGATGTTAATATATAAATAACTTTTAAATCATTTACATGCTGCCAAAATGATGATCCATGATGGTGTTCCATATGCTAGGAAGTTGTAACATCTGAAACTTTTACTATTTCTAAGACCATCTGTGTGTTTTGTATAAATTATGACTGTGGAACTGATAAAACACTGGAGGTAAAAAGCACATTTATACATTTGGGAAAAGGAATACATTAAAAATCAGCAGTTTGGGTTCAAAATCACTGATCTTATGTAGATCATAATTGTTTTTGTTTTATTTTCTTCCTTTAGGCAAAACTGAAATTGAATAATTAAAACAAAAACTTAGAACATAAACAGAATACATGACATTATTTCCAGTTTTTTTTTTAATAGTGAAAATAAATTCTTAAAACATGTTGGTTATTAGTCATTGTACGTGATTCTTCTTTCCTAAGCTTTGTATTCAAATGAGTGTTTTCATCTCTGTTGTTAATGTACTTTGCCAAATGTGCTGAGTGCAGATGAACAGAAGATTAAAGCACATAATATCGTTATGAAAGACAATTGAAGATTGCATGCTTATTGCTACAGTTTTGGTTATAGGAATTTCTAGAGTTCTTTAATGTGGTGGCTTTCTTTGTTGAAAATTTAAAGTACACCTCTCCCAGCTGTGAGAACAAAGACACACCCTACAAAAAGGGGAAATATGTAGTTGAATTATAGCTGCACCTGTATTTTTTTTAAGTTCTTAATTCATTTCTTCTTACATTGACCTGGATTCTGAGCCAAATTTTAGATCCTGGATGATTATAAACCAGGAATATATAAATAACATTTTCTTATTCTCTTACATGATAGGAGAGTCTTTTAGAACTTTTTTGGCACATATTTCTTAGAATCATTTGAAAGAGGCCTTAAATGATGTTTGTCTCTAGTGTTCTTTCTTTTCTAGACATTAGTATTTATATTTAGAGTCAGAAATAAAAGTAGTTTAACTGGTAGGCTAGATTAAATTGATTTACTTCATGTGTTTGAGACTTAATCATATCCATCATTGTTAATAAATGAAATTTTCTTATACAGATGAATCGGAGGACTAAAGTGTTCTTTTGGATGTCTTTGAAAATACCTCACAAAGAGCGATTTTTAAAAATTTCACTACTTTTTAGAAATATTGCATTTAAGTTCAAGATACTTTATTAGGGTGGAAAAAAGAAAATACTAAGATTGGGAAAAAGTTAACACCAAGTATTGAAAAAATAATTATTTTGTTCAATCTAAAAACTAAAATTGCCTTCCTCATTAAGGAAAAAGTTAAAACATTTAAAGTAGACATCACAAATATTTTCCTAGTTTGTTTGTTTTAAAATTTGCCACTTATTCTATGTTTGTTTTCTTAGACAATTTTAATATTTTTATCTCAGCAAAAAAGTAAGTTTGTTATAAATTAGCACAGTTTCTTTGGGTCACAGACAATTGCACCAAGTTCCAGGCATCAATTTCTCATACTTTGTATTGGATTTCTATAAAATGAACCTGGTGGTAGCTGCAGGAATTGCAGGCATAGAGATGAAATTGCTGATCTCTTATGGAGGATGGCTTATAAATAAAATTTATTTAATTGACTATTACAAGCATAAAAACAAATGTGCTTATGAAATAAAATATTAAGGTATTTAATAGTACCTAGGTGATAACTGATGAGACAAGAGCAACTGTATAGTTTATCTTAATATATGTTAAAAATAAGATCATAAATCAATACCATTATACTAACAGAAAATGATACTTTTGTGTATTTATATGAGATCTGCTAATTGACAAGTAGTAATTAAACCTTTTGTTTTAGATTAGTAAATGAATATTTACAGAAACAATAGTATATTTTCAATATCTGTTCATAGTATATATGATATGTTTATTGAATGTTGCAAGTTAGGATTTAAGGCCTTGTATTTAGCTCTTCTGCATAAGTGTGTCATGAAAGTCAATTGAAAAAAGTTCCTTTTGCCAGGCGCGGTGGCTCATGCATGTAATCCCAGCTCTTTGGGAGGCCAAGGCAGGCAGATCACCTGAGGTCAGAGTTCAAGACCAGCCTGACCAACAGGGAGAAACCCCGTCTCTACTCAAAATACAAAAAAACTAGCCAGGCGTCATGGTGCATGCCTGTAATCCCAGCTACTCGGGAGTCTGAGACAGGACAGTCGCTTGAACCTGGGAGGCAGAGGTTGCAGTGAGCCGAGGTCGCGCCATTGCACTCCAGCCTGGGCAACAAGAGTGAAACCCTGTTTCAAAAAAAAAAGAAAGAAAGAAAGAAAGAAAGAAAGAAAAAAAGAAAAATAAGAAATAAGTTGCTTTTTAATCTGAAAAATTTTAAATAAAAATTATTTAAATTTATTTAAATTTTATTTTATTAAATTTAAATAAATGTCAATTTTTAGAGAGAATAATAACAATAGCTATTGCATATTAAGAACTTGCTATGTATTATATGTTTTATATCATCTCATTTTATCCACTTGAAAACACAGTGCCTAAGCTATTTTCTTTACATTAGGGTACACTTATACTTGTCAATTTAGTCTTATGAAGAAGGTGAAGAAGAAGGAGATGATGATGATGATGATAATAGTAAGCACTTATTATAGCACTTGCTGTGTGCCAGGTCCTATTACAAGCACTTTATGTATATTCACCCATTTAATCCTGCCAACAATCTTGTCAGTTACATACTAAAAATTCTGCTAATGCAGTCACTACATCTAAATTGGCTGGTTAGGGAAGAGAGGGCAACCAAGGGGGCACTTGCATTTTTTTGACTCATAACATTTTTTATAGGGTCCTATAGATTCTGCAACATATATAACAACTCTGCTATGCTATCAGTGCAAATTTTGACTCAGGATGACAGTATCTCTTAGTTTCCATTATGAAGTACTGTTTTTAATGTTCAATGATTTGGAGAGATTAGTTCACAGAATGGAAGTTGTGGTGGTCTTGAAACCGGGGTTTGGCATGTTCAAGAACTAGTCCATATTATGTTCAGTATTGAAATCTATAACATAACAAAGGTTTTTAAATTTGAAAAATTGAGTAGTTTTTTAAAAGATGACACAGAAATGGTCAAATTTGGCCAAATATTATAGCTCAGACAACCTAAAATTATTTATTCTGAAGACTAGAAGTCTTACCTAAAAAGATAGTAGAGGTTATCTAAAGAAAACAATTAACTGTCATCATTTGCCACTTAGGAAAAGAAGGATTTATGTTGAAAAGGATATTATAAATCAGTAAGTTATTCAACTGAATATGCTTTGTAGTTATCAGTCCAAATTGTGAGTTAGCCAGGTTCTAATATCATTAGCTGCACACATTTCAAAAGTTATTGTTGAAAAAAGTAAGCAATTATGAGATATTATATAACAAATGAAAAATTGAGTTAAGTAAAATATTATTAATGTAGTGACTGGGGAATTTTGTATAGATATAATAAAATACAGTAAAAACTAACACATTAGCAACACAGTATAAATATTAAGCTCTGCCTAGACTCAATTCTGAAATTTCAAAAATATTTTCTTCATGATAACCTTTGTCGATCATTTATCCCGAATTATTTCATTTTATTAAGAAGAAGAGCTTAAAAGACACTCATCTTTTCATGCTTCAAATTCTGAGCTGATATGAGCCTTTGTGACTTAAGCATTTTTGAATGACTTATATTATTCCTTGAGATAAGTTATGCTGAGTTGTTTATTCTTCTTCCTACTGTCCTTACAGTAGCATGCCACAAATATTCTCTATGTCTACAACTGTTTTTACTTGATTGAAAAAATAATTTAGATGATGGGGAAAGAATTTGTTTGTAAGATATTTATTTTCATCAAAGCTGTTATCCAATCAGTAACTATTTTTTTCATTTCATCTACTTATTGCATAGCTGAATTAAGATTTTATCCATTCTTCTTTGCAAAAGGTAGAAAAAAAATTTACAGCATCAGTATGCTTTAGCATAATGAACAAGTATATTTAGTAGTTTTTTCTTAAGATTTTTACCTTACCTAGGAAAACCAACCATTCTGGTTTGCCCAGGATGGTCCTGGTGTTAGAAATGAGAATTCTATTCCCAGGAAATCTCTCAGGTCTGGGAAAATGGGGACAGTTGGTCACTGTAATCCTAGATGGTTTAAACGAATTGTTTTGTGTATGAGTGATAGTGAATAACAAATCACATTTATATAAGGTAAGTAAAAAATAGCTAAAATATATAGAAGGGTTTTATCTGTATCATTTCTTTCAAAAGCAAGTTAAAGTTTTGAAAATCCATAATGAAGATAGGAGAACAATTTAGTTATGCAGTAAAAAACAAAACAAAACCAATAAACCAAAAATAACTATTTAACGCTTCCCATTCCCATGCTGACGAGGTAAAATTATTAGAATGGAGTATGTCATCAGGTCTTTTCCTAGTCCTTTTCTGCTTCCTGTGTGTCTTTGTAGGTTTCTTTGATTTCCATTGTTGGTGTGATATTTTGGTAAAAAGCAGCTGACTCACATCCCATCCAAATCCCCAGTGCCCTTCAGATCCTTCACAAATTTGGCATTCAGCCCACTCCTTGCCAATTGCTTCCTTTCCTCCCAATTCCCACATGTCTCCTTCCTACGCCATCTGCTTCTCCTCCCTTCCTTCGATTAGTGCTTTCGTCTGCTCTTCCAATTTCTTTCATTGTTCAATGTCTTTTGCTTCCTCTTCCCCTCCTCTCCCCTAGAGGAAATTAACATACTTAATACAGCTGATGTCATAAAGCCCCTTTTCCCTAAGAAGTTAAATTTCTGTTTCTGCAAAATAAATACATAGCTCTGTTGTGTGAAGGTCAAAGGAAACCTGAGTAGTAAACCTGAAATAGATTTTTTTGGGGTTCATCTTACATAAAGTGTCAATGCATATTATGTATTCTATTTATTTTCCAAAATAAATTTTCTATTTGGGATTTAAATATGGTAAGTCAACACAACTTTATTGTACCAGTCATTGGATTGAATAAATGACTTAAAAATAATTTTTCCTGTCTATCTTAATTTTTATATTTAATAATTGAAACACTGGGGATTAGTAGAACAAAGCATAGGCTTGGGCATTATAAGACCACATTATAATTTCAGGTTTCAACACCTATTAAATGCCTGATCTTATGGAAGACATTTGATCTCTATACATTTCATTGTTTCCATCTGTGAAATGAATTGTCTAATCATACCTAGATTAGTTCAGTGTGTCGTTGAGGGAATTCAGCGAGAAAATGCATGTTAAATGTCATTGTAAATGGTGACACACTTAATACCTATTAGTAATGGTGTTCTCTTTATTATTGTTGTTAGTATACCTATTTGAACTCTGAATATATTTAGTCATCTAAATCTTGATGGAAAAGGAAAATCCAAAACTACTCATGCCATAACAATTCCAATTTTCTTCAAGAAGCAAGAAGATGATATAAATGTATGTGAACGAAGATCCAGCTTTCTATCTCCTCTGCCTGTACTTCTATCTATATCTGATTCACCACTGTGAGAATTTTCAGTTGCCACAGAATCACTAGGGGTATTTTGGGTGAACATTATGAGTAAGTAAAGTGTTTAGACTAACACTGAAATTAAGAAACTGATTCAAGTTCTATGTGTACCTTTATTGGGCAATGCTATCATCAACTGGTTATTCCACAGGAGAATTCTGTCCTAATGCCCTAAAGGTACCCACCATGTGTAATGAATCAACTTCTTTCCCATGCATCGAGAACAGTTCTAGTTACGTATTATCCTTAGGGGAATTGAGAAATTATGTGATTCAGATGCAAAGTACTGGTTAAGAAAGGCTGGTTTCTCTTCTCAAGGAACATCCTGAAACTTTCCACACACTTGCAATTTTATTTAAATAATTACACATACACTTATCATGTTTGGACCCTGAAACTAGAAAAAAGAAAGCCAAGCATTTTACACCTACCTGTGAAGTCCAAGCACTCTTTTGAAAGGATTGCAGTAAACTAAAGCATTCTCAGTTCTGGCACACAAATTAGTTTAGATGACAATACAATTAAAAAGATAATTTCAGTGAGCATTGGGTTCTTGCTCTGTCTTTTCACTATTCATATGTTACATGTGCATTTGAAAGCTTGCATGCCAACAGCTTGGTATACCGATATATGAGAGTCTTGGCATGTGGTTTTCTATCTGTAATGTTCTGTTCTTCTACCCACTTTGTCTAACACACTCATTTTTCAGATCTCAAAGACAACTTCCTCAGAGGAGCCATCAGCAAAATCCCACCCAAATACCCACACTAGATTTCTTCTTCCTGTTATCTGTTTGTTTTCCTTTTACCAAGTACTTCTCTTATAATCTATTCTAAATTATGATTTATATATTACTTATCTAATACACATAAAACATATGAAAGTCCACCTGTATTCCTCATGTCTGTCTTATGTTCGAAGCTCATGTGTTCGAAAAAGTGTTAAATGAATGAAATATAAGTCAGAAATTTAGTCTTTTAGGGTACTCAGGAATGAAAAGTTGCTAATTTGAATATATATGATTTTGTTAATTTTATTTCCACATACAATTACGTATTTCTTATCTTACTCTCCGACAAAATGGGAAGAGAGTATCATCCACACCATTTCTTTTTTCTAAAACATGATTTTTTTTGGCTTAAAAATAGGAGATACTACACAAGTTAATTATGTGAGTAAATACATTGCTATAAGTGTGACATACTGATATAGAATCTTAGAGATGGAGCTGAGTTGAGAGATTGTGAATAGGCAAGGTCCTTCGTTTTCAGGGAGAAATAGATGCCAAGCCCGTTGGTTTACGCTGAGTCACATAATGGATTAGTGTGGAGTCTCCCATCGTAAGAGTTCTTCCTGGGATTTTTCCCCTGACAGACTAGATCTGATCAACCCATCTAAAATGACACTTAAATTTGATTACGATATATCTTAACAAAAAACTCAACAACAAAGGGTTTTCATGGATTTATTTCATATAATTTTTCCATTTGTTTTGTGTTCTAAATTTAGTATTTCCTATCTTGGTAACAGCATTGAAAATAGTATTTTAAATATATAGGGTTTAATAAATTTCCCTGCTTATTTATCCGTTAGGTATGGGGATGGCCTTATGTTGATTTAATTATTTTGTACATTCTGCATGTTATTACGAACATATAGAAATTCATCTTAAATGACTGAATATTGGAGGTTGTCACACAATCTCATTCAAAAAAGAAAATAAATTGCAGCAATTTAAATAGTAAGTTAAGCTTAATCTATGACCATCTTGGGAAAGGTCTGTTATGTCCAAAGCACATTTTTGAAACTGCCCTAACAACCAGACCTTGGTCAAGTCTGGTCAATTGTTGAAAATATTCAGATAATGATATCTTCTTTGCCTGTTTATTAGGATCCTTATGAGAATCAAACCACAGTAGTCAAAAGTATTTTGAGGACTGTTGATAACAGCCTCATTATAAAGCGTTATTTTAAGTTCTCCTGTCTTGATTTTCAGTTCATGTTCATTCTACACTGAATTTAATAACTTGGAGAGGTGAAAGATATTTAACTTCAGAAATTAAAGCAAACCTTTTGAATGAGATATTTCGTGGATCAAAAAACCAAACACTTGTAAAACTGTAGTATATCCTGTTTTGATCAATGTATAGGTTTACATCAATATATAAGTCTCAATGTGTAAGATATATACCTTTATGGGCTTTATAATGTATAATCTGCATGCCCATTTTTGTCCAGGTCCTTTGAGACATAATTTTAATTCCTTATAAAGTGCTTATATCTTTACGTAAACTGACTCCAGGACCATAGTCGGGGTGCAGTGTGTTTAGATGCAGAGGTAAGGTAGTAGAGACCAAAGATTGCCAGACAAAATATTTTCTAGTTCAACAAATAATCTCTGGTGCTTTTGGGAAACAATATACTATATATTTTCAAGTTTCATCTAAGTACTATAATGAACTTATATATGAATTAAAGTCCTCAGTTTTGATATCATGCCATGTTGACATGCTATCCTACTTTGACTGTTGCAAACTGTTTGTTAGTATTCTCTTAAATCTCCTGAGATGATTCTGGAGGTTTTTTTTTTTTTTTCCCCCAAATGGATTTCCCAAAAAACAAGTCTTTTGGTTTTATTTGTTTGTTTGAGACAGGGTATCTCTCTGTCGTCCAGGCTGGAGTGCTGTGGTGTGAACATGGCTCACTGCAGCCTCAATCTCCTGGGCTCAGGTGATCATCCCACTTCAGCCATGTGAGTAGCTGGGACTACAGTATGTGCAACCATATCCAGCTATTTTTTTTTTTTTTTTGTGGCGGTGGGGTCTCACCATGTTGCCAAGGTTGGTCTTCTGTAGGGCTGGGATTATAGGCATGAGTCACCACACTCAGACCCAAAACAGTTTTGCATACTTTTCCAAAAGTTAGTTCCACTCACATGTTAGTTTCAGTCAAAGTAACATTAGATGACATAGAGGACTGCCTCACCAAGTATGCCTATGCTGCCTTCCACATGGAATTCCGCCAACTCTTGAAAATCACTGAGATGAAACCTGATATGGTTGCATGCTGCTAGTTAGCATCCATGATCTATTAGTCAAAATAGACCTTCCAGAAAGCAGAAAGTGTCTCAGAAATTGGAGTAATCAGCCAAAAAGAAAGTTGTACTTCATAATTCAAAATAATACAGTATATTAAGCAGAAGTGCTGTATTAAAATGATACAAAATGAACACACATGGTCAAATAACAAACCTGCAATAGGAATTTTGGATTAGGTTGCCACCCCAGCATAGAAAGCAGACATGCAAATGTTGTTTCTTCTCTTACTTTTTTCTTAAAATATATGCTTACACAAGCAGCTAGAGTTTCTTCAGTTTCCAGGCACTTTGATATATCTGATCAGGCCATTAAATTTCTCCCAATAGCCAAGGACTAGTGGGATGTTACTACTGTCAGGGAGCACTTTGTTTAATTATAGGTTAAAGTAGTTTGCCAAATTAAAGGCACAATCTTTTGTGGGTTCATGGATGATGTCCTAAATAGTTTATTTAATTCTCAATGTTCCATTAATCAGATGAAATATTTCTCTAAAATATAGTTTTAGAATTTATCTCAAAGAATTGTTTATACATTTTATCTTTAATTTGGAAAAAATATTTAAATATCAATACTTTTTAGTAATTCCCTATTTTTAAAAAGTTTACTTTTCTAATTGCTTGTAATCGTTCTGATTGCTTATGATAGTATGGACGGCATTTTTTTCTTTCTGTGGACATCAAGCAAAATGAATTGTAATCTTTAAAAAAAAACAAATAGTACATTCAAAAGGGCATTTGATTTTACAAGATATTGTAAACAATAGCCTTTCCTTAAAACAGAGTCCAAAATGCAGAAATCAAAGAAATTTTCTTAAGGCTTTTAGTTTTCAATTATTTTTAATCTGATCACTTTACAGGGGATTGAGATTTCCTTTTCATTACTTGCAATTGGTGAAGATTAACATTATTTCTTCATCTTGCCCACATTATCACTTTTATTTAAATATTGTCTCTCAAAGAATAATTCTAAGTTTTATGGTGAGGCTAATATCTCCTCAATCAAATGCTGATTCTGCAATTCTTTTGTTTAAAGGTTAGTTGCTTTAACCAAACAGCTCTTGGTAACATCTGACCACTTCAGTTTTTATCTCCTTAAAACCAAAGAATTTGATAATATGATAAATTGTACACTTGTAAAATAATCTGTTGTGCATTAACAAAATTACTACCAGATGGTACAGGTTTACTCTTCTTAAATCTTACAAATCGAGGTGATCACAAAGCTTTAAAAGCCTATTGCATTAGAAACAGGCTTTTGTTTAAGTCACCTTTAAGAGCATCATATTGTATGGGAACATTTCAAAAGCAGTTGAGCTTAATCTGTATAATACTGGCTGGAAATAATGTAAATTTGTCTCTTTGAGTGGATAGAGTACAATTTACTAAGGAATCCATGATTTCTTATTCCTTAGCCTATTCACATGCATGGTGTCACTCTTCTCTCACCTCGATATATGACATCACTGTATTGTTCCATGCATCATGTATATAAAAGATCATGCCACATTTCCCCATCTTTATTAGGGAAGCTTATAAATATTCTGATTAACCTTTAAACATTCATGATAATAAGCACATGTTTGCATGGGAAGAGAAGAGGCATTCTTCTTCATAGAAATGTATGTGGGATATTTACCTTACAACATTAGTCCTACAGACAACACATGCAAATATGAAATGTAAACATACACATTGTTTTTTTTCTGCTGACAGTTACATGGACTAATGGCCATTAGGTTGGATGTCCAGATTGGTTAGGCTTAAATATGGGGTGTGCTGGAAGGGGGAACTTCAATGTAATATGCTTAAGGAGGTCCATGGATAGCACCTATTTGTTCTTCCAGCCATTCAGTTTGGGGATCTATACGTTTTAAAAATATTGTGAATTTGTAGTTTATGGCGTGAGAAGCAAAGAAAATATAAGCTGTTGTTCTCTATCTCAAAGAAAGCCCTCTATAGAAGCTTTACTTTGGATCTATGTAGAATGAGCTTCAGTGTACTTACCAAATGATCTGGAGCAAGTTTTGATACTCTCAGAGCCTTAATTTTCTAATCCAAAATATAGGAAAATACACCTTGTGAGAATGTTTTCGACGTTAAAAATAATGCATGTAACAATGCTATGTATATAGCTGGTGTTGGTATATCACAGTTCTCATTAATTAAAACAATACCAGTAATACAGATTGTTGCTTAAATACATTGGCACATTTATTAAATTGACCACAGATTCACTGATGCATTTTTCGTGTACTGCAGGAAGAACTGTCAAAAGCGGTTTACACACAGGACATAATGTTTTTCAGATGTTAAGCTTTTGCAATTCTTAAGTTCTTTAAAATTTCTATAGAAACACCAGAGAATTTAAATACATTTGTTATTTTAGTATGGAGTGGTCAGAATTTGAATTTGTCTGCTATAATGCAGTATAAAATAGTGTGCTTTTCACATAAATTTGAAGATATTCAGCATTTTTTTTCAGAAGAGATGACTGAAATCATAAGAATTCTGTATGTCCAATCTCTTAGATTGTGAACAATTCTGATAGTGTACTTTCTATGTAAGTGCTGTGTTTTTAAATGTTAAAACTAGGAGAAAGTTTTTGCCATCACAGAACATATATTCTATGCAGAAGAAAGGCAGGAAATGTCAGATCAAGCTTTTTTCATTGATTTTACTTTGTTCTTTAATCTTCACACTGACTGATATAACTTCTAGTGCAGGCTTTCCCATCCCTAAATGCTGGAACTCTTAAGATCGGTTTATATGGAAGCAACCTAGGATGCACAAGATTCTGATTTTTCAGCTCAAAGTTCCAACAGTATATCCTAGACGTAGGTTAGAAGCCATATAAAACACTCATATCCCTTATTACAATTAATACCGTTTGTATTACATTTTCTGTTCAGCATGCTTTTGTCTTGGCTATGGAATGGAACCATTTATGACTAAGAAAGAACATTCCAAATAAATATCCCTCCAAACAGTTTTTACAATACTCTTTACACAGATCATTTTCTCTTTTATTTTGTTTTCACCAATAACTATAGAAATAGAAATGGTCAGGATGAGTTTATTTTTATTTCTTATTTGTCCATGAGTTAATTATTAGTTCTCAGGAAATAGCAAAAGTACCTATTGATAATTTTGAAGTTTAATGTAGCCCACCAGAAAGCTCCTTTTTAAGCGCTAGGTCAGACCTGTCTTTCTAAGGTCGTATTTTCTTCCTCACATTGAAGAATTAGCCTACTTGCTTCCTCTAAGGATGTATGTAGAAATATTTTAATTCATGTTAACATGTGTATTGTTGGAAGATATGGGATTTATTTATGTTTTGAACGTGTTTTCCATAGGAAATGAGGCACAAATTTGCCAAGTGAGTGAGCTACATTCTAGCATAATCTCGTGTTCAACAAAGGAGGGTGAAGCAACTGGCCATATGGATATTGAATCTCTTACCCTGGTCTGATGAGCCCTAACTTCTGATTAATCAATTAAGCTTGTCACTTGCAAGCTCTTCTTTTTCTCCTTTGACTCTTTGGGATTAAAATACCACAGAATGTGTGTGAGTGTTTACTTCAATTTGTAGCTATTTTAGGAATATTTCTTCTTCTGTAGAATCTTAATTAGTAATATTAAATGCTGTTTATATTTTTGAATAAAAAATGCATTTCTGTAAAGTAAAATTGGTCAATCTATATCAAGGAATCCCTTGCATACCCAACCTTGATTTGACTTTGCCATGGTTATGAGTCTTCTACAGAATGTAAGTCAATGTAAATTTCAAGGGTAACAAGTTATACGTGGTCTCTGGAAAAGGCTTTATCTTAGCAAGCATTTGGTAGTGAGGGAATTTCTCACACTGGACCAAACTATAGAGCTAAGTATAAGAACCCAGAGAGAGGAAAAGGGATTTACTGTTGGCAAAGTATTTTCAGCTGGTGTACTTGTAATTCAAAAGAGCCAAGAGTTTGAAAATAAGCTTTTCTCCCCTCAAATACTATGAACATTTGTCATCTTTATTTCTAGAGTATAGTCATAATTCCCTTGTAGATTTTTATTTCAGGCTGTCTTAGCTGTGACTGTATGTAAATTCAGAATTAGAGCCAGATGGTTGGAAGAGGTGATAAAAAGCAAACCTGGTTTTGTGGGAAAGTGAAAATTGCCCATAAGACTTTGTTTTTTACCTTTAAAACAGCAGGACACTGTTTCATGAGACCTGTGAAGGAAATAATACATTAACTTTAATAGCTATAAGCTAAATCAATTTTTCATATTAAGGCTGAATGCTACCATGTAATCTACCTAGAATTTTCATAGAGGTAAAAATCAATTAGCTTTCTTACTTTTAGAAGATAGCTAGCAAAGGCTAAAACCACTCTTTATATTGCCTCCTTTTATAGGATTCACTTTGGGGTTCTAGTCTTAATAATTTGGGAACCAGACACCTGGGGAAATCTGCTAAAAAGCCTTCACTGTTTCATCTGCTCTCCATTTCATCAGCACTCAGCAGTTGTCTGTTCCTGGTTAATACTATAAATTAGAAGGGGCTTTCCTGGTTGATTGCTTTAGGCTACGTACCTCTGTCTAGCCCAGGAAAATGGGTGTCCAGCAGAAAAATGCCATACCCAAGGCTTCATATTGTCTTTGAGCTACACCTAAGCAAGCAAAATTGTTGTGTTTAAAGAGGGCTGTGTTACTTCTTTCTATTATTACTTATTAAAATTAGGAATCATGAAAAGGATCTCTGGTGATATACATTGGATAGAGAGCAAGATACTAATTTATACTTTCACAAAGAAAATCATCCTTTCCTTTAACTATGTCTGTCTGCAGGGTGGCTCCCACTTACGTGCAATTAGCAACACAGCTCTTCCTGATGTAGTCTATAATCAAATTATCATAGGTGTGCTTCTGCAGCAGCAAACAGCCAACTACCAATTTATCAATTGTTATGAGGAAGAAATGAGAAATTTAGGAGGAGAAATGGAAATAGCAGAGAAGTGCAGCTGCCAGAGTCCTAGGCGGGGACTCTCCCAGGCCTGTGTTCTCAGCTGGCAGCTCACCAAGCTGTGCAAAGAGCCACGTGTTCCCACTGGGATAATTGCTTTTTCTGCATAAGTCTCTTGTTGCTTCTCTCTGATGATCAAGTGTGTTTAAACTCCTGGCTGAATTCATGTTGGTTTTCAAATGGTATTGTAAAGTGTACCAGGAAACAAATGAAACGGGATCATGTTCTCTTGTGTGTATGTAGCCCAGGCAAATATGGGACGCCAATGGAGAGATCCTAATTGCCTATTTTTCCTCTCAATTCCACTCCTAAGAGAGTAGTTGAAAGACCTGAAACAAGTTATGGCTTTTCTTCATGCAATGCTGTCCTTTTTTATGTCACCAGGAATTTTTAGAATGGTCATTTGATTGCTTTCAATTTATCATTCTCATATTTTCTTTACAATGTGTGTGTACTTGCCCCGGTGTCCTTTTGTTATATAAAACATTTTTTGTGCAAACCCCAGGAACATTATTTACACTTTGAGTAGGCTGTAAATGATGAAATACCCTTCACTTGAGAATAGACTAGTGAATAATTTGTAAAATCTAGGTACTTTTTACAGTTTAATTGAAAGCTGACTAATCTGGGTTTTTTTTTTTTATAACCTAGAAGAAAAAACAAAATCTTATGAATATTGGTATACAATCTGTTTTCCTTAGTTTCATCCATCTTGGGGTACAGTGCTGTCATTTTGTGTTATGAGTTCATATTGGACTGGTCTTGAGTTAAAGACAAGTTTACCCGACAGCCTGTGAACGCACAGCATGAAACCAGATCATATCTAATCAAGAGACTCGAGTGGGAAATAATTAAAATAATGCATTTCTCCTTCCTCCTTTTCCTTCTCCTCCTCCTTCCCCTTTCTCTCTCTTTTAGGGCTCTGTGAACCAGAAGAAAATAGGAATAGAGGGAGGTAAGAAATTTTGGGAAAATGAAGCAAGAATCAATAGCTTTTATAAAAAATAGAAAGATCAAAAAATCTTTAATAAACTTTGCTAACCAAGAAGAACTGTGATTTGGCTGAGGTTTATTGTTTATTTAATCTAAAATAAAATATTTGCTTTGATATTTAAATATAAAATCATTTTGTCATAAATACATAGAATTTTAAAATTATTTTGTGAGATTAGTACAAATAAATATATAAAATATACATGTTTATAGAATATATAAAAATGAATTTCTTGAAATTTGTTCTTACACTTAGAAGTATTGGTCACTAGATCAGTAAATATAAGTTTCTCTCTATCAATGATTTTTGATGGTGATGGTTTTGAATCGATTTATGAACAATTTACATTTTTATCTGATAGCTAACTACATTAAAATGTAGGTCTTAAAGACAAAATTATTAATGTGTATGTTCAGAAATATAATTAAACCATAGTTAACAAAAACATGAAATTATTTAATAAGAGATGTAGTTTTTTTCTGAGACGGAGTCTCGCTCTGTCGCCCAGGCTGGAGTACAGTGGTTCGATCTCGGCTCACTGCAAGCTCCGCCTCCTGGGTTCACGCCATTCTCCTGCCTCAGCCTCCCGAGTAGCTGGGACTACAGGTGCCGCCACCACGCCCGGATAATTTTTTGTATTTTTAGTGGAGACAGGGTTTCACCGTGTTAGCCAGGATGGTCTCAATCTCCTGACCTTGTGATCCGCCCGCCTCGGCCTCCCAGAGTGCTGGGATTACAGGCATGAGCCACCGCGCCCGGCCGAGATGTAGTTTTTTAAAGTATTCTTTTTGCACTACCTACCTGGGACTATGACAAGGAAATATTATAAAATAAGAAATACTGTATTTTCTTTTATATTATATAATATCTGAATTATATGAATTATTTTACTTGATTATATATTTTTATGTTACTATGATACTTTTGGGATTGATTATCCAATTCTTTGTCTGTCATTTGTACAAAATAATTATGGTACTAGCAATGTTTTTGCTTAATTAGAAGGCAATAAAGCATGATTATTTTTGAAAAATAGGATGGCATGCATTAGAAAATATGAATGTTTTAATCTGAACTGTCTAACATTAAAGGCTGATATTATTCTTGTAGCCAGATTGGAAAGTAATGGGTATTACTTTACCTCCTCCTATTCTCTGCACCCTCCTCAAACAAGTTATTTTTTCTGGATTGTTACTGTTGTTGTTGTTGTTGTTACTAATTTGATGCCAAAATTTAAAGAAAGAAAAGCCGTTATTGTTGTGACTCTTCTTCAAATGTTTCTGTTGAAAGGAGTCCTTAGGGATCATCTAAAACTGTACTGCAGCTGATTTCACCAAGGGGAATGTCTGGGGGCTATGACTGGCCATCTGGGTTACCTGCATCTCATTGTTGTTAAGAAGCCACGCCAGGCACATCTGTAGTTCACAACAGCTTGCTCTCTATTCTCTAGGTCAAAGATCCAGGCAGAATTGACAGCATTTCTATGAAGAGATATTCTGCTCAAGGAGAGTTAGTGGTGAATTGTTTAAGGATGATACGCTAGACTATCATTCAAAACCTCTCATCTCACTTAATTTGCAAAATAGTATGAAAACGGGTTGGTGGTAAAGAATCAAGTTTTTTTCTGAAAAAATAATTTCTAAACTCAGGTGCTTTAGACAACTTCATTCTTCATGTGAATCCCACTCGTCAAGCCCTTACTACTGTAAATCAATATTTTCAAACCTTTAATCTTTTAGAAAATTGTAAAAATTTAGTACTGCATAATTTCTTATTGGTATGATGATGCCTATGTGTGTCTTATCTGTATTAGTTGAAACATATTTCTCTTTTAGCATTATAATCAATATTCTATTATTCATTGTTTTGATGTATTTTTAAATAGTATTTTTAGTAAAGCACAGATTTTGCATGTAAAATATATTAAAGGAAATGAGATAAATTCTATGACAGTTTGGTGGTTAGCAATTTGAAATCATCTTTGAAGCCCTTAATATAATTAGCGGTTTTGTTTTTGGTCTGTTGAATTCAAGTCACATTAGGTTAATGTAATTAAAAGCAGAAAAGAATTTGTGTAGCCAAACTAGTTAATTAGCTCCAGTCTGTTCACTGTGTTAACCTAGAGGTGTATGGATAACATTGTGGGGGTGATGTCTGAAAAAAAAAAAAAATTCCTGTGTAACAGATACTGCAAATCATCTGACTTGCTTTAGGGTAGAAAATGAAGACATCACAAGGAGTTCATTTTAAGTTCATCTTTATTTCTGATTGTGAGCACTGATTTCAGGGTAAGCTGTGTACTCTCGGATAACCCAATCAAAAAACTTATGAATTTATGTTTTAAAAGGGAACTGAACAAAAAAAGTTTACTGAATTTACTTTTTTAAAGGCAGTATATTTCTTTGTGTGCAAAGTTAAATTTTGTTTCTTGTATTCTGGAAATAAGAATACTGATGCTAGTTTTTCCATGCTAACCAGAGACATAAAGTGGTTTTCTCCACTTTTGGTAGAAAAGCTACATCTTAAACCTGATTATTCTCTATAATTATTCAGTAAGCAATTCAGTAAAGGAGATGAAGGCAGGATTTCCTACTGCTCAGAGAAGTCTTTACCCCTAAAAAAAGTAGTCATTTCTAGTTTTTTACAGGGAAAATTCCTGATATATAAAAATCATATGTATTAAACACATCAAGAATTTTTACATTTTGACATCTCTAAAACATTTTTTTTAACCTGAGACTATTACAAAGAAAAATAGGAAGTTTAAATATATTTGAAACTTTAAAATTCTTTATCTTCTTTTCCTCTCTCCTCTCTGTCTCTTTCCCAAAAAGGAGCAAGACCAGTGGGACATTTTTTTGTTTTGCTTTGCTTTCATCAAGTATGTTTATAGCTAAGGGCCTCTTTAAGCACTGTCTAGCGCTTATGGAAATGTGGGCTTCTAATGTGGTTACTATTGTGGGCTGGTAAGGTATATGGTAATGAGGAAGGAAGACCTCTGCCTTGAATTTTTGACATAGGCTAAATGCCAGCATATTGTCTGAAAGTTTAACATGTTCTGCTTCTCCACTACCCGGATTATGTTAATTGAATAGTGCTCCAGCAGTTCAGTGTTTAACATTGTGTCTGTTCATTACACAAACTAGTTTTTGATAGGTTTACAATTCGACTGTCAAATCCAGCCGCAGGAAGAGACCTGCCAAGAAATATTTTAGCTTATTTTAAATAGTGCTGTTTTCACATTTATAGTGTTTTGTTTGTGTTAGACATATTTTTCTTCCCTATGTAGACAGAGAAAATGTTCATTTTTGGCTTACATAGGGGCACCACAGTTTAAAATGTATAAACTCACCCTAAATTTACAATCAGTATTTTTATATGACTCAACATAAGATGTTGATTTCTTTTTGCTTTTTTTGTGTGTGTGACAGAGTCTCACTCTGTCGCCCAGGCTGGAGTGTAGTAGCATGATTTCGGCTCACTGCAACCTCTGCCTCACAGCTTCAAGCAATTCTCCTGCCTCAGCCTCCAGAGTAGGTGGGACTACACGCATGTGCCAGCACACCAGGCTTTTTTTTTTTTTTTTTTTTTTAGTAGAGATGGGGTTTCACCATGTTGGCCAGGCTGGTCTCAAACTGTTGACCTCAGGTGATCCGCCCACCTCTGCCTCCCGAAGTGCTGGGATTACAGGTGTGAGCCACTGTGCCTGACCAAAATGTTGATTGTTACTAGTAGGCACTGCTTGAAAGTGGGTATGTTATATTCGATCAGGGTCATAGTACTATGTTGTTTTTCTGTTCTTTTGTTTATTGAAATGAACAGCCCACCATGTATTCCATATTTGTGACCGTTGAGAGTAGAATTATGGCCTTTTAAGATCCATTTCAATGTAGTCATTGACATAATGCCAAAATTAATTTGAATTTATGGAAATTGAAAACTGGCATGTTTCTTCTGTTTCTGAAGTTCATTTGCCCTACTTTGTGGTTTGTTCTTTCACTTTTACCAGTTTCTATCTCTATCATCCCTGAGGCAGTGTCTCCCAGGCTTGGTGAGGCTTGTTTATTTTTTCATTTTTTGTATCATCTACTTTGGGGTCCTTAACCATTATTGTCAGTGAGTATATAACAGAATGTTGTATTTTATAATGAAATTGGTTTATTGTTGAGATGGGAAATTTATGCGGGAGAGTATACGAATCTGGGAAATCTCAGCAGTTTTTCCTTAACTACAATAAATATTATTTGTATTATCTAATTGTATCCCTTCCTTCCTTTTGTCTTTTGAATCCAGCATTTATTCTTAGTCCAGAGCTGGGTCTTTAGAACACAGTTTCTCAATCCCTGCGTTATAGACAGTTTGAGTCAGATAATTCCTTGATGTGTATTTCTGGCCTCTACTTATTAGATACCAGTAGCATCGCCCCCCACACACCCTTCAATCCCCCAACCCCACACCAAGTTCTGACAACAAAATATGTCTGCAGACATTGCCAGATATCTCCGGGGAGAGGAAGGGTGATTGCCTCCATTAAGAACCGCTGTTTTGGAGGAAATAATAATGATCTATAAAGCCTAAAATTTACTTGTTTCTAAGTCTTATGCTGTGTCAATGCAAATATATATTTTCCTGATGAAACCAGTGGAAGTTGTTTAGTAATTACAGTCATGCATTGATTAATGACAGGGTTATATTCTGACAAATGTGTTGTTAGGTGATTTTATTGTGTGCGACCATGATAGAGTTTACTTATACAAACCTACATGGTACAGCCCTGTTACACTCCTAGGCTATATGATATAGCCAGTTCCTCCTAGGCCGCAAACCTGTACAGTATGCTACTGGATTGAATACTGTAGGCAATTCTAACACAACGGCAAGTTTTTTGTGTATCTAAATCTATCTAAATGTAGAAAAGGTGATGCACTGGAAACGATCTTACAACAGCCGCAACATCACTAGGAATTTTTCAGCTCCATTATCATCTTATGGGATCGTCATCATATATGAGGTTCATCCTTAACCAAAATGTTATTATGTGACCTATAATTGTAATATTAATAAAAAGCTACTGGATTTAGCCTAAGAAAGGAATATTGTTTTTGATTAGACAGATCAAAAACAATATTAAATCATTAACTGCGTATGTGTAATAAATAATTATAATAATAATGTGCAGGCATTTTTCTAAGTGCTTTATATGGTTTATTTCATCATCTTCATAATATCCTTAGAGTTATATATTAATAGGATTCCCATTTTAGAGTTGAAAAGCAGAGATACAGAGGAACTAATATCTTGGCTAAAGTTACACATATATAATAAAAAGTAGTCTGACTCCAGAGCCCGTGCTCACTTTGCTTTCCTAAGTATATGTATCTGAAAATTGATCTAGGATTTAGAAATCCTTTTTAAAAATGTCACATTTTCGTATATATTTTGTTGTCTTTGGGTTTTACCTAGGTAATCTTGGTAAAGAATACCTTGAGTAGAAAAACAAAGGTGCTATTTAGTTGACCTTATTTAGTCATTGATGATTAATATCTCTGCTATTGTTACAAAAGTGCATTTTTCTCACTAAAAATGTTTTGCAAATGTTATATTTTTCAGGCCTTGATTTGTTTTATATTGCTGCATTGATATGAAAGTTTTACATGTATGAACACTGTGTAACCATATGCTTTTAGTCATATTATGTTACTAATGAAAACAGCTTTTCATGATGCTTATCCACTAACATTTCTTGTAGAAAAATTTGACAGAGTAAACAAACTCCAGCTTTGTTTACTTACAAAGGATAGAGAAAGTATTTGTAAAATGCCTGGTGGGTTACTTTCAATTTACACAGCCAATGTGATTTAGTTGTAAAAGATGGCTGTAAAATAAATTTTTATTGAAAAGAAACAGTTTTTCTATCTATATTCAATACCAAACACATGGATATGTGCTCCCAAAGAATAGGTCTGATAGATTCAGTTATACAATTTTTTTCATGATTAAGCCAAGTGTAATATATAATTGGAGCTATAGTAATAGGGTGTATACTACAAATTCCTTAGGCCTTTATAGCTGTCTTTGAATTTTGGTTTACCTCAGCTATTGTTTCCTCCCATTCATCTTGAAATTGGAATTTTTTCATGTCTGTGAATCTCCTGGCAGTGCCCTCATTACTCTTGTTAACTAAATCCCCCTCCTTCTCCATTTGTATAGATTCTTTCAACATATAATAGCATTGGGCTGTAATATATAATGTTAATTGGTGGCCCACGTGTGCATAAGCAAGTTGATTTAAAACTCTACATTCCCAAGTATTTAAGATTTGTAACAGTAAATTAGTACTGTATTATACTGAAGCTGTAGAAATAAATCTAAGCTGTTGCAAATTATTTATATGTTATTATCCTTTGACTCACAATTTTTCTATGTATTTGAATATGTCTTAAAATTGTCCTTAAAGCCTTACATTTTATAGTAGATAAAAAACATTGAACACTTACTCACTCTTAAAACAAAGAGAATGTTAAATTATGTGTTTGTTTCCTCTTATTTTGGTATATCTTTTATGTATCATTGTACAATTCTTTCAGCAATGAACTTGTCTCCTAAATATCCAGAGACTTCAAGGTTAGATTCTGAGGCATAAGAAGAGGCTCGGCGTGCTATCCAAAGTTATAGAACTAATAAAGAAACATCTAGCTACACCTCAGCTCACTTAACTTCCATTTCAGATATTGGATTTTTCATCTTCCTCTTTTCCTGTAATAATTTTGTTTCCTTAGGATTTTTGGAAATGCTTATGCGAGTGTTCCAAAATCAGCGCATGAAAGGTTACAAAAGTTCTTAGGAAGATTTTGATAAGATGATACTCAAATTGTTCTGGACCTCAAGAACTCAAGTTTTTTAAACTCAAGTTTATTAAGCAGTAATTAAGATAATAAGGATGTGAGCTGTGCATTTATTTTCATTTGTACAACTCGTATAGCCAAAGACACATATCTTTTTTTTTTAATTATACTTTAAGTTTTAGGGTGCATGTGCACAACCTGCAGGTTTGTTACATATGTATACATGTGCCATGTTGGTGTGCTGCACCCATCAACTCATCATTTACGTTAGGTATATCTCCTAATGCTATGCCTCCACCGCCCCCCCCCCAACCCCACAACAGGTCCCAGTGTGTGATGTTCCGCTTCCTGTGTCCAAGTGTTCTCATTGTTCAGTTCCCACCTATGAGTGAGAACATGTGGTGTTTGGTTTTTTGTTCTTGTGATACTTTGCTGAGAATGATGGTTTCCAGCTTCATCCACGTCCCTACAAAGGACATGAACTCATCCTTTTTTATGGCTGCATAGTATTCCATGGTGTATATATGCCACATTTTCTTAATCCAGTCTATCATTGATGGACATTTGGGTTGGTTCCAAGTCTTTACTATTGTGAATAGTGCCATAATAAACATGCGTGTGCATGTGCCTTTATGGCAGCATGATTTATAATCCTTTGGGTATATACCCAGTAATGGGATGGCTGAGTCAAATGGTATTTCTAGTTCTAGATCCCTGAGGAATTGCCACACTGTCTTCCACAATGGTTGAACTAGTTTACAGTCCCACCAACAGTGTAAAAGTGTTCCTATTTCTCCACATCCTCTCCAGCACCTGTTGTTTCCTGACTTTTTAATGATCGCCATTCTAACTGGTGTGAGATGGTATCTCATTGTGGTTTGGATTTGCATTTCTCTGATGGCCAGTGATGATGAGCATTTTTTCATGTGTCTGTTGGCTGCATAAATGCAAAGACACATATCTGACCTAAAGTCTTCACCTTGTTTCCACTTGTTGTGTGACATTGCACAAGTCATTTCCTCCCACAAAATTTTTACTATTTACAAGGCATTGTAACAGGGGCTCCCATGAGGAATTACATATGCTTCTCTGCCTCAATGTTGATACTAAGGTCAGGGGACTGACACTTGGAAGCATAATTAAAACATATTTTTACAATGCGCATACCAGAGGTATGTGGGAGAAGAGGTTATACTTTTCTGAGCCACTGTTCCCTTTAGTGAAAAGTGAGGTTATTTTAACACTTCCCAAACAGTCTCACAGCAGGGTTATGATAAAGACAAAAATTTAAATGATATATTTATATTAAAATGACTTTATGAAACATAAGATAATTAGTAATATAAACCAATAGCCTTAAGTTGGGTATACCTTTAAGAATCCCACTTTGATACCTCCCAAGGAAATAACTGCACATATGAGAAAAGATATATACAAAAGAATGCTGATTTCAGTGCTGTTCATAAGCGGGAAGAATGAGATTTCTAAATTACCTAGCACTGATGTCTTAAATATCTATCAGTATGGGAATAGTTAGGTAAAATGTAGTAAACCCAAATGTTAGAATTGTATGTAGCCTTGGAAATTGATGCTGAGGATCTGTGTAAAATTTCTTGAACATTTAAAATATAGTAATGCCTCATACTTTTGAAAATGCAGCTTATAAAACAGCACATATCATGTGATTCTACTTTAGAAAAATTATGTGTATGTATATATGTTTATATGTGTATATGTATATATAAACATATATTCATGGTAAATGTGTATATATATGCATGTGTGTATGTGAGTGTGTATGTATACACACATAATTGAAAGACGGATGTTCAAAAGTACTAACAATAATTAACGTGTTTTTTTTGTGTGACGTTTTCTTTATATTTCTCTATTTGAAAATTTAAATATGTATGAAAAAATAAAACAATTTAACACATAACTGTTACAAACCTTATAGAAATATTTTAAATTGGATAACAGACTAACAATAGTAGTTTACGTTCAACAACAGTATTTGGAGTGACTACTGCGTGCAGGCGTCATTCTGGTTATGAGGGATAGAATGATGAACGATGCAGAGAAAAATCCCTGGATGGGAATCTGGAGCAGGCTGATCATTTGTTTATGATGCTACTGAAAAAAAATCAAGTTCTAAACTCATAAAAATTAAAAACTTTGTTAATGTTTTGTTTCCTCTAATATTTAAAGACTTGGCCAGAATACCTAGTTTGGATGCCTGGATTAAAATAAAGCCATTTAGGCATTCAAAACTGTGAGGGGACCTCACCTTTACAAAGTGGTAGTTTCAATGAACTCCATAATGTATTATGAAAAAAATGTGCTAGAATGTTTCCCTCCCTTCTTCCCTCCCTCCTTCCCTCCCTTTTTCCCTCTCTCCCTCCCTCCCTCTCTCCCTCCCTCCCTCTCTCCCTCTCTCCCTCTCTCCCTCCCTCCCTTCCTTCCTTCCTTCCTTCCTTCTTCCTTTATCTGGTTGGTAACTATGAGGTAAAAAACCTCTATGAATAAACATTCTGGAAATTTTCCCTAATAAAACCTTTCTAAGATCAGGACATTGTAGATATTCATGGGTAATTGAACTCAACTCTCATCCAAAAGCGTGTTAAATTAAGGATAGTCCAATCTTAATTCATGTTTAGTTTCAGTCGACTTCTTATACTGTATGTCTGCTTACATTTAAAATTAATTTTTATTCAATTAATTATATGTTCAAGAGTGTACCCAAGCATGTCTTTCCTGATGATTTACTGGGACCTGTTCATTCTCTGCCTCTCAAGTCCCCAAAAACCAGCTTGGGTGGCAGCAACATCACGTTTTTAAGGAAATAACAGGTTCTACTATGTTTTCGCAATGAAGATACATTCTTTAAAGCAACTCTGGCAAATTAAGTTATTAGAGACATTTTAATTAATTCATATAATGCTAGAATACATTTTCTTGAAATCACTTATAGCTAATACATATTTCTATATTAATTATAGTCATATGGTATTAAGAATTTTCTTTTTCTCTTTCCTCTTGCTAACTAAATTATTCACGCAATTTTTTATGGTTTTTCACTTAACTAAATAATATGAAATAACTTGGCCGATTGGGCAACAAGTTTCTAGCTATACAGAATATAACTTTACATGAAATGTAAGTAAGGAGAAACATTTTTGCTTCTTTTATATTGTACCTTTGGAGTCAATTCTCTTTAAGGGTACTACCTAAAAATAGCAAATACTACATATCAGCTGTTGATGTAATTATGCTTTGATTTATATGCTTAGAAAGCAGTCTTCACTTATGAAGACATCTGTCATGTAAACATAGCTGAAGCAATTTTAATAGTATTCCTGTGAAACTTTTTTTTTAAGATACGAGGAGGAAAGCTCATGATCACTTACACCCGTAAAAGTGACGCTGGCAAATATGTTTGTGTTGGTACCAATATGGTTGGGGAACGTGAGAGTGAAGTAGCCGAGCTGACTGTCTTAGGTAAGTGTAATTTTATTTAATCTTCTCATTGAAAAATAGATCTCTTATCATTTTGTGTCTGTATACAAGGGGGAAAGAAAAATTGTTAAGCCAAATATTTTTAGGGGGTGGGTAGAAAGAGGAGAGAAGAAATCAGAAAAGCAGCTTGAGATAAAATAGCCAAAGATGTGGGAGGAGGACTAGGAGGAAGCACTAAACCTAGGGAGAAGCTTCTAGAATGAGGGGACTCTGTGGAATAATTTCCTCGCTGATATTTTAAATTAAAAATATGCTCTTACTGAACTCCTAAAGTGTTTTTCAGCTGGTTCATTTTAAAATTTTACCTTAAGATGACTCTTTTTAATTTTAGAGAGACCATCATTTGTGAAGAGACCCAGTAACTTGGCAGTAACTGTGGATGACAGTGCAGAATTTAAATGTGAGGCCCGAGGTGACCCTGTACCTACAGTACGATGGAGGAAAGATGATGGAGAGCTGCCCAAATCCAGGTACACATCAGAGTTTCATGATATGATTTGTCAACTCAGCATTTCTACGTTTCTCATCACATCATCTCCACATCCGGGCCATTAGAATAGTCCATTCTAGAATCCTCTATCAGGGGCCAGATACAATACTGGAGATAATTAGAAGCAGGAGGTTGCCATCCTGCTTTCTCTGAGGCTTTCAGAGAAGAACTGTGCATTCGTGACCCTGGGCTGCAGAGGGAACCCTTGTAAAATATGATATTCTTTAATATCACAGGTTTCTCTTCTGTTCAACCAGATGACAGTTAATACTAGTTTTTTGGTTTGGTAGTAGGCAGGAAAGGGAAGAAAGATACAGCCTTAAGGATGTATCTATGAGCCAATTAAAAATCAGGCTTCCTTTTCCTCAGCTAAAATACCACCAGAGAATGGTAGAAGAGGTTGGAGTTTCTTGATATCTGTCAAGTCCTTAAATTGGCCAGGAGCAGAGATGCACGAATCAGGGAGCCTTAGGGAATGTGCCATTCAAATAAAGGCTTTCGGGTACTGTCAGCGGGCCGTCTTCTCCATTATGTTCACTCCTTCAGCAAACATGTGTTGAGCCTTCTGTCTAGGTGTTGGGATTACAGTAGTGGCTTAGACATAGTTTCTGCTCTCAAGGAGCTCACAAAAGGAAATGCATTGATAGATACAGAATAACAATATCAAGCTGATATGGTTTGGCTTTGTGTCCCCACCCAAATCTTTCAACACCTTGAATCCTGAGATTCACATGTTAAGAGTGGAATCAGTTGGAGATGATTGAATCATAGGGGTGGTTTCCCTCATGCTGTTCTTGTGATAGTGAGTGAGTTCTCATGAGATCTGATGGTTTTATAAGCGTCTGGCATTTCCCCTGCTGGCACTCATTCTCTCTCCTGTCGCCCTGTGAAGAGGTGCCTTCCGCCATGATTGTAAGTTTCCTGAGGTCTCCCCAGCCATGTGGAACTGTGAGTCAATTAAACCTCTTTCCTTTATAAATTACCCAGTTTCGGGTATTTCTTCATAGCAGTGTGAGAACAGACTAATATACAAGCTCTTTTGTCACATAAAGGTAAACCTGTGCCAGCTCAGAGGGGGGAATTTGAATTTGGGAGAGAGTTCTGAAAGAATCATGACACATAAGTAATGTCTTGAAAAGTATGTATCAGTCTGATAAGCAAGGAAGAAGAAAAGAATATTCCAGGAAATGGGTTATCACAACACAGACACAAAGCTGAGAAGGAATGTCATCTCCTTTGAATGGCATAAAGTTTAGCATGGCTAGGTAGGGCATAGGATTTATGATGAGAAGTTATGAGATATCAGGTTGAAACTAAGAGGGGCTTTGTGTAATAAAGAATTCCTAATATTATATGCACATTGGTGAGCCAAGAGTGTTAGTATAGATAGGTGTACCCTTTAGAAAAATTAATTTTGTTGGCCGGGCCCAGTGGCACACACCTGCAATCTGAGCACTTTGGGAGGCCGAGGAGGGCGGATCACCTGAGGTCAGGAGTTCGAGACCAGCCTGGCCAACATGGTGAAACCTTGTCTCTACTAAAATACAAAAATTAGCCGGGCATGGTGGCACGCTATAATCCTATAATCCCAGCTGCTCGGGAGGCTGAGGCAGGAGAATTGCTTGAGCCCTGGAGGCGGAGGTTGCAGTGAGCCGAGATTGCGCCACTACACTCCAGCCTGAGCGGCAGAGTGTGACTCCATCTCCAAAAAAATAATAAGAAGAAAAATTAATTTTGTTAGCACTATGGGTGTTACATTATTCTGGGGAGAGGCTAGTGGCAGGGACACGATTTTTGTGGTTGTCCAGATCAGAGATGTAAACTGTCTGAACTGAGAGGTGAGATAGAGACAGGGCTCAACAGTAAAGAGAAATTTCTAAGACTAAAATGACAAATTGGATGACTTGTTAGATATAGACAGCTGGTGAAAGAAGATACGTAAATGTGTTAAGAAAAGGAGTTGGTTTATGTTAGGGGAAGAACAGAAAGTTTTATTTAATACATTAAATATTAGGTGCCTATGGGATGTGATGTCTAATTATTAGTTAGAAATCCAAATTTGGAACTTAGATGAATTAGGGATAGGAAATGTTTGTGTGGTAGATCAGTATGTAAACTATAGTAGATAACTTAACTCAGGGAGATCATGTAGAGTAAAAAGAGGACTAAAGTGAAAGTTCAAGGAAAACCTAACACTTAGAGGGAGGGAAGATGAGGCAAGACAAGTAAACTCAAAAATGAAAGTGGGTTCAAATTTCGACTCTGCCACCGAACTAGATGAGGACCAAGGCCAAGTTCCTTTACCTCCTATACCTCAGTGTCCTCATCCAAAAAATGGAGGTGAGCATAACAGTTATTTCATACCATTGTTATACAAACTTAGAAGGATAAAATCTATAAAACATTTAAAGTCTGGCAAATGGTAAGAATTTAATTAATGGTCACTATCTTTTTGTTTTAGTGTGAGCACAGGAGCTTGAGGAAATAAGTAAATAAATGCCAACTTTACCCCAAAATGTTCTTTTAGAAAGTAGTTTAATATGTTAGTCCACATAATTATAAAAACAAGCTTTTCTTCTGCCAGCTGACTTAGAGGAATACCATGTTTTACTCTTTGTTTTAAGTTATCAGAAAAGAATGTAGCATGTGCTTTGAAGCATTGTGTGTATAATAATGAGATCTTTCAAGTAGAAAGTCACTTAACTGTGCTTTCTTTTGTTATGTCATTAGATATGAAATCCGAGATGATCATACCTTGAAAATTAGGAAGGTGACAGCTGGTGACATGGGTTCATACACTTGTGTTGCAGAAAATATGGTGGGCAAAGCTGAAGCATCTGCTACTCTGACTGTTCAAGGTAGGCATTGGGAAAGGCTTTGTTTTGGTGGTTTTAGCATACAAAATATAGTGCTGATAATTGAAGAAAATATTATGTATAGGGCTATGTTACATATAGACTTTAAGTATTGCTCTAAATAATGTATTTCAAACATATTTAAAGAACACATATTGTTTTGCCTATGGGAGCTCTGTAAGTGTTACAGGAAATTGAATTAAATGTTGAAAATTATGTTCAAAATTGAATTAAATGTTCAAGATAGTTCAAAAACTATCTTGGTCAAGTAGAGGCGAAGAATGTGCTTTAAACTCCAGGTCTTCAAACATAGAGCCCTTCTAATCTTTTAATTAAATGACAGCTATTGCTGTCTTGGAGGAAACTTTGTCTTTGGAGGAAAACAAGTCTTTCATTACTTCAAGATCATCCACTTTCAGGGGCCTGTACAATTTGTAACAGAAAAAGAAGATTCTATTACTCTTCAGAATGTAGGATTTATTGAGCAGGGACTTTGCAATTGTTTTGTGCGCACAGAGTGCCTGCATCATAACAAACACTCAATAAATATCAGTTGATTGAACGAATTGCAGTTGTACTTTGCTAATTTTGATACAGATTTATTATTTAGCATCGTATGAGCCCAAGTGGATACCGTGTTCTATGGCTACCAGGTTTTTGAAAGTCAAAGTCACGTCTTAAGCTGATAGGAGGAAATGGATCTGTCACCCCTTTTCCATCCATAATCCAGAAGTTTTTCATTCTCATAATCCCATTTTGTTTTTCTCTGTGATGTCGTACTGATTATTTCTCACTATATCCCATTTGAGAACTTTCCTCTATTTTTTTTTCTTTTTAAGTGGCAAGTTGTCTATTATGGAATTTCAGAGGCAATGACCTTTAAAAAACATTTTATTGGTTGGAAAAAAAATTCCTGTTTTGACAGTATATATAGTAAATGGAAGTTCTGGCCATAAACCATTTAGCTTGTTTTGGGGTCTAACATTAGCAACACTTGATGCTGTCATCTTTTCTGAACACTGTCTGTTCTAAGACTACTTAGAAAAAAAAGGTGGCTTTTGAGGGAGCATTTCTACTGTGGGCTTTGTACAAAAGAGCCTTGTGGGCTTTTTACACTAGAAAAAAAAGAGTAAAGAATATTTCCTTCCTGTCTCTAAAGCCATTATGTCCCACTTTGGGGTTTTTAGCTCAATCTCATAAAAACAAAAGGAAAAAAAGAAAGATCAAGAACAAACATTGAGTTTCTAAGGCCAAGACTACTCTTTAATCTAAGTTAGACTTGAACTCCAAGTAAGGCTAAAACTAAGAAAAGAAAACCTCTTCACATTTACAGAAAGCATAAATATAAGAGGTGTCAAATCCAAGTTCAAAAGCCCTCCAGAAGGAGTGAAAATAGCCAGGATGAATACAAGACATGAAAAGGTGTGTCTATCTCCAGGCAATTGTGATAAGGAGGTTGACTGTCTATTACGTTAGTCAGTGAAATGTGTTTCACTTTGTGTTTTAAAGTACTTTACCTTGGTAGCCTGATGCTTTTATAACTAACAGCTATTCTACTGTGTATACAGTAGACATTGAAATCAAAATAGAGTTTCTTCCTGCAATTTTAAATTCAGTTACAAAATTCATTTAGCCTTAAGTTTTCCGTATGGAAATCTTGCTCTCTAAGCCTGGATTTCAAAGGAAATTGGCACTAATGATCAAATCCAGAAACTACTTGAATTTAGAAGTTCTCATTTCAACTGCGTTGTGTTTTCTATAAATGTTTAAAAGATCTTTATATAGTTGAGGATATATTATTCAATATTAAAATAAAATATGCCTATTAACATCACTGTTAAAACATCTTTAACATGCTGGAATAATAAACACAGTATGTTAAAGAAAGTAACATGATTCCCAACTGCAAAAGATAAATAAGAAAAAAACATTCAAAGGAAACCTGAGAAGATATGCCTTTTTTCGTCTTTTGAGACTGAACGTAGAAAAACACCAGTTACTACAAAGGAAACTAATCAGAATTGAAGCCATTTGGTAGCAGGAAATAATTACAGTTAAAAAAATTCAGTAGTGTAATTGTATTGTTAAAAAACTTTCCGTGTTTTGTGTATAGCTCATTTTTAAAAGGCAGTGTTGGAGTCACTACGAGCTCAAACATAATCTTTCTCTCCCTCACATCTCATACAATGAGTATTTAATTTTGATCATTGATGTTAAGGCAATAAAGCCCAGTAATGCAGGTAGAAGCTGTGGGAATAAATTACCTTACATAAGGGTGGCCATTTGATTTTCACCCCCAGCACAGATGTAGTTAATTCCAGCATCTTAAAAAGAACCCTGATTTGAGAGTTTTTTTTTTTTTTTTTTTTTTTTTTTTTTTTTGCCAAGGTCTTCTTGTAATCCCAAATTCTGCTGTTTTCTAGACTTTATGTCTTTAAATATTCCTCTCTTGACTCTAGGGGTTTCCGTGGCTTTTCTACTTGTGTACTCTTCACGGTTCTTTCATGGTACTGGACATCTAATAGGCACTTTATCTAATAAATTCTTATTAAAATTTGAAATGTGAATATGCATTTCAGACTTCTGCTTGAATGGTAGAAACAGCACAGGGGGCCGGGCGTGGTGGCTCATGCCTGTAATCCCAGCACTATGGGAGGCCGAGGTGGTCAGATCACCTGAGGTACGGAGTTCGAGACCGGCCTGACTAACATGGTGAAACCCCATTTCTACCAAAAATACAAAAAAAATTAGCTGGGCGTGGTGGCATGCGGCTGTAATCTCAGCTACTCTGGAGGCTGAGGCAGGAGAATCGCTTGAACCTGCGAGACAGAGGTTGCAGCAAGCCGAGATTGCACCATTGCATTCTAGCTTGGGCAACAAGAGCAAAGCTCTGCCTCAAAAAAAGAAAGAAAGAGAGAGAGAGAAAGAGAGAAAAGGAAGGAAGGAAGGAAGGAAGGAAAGAAAGAAAGAAAGAAAGAAAGAAAGAAAGAAAGAAAGAAAGGAAGGAAGGAAGGAAGGAAGGAAGGAAGGAAGGAAGGAAGGAAGGAAGGAGGAAGGAAGGAAGGAAGGAAGGAGAGAGAGAGAGAAAGAAAGAAAGAAAGAGAAAGAAAGAAAGGGAAAGAAAGAAAGGAAGAAAGAGAGAGAGCACAGGGACATCCTAGGGAAAACTCAAGCAGCTTCTGGTGGTTTTAATTCTGAGTGCCAACAGTAAGCTCCATTTGATCAAATTTGAAGAGACTGCCATTTATGAATGATGCTGCCTTATGACCTGTGTTTGAAAGAGCACAGTAATTGTTTTACTGTCTGTATCTCATAACGTCATGTTGTATACTTTAAATATATACAATGAAATGTATTTTTTAAAAAGAATGGAGGTGAAAAGGGAACAGAGTAAAATCTAGGGCTAGACACTGTTTCTTAAACTTACCGGAAGTTACTTGTTAAGTATACAGATTATCAGGCATGGCCTGTAGAAAATCCAATTTAGGAGATCTGGGTTGGAGCACATAAATTTATTTTTATTTTTAAACGAGCAACTTCACAAACCTCAGGAATGAGGAGTTACTTGATGAACTGACAGGGAGAATAGAAGACTTTTTAAAATGTCTTTATAATTTGAGACTTAGAAAGGTAGAAGAAGTGTGTTAAAGATAATGGTGTAGCTAAGAGAATGGACATTGGAATCAGACAGAATTTAGGTGAATCATGATTCTGTCATTTACTACTATGTAACCTAGAAGAGTTTACATAAATTTCATGAAACTCAGTTGACCCATATGTAAAATGGACACAGTAATACCAACCTTTGTATAAGGATATTTAACATATTATCTGTTATACAGTACATATTTTGTAAATAAACAGCATTAGACTTATGAGTGTTATTATTGATAGCTTTATTGCTTAATTTCAATAATTATTAGGTGGTTAGAAAAATAGTAGTTTTAGATAATTCTAGATCAGTGGCTCTTCTACTGTAAATGAAGAATCTGAAGTACTAATATTGTCATGACAATTTATTATGTGACAAATTATTAAAGACATTTCTCAAATATAAAGCATTACATTTTCATTTTTTAAAACCTTTATTGGAAGGTTGAGGCAGGAGGAATGCTTGTGGCCAGGAGTTCATGGCTCCATCTCTACAAAAACTAATTTTAAAGTCAATTGTACATGTTGGTGTGCACCTGTAGTCCCAGCGACATGGGGGGCTGAGGCAGGAAAACAGCTTGAGTCCACGAGTGGGAAGTTTCAGTGAGCTGCGAACCCTGCCTTGCACTCCAACCTGGGTGACAGATTGAGACCCTGCCTCTAGAAATAAAATAAAAATAAAAATCCTTACGGGCTATTATAGTAAATGTGTTGGATTTTGCTAGCGCCAGTGAAGCTAGTCCTAGATATGTATTGAAGTTTTGGAAAATAAGTAGATAAATTATTGAAATTTATGACCATTTTGGAAGAAAAATGAATCAAAAAGATTGCATTACATGTGCATTGGAGTGTTATTGAAATGGAAGAACATTCAGCCCAAGGTTTTTTGTCACAATTTCCATTCCGTTATCTCTAAGAGTGACTGTTTTCTAATTTTTTAGATTCTCAGTGCCTCTGTTTCTCTCTGTAAAATAGTGGTGCTTTCTCACAATTCATACAGAGACTAGTAAGATTATCCATGAGCAAATATCCTCAAAAACTTCTTTATCTCCTTAATGATCATTTCAAAACATGGATGAAATATGAGGTTGCACCCTGTTAATAGAAAGTAATTGCACCACTAAAACCTGTACCACATTTGGTGTAACATTCATGGGATTACTTGTCCCTGGCCAGTGGAATGCCAAAGTCAAATTAAAATATTGAATCAAATAAGATATTGATTACTTAATAATGCAGGTTTTATTTTACTTAGGAAAGAGGCAAACTGTAATAAAATTTTGGTGATATTAGGAAGTTTGGGCTAAAAATATATTTTTTCTGGGCTCTGTAAATATTTAGGCAATAAAAAGAATATCCTGATTCCTTTAACTTGCATATTGGTATACATGGTATACCAATATTGGTATATTATTGAAACTAATTCTCAGAATGAGACCCAAAGGCTCAGCAGTAATGACCTATCAAAGGATAATTACTGTTCATTATATGACCAATACAAAATAGTGAAACAATGCTGTTTGGGATAATTACAACAGAAAAGTGTTTCTGCTTAACTTTGAGTTAGCCAGAAAATTCAGTAAACCTGAACCTCACATTACATCATTTTGTAAACTAAGCAAAGTTTCATTACCTATACATGTTAACCATCAGTGTTGTTACATTTATACTTAGTGTTTGTCTGCATCCCTGTTTCCTCTCCATGTGTATAATATCTACATACCTTTCTTTCAAGAAATCTTTTTGTGAACCTAAAATACACAAACAAAATCAAGCATCTTTTTAAAGACCTATCACCTCTATTTTGATTTATTACATTGTTATTTTTGAACTGTAGCATTTCAATTTGACGAGTGTTAGGATAGCTGGCTCTGTCTTGATAGGAATGAATTATTCACTGAAGTGGTGTTTCATGTTGCATCATGGCTCCATCTTTTAAGACAAAAAGATATATACTACATACAGTATTTGTAACAATTTTATAGGTTGTGACATACCTATAAAAGGTAAAATCTAACAAGAACAACATAGATGCATAGAGGCACCCTGCCACGTTTTTAAACAGCGTGTCATTGAAACTGCTAAAATTTATGCCTCCCCTTGGTATTCAAGAATGGTTGCAGGTTTGTTTTTATATTATTTTGCTATCTTAATCTAAATCCATTACGTATTTATTAGATGCTTACAAGGTGGGCCTTCAGGTTCTTCTTAGAATCAGATGATGGCCAAATTATATTATTATTTTTATTTTTAAACTAAAATGATTAAAAAGAAAAGCAAATGCTTTTTTCTTTGTTTGAAGTAGACTTTAGGAAAAGCATGGTGAATACAGCTTCAAAATACTTAAAAATGAAAAAAAAATCTATTTACTCAATTATGAATAACAAACCCTATAAAATTTATAAATTATTTACTTTCAATGACAATCATCTTGGTGGCTTTTTAAATTATTCCATTTTTGAGGAGTGCTCTTCCAAACGAAAGATAGGTGATAAAGCCACATAGTTTAAAGTTTGAGTTTCTCCTGTTTCTGAGTTTGTCCTCAGCCTCTAAGATTTCTTGTGATTCCTTGCTTCAATGATACTCATTGCTTAAACAGGGTGAACTAGATGGCATTATTAATCTTTCCACTCCTTTTGTAACTTCACAGATAAAGCAGCTCTTCTTACTGTAACAATTTCATTTCCAAAGTAAATTTGTGACTCTCTATCACCAGAGTGATCATGTTCCCATCGCTGTGTCCCATCAGTCACAGGAAACCGAACCAAGAACGGCCTGAAAACAGACCAACCATTTCCCAAGCCATCACCTTTTATCTCCCTGAGTTGAAGTATAAGAAAATCCAATCCCATTTTTGTTTGTCTCTCTCACAACAGGAACTAAAAGACACTTAGTCTTCTTGTTTCTCTTGAGGGCTGAGTGCAGGGCCAGCCAGTCACAGGAAGTGGTATGTTTAGATCTCAGTTCACACCCCACTATACTCCTCTCCAGGCTTCTCACAGAATGGGTCAATTTTTGAAGCTCTGTTCAAAGAAAAGGCAGGTGCTAAACATTGCCAAACCAGGTGATGCTCTGTTATCAGATGAATGGGATTTCTGTGAAATCCCAGCTCTTCTCTCATAAGAGCTTGTCCATTTTTCTTCTCTTGATGTGAAGTCACTCTAGTCTCTCAACTTTATCAGCTTTCTTTTAACTATAAAATACAGTATCATGAATTATGTTGCTATTGCTTTAAATTTATTGTTGACATACAATAGGAATGTTAAAACATCAAAAGAATGTGCATTCTATTCTATTCTGTAGAATTGTTATTTTTGTCTGATGCTTCCCCTAAGTATTAATGCCAACTGTGCAGTGAAGGAGCATAATACTTTCTCGTTAGGACTGATGAGCCAGTGACAGCTTCTGGGAGTCTGAGCCTTAGTGTATGAGACTGACATGCAATAGGGGAGACACAAAGACAGAAAAAAAGCCCCGTGCTGTCTTTTGCCTGACTTAATTGCTACTAATGGGATGCTTCCTAGAGTGTCTCTCCTTGCTGCTAGTAAACTACATGCTTCAGAAAAGAAACTTTGCTGGAATATCTAGGACACCGCAGTTTATGATTGACCCCTATTTACTGTCCCAATGAACTCAGAGTTGAAGAGTAATTATAACTTTCAGTAAAACAAGAAGCAGCTGTCAGAGGTTTGTCTGAGTCTTTAAGTTTCTGCTAACTCAGGCTGTAAGCATTAGTTTGCATAATATAATAGTGAAGAAGTGAAAATAAGAGCAGACCAGACATCAGAAGCTGAATTCCCTCATATTCTTTATTTGACTTGTTGGCAATGCAGCCTGCAGACACACAGCCAGTCGACAGCTTTACTCTTTATCCTTCATGTTCCCATTTTCCCATATCTCACTCTTAATCAGTCATCACAAAATCCTACTTATTTTGCCTTTTACCTATTTCTCAACTCTCTCACCACCTCCCTTGCCTTCTTATCATTGCCCCATTTTAGGCCTTTATCATTTCTCCGGGAAACTCTTAACTTCTAACCAGGTTCCTTGCCTCCACCTTGTCTCATAGAATCTATTCTTCACACAACAGATTAATGTACCTACAAAAGCTGGGCGTCATGGTTCACGCCTATAATCCCAGCACTTTGGGAGGCCAAGATAGGAGGATCACTTGAGCCCAGGAGTTCGAGACCAGCCTAAGCAACACAGTGAGACCCAGTGTTAAAAAAAAATTGTTTTAAATAATTTTAAAAAAGAGTTTTAAGAAGATTATCTACCTAAAACACAGTTATAATTATATTAATTCCTTCCATAAATGATTTCCATGGTTCCCATCTCTCCAGGGTAAGATCCAAAATACTTTTGATGATACTAGCCTCCTTTCTTGCTACTCACTTTAGTATAATATGCTATATTCCTATATTTCTTTTGTGTATACACCACCATGTAGCTTATCTCTGGGCTTTTTGTTATGTTGGCTCCTTGGTCTAAAATGCCCCAGCTCCACCTGCCCCATCTTCTACTTGCTAGTTACTCCTATTCTTGAACTTGATTCACATAAGCATCCTCCAGCAAGCTTTTCAGACACTCCCCATCCGAGTGAGAGTTAGGTATTTCCCATTCACCTACCCACTGGATGCTACTACTGCCCTTAATGGGATTTCAATGTCTGAACTGCTTGACTGTGAGTTCCTTAGGCACACACTTTGCTGACTTTGCTTTGTTAGTCTCATTGTTTACTGCAGTCTCAGAGACATCGTTTTAGTTAGGGTCCTCCAGAGAAACACACTCAATAGCATATAGAGATAATAAGAAGAGATTTATTATAAGTATTGGTATGGGGGGGTCAAGAATTCCCACCATCTGCCATCTACAAGGTGAAGAACCAGCAAAACAGGTGGTTTAATTCAGTCTAAGAGCAAAATTCTAACATTGGGGGAGCAGGAAAAGATGTGTGTCCCAGCTCCAGAAGAGACAGCACATTTGCCTTTTTTCTACCTGGACCCTCAACGGATTGGATGACGCCAGCCCACATTGGTGAAGGCATGTCTTCTTTACTCAGTTAACAGTATCAAATGCTAATCTCTTCCAGAAACACCGTCACAGACACTCCCAGAAATACATGTTGCCCATTGTCTGGACATCCCCTAACCCACTCAAATGGACACATAAAATTCACCATCACAGAAACCTTGATGTTCTTGTAACATTTTCTGTGTGAGTGAATTAAGTGCTCATCCTGATACACACCAGTTGTTGAATCCTAGGCAAATTGCCTAACTTCTCTGAGATTCAGAGTTCTCATCTGTTGAAAAATGAGTGTACATGTAATACAAATATCCGTCAGCTAATAGGAAAATAAACTAATGAATAAAATAGTTGAATTCCCAAGAAAGTGGGTGTGGATTATGGGGTGCTTATGCAAATACAGTTGTTGTTACTGTTTCTATGATTGTTTTTCTCAGCTTCTTCCAAAACTAAATTAAAAATTCATCAGGTCCCTGTTAATTGTTATTTTGTCCATAGAGATTTGACATTTTTTATAGCTGATTAATGTGAAGTTTGGTTATTGTTTTACTTTAACATAATTACTATCCCTCCCTGCTATGTTCAATGCTGCTAAATTTCCTGATAGAATGAATAACATTGAATCCCATCACTGCCTGTTCCATGTAGTCCATATAGTGGAACAATTGAATTAACTGAATATAAACAAATTTAGATATACTGTACTCAGAAATAACTTCAATATAATTTAATCTGGAAAAAATGGATCAGCAGGCGTAATCCACAAAAAGAAATGTGCATTTGATAATTTTCTAACATGTGAATTAGCAACTTTGAAAATAATCAAGATACATGCCAATCTTAATGTAACATACTGTGTGAATGTATGACTGTTTTTTTGAGACAGGGTCTCATTATGTCACCCAGGTTAGCGTGCAGTGGCACAATCATGGCTCACTGCAGCATTGACCACCTGGGCTGAAGCAATCCTCTCCCTTCAGCCTCCCAAGTAGCTCTACAGAAGCATGCCACCATGCCTGCCTAATTTCTTTTCTTTCCTTTTTTTTTTTTTTTTTTTTTGGAGAGATGAGGTCTCACTATGTTGTCCAGACTCGTGTGTGTGTGTCTGTGTGTGTGTGTGTGTGTATGTGTGTGTTTAATGAACCATTAGATAATTATTTCATATTGTAAAATTAAAATTTAGGTAAAAGTGAAACAATATAGCTTACTGTAGACTTTATTGCCAGTAGGGGATAAACTTTTAAAAACTTGCATTCAAAAACACCTCTGGAGGAAAGAAGGCCTACTTTGTAAATCTGTGGTTTCCATAAATAGAGTTCACTATGTTTAACTTTCTGTCAGCGTATGAGATCTTTGTGTGAGATCCATAGGATTTTTTGGAGCTCGTATGATAGCTAGGCATAAAATAAGTAATGAGAGAAAAAACTGGGTCCTTCAGTTCTGAATTTCCTTTCTTTGATGTAGACTTCATTTAAATCATTTGTTGGAACAGCTTCCTTAAGTTGCTGATTTGAGAAAATCTGGCAATATAATAGTGCATTGTTTCTGACCATTAACGTGGTTATTTGAGTCAAAGCCAAAACTAATAGTGTCAAGGGACCTTTTTGCAGAGTCAGCTTAGGTTTAGTATAATCCAAGATCTTGGTTGAGAACTGTGAGTTCATCAACATTTTGATGAAACACATATTATGAGACCCCCCCAAGGCTTTATTTGACAATTTTAAGAACCTTGATATGTGTGTGCTGCTTTTGCCAGACTCTGACAAGACATAGCAAACTGGATCTTTAGGGAATGATTCTTAATGACATATGGCAATAATCCACAGATGCCCACTAAAGTCACTAGTGCTACAGTAAGCAGTGCTTCAGGGGTTGGAGGATTTTATATATATATATGTGTGTGTGTGTAAAATGGTGGTAAATATATATATTAAATTTATATATATTGGGTAGATATATGTATATACACACATATTCAATGTAATATATATTTACCACTGCTTGTATGTATGGATACTCTTAATACTAATCTCAAGAGTCTTATTCAAAATGCTACCCTTAAGGGATTTGTTGTGGAGGTTTGTGTGTCTTTCTTCTCCTTCTCCTCCTCATCCTCCTCCTCCTCTTCCTCTTGTTTATTTTGTAGTTAAAATAAGGATTAAAAAATTTTCAACTGAGGACTAGGGGGGCTGATGGGGAAAGAGATTTGTTATGGTAAAAAGAAAACCAAAAAAGACAAGATGTGATGGAAACTTTTGAAGAATCAGTACTGCCAGTTGAGCTCTTTGTGAGCAGGCTGCAAGTAAAATGCCATCACCCAAGAGATTTAATGAAGTCCCACTACAGAATTTAACAAGAGAGTGATTTGTGAGAATAACTCCCTCTCCTAACTGTTCTGATCCAGTGGCGTAAATAAGATGCTGAGCACCACTCCTGCTGGGTTTTTTAATGCTGTTTCATTTGATTGAGACCCAGTAGCTTTTTGGCCTATGATTCTTGGCTGTTTTGTTTTGTTTTGTTTTGTTTTTCCCTAGAGGAATAAAGTAAAGAACTTCTTGTGTACTTATAGCTTAAAGAAACAGCCATTGTAACCCTAACGACTGATGAATGTGTGGGATTCTCTTAGATTTCTTTCATCGACGAAAAAAGATTTGGGGTTGCTTTCAGTTATTTCAAAAAAACAGATATAAATCATAAAAATTAATCAAAAGAAAGGCATTCACTTCATGGCCTTCCTACAGAGAATTTGAAATGCTCTCTTAATTGTGCACGCCAGGCAAATATTTGAAGAAATAAGTCGAGCAGTCAGGTACAAGAAATAATTGATACATAAGATGATTCAGTGACAAATAATGACATAGCACCACACTAGTAAATAGCGCATCATAGGCCTTCCATGATGGTCTGAGTTTTACTGTGATTTATTCGTCTACATAACAGTGGGTAAGGTTTTCTCACTGCCCAATTATATAGATGTATAACTGAGCAACTGTATTTAGAAACCAAACCAACATTCTGAAATAATGGCATCAATGTGGAAAAATGTCATTGAGTTGTATGGATATATCCAATCTCAGCTGCTCAGCCTGAGAATGAAATTTGGAGAAATAAATTACTTTTCTGCTCTTATCATTGAGAGATAGCACATTTTAAAATGTTCATTTTAACAGCCTCACATACTTTTAAGACTTGGAATTATTTTATCAGAGTTAGTATCATTCAATGTGAAAAAGTTAATTCTAAGTTGATTCACATAATATTTTGTATTTTATCCAGAATTGTTTGCACATAAAGTGATCAAGATATTTTATTATTTAAAAGAGAATAGTTGCAGACTGTTCACATGAAGAACACCTTTACCTTATGATGAATCTTGAGTAAACTAAATACACAAGATAACTAAAAATGTGACTGTTTATGCATCCATTTGTATGGATATTTTTTATTATTTGCTTGCTATGGTTTTAAATATTTTGATAGATATACACAGCATGAATCATTAGGCTGAATAGAATTCTTGTTTTTAGACTGGCGAATCGTTTTAGCAAATACCAAACATCAGGGTCATCATTAGAGTAGTTACACTTGATAATTACATAGCATCTGGTGTCCTTTGAGCCTTATCTTAGTAATTTAAAAATACAAAGCAATTCTTTTTTAGTTTTTAAAAATATTTTGTATAAATTAGAAGTTCACACTGTGTAGTATACCTAAGGTTTGCACAACTGATTAAAATACCATGAGCACTTTAATTTGCTTTTAAACTGTTTCTCTGATGACTTGATAAATAATGTGCCAGTATAAACACACCTGCAGAAAATACTAAAATAAGTATAAGACAAAATATAGCTGAGTAATTGCTTTATAACAGATTTATGAGAGTAGGAAAATCCATAAATGGTTGTTAAAGTTAGCTTTAGGACATTTATTTTGTGTGGTCGATGTTATTAGGAGAGGATTTAGAGCATTGCACAACTAAACCTGATAGATAGGCCGTTTTACAAAGGCCCTTTTAAAAAGTTATTTTGTGGATGGTGAAATAGTCATTTCACACAGTGCCTTTTAGGTCATTAGTGAAGAGATGAGAAGTGCTTTTGTGGTTTTCCTTAGGCTTTTAACTCCCCCAGAATATACTTAATCACTAAATATAATTGATAATAAATAATTTTGACCTGATTTAGGTTTCTTGAGAATAAACATTAAATCATATAACTCTATGCTAGATTGTTGAAATTTTCAACTTTAGACATGGATGGGGGCTTATAAAGCATTTCCTTTCACACTGCCTTTGACGTTTACAGTGAGTGTTCTAAAATGTTGCCTCACATCGCTTTTCAGGCACGGAATTGGCTGCTTTATCATTGTTTCTATAAGAAAATAAAATGCAGAACAAGTTATTTTTCCCCAAACCTTTTTATAAGTATGGAACTGCTCATATACAAGCAGAGTAATTATGCATCTATGTTCATCTAATGTATCAATACATATGTTGTATATTTAAATCATTTCTTGTTAAAAGTCATTTTGTTTAGGTCATGGAGACAAAACATTTCAGAACCAAAATTACATTAGAGCAAGGTTTTACTCTTTTTAAAATTACAAACAAGTCATCCAATGTAGTAAACAGTTGCTATTTTTACATTTTACGAACTGGAGAGGCCGGGCATGGTGGCTCACGCCTGTAATCCCAGTGCTTTGGGAGGCTGAGGCGGGTGGATCACCCGAGGTTACCAGTTCGAGACAAGCCTGGCCAACATGGCAAAACCCCATCTCTACTAAAAGTACAAAAATTAGACAGATGTGGTGGCGTGCGCCTGTAATCCCAGCTACTCAGGAGGCTGAGGCAGGAGAATCACTTGAACCCGGGAGGTGGAGGTTGCAGTGAGCTGGGATCGCGACACTGCACTCCAGCCTGGGAGACAAGAGCTAAACTCCATCTCAAAAAAAAAAAAAAAAGAAAAAAAGATCTGGAGATACCAGCAGAATTCCAATACTCCCTGTCTTACCTGATAGGTGACCTTATGAAATTTACTTAATCTTCATTTTCTTTCTTTTGCAAAATCGAGATATTGAATAATTCCTTACAGAGCTGCTGAAGGGGTTCCTAATATATGATCTGACACACAGTTAGCTAAGCCTGATGCCTTCTTACTATTAAACTGAGATGGAGAATGTTTATGTAATTTATGCAGGATCACAGGTCTGATTCCTTTTGGAGAGGATCTTGATCCAAAGTTGTTTAACTACCAGTTGAATAACGTTATCATTCTGTCATCATGTACCTTAACTCTGGACCCTCCATGAAATATGCCATTTAAAGATAGACATTCCAGTTTTTCAGATAAACCAATTCTTGAGCACTTTCTATGTACAAAACAGTACGCTGGGTACTATGAAGGATGTACAGATAAATAAGATGTGGATCCCATCTTCACAGAGCTTATTATAACCTAGCGAAGAAGAGAGATACACACAAATATCTATAGTATCAGCAGAATATGAAAAATGGACTCTTAAAATAGGACTAAGTGCTTTCAACTGGGCTATTGGAACATTATTGTCATTTCTTCCACCTTTCAACCGATATTTAAAATGTGAGTAGCAGCCTCACCTTGAGAAGTTCTAGAGAAATAATGGCAAACAAAATGAGTAAATGCTTGCTCACATGGAACACAAGGCTAATTTTGGAGCAACATAAAACATACAAATGTATAATTTTAACTATAATATGTGCTCTGAGAGGAAAGTTAAGATTGCTATGAAAATAGGTAGCATTCTGATATGATTTAGTTCACTTTAGAGATAATTTCTTGAAAAAGTAATTTTTTAACTGAGCTCTAAAGACTGAATAGTAATTATATGGGTGAAAGGGGAAGATTCCAGGGTACAGTATAAACAGAACTAGAGGCAACATGGTGTGTGGTGTACTCAAGGACTGAAAGAAGGCCAGTAGGGCTAGGTCAAGGAGAGGGAGAAGAGGTGATACGAGAAGACACTGAATTGTTACACAGCAAGGCCACGTTAAGAATTTAGTTTTCTATTTTAAAAGCAATAGGACCATGTTGAAGGATTTTAAGCAAAAAACAAAACGTAAAAACAAAGTGTAATTGTATTATTATTATTATTAATATTATTATTATTATTATTACTTGGAGATGGAGTCTTGCCCTGTCACCCAGGCTGGAGCACAGTGGCGTGATCTTGACTCACTGCAACCTCCACCTCCCGGGTTCAAGCAATTCTCCTACCTCAGCCTCCCAAGTAGCTGGGATTACAGGCACCCACCACCATGCCTGGCTAATTTTTTTTTTTTTTTTTTTTTTTTGTATTTTTAGTAGAGACGGGGTTTCCCCATGTTGACCAGGCTGGTTTTGAACTCCTAACCTCAAAGTGATCCACCTGCCTCAGCCTCCCAAAGTGTTAGGATTACAGTGTTAAGCACATGAGCCACTGCGCCTAGCCTTTTATTTTGTTTTAATCACTCTGACTACATCATAAGATTGGACTGGAAAAGACCAAAATAGTAGGTGAATGCTGTTGGATAGCTTGGGCCAGAATGGTGGCAATAAAGAGAGAAGGAGGTAGATGGAATGGATAAATGGTTACAGTATAAACACTATGGAATTTGCTGGTTGATTGTGTATTTCCAGGAGGAAAGACAGGAAAGATGTAGGTTTCTGGCTTTCTAAGTGGACGTAGGGAATATTACCATCAAAATTATAGTCCTAAGATATGTGTTGGGTGACATGCACATTGTCGTAGATTGCTGGGTAGTTGCATTTGAATTGTGGATTCCTTAGTAGACAAGTAACTACCAACGTTTGTTAACTGCTTTTTTGGGAAAGTGACAATATTTTTAGAAAGGAAGAATAAGAGCAAGAGTACTAACCTTTTCTGAGTACCTGTGATAGGTCAGGCATTGTGCAAGGTACTTTGTATATATGGGTTGAAATAAATATATGTTAGTATTCTGATAAGCTTTAAGTTGAATAGCTCATCTACAGCTGGGCTTCTGAATCTTGGCACTGTTGACATTTTGTGCTACATCATTCTTTGCTTTGGGACGTTGTCTTGGGCTTTGTAGGATGTTTGTCAGTATCATTGGCCTCTGTCCACTAAATGCTAGTAGCTCTCTGCCTTCCCCTTCTTCCCCACATCAGTTGTGACAGCAAAAATTGTCTCCAGAACCATTGTTCTACAGAATAATGTGAGATATTTAAGAGGAGGTGAAAAGTTCATAGTATTTTATGTATCCATTAAATATATTCTAAAAATGGCCTCCTTTATCTCTTTATTGTTATGTCTTAAAAGTTGAAAGACATAATGACAGGCTTTTAAGTTAAACTCAATCTTTTCCCCCAAAAGAAATCATACCTAGTATTAAAATATCCTGAGAGTTTTTAATTGTTAGCGATATTGTCATTCATGAGTATCTATGTATATAATTTTTCCAACATACCAGTGACTGGATTTTGTCAGTTCAAATATAGATAGTTTTACTACTTGAGAATTTGGGCTCTTGTATTTGAATAAAAATGTGTTTCTTCCAAAAGTTTTTATTTAACTCACTACCTTATTTCATTTGTATTCTCTGGAATGTGGTATTTACAATTCTAGTGTATCAGATGTGTTAACTGAGCTCTGCGTTCAAAAGTACTGTAGATGAGAATGGGGAAAAAATCGCCTCAATTTAAGGATTCATTAGAATTTAGCTACTAGCAGTGAAAACTTATATCTATGAATTAGCAGAAGAATTCCATAGTCGAGATGATTTCATATTTAGCCCATTAAAAAAAGCAGCTGTTCTCTGATATTTACTAATAGGATTGGTCCTATTGTAGATGCATTCGCTTTACAATAACATTCTATAGAGTCAACCTAGGAGTTTGTAATACTTAAGTTATTTTAGACCCAAATACTGTAGCAATCTTCTGTCATTATATTTTTTAAAAATTAAATGCTTCTGAATGTCCATACAATTAAAATCGTAGCACTGAAAGCACTTTAAGATTCAATTTCTCTGTCCCTTTGCCAGACACGGTTATATCTAAACTGTTGTGGCCTAATGGAAATAAATCCTATTTTAAAAGACCTCTAGAGACATCATAGTTGGCAAGCAATTCATGGTTCAGTGACCTTTTCTGTTAACTGCTTCTTTTCTAGACTTTCTTTAAGTTGTTCACGCTATTATTTAGGCCGATTATCATCTTTTCTTGTGGCATTGGTAGTTATAAAAATTGGCTGGTCCCGGTACTTATTAGACCTAACCTGAAGACTTCTTAAGTATCTGTTCAACTAACTTATTTTCTTTAGATGAAAAAGGTCTTTTCCTCCAACCTCTGTATAATGTTTTTCCAAACATTTATCATCTTTCTGACTCATACACATGTCTCCTGAATGTGACAAGCAGCTGGAAGATAAAAGAGGAATCTTCCTCCGTCCCTCCCTCCCTCCCTCTTTCCTTTATTTCCTTCCTTCCTTTCTTTTACTTCCTTGCTCTCTTCTTATCTTATTTATACCTGAAGATTACTGTCTGAGCAATGTATATTCTTAGTACATAGAAGATTTCAAAACAAATAAGTAATTTAGAACCTATGATATCACATTCAAAAAGGAAGAAAGTCTTCTATTCTAAATGGTAGTGGCTGTGTGTGTGTGTGTGTGTGTGTGTGTGTCTGTGTGTGACAGAGAGAGACAGGGGGGTTCTTGTCAAAATATACTGTTTTGATGTTTCAAAAAAGATGGATATTTCGTTCAACATATAAAGATTTCAAGTGATGAAATAATTAAAATTGGTTTACCCTTAAAAATGATTGCCATACTTTTTAATTGCAAAAATAAATTTTTCAACCAGCATTAAGTCTGTGTTATCACCTGTTAGTTTCCAGGTCTTTTTTAAACTATAGCTAAATATTCTTAAAATATTTTTAACATCATGAATTCCTTAAAACCAGTTTATATATATATATGTGTATATATATATGTATATATACATGTATATATACGTGTATATATATGTGTATATATATATGTATGTATACATGTATATATATGTGTATATATATGTGTATATATATATATATATGCATGTAGTAATGATTTTGGTAGTAATGATTTTAGGTTAAACAACTATTTGTGGCAGTTTAAATGTAAAATCAAATGTATTTTGTATCCTATTGAATATTCTTCACCACTAATTGATTAGCCAGCAGGAAAATTTGTACAGAGAGTTAGATATTGTCAGGAGGCCTAGAAGCCAGTCTATGGTGAACCCCCTGTGACCTTGATAAAGTTCTTTAACAATTTAGGTTTTCTGTTTTCTCATGCAAAAGAAGTTTAGACTGATAAGTTCTAAGGTCACTTCCAGTGCCAACATTTTATAGTTTTATTAGAGACAGAAACAAACAGGCTTTTCCCCTCTCTTAGCAAGAAAAGGGACTTGGGACACAGGTGCTTCCAACCTTAAAAGCAGAAAGGAACGAAGTTGAGAAGGGCTATGAGAAGGATAGGAGTGCAGCCTCCCATAAATGTCGAATGTTAGAAGATAATGAATGAACAGGTTCCAAGTTACTCTGCTTTTTTTTTTTTTTTTTTTCTGATTCTTTCTGCCATGCCCAACAGGACAATAATTAAAATCTGCCTGTTTCATAGAAAGGACCATATTCTCTGTATGGAAAGGAAATCCTTTTACCTGACCTTTGGAGAAATGTAGAGAAAGGAGAAATATGAGGAAAACTTAAATAAATTCCTATAATTTATTCTTTAGCAGAGAAAGTTAGGGATGGTAATTTTTTTCAAGTGAGTGAAAGGATTTTACATAGTCCATATTAATGACTTCTATTTGTTTACTGAGAGTAGAACAAATGAAAGGGGGGTGAAATTCTGAACAGACAGGCTTTCCTTTAGATAACAGGATTGGTTTCTTGATAATCAGAGTTGTTAAAAGCTTAAATGACCATTCAAGATAGACTCCTCTCCAAAACCTCTCATGTTTTAGAAGCTTCCATGTTAGCTGATGTTCTTAGATAACTTTTAAGATCCTTAATAGGCTATAAAATATTTTTCTGTTTTCTTTTCTTTTTTTTTTTTTTTTTTGAGACAAGAGTCTTGCTCTGTTGGCCAGGCTGGAGTGCAGTGGTGCAATTTTGGCTCACTGCAACCTCCGCCTCCAGGATTCAAACAATTCCCCTGCCTCAGCCTCCCAAGTAGCTGGGACTGCAGGTGCGTGCCACCGCGCCTGGGTAACTTTTTGTAATTTTAGTAGAGATGGGGTTTCACTGTATTAGCCAGGATGGTCTCGATCTCCTGACTTCATGATCCGCCTGCCTTGGCCTCCCAAAGTGCTGGGATTACAGGCGAGAGCCACGTCACCCAGCCTAAAATATTTTTCAGTTGTCATCTGTCATTGATGTGATATGCAAATACATTAGCCTAAAGTTCTTTTTCTTTATTATTATACTTTAAGTTATAGGGTACTTGTGTACAACGTGCAGGTTTGTTACATATGTATACATGTGCCATGATGGTGTGCTGCACCCATTAACTCGTCATTTACATTAGGTGTATCTCCTAATGCTAGTCCTCCCCCCTCCCCCCACCCCAGCCTAAAGTTCTTAAACCCATTGGATTTTAATTAATAAAAGAATTCTACTCCTATGGGTTGACGGCTAGTAAAAACTATAAGCAAGAAAAGGGTGCATTAAAAATTTTAAATTAGGTGCTTTCCAGTTTTTTTTGTTTTTAATATATATTTTTGAAATGTTTTAGGAATTTTAAATTACTGAAAATACGTGAAAATATTTAGGAATCATTTCTCTACTTTTCTGACTTTAAGTAAGGGTTTATTTTAACTGCTTCAGTCTAATGGGATCAAATTTATTTTCACAGATTAATCCAAACGGTAATCCTATAACTTATTGTTATCTCAAAGCAAAATTCTGTTGTTACAGCTTGTCAGGTCCTCTCTTTTGTAGTGCCTAAATACTTCTTACTGTCATTTAAAAGGCATCATCTGTAAGGTGTCAAGAAATGTAACCACGTTCTATCCATTCCGTGTTTTTGAGTCTGGGTAGCATAACTGGTGATGCTATAATAAACATTAAGCCTATGTAAATGAGAAAGTTTCTTTTTAACTTTTCTAACTTGAGTGAGTGAAAAATTATGCTTAGTTTTGTTTTCTCTGTAATGAAAAATAAAGACATTATTTCACTCCTGTTGAAGGGAACGTATGAATTAAAAATGTTTCTAAATTGCCTTTAAATTTTGCGTATGGGACAAAAGTATGCAAGAGAAATTTTATCTTTGCTTTATAACTGTACCACTTAACAACAACATTCTTTAGCATTTATTTAAACTATAGGAATGTGTATCAGGTCTAATTAATTTTGATTTGCTGAAAGCTATGGAAGTTATTTATTTGAGTAAAATATATTGTAGGTTTCTGCTGGGGCTATTATGAAAAAGTTCTGCATTTGGCAGTAATTATATTTGCTTATAAAATAGAGAGAAATGAAATAACCATTTCTAGTATTTTAAATATATATTATTTGAGCTTTCTCTATTAAGATGCCTAATGTTTCAACATTGAAAACAGAAAATGTAATTATGATTTATAGATAAGATTATAAAGTTTTCTTAGTTCTTGTAATTTATTCACTTTTTTCTATGCACCATCTCAATTAAAAATATGCAAGAATTTAAATGCAACACCTTTTTATAGGCTTTCTATTCCATTTATGGTCATAGGCCAGCAAAACTTGGATGCTTGTTAAAAATGCAAAATCTCCAGTCACACCGCTAACCTGTAGAATCATAATCTGTATTTTAACCAGCTCCCAGGGTGACTCATGCCTATTTGCGTATGAGAAGCATGGATTTCAGTTTCATAGAATATTATTGGCAGTATACACCTTTCAAAAATTGAACTGATGATGGAGTTGTGGGATTTAATGTTCTTTTTTCTAAAATAATCAATTTTTGATTTCTGTGTAGTTTTAGCAGCTAAGATTTATAATGTTTTAAAATCCATTACGTATTAGTTCTCTAACCTGTTGTCTGGTAGCAAAATGTAAAGTTATTTTAAAATGTTTTATAATTTTATAGCTCTCATTCATTGTAGCTCTGCCATTTAATCATAGTAGAGAATTTAAGCTTCATTTCTATTTTTCTTAAATTAATCATGATTATACCTAAAATGCTAACAAATATTCATCCATGTACAGTGTGAGCCATATATTCAAGTATTAACATGTTCTTTATCTTAAAAGAAGAATCATTGTTAAGTCAAATCTTATTACTTTTCTGTTTCATTTTATGTTTCCTTATTTTTATTTATTCCATGTTTTCTTTTTTTGTTTTGTTTTAGTTGGGTCTGGTAAGTTGACATTTTATTGGCCATCTTCTCATCACCGTGTCACTGTGACTGGAACTTCTCTTCCCCTTTCCATCCATACCCTTCCATGTCCTTCAACCAATCAGCCTCCATGTTTCACTTGTCATTGGCCACAAAGACAGACTGCACAGAATAAAGTCTGCAGGAAGTATGGGTAACTGTGAAAAGAGTAAAGGTAACGGGGTTGCTAACTTTATATCTTATGAAATTAAATGATGTGTGATCTGCATCCTTTTATTTCTTCTCTCCTGAAATAAGTGATAGGATTACATCTTGGTTAAGTACTGTTCGAATATATATATATCGTAAGATTAAACAAAAATACATGCAGAGAATGATTTTGGTTCTTTTGGTTCAAAATATATTTGTGAATTCATGTATATCTCTCTGAGTTTTTATAACTATTGTTCTATAACAGTCATTAAAAGTCCTGTTGGTGAATAATAGCCTTGCCCTTAGGACTGTTTGCACTCATTTTCATTTCTGTGTGTCAGATTCATTTTATTTTGTGTAGGAAATAATCCCAGGATATGTCCAAAGTTTATCAAAGCGTACTTTGATAAACATTTGTCCCCATATAAATAAATAAGCCATCAAGTTTCTAAGTGCTTACCTTGGAGGAAGGTCCAATCATTTCATAAGGTCACTAGAAAGCAATTTTTAGATAATTGTACATGAATATGCAAACGGGCATGCCAGAGAATAACTTTGTCCCTAAAAGAATCTCTCTCACTATTTTTAAGTTAAAAAGTTACAATAGGTCTGGCATGGCGGCTCACACCTGTAATCCCAGCACATTGGGAGGCCGAGGTGGGTGAATAATTTGAGGCCAAGAGTTCAAGAGCAGCCTGGGCAACATGGCAAACCCCCATCTCTACCAAAAAATACAAAAGTCAGCCAGATGTGATGGCGCACACCTGTAATCCCAGCTACTCGGGAGGCTGAGGCAGGAGAATCACTTGAACCCGGGAGGCAGAGGTTGCAGTGAGCCATGATTGTGCCACTGCACTCCAGCCTGGGCAACAGAGTGAGACAAGACCCTGCCTCAGAAAGAGAAAAAAACAAAAAGTTACAATAATATTATAAAAGTGACTTTTCATATTAATACAGATAGGTTGGATTGTTCAATAATAATGTAATATCTGGCTATTTGAAAAAAATAGGTTCCTATATGATACCTTACAAAAATACATGTAGAGAATGAAATATAAATGTAAAATAATGAAGATATAAAAGCACAGGATGATAACTGAGTTGAATACTTATATACTTTATTATGTATTATATAATCTATATTATATAATTTTATTGATACAACAACAAAAATGCCTAAATAGACTAGAAAGACTAGCAATAAAATGGAAAAATATATTTGCAACATATAGGAGAAATGGCTAAAATTGTAGCCTATCAACAGTTCTTAGAAATCAGAAAGAAAATCTGAGTTCATGAGCACAATATCCACAACAAATTAGATTTCAATGAAAAGATAGTGTGAAGAAAAATGTTAACATTTCAGATTGAAAATTGTTAATTAAGAGGAGAATCTGTTGTTAGTTTGGCAAAGATGTTAATTTTCAATGTTTGTGAGGTTTGGGAGAAAAAGCCATTTGTATGCTGTTAATGAAAGTATCAGTTGATCAAAAACATTCCTGAGCATGGTTTAGCTATACTTATTAATACACTCTCGATCTTTGCATATTTTCAGACCCTGTAACTCTACAGCTAGCAAATAATTTTGATTATGCTTGTCAGAAGGATGTTGACATTACCATTATGTTTAACAGTGAAAAGTTGAAATAATCTAAATTTAAAACAATTGAGATTGGTTCAGTAATTAAAGGTAATTTGCTTGTTTATTAAACAGTCCTTAAAATGAATTTTTTTAAATAGTATGACCCAATTTCTATGGCAGAATTGTGGGTAGCTTTTCTTTTCTTCCCTTTGTCTAATTTTCCAAATTTTTACCCCTGAACATAAATGATCTTGGTAACCTGATTATGTATTTTTGATTACAGCAAGTTTAAATTAAAAATTGTAGCTTTCAAAAAAAATCCAAAATTTCATCATAAATATCATAAACATCAAGTGGACACATTTAATGAATGGTGTTCTCAATCTAAATTGATAGATAACGATGACAGATTGATAGATAGAAGCATATTTAGGCCATTACGTATTTTTTCTTAGAGATATATCTACTGCAACTGATATTTAACACACATATAGAAGAGGGTTTTTAAAAGTTATGTTTCTAAGACATGTCTTGTGGCTGATGTCACTGTTGATGTTGGCTTCAGAATATGCCTACAAAATACAGTAAATTTGTTTCCAGGCAAATATCCTGTGTGGAAGGATTGCTTCAGGATGAATGTAGTTAGCATAAGGGTTTGTATTCCTTGTTCTCAAATAAGTCTTTGAGGTTTGAGGAGAACTGGCATTTTATAAAAGAAACATAGATTCTGGCACACATTCTTAAACATGCTTCTGAGATTTAGGAAAGAGACCACCCGAAGTTTTTTACTTAAGTAAGTGGTTTGAACATTTATATTTTCCTACTCAAATTCCCTGCATATTGGAAAGTCATATTCTCCCACTCATCTAATTAATCACTTGGATTTCTTTCACTGAAGCAAACCAAACTCCAGTCTGAATTTAGTGTATTATCCAGTCAATTCTTTCAATTTCTTGGTCTGATTTTGACATCAATTATTCCAGCCTTTAATTAAGGAATAGAATGCTCCTGTATGGATTTGTACTGGAGGAAAATCCCCAAGCAGTGATGCCCTCGCCTATTATTATACCTGGGTAATGATAGTGTTTGCTACATTCATGAGTAAGCCATTCAATTACAATCACAGTTTTAAAAAAATTATAAGCTAGAACTTCAGTGTTACCAAATTGAACTTAAACTATATTTCCTAACTTCCTATTTTCTTCCCTATAAGTTAGAGGACATTTGAAAGCCTTTGACCTGATTTTTCAGGTCTCCTATAATTTTCTAGTCAAATGTTATAATTTCTACTAAACCTCAATTTTTAAAAAAAAAGAGTATAGAAAAAGGAACACTAATCTAGAAGGTAGGAGTTCTAATTACTTTCTTCAATTTTGCCCCCATGCAATCATCAAGTCGTTTTACATGTACTTTTTTTTTAAAGGGGCTTTATATTTGAAATATATACATGTTTTTAATATGCATATTAAGTAGCTTTTAATATTTCTTTATGGCCTATAAATTCAAATACCCAGATTTAGGGACATTTCAGCTATTTTATTAAAATTTATAAATTTATAAAATCTATAACTTTATATATTTTATATATATTAAAATATATTTTACATATATATGTATATTAGATACAACTGACCAAGAAATATTAAGTCAAAGAAAAGTATCTTTTCAAATACTGACCTTCATTAACAAAGAAATTATACTCTTGTGAGCAGACTGATGACATTTGTGAACATAATCTGAATCTAATTTGATTCATATTCACATTAAGGAGTTTCCCTAAGTGATTGATTTAAGTAACTCAACGTACTTTTAAAGAGAAGGTTAGAAATAATGGAAAAGTCTTAAAAAGTGGAGTAGACAAACCCTGTCCTGTAGAAACTATTAAATGTCGCTTGAAGCATTCATTCGCTTCAATTTAAACCGAGACAAGAGAGGAGAATAATTAGGTGTTTCAGAGCTGATACGAAATGAATTGGAAAAGTGTAAACAGTAGGTAAAAAGACTTACATTCTGTGCACATTTTTCCGAGCACAAAGCTCAGCCCAAAAACAAATACCTTTTTTTTTTTTCCCAGAAGTGACTCCATCAGCACACCTAATGTTTTCAGCTACCATTGTATTCAATGTAATTGACACAATTTTCTGACACTATTTACTGCTGGATGAAGTAGCCATTTAAATCGGTTTAAATCAAACAGTTTGGACAAAGCTGGCAGTATTTATAATGTCAGGATGAGCAGATGTTTCAAATTTTCCCTCATTTCCATATATATTCTGTTTGAACATGTCCTTGCCTATGTAAATGAAAGAGGCATTTGATTCCACTATTGCTTTAAATTCATTTCTATTCAAATAATTGGACTGAAGATTTTAAATGGTTATAATTTGCATGGTAGCATTTCAGGAGATTTTGAGTTAAAGTAATTTTAAGACCTGCCTGCATCAGGAGATCCTTGTGTGTATGATTAAAGCTCATTCACCTTTAAGCAGATCTAAAGGAGAAAAGATAATATTTGTTCATAAAAAATTCAGGTATATTTACAATGTGTAGGGTCCAATTGTAGCTTTAGAATTCCTTTCATTATGTGGGTTAAATCTTAGAAGGTCAGGTAATAAAAAACTTCATATAACAACTCTATTTCATTTTCTAACTATGAACTTAACATTTTAGTTTCAAATTAAGGACAAGAATTGGTATATCATGACTGTTTTACATAACATGTTGTATAAAATAACAGCAGCACTTAGAATATAAGAGATTGTCTCAATTAGGACAATAACAACGTGCTTTTAATTCGGTGTAATTTGTTTCACCTCCTTCAGAACCTCCACATTTTGTTGTGAAACCCCGTGACCAGGTTGTTGCTTTGGGACGGACTGTAACTTTTCAGTGTGAAGCAACCGGAAATCCTCAACCAGCTATTTTCTGGAGGAGAGAAGGGAGTCAGGTACCACCTTTTTCTAACTTTTTTTTTTTAAATCAGCAAAGATGGTTGCCAAGATGTATGAGAAGAAAAACCAACATATTACTTAGTCATGCAGCTGTCACATTAAGAGAACTGGCAAATCTCTGAGTGCCCAGAACATTTTAGCAATGAGAAAGAAGACAAAATTGTCTTCACCGCTTGAATTCTGAAAGCATTTTTCTCCACCTAGTTGTGGTACACAAGGTAGTATATAAAATTAACCTTTATTTCTAGCTCAGCCACATTAAAAAGAAAAACACTATTTTCTCAACATTATTTAATTATTATTTGTATTATTCAGGTATCTGGAATTATATATTAAAGAGATTTATGTACATTTAAAACAGATGATAATTATTCAGTGATTTCTTTGAAAGCTTCAGGAGTCTAAATTGCCTTCTGAATCATTAAGCTATATGAAATTCTCTTTAACAGAGATGTTGTGTTAAATATAGTTTGTTATATTCAAATGTGTTGAAAACTATCATATGCAGTCAACATTTGCTGTAAAATCCAATTCTATTTTATGAACTTCAAGTTTTTATATATATGGAAACTGAAATACAGAGATTTATACTCTTTTGAACTCTAAGTTCATTATTGGACTTCAGTTTAATAAATAGGAAATCTTAGAAGCGTTTAAAATATATTTTTGTCTCATCTCTTAATGGTTTGCCTTCTTCAATAAAACAAAAACGCGGCTGGGCACAGTGACTCATGCTTGTAATCTCAGTACTTTGGGAGGCTCAGGCAGGAGGATCACTTGACCTCAAGAGTTTGAGACTAGCCTGGGCAACATAGTAAGACCTCATCTCTAGAAAACATTAAAAATAAACAATTAGTGGGGCATGGTGGTGAATGTTTCTAGTCCCAGCTACTCTGGAGGCTGGGGCAGGAGGATCACTTGAGCCCACGAGGTAGAGACTGCAGAGACCTCTGATTGCGTCACTGCACTCCAGCCTGGGTGAAAGAGTGAGAACCTGTCTCAGAAAATAAGTATAAAACAGAACGTTTCCCTTGTTTCTGATATGTGTAAATAAACAATTCTCATCCATTTTTAACACTTACTCCTGACCTTTTTTAATTTTGCTTAAATCAGTCGTGGGTGTTTGTTTCATGGTCTTGCTTCTAATGTGCTCTTATAAAAAACAGGTCATTTACTGACTGCATTTAATATTTGGTAGGGAATGCTAACAAGTTCACCTTTTCTTTCACTTTAGTAGCCAAATATTGATTTGATTATGGTATATAGGCCCTTATTTGAATTCTAGTGTCTTGGTAGGTTCTAACACATTCCATTTGGCCTCAAAGAACTAAATTTGCTGACAGCAAATTAAAGACAAGAAAGAATGAAATATTTCAATAGAACAGGAAGAATTTTAAGTGCATTTTAGAAGGAAATATTTGTAGCAGTAATAGTAAATCCACTGGAACCTCTTCTTAAAAGAGTGATATTTTGATGATTCATTTAAGTTATTTAAACATTAGATCAAATTTCCAAATAATTTTGGTTTCATTCAATAACACAACTCATTTTTCCCTAAAATGTTGTCATTAGACATATATCCATGGAATAGTAGTTAAATGTTTATAAAAGAATGTATATTAAAAGGCACCAAAGCTTTGTAAAAGAATCAATTTTGTTGTGGTAGGGAAAATGTTACTATTTTTTATTTCATGAAATTCAATAACATGATCTATTTTTTTGTGTGACATATACACTAACTCTAAGAAGCGTGATCTTTTAATTAAATTCAACATATGAATTTTAGAAAATACATAACAGATATTCTCACCAATTAACAAGAGAAACAAGATATGTGTTAAAAGTTTGGCATAGGTTATGGAACTTTTATGATGGATAGCTAACAGAGATGCTTATTGTGGTGCCAAAATGGTATCCTTGAATTTAATGTGTCAAAATTTGTTTACATTTTAATTCTTTAATATATTAAAGGTCTTAATATTAATAATCCTAGTAGTCACATACAGGTGAAGCAAGACTTTTGTCTTTGTTTTGCTAAATATGTCAACATTTTTTACCATAATGATAGTTAATTTTTTTTTTTTTTTTTGAGACAAAGTCTCGCTCTGTCACCCAGGCTGGAGTGCAGTGGCATGAACTTGACTCACTGCAAGCTCCGCCTCCCGGGTTCACGCCATTCTCCTGCCTCAGCCTCCCGAGTAGCTGGGACTACAGGCGCTGCCACCACGCCCGGCTAATTTTTTGTATTTTTAGTAGAGACAGGGTTTCACCGTGTTAGCCAGGATGGTCTCGATCTCCTGACCTCGTGATCCGCCTGCCTCGGCCTCCCAAAGCACTGGGATGACAGGTGTAAGCCACCGCGCCCGGCCGGATACTTAATATTCTTATATATCTAATATTGCTTAAAAACAGATAGAAAAATATGTATCAATCTTGAGAGTTACTTAAATTTTCAAATGACCCTATTTGAGGTTAGATTATTAAACCTTGTATATGTATATGTGTACATATGTAGATATTTACATGCATGGACATGTATATATGTGGGCATGTGATGGGAGAATACTTAGCTCATTTTTGTGTGTGTATATAGACGGATACATATGCATATGTGTATGAATACTTTTATATGTATGTTTTTACATGTAAATGCATAAGTGCCAAAATATTGGAACCTAACAATTAACCTATTTTTATTTTCCTCCATCCCAATTTCTGGGTTCTAGAATCTACTTTTCTCATATCAACCACCACAGTCATCCAGCCGATTTTCAGTCTCCCAGACTGGCGACCTCACAATTACTAATGTCCAGCGATCTGATGTTGGTTATTACATCTGCCAGACTTTAAATGTTGCTGGAAGCATCATCACAAAGGCATATTTGGAAGTTACAGATGGTAAAGTGTAAAACATTTTATTTCAAAATGTCCAAGTTTGACTTAGGATCCAGAGAGGGTGCCAGTAGATATATTTATTTCCAACTTTATACCTTTTTATGGCTATTTTAGTGTAAAACCTAAAAGGGTGTTGATAGAATAAGTTCAAAATTATTCTTATTTTAACCTAAATGTATTATAAATTTGTAGCATTCAATCAGATTCATAAAAGCATAGCAATTATCTAAGGAGAAGTTTATACTAAATGGCTGCACATAGGACTGTATCTATGTTTTGGAAAAACAAAAAATATTTTGTAATATCTTAGTGTAAATTGCCATCTCTTCTCTTTCCTCTATAATTTAGTACATAAGATAAATCTTTAGGTCCTAAGCCTAAACCTAACAGCTCACAACTTATGATAATGAACAAGTTTTCTTCAATGTGATTTCATTCTGTCAACTCCCCTAAACATGCTCAATTAGTGCCAAACCTATTGTAAGGACACAGTGCTGAACAAAATCTCCAAACTGTAAGATGGACAGTAGTGACAATTTGAGAAGAAGATGAAAGAAAAAGAAAAAAACACATATAAATATGTTTTATTCTCTGTATTTATATGTATTTTTTCTTTCATATCTTATTTCATATACATATAAATATATATACATGTATAGTATATGTGTGTGCAATCAAGAAAGTGTTACAAGAATTTTTCAAATTAAAAATAGAACCAAAGCCATGACAGTGGCAAGGGATTTCTTACTTCTGAAGCTAAATTTATTGTAGTGATTGGAATAATATTTTCACTATCAATTCCAAAAAGTAGATGAAAGAGCACTTAAAGAAAGAAACAACCTGTCTCTCAGGGAAGAAAATGGAACACGAATAAAAGAAGAGAAGCAGGAATAAAAGATGCTTACTCTATATATTCAGTATTGTTGATCTTTTAAAACGTCTGATAATGACTCAAATAATCAATATAATAGCAGTTGCTTTCTAAATTAGAATCTGTGGAGTCATCTTTGACTCCTCATCTTTCTTTATCTCTGTATCTATTCAATAATCTTTTTAATCCATCGAGTTGTCTTCATCAACTCCCAGAGCTAGTCATCTGTAGTGTGAAATTGTAACAGCCTACTAATTCCATCCTGTTTCTGGTCTTCTCCCCAAATTACATTTTCTTACTGTTGCTAGAATACTGTTTCTCTAGACCACTCTTATTTTCCCGATTACGTAAACTGAAGTATAATACGCATGCCGTGAAGTAAGTAAACTAATGCAGCTTGATGAATTTATTCATGTCGTGACCACTCCGATCAAGATATGGAACATTTCCAAGACCATAGAAGGCTTCCATTGACTCTCTTCTAGTCAACAAGCCTCTCACTAGCAGAGATAATAACTTTTCTGACTTTTATCATCATTGATTCCTTTTATCTATTCTTAAAATCCAGCTAAATGAAATCATACAGTAGATAGACTTTTGTGTATATTTTTGCCTCAAAATAATGTCAGTAAAATACACTTAGGTTCTTTTTTGTTGCTGTGTAGTATTCCATCTCATAAATAGACCACAATTTATTTATGTATTCTCATATTGATGGAGTATTTTCAGCTTTGGATTTTTGTTAGTAAAGCTCATTATTCCTGTACATGTCCATTGTTGGGCAGGTGCACTCAGTTATCTTGGTTTGCCTTTAGTGGACATACATACTAATTTCTTTTTGTTTTCCCATGTATTTGAAATACAAGTCTTCATCAGATATGTATATTGGAAATATTTCTTCCTGGTCATTCTCTTAATGATGGTTTTAGGGATTAAGTAATTAATTTTGCTGAAAACCATTTTTTTTTTATGATTAGTGTGTTTACTCTTCTGTCCTACCTTGAGGCCTTGAAAATATTCTTCTATGTCTTCTTCTAGAAGCTTTATTATTTACACCTTTGATATTTTGTGATGCAAATTTTTTTTATCTACCTTGAGTTAATTTTTGTGTATGGTATGAGTTCAAAGTCAAAATTCTTTTCATTTCCCCCATATGAAAACTAATAATTCCAGCATAATTTATTGGAAAGATTATCCTTTCTCCACTGAATTGCAGTGGCATCTTATTACAATTCCAATAAACATAGATTTGTGGGCTTATTTCTGGTCTATTTATTCTATTTTATGCCACCCAAAATGCTAGGATTATAGGTATGAGCTACCACGCCCGGCCCATATGTGTTAATTATTGTAGCTTATACTAAGTCTTAAAAACTGGTGGTATAAGTCTCCACCTTTCTTTCCTTGTTTTGAGTTTGCTATTGAAGATCATCAACATATTCTTACAAATTTTAAAATAAACTTGTGAAAATTTCACATGTACACACCCACTCCCTAAACAAACAAAAAAATCTGAATATTTAATTTTGATTTTATTTAAATTGTTGAATAACTTAAGAATTAACATCTTAATCTGAGTCAATTCAGGGAAACAGTAAATATCCCACATGTATCTCTCAATTATTTAGGTCTTTAATTTCTCTCAGCAATGGTTTGTAGTTTCAAGACTAAAGGCTTTGCACATATTTTGGTACATTTATACCTAGGTGTTTCATGATTTTGATGTGACGGTGTGTGTGTGTGTGTGTATCTACAAAACTCCTAGCCAACATTGTATCTGGTGGTAAAATATTAAATTATTTCCCCCTGAAGTTAGGATCAAGAAAAATATGTCCATTATTGCCAATTCTGCTCACTATATTGGAGGTCACAGGCAATGTAGGACAAGTAAAAGAAATAAAATGTATAAATATTGAAAGAAAGACATAAAACTGTTTTTATGTGCAGCTGAAACATTTTGTACATAAAAATTTCAAAATAATCTACCTACAAACTATTAAAAATGAGTGAATTTAGCAAAGTTGCTGGACACAAGGTTAATATAAAAAAGTCAACTGTACATTCAAGCACTTGGCTCATACAATTCAACAATAAAATTATATTATTATAATTTTATTCCTATATATTATATATAATATATATGATTTTTATGTGACTGTGTATATATATATTTTTTGATATTACTGTGTGTATATATACGTGTATATATACGTATATATACACAGTCACATTAAAAAATATTTATTATATATCAAATATATATAAACAAAAAATATAAATTTTTTGACATGACTCTGTATATATGTGTATATACACATATACACACATATATACTATATATACATATATACACATATATACACAGTCATATATACATATATACATATACACATATATACACAGTCATATATATACATATATATACATATACACACAGTCATATCAAAATATATATATTTGTGTGTATATATATTTTTTGATATATGTAATATATTTTTTACATGACATAAATGTACAAAGTGTGTCAGGTGCACATAAAAACAGTTTTATGTCTTTCAATATTTATGTCTTTTTTTCAATATATATATATTTCAAGTTTTATGTCTTTCCTTCAGTATTTATACATTTTATTTCTTCTACTTGTCCTACATTGCCTGTGACCTCCAATATAGTGAGCAGAACTGGCAGTAATGGGCATACTTTTCTTGATCCTAACTTCAGGGGGGAAAAATTTAATATTTTACCACCAGATACAATGTTGGCTAGGACTTTTGTAGATATCTTTGAATTTCAAGAAGTTCTGGAGGAATTTGCTAAAACATCAGTTTCATTATTTGCTTTTCTAATGTTCTCAGGATAAAGTGTATATTCCTTAACGTGCTTTACCATTCATTATCTGCCTCCACTGCAGGTTCAGCTCTGAATACTGTGTTGCTCACGTGCCCTAATCATTGTGCTTGCCATGCTTCTCCGTCTTTTTTATTTTGAGACTGAGTCGCCGAGGCTGGAGTGCAGTGGTGCGATCTCAGCTCACTGTAAGCTCCGCCTCCCAGGTTCAGGCCATTCTCCTGCCTCAGCCTCTCGAGTAGCTGGGACTGCAGGCTCCCGCCACCACGCCCGACTAATTTTTGTATTTTTAGTAGAGACGGGTTTCACCGTGTTAGCCAGGATGGTCTTGATCTCCTGACCTCGTGATCCACCCGCCTCGGCCTCCCAAAGTGCTGGGATTACAGGCGTGAGCCACCGCGCCTGGCTGCTTCTCCGTCTTAAGTCTTCTGCACGTTGTTTCCACCAACGTGAAGCTTCATTTCCTTCAAGAAGCATTCCCTAACTCTTCAAATATAGGTTCTATACTCCAACCCCTGCAGTATAAACATAGATTGCATCCTATACGTTTTTGTGTTCTGTTTATTTTCCTATGTTCTTCGTTAGACATTAAGTTCCATGAAGGCAGGACCTATGTCTCTCTAGTCAAATTAAATGCTTGCTACTATCCAACCAGAATGCCTCATGTGGCAAATGCTCCATAGATTTTTTTTTTATTATTATACTTTAAGTTTTAGGGTACATGTGCACAATGTGCAGGTTAGTTACATATGTATACATGTGCCATGCTGCTGTGCTGCACCCATTAACTCCTCATTTAGCATTAGGTATATCTCCTAATGCTATCCCTCCCCACTCCCCCCACCCCACAACAGTCCCCAGAGTGTGATGTTCCCCTTCCTGTGTCCATGTGTTCTCATTGTTCAATTCCCACCTGTGAGTGAGAACATGCGGTGTTTGGTTTTTTGTCCTTGCGATAGTTTACTGAGAATGATGATTTCCAATTTCATCCATGTCCCTACAAAGGACATGAACTCATCATTTTTTATGGCTGCATAGTATTCCATGGTGTGTATGTGCCACATTTTCTTAATCCAGTCTATCATTGTTGGACATTTGGGTTGGTTCCAAGTCTTTGCTATTGTGAATAGTGCTGCAATAAACACACGTGTGCATGTGTCTTTATAGCAGCATGATTTATAGTCCTTTGGTTATATACCCAGTAATGGGATGGCTGGGTCAAATGGTATTTCTAGTTCTAGATCCCTGAGGAATCGCCACACTGACTTCCACAATGGTTGAACTAGTTTACAGTCCCACCAACAGTGGAAAAGTGTTCCTATTTCTCCACATCCTCTCCAGCACCTGTTGTTTCCTGACTTTTTAATGATCGCCATTCTAACTGGTGTGAGATGGTATCTCATTGTGGTTTTGATTTGCATTTCTCTGATGGCCAGTGATGGTGAGCATTTTTTCATGTGTTGTTTGGCTGCATAAATGTCTTCTTTTGAGAAGTGTCTGTTCATGTCCTTCGCCCACTTTTTGATGGGGTTGTTTGTTTTTTTCTTGTAAATTTGTTGGAGTTCATTGTAGATTCCGGATATTAGCCCTTTGTCAGATGAGTAGGTTGTGAAAATTTTCTCCCATTTTGTAGGTTGCCTGTTCACTCTGATGGTAGTTTCTTTTGCTGTGCAGAAGCTCTTTAGTTCAATTAGATCCCATTTGTCAATTTTGACTTTTGTTGCCATTGCTTTTGGTGTTTTAGACATGAAGTCCTTGCCCATGCCTATGTCCTGAATGGTAATGCCTAGGTTTTCTTCTAGGGTTTTTATGATTTTAGGTCTAACATTTAAGTCTTTAATCCATCTTGGATTAATTTTTGTATAAGGTGTAAGGAAGGGATCCAGCTTCAGCTTTCTACATATGACTAGCCAGTTTTCCCAGCACCGTTTATTAAATAGGGAATCCTTTCCCCATTGCTTGTTTTTGTCAGGTTTGTCAAAGATCAGATAGTTGTAGATATGCGGCGTTATTTCTGAGGCTTGTGTTCTGTTCCATTGATCTATATCTCTGTTTTGGTACCAGTACCATGCTGTTTTGGTTACTGTAGCCTTGTAGTATAGTTTGAAGTCAGGTAGCGTGATGCCTCCAGCTTTGTTCTTTTGGCTTAGGATTGACTTGGCGATGCGGGCTCTTTTTTGGTTCCATATGAACTTTAAAGTAGTTTTTTCCAATTCTGTGAGGAAAGTCATTGGTAGCTTGATGGGGATGGCATTGAATCTATAAATTACCTTGGGCAGTATGGCCATTTTCACGATATTGATTCTTCCTACCCATGAGCATGGAACGTTCTTCCATTTGTTTGTATCTTCTTTTATTTCATTGAGCAGTGAGTGGTTTGTAGTTCTCCTTGAAGAGGTCCTTCACATCCCTTGTAAGTTGGATTCCTAGGTATTTTATTCTCTTTGAAGCAATTGTGAATGGGAGTTCACTCATGATTTGGCTCTGTGTTTGTCTGTTATTGGTGTATAAGAATGCTTGTGATTTTTGTACATTGATTTTGTATCCTGAGACTTTGCTGAAGTTGCTTATCAGCTTAAGGAGATTTTGGGCTGAGACAATGGGGTTTTTGTAGATATACAATCATGTCATCTGCAAACAGGGACAATTTGACTTCCTCTTTTCCTAATTGAATACCCTTTATTTCCTTCTCCTGCCTAATTGCCCTGGCCAGAACTTCCAACACTAGGTTGAATAGGAGTGGTGAGAGAGGGCATCCCTGTCTTGTGCCAGTTTTCAAAGGGAATGCTTCCAGTTTTTGCCCATTCAGTATGATATTGGCTGTGGGTTTGTCATAGATAGCTCTTATTATTTTGAGATACGTCCCATCAATACCTAATTTATTGAGAGTTTTTAGCATGAAGTGTTGTTGAATTTTGTCAAAGGTCTTTTCTGCATCTATTGAGATAGTCATGTGGTTTTTGTCTTTGGTTCTGTTTATATGCTGGATTACATTTATTGATTTGCATATATTGAACCAGCCTTGCATCCCAGGGATGAAGCCCGCTTGATCATGGTGGATAAGCTTTTTGATGTGCTACTGGATTCGGTTTGCCAGTATTTTATTGAGGATTTTTGCATCAATGTTCATCAAGGATATTGGTCTAAAATTCTCTTTTTTGGTTGTGTCTCTGCCCGGCTTTGGTATCAGGATGATGCTGGCCTCATAAAATGAGTTAGGGAGGATTCCCTCTCTTTCTATTGTTTGGAATAGTTTCAGAAGGAATGGTATCAGTTCGTCCTTGTACCTCTGGTAGAATTCGGCTGTGAATCCATCTGGTCCTGGACTCTTTTTGGTTGGTAAGCTATTGATTATTGCCACAATTTCAGATCCTGTTATTGGTCTATTCAGAGAGTCAACTTCTTCCTGGTTTAGTCTTGGGAGAGTGTATGTGTCGAGGAATTTATCCATTTCTTCTAGATTTTCTAGTTTATTTGCGTAGAGGTGTTTGTAGTATTCTCTGATAGTAGTTTGTATTTCTGTGGGATTGGTGGTGATATCCCCTTTATCATTTTTTATTGCATCCATTTGATTCTTCTCTCTTTTCCTCTTTATTAGTCTTGCTAGCTGTCTATCAATTTTGTTGATCCTTTCAAAAAACCAGCTCTTGGTTTCATTAATTTTTTGAAGGGTTTTTTGTGTCTCTATTTCCTTCAGTTCTGCTCTGATTTTAGTTATTTCTTGCCTTCTGCTAGCTTTTGAATGTGTTTGCTCTTGCTTTTCTAGTTCTTTTAATTGTGATGTTAGGGTGTCAATTTTGGATCTTTCCTGCTTTCTCTTGTGGGCATTTAGTGCTATAAATTTCCCTCTACACACTGCTTTGAATGTGTCCCAGAGATTCTGGTATGTTGTGTCTTTGTTCTCATTGGTTTCAAAGAACATCTTTATGTCTGCCTTCATTTCGTTATGCACCCAGTAGTCATTCAGGAGCAGGTTGTTCAGTTTCCATGTAGTTGAGCGGTTTTGAGTGAGTTTCTTAATCCTGAGTTCTAGTTTGATTGCACTGTGGTCTGAGAGACAGTTTGTTATAATTTCTGTTCTTTTACATTTGCTGAGGAGAGCTTTACTTCCAACTACGTGGTCAATTTTGGAATAGGTGTGGTGTGGTGCTGAAAAAAATGTATATTCTGTTGATTTGGGGTGGAGAGTTCTGTAGATGTCTATTAGGTCCGCTTGGTGCAGAGCTGAGTTCAATTCCTGGGTATGCTTGTTAACTTTCTGTCTTGTCGATCTGTCTAATGTTGACAGTGGGGTGTTAAAGTCGCCCATTATTATTGTGTGGGAGTCTAAGTCTCTTTGTAGGTCACTCAGGACTTGCTTTATGAATCTGGGTGCTCCTGTATTGGGTGCATATATATTTAGGATAGTTAGCTCCTCTTGTTGAATTGATCCCTTTACCATTATGTAATGGCCTTCTTTGTCTCTTTTGATCTTTGTTGGTTTAAAGTCTGTTTTATCAGAGACTAGGATTGCAACCCCTGCCTTTTTTTGTTTTCCATTAGCTTGGTAGATCTTCCTCCATCCTTTTATTTTGAGCCTGTGTGTGTCTCTGCATGTGAGATGGGTTTCCTGAATACAGCACACTGATGGGTGTTGACTCTTTATCCAATTTGCCAGTCTGTGTCTTTTAATTGGAGCATTTAGTCCATTTACATTTAAAGTTAATATTGTTATGTGTGAATTTGATCTTGTCATTATGATGTTAGATGGTTATTTTGCTCATTGGTTGATGCAGTTTCTTCCTAGCCTTGATGGTCTTTACAATTTGGCATGTTTTTGCAGTGGCTGGTACTGGTTGTTCCTTTCCACGTTTAGTACTTCCTTCAGGAGCTCTTTTAGGGCAGGCCTGGTGGTGACAAAATCTCTCAGCATTTGCTTGTCTAAAGTATTTTATTACTCCTTCACTTATGAAGCTTAGTTTGGCTGGATATGAAATTGTGGGTTGAAAATTCTTTTCTTTAAGAATGTTGAATATTGGCCCCCACTCTCTTCTGGCTTGTAGGGTTTCTGCCGAGAGATCCGCTGTTAGTCTGATGGTCTTCCCTTTGTGGGTAACCTGACCTTTCTCTCTGGCTGCCCTTAACATTTTTTCCTTCATTTCAACTTTGGTGAATCTGACAATTATGTGTCTTGGAGTTGCTCTTCTCGAGGAGTATATTTGTGGCGTTCTCTGTATTTCCTGAATCTGAATGTTGGCCTGCCATGCCAGATTGGGGAAGTTCTCCTGGATAATATCCTGCAGAGTGTTTTTCAACTTGGTTCCATTCTCCCCGTCACTTTCAGGTACACCAATCAGACGTAGATTTGGTCTTTTCACATAGTCCCATATTTCTTGGAGGCTTTGTTCATTTCTTTTTATTCTTTTTTCTCTAAACTTCCCTTCTCACTTCATTTCATTCATTTCATCTTCCATCACTGATACCCTTTCTTCCAGTTGATCGCATCGGCTCCTGAGGCTTCTGCATTCTTCACGTAGTTCTCGAGCTTTGGCTTTCAGCTCCATCAGCTCCTTTAGGCACTTCTCTGTATTGGTTATTCTAGTTATACATTCGTCTAAATTTTTTTAAAGTTTTTAACTTCTTTGCCTTGGGTTTGAATTTCCTTGTGTAGCTCGGAGTAGTTTGATCGTCTGAAGCCTTCTTCTCTCAACTCGTCAAAGTCATTCTCCATCCAGCTTTGTTCCGTTGCTGGTGAGGAACTGCGTTCCTTTGGAGGAGGAGAGGTGCTCTGCTTTTTAGAGTTTCCAGTTTTTCTGCTCTGTTTTTTCCCCATCTTTCTGGTTTTATCTACTTTTGGTCTTTGATGATGGTGATGTATAGATGGGTTTTTGGTGTGGATGTCCTTTCTGTTTGTTAGTTTTCCTTCTAACAGACAGGACCCTCAGCTGCAGGTCTGTTGGAGTTTGCTAGAGGTCCACTCCAGACCCTGTTTGCCTGGGTACCAGCAGCGGTGGCTGCAGAACAGTGGATTTTCATGAACCTCGAATGCTGCTGTCTGATTGTTCCTCTGGAAGTTTTGTCTCAGAGGAGTACCCGGCCCTGTGAGGTGTCAGTCTGCCCCTACTTGGGGGTGCCTCCCAGTTAGGCTGCTCGGGGGTCAGGGGTCAGGGACCCACTTGAGGAGGCAGTCTGCCCTTTCTCAGATCTCCAGCTGCGTGCTGGGAGAACCACTGCTCTCTTCAAAGCTGTCAGACAGGTACATTTAAGTCTGCAGAGGTTACTGCTGTCTTTTTGTTTGTCTATGCCCTGCCCCCAGAGGTGGAGCCTACAGAGGCAGGCAGGCCTCCTTGAGCTGTGGTGGGCTCCACCCAGTTCGAGCTTCCAGGTGGCTTTGTTTACCTAATCAAACAACTAACTCGGCAATGGCAGGCCCCCCTCCCCCAGCCTCGCTGCCGCCTTGCAGTTTGATCTCAGACTGCTGTGCTAACAATTAGCGAGACTCCGTGGGTGTAGGACCCTCCGAGCCAAGTGCGGGATATAATCTCCTGGTGCGCCGTTTTTTAAGCCCATTGGAAAAGCACAGTATTAGGGTGGGAGTGACCCGATTTTCCAGGTGCCGTCTGTCACCCCTTTCTTTGACTAGGAAAGGGAACTCCCTGACCCCTTGCGCTTCCCGAGTGAGGCAATGCCTCGCCCTGCTTCGGCTCGCGAACTGTGTGCTCCACCCACTGACCGGCGCCCTCTATCTGGCACTCCCTAGTGAGATGAACCCGGTACCTCAGATAGAAATGCAGAAATCACCCATCTTCTGCGTCGCTCACGCTGGGAGCTGTAGACTGGAGCTGTTCCTATTCGGCCATCTTGGCTGCCAGCTGATTTTTTTTTTTTTTAATGAGTGGATGAAACAAAGAAAAAAGGAAAAAGAACTAGCTTTTGGTTAAGTGAGTATTGAGCACTAGGATTGTCTCTCTCAAAAGCTCAAACTCTTACCTCTGTATATGATACGTATTATACATGTACTGGCTCCAATAAGCTAGTATGACCTAAAATATTTTTATAATGTCTTAAGTACATTACAGCCATTAAATAATGATTGTGAAAGCCATATAGTGAATTCAATAATGACTACTATAACCAATATATAGAGACATTAGAACATAGAGTGATACACACATTAATAATTGCAACTTTGTAAAGCAACTTATATATAGGTATACATAAAAAAAGATTTTAGAAACCTATGCTAAAGTAGTCTCAAATATCTCCAATTTTTATAATTATAATTTAAAGCAAAGGTTTTCATGTGCCAACTGACATGACGTTATCACAAATTGCTTGTATTTGTGAGACTAGATCACGCATAGACCTTTTATTAAACTATAAAAAACAAAAACAAAATCTCTAAATATCTGTGAATTTGGGATTCTTCCCTACTAGCCAGTTCAACACTAAATGTCCTGTTTCACCCTGCAAACTCTGGGCGTTTTAAGGTGATTTCGTGTTTGCTGTTTTGGCACTGTTTTTTAAGTTTTGTTTGCTTTATTTTGGAGCTTATTGATATTGTGAAAACAATTTAACACTGTGGTCTCATTCTTCATGGGTAAAACTAGAATTATTGCAAGTGCTGGAAATACCGGTATTTATACATTAGCAAGTCCAGAGGATGGCTAGTAGGCAGAGTACTTTGGGGATACTATTCGTCTTTAGCTTCTTGACCTTCTTTACTGTTTGCAAACAGAACAAAGACAAAGGCAGAATCAAACATGAAGCACAGAAGTAGCAGCTGCCTTTAAAATGTTGTGTTGACTGTAGCTGTGACCTATCCCTAATAGCATTTGACTTAGAAACATACAAATTCATGTCTTCTATTTAACTGAACATCTTTCTTCTCTTTACTATAATATCAGAAGGTAAGAAAACAAAGTTAATGATTACTACATAATGTATAAAATTTAAAATCATTCGTATTCATCTCACAAAATTTATAGATACATAGTGCAAAGAGTGTTATATTTTATACAGAAAAAAGATTTGCCAGTTACTACTTGATTTGGACAAGTCACTTGAACTTCTAGAGTTTCAGTTCCCTGATTTCTAAAATGGAATAATAATATTTTATAGCCAAATTTATAATTTCCAAGATACAATATTTGCAGTTTGTAAATGGATGACAATTATGCTCTTTATCTGCGATGTTTATTGGTGTATAATGTGACTTTTTGTACGTGAACTAATCAATGTGTGTATATTCTGTTCTTTTTCTCTTAAAATTATTTCCTAAATATATTTATGTATATTAACATAGACTTCATGATCGCTATTTTTGAGGTGACAAATTACAACATTCTGATTATATACCCTTATTTTGGACGGGTTTTGAAGTCTTTCACTAAATGTGGGGAAAAGATAGCTAAACTTTTATAACCCTGCTGTAATATATGTGTGTATATATATATATATATATATATATATATATATATATATATATAAAATATATGTAACCTAGCTGTAATATATATATATTTATATATATTATATATTATTTTATATATTTTATATATTTATATTATATATATATTTTTATAACAGGTAGTGTAACCTTGCTGTAATATATATATATATATTTATAACAGGTGGTGTAACCCTGCTGTAATATATATTACAGCACCTGTTATACCTGTTACACTGCTTATACCATCACTACCTCCACCACTATTATTTTTATACTGACAATAATGAGCTACAGTGACTAATAACAAGTTATAGGATAAGCTTACCTAGGGCCAGGCACTATACTAGAAACTTTTCACACATGAACAATTTCAAATCTAACCATATCTCATTTTACCAGTGAAGAAACTGAGGCAGTGAATGTGAAGATGTGTACCCAACTTACAATGATAAGTAGCAGAACTGACATGTTTGCACCCTCCAATAAGGTAGCTACTTACCATATGGGGCTATTTAAATTTGAATTTAAATTACTTAAAATTAAATACAATTGCATATCCAATTCCCCAATTACTCTAGCTACACTTACATGTTCAGTAGTCACTTGGTGCTGTTGGCTACTGTATTGGAGAGAGTAGATATGGAACATTTCTGTTGTAGATATGGAACATTTCTGTTGTATGGTGCTAACATTTTCTGACTCCAAAGTCCGTGCATTTAATCACTTTGTTAAACATTTCTGATTCTTACACTTCCTATTTTATTTCTGGATAATTCATTCTAATAATTCCAACAGAAGATCCTAGACCTGAATATAAGGTTTGTCTCCTTCTAAATTAAGATTTGACTCATAAATGCAGTACATTCTTTGGTGTCTGTAAGTGTAAACATTTTACGAGTATTTTATTCTACTTCATGACATCAAAAACTTTCATTTCTCTACCTGGAAACATCAAATTGCTTTAATAAACCCTTAAATATTTCTCTTTTTTTTTTTTTTTTTTTTGAGACAGGGTCTCACTCTGTCACCCAGGCTGGAGTGCGGTGGCCTGATCAAAGTCCACCACTGCAGACCTAACCTCCTGGGCTCATGTGATCCTCCCACCTCAGTCTGTCAAGTTGCTGGGACTACAGGTGCACACCACCATGGCCGGCTAATTTATTTTTATTTTTATTTTTATTTTTGTGGAGATGGGGTTTTGCCATGTTACCCAGGTGGGTTTTGAACTCTTAGGCTTAAGCAATCCACCTTACTTGGCCACCCAAAGTGCAGGATTACAGGCGTGAGCCCCAGTGCCCGGCCAAATCTTTCATCTCTGATTTACATAATAGTTTTTTTTGTTGTTGTTGTTGTTTTTACCAAAGAGGACACTAGTGATACTACAGTACATAATATGTCTAGCCTTTTGCAATTAGCCAAGCACTCCCTTATCTGTTCCATTTAAATATGCATAACAATACCCTGCCTGAGCTATTTAGAAAAAAATATTATTATGCTTAGTTGATGGATTTAAAAACAATACAAAACTGAGGCTTAGAGAATTTAAGGAACTTGCCCAAAGACATATGGCAGATGCTAGAGCTGATCTTTTTCTTTTATTGCTTTATTTTTGTTAAGTATACATTGTAAATTATACCACAAAAATGGCATCAATAACTGGTTTGGGATGGAATGGGGAGGTGTGGATGACACTAAATAAAATACAAATATCAAAGAACCATAAAGATAGAGAACATTGAATATATTCCCAGATATTGGATTGTTTCTAAATATGATAAGACTACCAAATTTAAACCATTCTTCTACTGGACTTAATTATAATCAGTTATAAAGAATATTCCTTCTGCCAAGTTTCAAACTCTAGCCTTCTAATTCACCCCTTGATATTGCAAATTTCACCCTGGTAACCAAGACAAAGAAGAGAATTGGAAGAGTAGAGTGGAAATGCACAGCTGCTGATTTCACTCCATTGCTTTCCTGTTTATCTTTTCTTTTTTTTTTTTTAGTTTGCATGCACAAAACTAATATTTATTGCATGACAAATGAGGAGCAAATTGAAGTGTGACTCCAGCTTGTGAAAATCTTTGGTGCATAAAGCTTGGAACATGACAGATCCAGCTTTGAAAATTATTGCTTCCAAAATTTAGTTACTCTGACAACCACTTTTCTTTAACCAGGCAACTTAGAATCTTTCTTTGTACATTTGTGTCTTTTAAAAATTTTTCATTAACATCCAGAATTTTCAAGTTGAATATTTAAAGAAAATTTCTGAAATTTGGTTTTTAAGTCATTAAAAAAAAACTATAGAGTTTCATATAAATTGCCTAAGTCAGGGGATGGGAACACCTCTTCAATGTAGGATTTATTCTAGTTCCAACACAGTTGTTCTATGTTTTCCCCTAAAAAAGACTTCATGTCAGATAAAGTTTTTAGATTTTAGATTTTTTTCATGTAATCATAGGGTTAATTGTATTTACACATAATAAAATTGCCTCTCGTTGTTATTTTCCGTAGTATGTTATAACTATTATCTAAGGTAACGGAGTTAGCAGAGGCACATTCCCAATCCCATTAATCCCAATAGAGAAGTATGGTGTTTGCCAAGTTAGAACATCATTTTGACTTGTCTCTTTGGATCAGCCAAACAACAATGTATTTGGGCAATTTTCCAATTTCTTTGAATTCATTACAGTTGGGTAATTTTCTCCCATGTATATTGTAATAGAAAGAATTACAAGATAAAAAGACACAGGGAACTCAATCACACTGATTTATTAAATTACGAAATCCAATGCACTTTTTTGGATCCAAAATTGTTAAACATGCTGGTATGGTACCTTGTTTCTTTTTTTCTGTTGTACAAGTTATGAAATGTCAATTTGGCTTTGCTTCATTTATTAAAATTTATCTCATATGTTTCCTTGAGAGGAATGGTCTTTTTGTTATGTTGTGTTTTTTCATGTTTTTGAGTTTAAAAAGTACAGTATTCCATGATCACGTCTCTGTATCTACTTCACCATCCACAATCCTAATTCCCGAACTCTTTAAATAGGCCTCTTGACGATGCAGCCAGCTCAGTGAGTGGCTGGTCATTTGAAAGTAGCACATTGTGTCTCATTTTAGTATTCTGAATCAGTGCATCATATAAATGCATTTTGAATAATGCATGTCTGCTACTTTAATTACTTGTTTAATTATCTTTAGTTTGTTTCAAAGCCTAGAACAACTGCTGTTGCTTGGATGATTAGAAAATTGCTTCCAGTTGCAGAAATCTATTTCCTGTTGTTTCTTCTGGCAGTGATTGCAGATCGGCCTCCCCCAGTTATTCGACAAGGTCCTGTGAATCAGACTGTAGCCGTGGATGGCACTTTCGTCCTCAGCTGTGTGGCCACAGGCAGTCCAGTGCCCACCATTCTGTGGAGAAAGGATGGAGTCCTCGTTTCAACCCAAGACTCTCGAATCAAACAGTTGGAGAATGGAGTACTGCAGATCCGATATGCTAAGGTAACTTGGAATGGCACCTTGCGTTTCTTGTTTTGTTTCACTTTGTTTCTGCCTCCAACAACTGGCATTGAAATTTCTAACTTTGCAATTAATGAAGTGTTAAATGAAGAGTAGTAATATATTTTTAATTTGATGTTTTATTTTTTTCAGATATTTCATTGTATATGTTTGAGATGATTTAACTCATAATTTAGTCCATGGCAGGTAATTTAAGGTTGTATGGAGGAGAAGAAAGGATTTCTAAGAACCTACCGAGGAAAGTAAATGAGGGTTTGTGAGAGAATAAATATCTTCAAAGTAGTGGTACGAAGCAGTCCTTCCATAAAGCATCTTTTAAGATATTTACCTGTATCATTTTATGTGCAATATATTTAGATAGTTCTTCTATTGTAAGTGTTTGTTTCAGCATTTTGCAATGGCAAAACTATACATGCAAACAAAAGCCATAAAGCAATGTACACACCGAGTGTACAATTCAAATCAGAATGCTCAATGATGGAAAGCCCACAGGTCTGTAGGAACCATTTAAGGATTTACTTTCACAGGGCATCATATCCCATGCCTGCTCTTTCAGGACTTTATTGTTTTGATTTTTCTTCTTTTTTTATGTCAAGATCAGACGAGCTCCTGAGGCATATGAAAGAATAGTCCTGACAGCAATAAACATGAATTTCAGTTGCTTTATCTCCTAGTGTGGGTGGTTCCTTTGGAGTATTGGATCAGCATCACAGTTCACTTTAAGTGCCACAACAGTTAATATGTTGTGCTGCTTTGTGACTGTTGTGACTTGGTTCCTGCAATTGCCAGGGCAAGATGACAACATTCTTTCTTTATCAAATGTTACTTGAAGATAGTTATTAGCTTGAGCAGAAGTAGATGGGTTTATTATCCTGCTGCTGATTTCAAAGTTGAACATGTAACCTATGTTTGCCTTCTGACATTCAGTTTTTAAAAGGGAGCGAGAGTGTTCGTTCCAGCTTGAGTTTGGCTTTGTACTTCTTAAACTGCCTTAAGTTACAAGTTTTAAAACCCGGAAAAGTCAGTAGTTTAAGAAAAAAATTCTATGATGCCTATCCTTTTTCTGTTGATCTCATATATCCATATAGTTAAATATATAAGTAAAATATGAAATAGCAAGAATAGGCATTGGTTAAACTTTATCAGCCTTATTATATAACTTATTAAACATAAAGATATATCTTAGCCATAAATATTAACGCTCTAAATTTGAAGAATTGTATGCCTTACCTTAGGAATTATTGTCCCTGAGACTGATGATAATATATGCTAATGCAATTAAATATTTCTTATTATACCATTAGAACAATCATATAAAATCTTTTTTTCTATATTGATGTAATATTTTCCTTCACATTCAATAAAAATATATTCAACTAAGGGGAAGTTTCTGGTTAGTGAATTTTAATGCAGTTATCCATATTCATGGATCATATACAAACCTGTAATTGCTTTTCCAGCCCAGTGAGTTCTTGATTTTTCCAAATATTTATTTTTTGTCTGCCTTCTCAGCTGGGTGATACTGGTCGGTACACCTGCATTGCATCAACCCCCAGTGGTGAAGCAACATGGAGTGCTTACATTGAAGTTCAAGGTAAAGTAAATGGTGTGTTTCCCTTAAAGTGAAGCTTAAAATGCAGTTGTTTACTTACTGGGATATTGATGAAGTAAATGTCCTCTTCCCTGAGTAGGTGTATGAATATGTTATCTGCATTTATCCGCTTATCTGTGTATGTGTAAACATCTTTTATTTTGGCCTTTTTCCTGCTTTTTAGAATTTGGAGTTCCAGTTCAGCCTCCAAGACCTACTGACCCAAATTTAATCCCTAGTGCCCCATCAAAACCTGAAGTGACAGATGTCAGCAGAAATACAGTCACATTATCGTGGCAACCAAATTTGAATTCAGGAGCAACTCCAACATCTTATATTATAGAAGCCTTCAGGTAGAGTGAAGGAGATGCTTCCTAGTTGTTCTTTTTTGATTCTCCATTAAATACGCATGTTCTAACCTGTGTGTCTATCCTTAGCCATGCATCTGGTAGCAGCTGGCAGACCGTAGCAGAGAATGTGAAAACAGAAACATCTGCCATTAAAGGACTCAAACCTAATGCAATTTACCTTTTCCTTGTGAGGGCAGCTAATGCATATGGAATTAGTGATCCAAGCCAAATATCAGATCCAGTGAAAACACAAGGTAAATATTGATTTACTTAAACCTGTGACACCTACTTATCCTTAGATGTTATAATTGCACTGACAAATCACTTGTGCTACATGCTAGAATTGTACATTTACAGTGTGTTGTTCAAGTTGCCCAAGTTGCTTAATTAATTTTTAATATACAAACACAATGTCTACAAACTTTATTATTTTCTGGACTAAGCATACCAACATAAGATGGATTAACAAAGAGAACTGTTTCTCATAAAATTACAAATATATCAAGACAAAAATATTACGTGAGGAGATGGAAAGTAGAATGATGGTTACCAGAGGCTGGGAAGGGTAGTAGGGTGGCTGTGGGGAGGGTGGGGATGGTTAACGGGTACAAAAAAAAGAATAGTTAGATCTAATGAATAAGATCTAGTATTAGATAGCAACAAGGTGACTGCAGTCAATAATAATTTATTGTACATTTTTAAATAAAGTATAACTGGAATGTTTGTAACACAAACAAAGGATAAATGATTGAGGTGATAGATACCCCATTTACCCTGATGTGATTATTATGCCCTGTATGCCTATATCAAAATACCTCATGTACCCATAAATATATACACCTGTTAGTACCCATAAATTTTAAAAATATGTGAATATTTGTGTATTCTATTCAATTTCCTGAATTTTAAATATGGTAACATGTAGGTGTACAATCTTAATCATATTATAATTGTATTTAAAATTAACCAAATTTTATTTATTTATAAGTTCAGTACTCACAACCTTCTGGATGAATTTTTAGATTACAACCCTAATCAAATAATACTCTCTTGAGATCACATAAATATGAGAGATATCTGGATACCTTTTATTTTTGGAAAAAAATCACGTCATTGTAAATAAAATGTGCTTGTTTTTATATTAGTAAAGAAAGGTAATTCTAGAGGGGAGTGATTCGAACTATAAAATTATTTTCTCAACATACAGAGGGATAGTGTTTCTATCTTAAGGGAACAAAGGAAAAAAGAAAAAAAAATAGACTTGGTTATTTTAATAGAAACAAGTTATACACAAGATGACTGAGACTTAAAGTCCTTTGCTGCTGGTTTGGGAGAGGGGTCTGCCAGCCATGTTGCTGTTTTGTTACTTCAAGTATGTACAGAAACAGTCTTTTTGGAAGCACTTTTTGTTTCAGAATTTGCAGAAAAAGCACACCAAGTTGTAGAACATGCCCACGTTTGTCTCTTGTGTGAATGTAACACACCCATAGCTCATATTTGCTATTATGAATCACCTCTCCAGGAGCTTTACTATACTTGCAGCCTGCCTTAAGGCAGTCTGAGGTTTTTGATATTAGATACACATTTGTAAAGAATGTAGACCCAATGATAGCTATAAAATGAATTTAAACTTTTGTCCCCAGTACAGTGGTCTCCAGCCAGTAGACTCTAACTGAAAGGTTTTGATGACTAGAGCTTAACACCGTTTTGTCCTGTACTCACATGCATGATTCTGGAATATGTAACCTCATTTGTAAGTGAGCAGTAAGTTAGCATTCTGTCTGAACATTCATTTAGTCTTTTTAACATTTCTGTCAATTTGCCTTTGCATATGCATAGCTAGTGGAACAATGTATTAGTCTCTTCTCACGCTGCTAATAAAGAACTTCCCCGAGACTGGGCAGTTTATAAAGGAAAGAGGTTTAATTGACTCACAGTTCAGCATGGCTGGGGAAGCCTCAGAAAACTTACAATCATGGCAGAAGGGGAAAGAAACACGTCCCGGTTCACATGGTGGCAGCAAGAGGTGCCGAGCAAAAGTGAGCAAAGCCCCTTATAAAACCATCGGGTCTCCTGAGAACTCACTCACTATCACGAGAACAGCAGCACGGGGTAACTACTCCATGATTCAGTTACCTCCTACCGAGACCCTCCCGTGACACATGGGGATTAGGAGAACTACAGTTCAAGATGAGATTTGGGTGAGGACACAGCCAAACCACATCACTCTAAGTATAATGAATCCTTGTTAACTGGAATACTGGAAATATAGAGAAACAGGCATACAGTTGTGAAATCAAAGACTTTTTTTTTTTAAATTTCAGCTCCTCAATCCACTAGCTGTGTGACCTTGAGCAAGCTAGTCAGCCCTTCTGAGTTTCCTCACCTATAAAATGGGGCTAAACATACCCATTCCTCGGGATTGGACAAAGAATACATTAACCAATCAATATATAAGTATATAAGATTCAGATTTGTTTTCTGTTTTATCCCATAAAATCTGTTATTGGACTTGTATTTCTTTTAGTGTCAGGACTAAAAGTAAAGGAAGTTCATAAAATTTGTGGATGTCGTAAAACTGAGAAAGACAGCTAGTATGCCAAATAAGAGAATCAGAATTAAATATAACTCAACAGATTGGACTGATGGGAGAGTGCTAACTATTAAAGTTAATAGAGCAAATTAAAAAGTCTGGTACTTGAACTTGGGTTTAAAAAATTAGCTGTAAAAGGATAGACTAAAGACAGCAGGCTTACGGGAAGTATATGTGAGTGTGTCAGGGCTTTCGGAGTGATCTGACTTTAAAATAAAACACCCATCTGAACCGACTGACGGATACAGTTGCCAAGAGAACAAATGTAGTCTTAGCTGGCACTAGAATTATGCCTGGATCAAGTAATTTTTCTCTTTTTACTTAGAACTATTCAGTTCATGAATGGAGTAATGTGTTTGTTCTGGAGACTACATTTTCAGATGGACTTTTAAGAGGAGGACAGTAGGGATAGTCGATGAGGCCGCATGAAAGGCTGAAAATCACATCATATGAAAAGACATTCAAGGATCTAGGTATGATTAGGCCAGAAAATAATAACATCAGAGCAGACATGACATCTTTTCCTTAACATTTTAAGAGACTGCCGTATGGAAGAGTTATGCTTATTCTAGCTCGAGGCAACAGAAAAGGGCCCATGAGAAGAAGTAAAATTGAGGCACATATCTTGCCTATTCTTGGACTTCATTTGAGGCTGGAAGCCTTGGATTATAACTGTAATAAGAACCTGGGGAATCACCTGCAAAAATATTTCACTGGAGGGACCAGAAGGCAAACACAGCAAGGAGAAAAATGAGGGGTGAGGAAATTCAAGAAGGACTTGTTGGAAAGTGATTCATAAGGGAGCAGGCATAATTTCTCTAACCATTTCTGCAATGTGGTTGCAAAAGAATCTTCCCCAAGTGTAGATACTTAGAAATGAGCTGGGGTCAAAAGCTAAAGGTGCACAGATATAGGGCACAGGTTCCGAGTACAGGAGTCAGGTAGACCTATGTCATGGTTGGAGTTAGAGCCTTGTTATGTGGTAATCAAAGTGTGCTTTCCCAAAGACAAGATTTGATTATGCAAGGAAGATGAGATGAGCACCTGGCAGTTAGGGGTGGTGGTCATTGTGGCAGAGGTGCGGCTGTTGTTACCATTGTTAGTTACTATGATTCCTCACCCATGTGCCCTGTCTGTGTATCATTCTTGAGCCCTAGTTTTAAAAGAATCTATACAGATACATATCATACCTAAGATGATGTCAGTTATTATCAATGAGTGGGGCCTGGATAGGCTCCCCTCTGAGGTTGTGTATACGAAGTTTTAACGTTGGGGGAAACAGTTTGGCTGGAGCAATTAGGTCTTCTTTAAGTCTAATTCTGAATGTTGAGAAAGACCTTTTACATTGTCATACGTTTCTTTCAGGAGAAGGAGAACAAAAACAGTAACAGGATCAATTCATAAACTTCTCAAAATTATATTATCAGGTGTCACTTTCCCTTTTTCTCTCTGCTGTGAACATTTCTATTATAATGTTATAGACTGCTGTTGCTGTCATGGGTACTAGGTGGGAGAATCTAGCAATTTTCATGAAGGAACTGACTGGTAGGTTTATCTCAAATCAGAGGAATTTGGGATTGGGATGCAGATCATGGCAGTTATGTATAAAGTGGTTATTTCTGTATTTGAAGATACTTTCTGAAAGGGGGATGATTTTGTGAGGATGGGAGCTTACGTATGAGGGAAGTACTTGGAAACTGACATCATATGTGTGTTTTCCACACATGAATACATTTTAATTGAACCTATGTTTATTAAGCAACACCTATGTATATGGCACTATGCTATATACTATGGGTCCACAATCCCTGCTCTGAGGAAAAGCACTTTTTATGTCTTACCACAAGACAGCTTTTACCACAGCCCTCAGGATTAGCTGCCTTTGATGCCACCATCTGAAGCATAAGGAAACTGAAGAATAGTGAGATTAAGAAATTGTTCCAATGTTACGTGGTTTTTAAGTTGCCGAGGTGGGGTGCAAACCCAAGTCTGTTTCATTCCAAGTATTTCACTCTTATCCTAGAGATGGGTGACAGCTTGAGTCGTAGGAGCAATTGAGACCAGTGGGTAAGGAAGAGATGGAAAGGTGACAATCAAGTGTTTACTCCGTAGAGGCTGTGATAATAGTTATCCTGAGGGCAGGTCCTAACCAAAAATATTGGTAAAGGAAGATGAAGTATGGGATGCCAGAATTATCCCAGTTGTTTTTTTTTCATCTTGCTTATTTATCAGCTTAATTTCTAGGTTAAGTATAAAAACAACCAAACAATATGTAAGAGTGTTTGATATCAATCTCGATGTCATCTCTTCCACTTGCCTAGCTTCCCTGGACTTCATCCGAGATACTTAGCGATCTCATTCTTAGTATTCCTGCTTTTGCTTTCTACCCAAGATCAATTGTTTGACGGTATTTAATGATTCATTAAACTAAAATTCTCATTTTAATTTTTTTATGTAATGGGGAATCATCTGGAATGTAGGTGCCAAAATACAATTCTTTGAGAAAGAGAATTCTGAAGTCCAAAAAACATTTTCTTCACTTCCTCCCATGTATTCCCTGTTACTATTATAAACAAAGCAAAACATCTGTGTTTAGAAAACCGCTTCAGAAATGGGCAAATGTTTTTTTGAGTGTAGACTTTAAGAAGCTTATAAAAAAAAATTAACATTAGTAGCCACTTCATTCTTACTGTGTTCTTAGTTTCCTTCCTGAAATTTTGGGGCTTTTGAGATTAAGAACTCTTTATTAAACCTTCTTTACTATGATACAATAACTAAACTAAAGGATCATCAATTAAATAAACGTTAAGTACTTTTTTCTCATGAGTCTAATCAGCTTTATTTTATTTTACTTCCTTGCTGGCATCTGTATCACCTCCATTGTAGCCACTAACTTACCATATACCTTCCATGAGAAAATATCCAAGTTCATCTTAAAAGCTGTAAAGTATCTGCCTTCTTTCTGTTCTTGGTTTTCACTAACCATATCTCCTTTCTTTCCATTGCTTAGCCACTCTGCTACAATTTCAGTCTCTTTTCTGTCTTGCATAGTTAGGATCACTACAGAAGGTTTTCACAAACTCAGGGAATTGCCCTAGTGCCCTCATTTTCATCAGGAAAGTGATCGTTACATGATAGGAGGAGCCACTAAATGTTGTTATTTGCCATTGTTGTCTTTGCTTCCTGCTCTTTTTGCCTTTCTATAATATATGTCCTCTGCGTTCTCTCTACTCTCTCTATCCCCTCTTACTTTCCTGATCCTAATAAAAAGGTTAAATTATTCCTTTTTTTTTTTTTTTCCGAATCACAGCCTGGCTTGGACTCTTCTTTACTGAGAGTTGCTATGAATGAACAGTTTGTTTCACCATGCTTTCATTCCGTTCAGTAACGTTGTGCAGACCCTGACACAGTTTTCTTGACTTGTTGTAGATGTCCTACCAACAAGTCAGGGGGTGGACCACAAGCAGGTCCAGAGAGAGCTGGGAAATGCTGTTCTGCACCTCCACAACCCCACCGTCCTTTCTTCCTCTTCCATCGAAGTGCACTGGACAGTGAGTTGTTACAATATTTGATCTCAGTTTTAATAAGCGTCTGCGAGATCATTGCAATGCATATAAAATGTAACTATCTGTTGCCTACTTGTACATTAATGATAACTTTATAGTGTAAGCACTGTTTATTACAGTAGCTATTAGTTTGGTTTAAACAGAAAAACATTGCATCTTGAGCCTATTTTTTTCCTATTGTGCTGCAGTAGTGAACTTGACCTGTCTCAGGAAAGAAACAGATAGTATTAACTGTGTTATGTAACTTGTGATAGGATCATTATTACATGAATCTTTTAAACTTAGAAATATTTCCAAGTAGTATTAAGTAGGCTTTTAAAATCAGAAAATCATCAAACATTTTAGCTTCTCATCCCCTTGACCCAGGGATGTCCTACATGCAATGTCAGAGCTGCCATCAGGCCTCACATTTCTGCATGAAGCATAGAAGTTAATGCCACCGAAATTTTTATCAAAAGATAGTGGAATTTTTTCAGTATTCTACTTATTTGAATGTTTTAGCTGAAGATTCTTTTGGATTTTCTATGAGCACACTCATGTTGTCCACAAATAATGATTTTTATTTTTTCCTTTCTAATTCTTACACATTTCTTGTGTAAGAATGTGGGATGAAGCCAGACAGAATTTTGTGCATTTTATAACGTTTAATTTTTATTATTTTCTGATGAACCAATACAATAATATGAATAATTACATTTTACTTGTCTTTTTAATAGGTAGATCAACAGTCTCAGTATATACAAGGATATAAAATTCTCTATCGGCCATCTGGAGCCAACCACGGAGAATCAGACTGGTTAGTTTTTGAAGTGAGGACGCCAGCCAAAAACAGTGTGGTAATCCCTGATCTCAGAAAGGGAGTCAACTATGAAATTAAGGCTCGCCCTTTTTTTAATGAATTTCAAGGAGCAGATAGTGAAATCAAGTTTGCCAAAACCCTGGAAGAAGGCAAGTATGATGAAGCGTTTGATTTCCATGCATTGCAGTATATTTGTTAGAATTTTATTAGCTTAATTTAAATTGTTATAATGTTAATAGTGGCATTAATTACTAACTTTCTTGATATTGAACATACATTTTGCTAACAGTATTTGTTTATTTAGAAAACTAGAAAAGCAAAATGCTATAATAGTTGACTTGCTTCAATAGTGGCCTACCTCAAATGTGTAAATGTGAACATTATATTACTTAATGGCATATAGAAATTTAATTATTCAGAACTAAAATTCACATTTAAAAATGAAATTGTTTTCCGTTTGGTTTATTTTCCATTCAGCATTTTCTATTTGTTTATTTTGATCCATGATTTGAATAATGTGTTGATTTGCCCAGGACTTCGTGGGATTAGCATTTTCTTCCTAAATCTCATCTCTTTTAAAACACCTCAGTTCTAGACAAATCACTATAGCTGACCACCCTATTCCTAGAAATTAAACAATATTTACATAAAGGTAAAAGATTACATTAACTAACAACAGGATTTTTCCCAACATGTCTTTGTCACTTTGGCTGTATAAGTAATTATCATGAATGATTAATATTCATTTTCATACTTTTGAACATTTCGGGGGAGAACATGAGACTAGAGTTACACGGTAGAAGAAATAGGAATTGTCCTGGGATGTTTGGTGGAAACAAGGTATTTAACTTTGGTTATGGAAAATTCACCGTGGCAGTGAATTAGCATTGAGTGAGGAACAACTTAGGTAGTTTGGGACTATTCAGACTTGGATGAGATACATCTTTAAAACATATGCAGCTGGGCACAGTGGCTCACGCCTGTAACCCCAGCACTTTAGGAGGCTGAGGCGGGCGGATCACCTGAAGTCACGAGTTCGAGACCAGCCTGGCCAAGGCGGTGAAACCCCATCTCTATTAAAAATACAAAAATTAGTGGGGCATGGTGGTGGGTGCCTGTAATCCCAGCTACTCAGGGGGCTGAGGCAGGAGAATCGCTTGAACCCGGGAGGGGGAGGTTGCAGTGAGCCGAGATCATGTCACAGCACTACAGCCTAGATGACAGAGCGAGCCTCCGTCTCAAAAAAAAAAAAAAAAAAAAGCATATATTGATATAGTATTAATACATCTATTATTGGGTTTGATATTAATTACCTGCTTTCAGTGTTCTCTAGCACATTCTAATAACCTACCTTTTAAAACAATTTAATAGCACCCAGTGCCCCACCCCAAGGTGTAACTGTATCCAAGAATGATGGAAACGGAACTGCAATTCTAGTTAGTTGGCAGCCACCTCCAGAAGACACTCAAAATGGAATGGTCCAAGAGTATAAGGTATGAGTATAATATATATATATATTAATGTCCTGATGGGCAGCCCCCACCATTCATAAAGAAAAAGCAGGCTGGTATTTGTTTATGGATATTTGGCGCCATCTGCTGGTCCAAATAGCAACATGTAAAATTATTTTTAAAACGCTTTCTTGTTTATTCAGTGATTTTGAAATTCTGATTCAGGTGGTCTGACAGGGGCCCTTGCACATATATCTTGGTGAATCTTTTGGCGATTCTGATGTGCATCCTTAGTTAAGGCCCAAATAAGACTATACATGTTCTTCTGAGGAGCAAATTAATCTGTACGGTAACCAAGTATCCTGAGCAGAATTTTAAGTTTATTTTATTTTCAAAAGATTTTTAAAAACAAATTGAGAAACCTCTTTATGAAATTTGTGTATATGAACAGTGTATTTTTTAAAGTATTTAAAAGACTGCCATAAGTGCACTGTGGATGTTTTAAGATATTTCAAGTAAGATTTTCTAGATAATTGAGGCATTAAAAGGTAAAAGTCTCTGTACTTTTAAGTGTTTTCTTAAGAGTTTCAAGGCTGTCTCAATACTGAGGAGTGACAGGATACTATGTGTTAGTCTAGAAAAATAGAATGTTATAGAAGATTTTTAAGGATTTAAAATGGGTGATGTCTCAGCTCTCAAGCTAAATTGTGGAATGTAGGCATTTTCCCCTAAGAGTCAGAACTCATTTCTCTCCTGAAGAAATGCAAAAGGGTGGATTTCACGTAACTTCATGGTCAATTTAAAATAATAAAATGCCTTTCAGAACCTGATTGACTGGTACAAAATCAGTTTGTGGCTTTGGTTCAGCTGTATAATGTAAATGGGATTTTTAAAAAAATCACAAAAGAGTCTTAATTTCCAAATGGTCAGCTCCTGGTATAGGGTCTGAGCATTTCTTGGTGTTATGTATTGAAACTATATTAAAATAATATTAACTTTCAAAGAAAATATAAAAAGATAAATGATGGAAGAGACTAGGCTTAGATTTCTTTTAAATCTCACTTCCTATTAGAGTTTAGACAATTGTCTACTTAAAGTTAATGGTATATATTGCTTGAGAACATCATAAGGAATATAGAGTATGTCAGTTGGGCGCTGTGGCTCACGCCTGTAATCCCAGCACTTTGAGAGGCCGAGGCAGGCAGATCATCTGAGGTCAGGCCGGCCTGGCCAACACAGTGAAAGCCCGTCTCTACTAAAAATACAAAAATTAGCTGAGTGTGGTGGTGCACACCTTTAATCCCAGCTACTCAGGAGGCTGAGGCAGGAGAATCACTGGAACCCGGGAGGTGGAGGCTGCAGTGAGCCAAGATTGCACCACTACACTGCAGCCTGAGCCACAGAGCAAGACTCCATCTCTAATGATAATAATTAATAATAATGAGCATGTTTTTCTATAGATCATTTTCTTATGGAAACTGAGCTTGAACATTGTCGTGCACCATATCCAAGTTCTTAAACATCGCAGAAGATCACTCACTGATGAATCTGTTAGTGAAATTTAAAACAAGGATTATAGAATAGTTTGAAAATCTCAATTTCTTGAGAATAGTTTTGTATCACAAATATTATTAGCCAAGTTAATCAGGTAACTCTTTGTTATTAGAAGAATGCTTTTTTCACATCAAATATGTATTGCTATTCTTTATGTTCTCATGTATGCTGTGAAGGACTGATAGTCCCATTTAAATAGAAGAGCAGAGGGCAAATTGTCTCTCATTGATAATATAGTTCAGTGTACCAGAGGTTGAATAAAATCCTGAGATGAGGCTCACTCCTTGTGTGCAGTTTTATTTTTAATAATCATATTTGTGCAAACTACTTTAGAGTATTCAGAAGCTCTCCTTCCTTTTCAATCAACTACTCCTTGTAAAATGTGATGTTCCAGTGCCCATGCCAGGCAGGTTGATCCCAGAGAACTGTTGAAGTACGAGGCTTGGCGTTTCCTACTCATTTTTGTTTTACAATATCTGGTCATCTGGGTCATGCCTAGAATGCAAATGTTGAATGAGTATTATTCTTGATCTGCATAGACACAGCTATCTGCAAGGTACTTATTTAGCTGGCAGATAATGTGTTGGTGTTAAAAAGAAATCTAAATGAAGTGGGCTGATAGAAACTACTACCTTCAAGCACAGATTTGTAGACTTACCTGATAGAACCTTTTAAAAGTATATGAGAAAGTAATAAAGATGCCTTGAAACTACTTTTAACGTTAAACTTGACCAGAAGATTGTTCATAGAACTAGATTTTAGGGAAAAAATGACTTTGGAAACTTCTTATGGTAGTGCATGACAGTTTAGTACTCTGTCTGGGTCTAAAACTGCAACCCTGTGTTGATCTTTGCATTCATTTAGGTAATTTACCAGCTTGATTTTTGTGATGTGCTTCTTACAGGTTTGGTGTCTGGGCAATGAAACTCGATACCACATCAACAAAACAGTGGATGGTTCCACCTTTTCCGTGGTCATTCCCTTTCTTGTTCCTGGAATCCGATACAGTGTGGAAGTGGCAGCCAGCACTGGGGCTGGGTCTGGGGTAAAGAGTGAGCCTCAGTTCATCCAGCTGGGTGAGTGTCAGTGCAGATCCAGTTTGACAATCTCTCACTCTACCATGTGTCCCACTTTGCTTTTTTGCATGTGGCTGAGCCACCCACCATTGCTAATTTAATAGAATATGGAATATGGCTTAGAGCTACAAAAAGGTGTTAGCTTTACTTAATATGTAGGAGAGAGAAAGAGAGAGAGAGAGAAAGAGAGAGAGAGAGAGACAGACTAGATGTAGATATATGGACGTAGATATCTCAACTAAACTTGAACATATCTAAGCACACATTTTTGATATTTCAGGCAAAAGGTTGTCAATATTCAATGTTATCCTAATCCTGTCCTATATAATTTTTTTATCTATTCAACAAATGCTATTAATTGAGCACCAAGGATACCTCCGTGAACATGAAAGACAGTCTGCACCTTCATGGAACTCACAGTTGCTTGGATTTAAGATCAAACAAATAGGCCAGGTGCGGTGGCTCATGCCTGTAATCCCAACACTCTGGGAGGCCGAGGCAGGCAAATCACGAGGTCAGGAGATCGAGACCATCCTGGCTAACATGGTGAAACCCCGTCTCTACTAAAAATACAAAAAAACTAGCTGGGTGTGGTGGCGGGCGCCTGTAGTCCCAGCTACTTAGGAGGCTGAGGCAGGAGAATGGCGTGAACCTGGGAGGCGGAGCTTGCAGTGAGTCGAGATTACACCACTGCACTCCAGCCTGGGCGACAGAGTGAGACTCCCTATCAAAAAAAAAAAAAAAAAAAAAAATCAAATAAGCAAACTTCAATTTAAAACTTAAACCAGGTATTAGAAGTTTATAGCAACGACCAATTTATATTCACAGGTAGTGTCTATTTAAAATTGTAATTGTTTATTATAACAAAAGGTAGATTGAGATGTCAAAGAGTATTGGAATATGTTTATATGCTGATTGCTTAGAAAGTTAAACACAATTTGTGCCTCAAACGTGGTTAGATGAATTAAAAAAAAAACTAACATCAAAAGCTTCATTACCACAATTCACTCTGGGCAATATGGCATGAACATAAAGTACAAATTAGTAAGTGCATGCTAGTAAAATCTAAAACAAACAATAACAAAACAATGACAAAATACCATTGTAACTGAAAAGCAAGAAGAAAGGTTCAAATATTAAGAAGCTACATGTAAATTATGAATGATGCCAAGAAGCATATAGCACCTTTATGTTTTTGTCTTCCAGATCAGAAGTTAAGCATTAGTAGTATTTTATTACTAGCGAAATATTAGTATATGTTATTAATATTACAATCAGTTGTTAAATCATCAAAAAGGATCAGATGTATGAAGCTTTGTAATTCACAATTACATACTAGTTTTGCATGTTAATAATATTGGTGACATCCTGGAAATTATTTCAAAACAAAATTAAGAAACACCTGGTTTTCATAAACTTCATTGCTATACATAAAGAACTTCACATTTATTTTGAAGAATATTATTGATGTTCCATTGTTTAGACAATGTGAGTTGCGGTAATAGATACACTTGCAGAATTTCTGTCCTATAAGACAATAACGTCTACCAAAGTCCACTTGTGGGGTGGGGACTCTGTTCCACACACACATTGAGGATCATAGGCGGATGGGTTAGCCTCTTTATCATGGGGCTTCTGAAGTGGACCCTGGGCCTGTAGCAGGGGGAGGAAAGAAACACATCGTCTATGGGAATGTTCAGTGGTACAGGTCTAGACATGGTACACATCACTACTCCCAGTGTGACTGCAAGCAAATGAATGGGGTAACCTCAAAACTAAGTCACTGGCTAGGAAGGCTCCTCCCAACAGCTCTATTATATGAGAGTCCCATTCAAGCTTTTAGGGAAAAACTTGCTGTCTCTATCATAGCCATAGGCTAAAATTTGATTTTTGCACTCATGTTACCACTAAAGAACTTATCCATATAACTAAAAACATCCTGTTCTCCAAAAACTATGAAAATATTTTTTTTAAAAAAAACCAATGATTATATATAGAAATAAAACTTTTAAACAAAAATAGCTCCTGGTTTGTTTCAAGCAACACAAGAAACTGTAAGAAAATAAGTTGCTTGATGCATCTGTTGAACGTTTATATGAGATGTGGAGGAAAACAGTTTATATTGAGAAAATAGTTGATAGTCAAATATTTGCCCAATTTTATTAAATTTCAATATTAATTTATGAACATTGAAATAAGTTAACACTGTGATGACTCTATATATTGTTGTTGTTTACCTATTTTTATGACTGAAGATTATTTAGTTCTGTTTTTTGGAAGATAAATTGGGAAAATGACTATGTATAATTTTATTTATTTAAGATTGAAACCATGGGGGCTTTAGGGCCAAATTGGTTTCCTTGAAATTACAAATGAGTTCCATTTTTCCATATCTTAATATAGGCTCAGCTGCAGTGAGACAAAGACTGAGCTAGCGAGTGGCTGTTTTAATTCATTAGTCATACCACACTTGAGTCTGTTAAGTCCATCTGGTTGCTTGCATAGGACCTCTCTTGGCTGTTTCCATATTATCTGAGGCTACCCATCTTAACCTTGCACAAATAGCCATGAAATCTATAAACCTAGCAGATACAAAGAATGTATTAGGGATAAGAAGAATAGGTCTGCTCGGTGAACTTTAAGAGGATGAAGTGCTTAGGATAACCAGAGGTAATAAAAGAGTCTGGAACATGAAATAAAACTTTCATTCAACAAACAGAGAAAGGCAGGTAACTGCTTATGAAAATAGGTTTTTCAGCCTTGACCCTCTATAGAATGAGATCTGGAATTCTGTTAAAGAACAAAGCAAACTGAAAAACCACACACACTCATACAACATGAGAAGGAATTTAGCCATTTTGCATTGAAAGGGGTGCTGTTTTCCTGAAGGCTGTTTTCTTCATCATTGAACGTTGCTTATTTTTCCTTCCAGTTTTCTTATCAAGATGCAATGTCATTTAATAAGAGAAAAATCCATTGAAAGAAGAATCCATAAAAAATGTTATTCATATGTAATGAGTTATACCAATTATCTTTATGGAAAAAAATGTATTTTTGGATTGAAAAATCTTTCTATCTTAAAGCAGATTGTATTAGCAGAATTGTTGTATTTCTTTCTAGTTTGGTCTTAAAGTCTCTCTTTGCACAGTGGCTATAAACTCTAGTCCTGCCCTGACGGGGCTTTGGAGAATTTGGTTGTGGGTGTTCACTTTGTGCCTTTCACAGGATGCTTTTTAATCCTGGCAGACAGCATAACACCTGTGTTCAACCCATGACCAGGTGTCCCTCACACAGGAAACTAGTTTATACTGGCAGACGCCCCTGTGGCTCTTATCTGACCTGCGTCCAGCTTATTCCTGTCAACATGCCCCCTCCTAGGAGAGCCTTGACTGGGAGGAAGGTTAAAACCTCCCAGTGTGTTGCTTAGATGAGACTCAGAGGAGGCAACACAACAAAAACACGTGAAATAACGGAAGCAGTTTATTACTCACAGACCCATGAGACAGAGGGAGTGCCGACAAGGGCAGATGAGAAGGCCACCAGGGCAATTTGCTCAACCAGCAGGTGGGAATCCAGGTGGGGAAGACCTAGGCTCTGAGGACTTTTTGCTGTTGAAGGTATTACCCAGGCAGGTTTCCTTTGGGGAGTTCCTACTGGTGGGTTCTTAGAGCAAATGGCACAAGTTCCAGGAGGTCACATTCTGTCTGAGAATGGTCACTGGCATATCTGCACAGTCCATGAGGGGTGTGGGGTCACTGGGGTGAGTCAAGTAAGTTGTATCTACATATCCCACAGGGAGGTGGCCACCGTAAGTCAGTCATGTAAGGCAGATGTCTGGATTGACCATGTTGAGGAACTGGAGGGAGGCAGGGAACTGGAGGGAGGCAGGGAACTGGAAATTGTCAAGGGTGTCAAAACCCAGATTCTGCTATGAGAAGGTTAAACTTAGATTCAAAATCAATGCTGAGGCCAAATGAAATTATAAGAACTCATGACGACAATATGTATCAGACTCAAATGATTTAATAATTGTAAGAAAGCACCAATCCTAATGAAATGGGCCAACACCTTCTTGTTTCACCAGATGTGGTGGGGGAAGAACATCAAAATTGCAGACAGAGGTGGGAATTCTGCACAGTGGGCACCCTCAGGGTTGATATCACTCAATGCCAACAGAATTGGATATTGCTTTGATGATACAGCCTCCAGTTCTCTACAGCAACTTTGCAGGCCCCTTGTGTGGCTGGGTGTTATGGTGGGCTTGAAAAAAACTCAGTAGACTTAAAACATAAATGTAAACTAAGTTAATTTTATTACCCATATATTCATCAATTTTTAAATAATGAATCAAAATGGCCAGCAGAAAACATGAGCCCTTTTGACTATTCATAACCCTTGATATTATAATTCTTTTACATATTTAACATTATTTTATCTGTTGCTCGCCATGATTATTATTTTAATGCAGAGATTATTCATGGCTCTTTCAATGGTAACATTATCTGAATATTTCATTGGGTTTTACTGATCCTGAATTGTGTAGGTCTTTCTGAGCTTACATTAAGTAATGTGTTTCTAAGACAATGAAATGTCTTACAATATAATGTTAGTGTCGGGGTACACACACACATGCACACACATAGAGACTTTTCCATATCTAGCTTAGAGAAGAAATAAAATTTTATTTCTTTTTTTTTAGAACATACTATTTAAGCATGCCTGTAGAAGTCTGAGAAAGTTTATTGTCCGTGAATACTTATTAAATATTCCTTATGTGTACATGTATTATTTGTGTGTGTATTAAAGTACTTCATTCTTTAGTGTTATGTTTTTGTATTTTTCTCAGTTAGCACTGTCCTGTGAGACTTAATCTAAGAAGTAACCTGCAAACCTCTTTGGTTCGAAAAGAGAAGCAGTGTGCCATTGCTTTTGTTTTTAAGCATGATTCTATACAATTGTCACACTTGCTTTGAGTTGAAAGAAATAAATAAAATTGTCCAATTTTGCTGAAAACAGTATGAACTATTTTATTTGATGATGGTGAGTGGTGTGAGAGGAAAAACAGAAATCATTATCCAGAAATTAACAAAGTAATGGCAGCCACAAATGAGTGCGTGCATTATTGCATTGAGTCTTCAACCCAAATTAATCGGAAGATGACTTTTCAGATGCCCATGGAAACCCTGTGTCACCTGAGGACCAAGTCAGCCTCGCTCAGCAGATTTCAGATGTGGTGAAGCAGCCGGCCTTCATAGCAGGTATTGGAGCAGCCTGTTGGATCATCCTCATGGTCTTCAGCATCTGGCTTTATCGACACCGCAAGAAGAGAAACGGACTTACTAGTACCTACGCGGGTATCAGAAAAGGTATTAGCTTTCCCAAGGTTTTCATATTTTAATGTTTATAAAACTCTTGATTTTAATATTTGATTCCAAATTATTCATGATTATGCATATCCTCTAAAACTTGTTTTAATATATAAAGATTTTCAAAAGTGCGTTTATTGTGCTGCGGTATCCACATATTAACTTCTCTTACATAGCAGAACTACAAATAGAGTTTATTAGTTTCTTAGGGCTCAGTTCCTTTAAAATAGATTTCACCAAGGTAGGTCTACCTTTGGCTGTTATACCTTTTCCCTTTTCTCTTAGGGAATTATTTTATTGCTTTATATTCTTGAAGGAAATTTTTAATGTTCTTGTTATTGGAATTATAAACGCAACCTTTGAACAGTCTCACATGGTTTCAGGGGAGACATTGTTACCCTTTGTGAAGCAAAATAGAAAATACTGCCGTTTGATTATTTATAAAATACTCCTTTCTTGGTGAATATGGAAGGCCTGACTGAGTGATGTACTGTTGCTTACAGAGAGAAGAGGGTTAGTCCCTTTTTATTATTATAAAGTTGCAAAATGGAATATGTGTATGCTGTTACTTAGTGATGGTGATTTTGTTACGAATGTGTTTACAGTTTTAAAAAAGACAGCTTACATGGCCACTATTATTATTTACAATTTTAAAGATGACCCAAATATGCCAAGATTTTCACATACTTTTGCTACTTATCCTTAAACTCTGAAGACTGCTGATATTTTTGTGTTTTTTATTCTCAAAGGAAATTGTTAACAGTGTCAGACAGATGATCCTCCATGCCCCTTAGATACCTTCATCAATTCTGGGCCTCAGATCTGGGCTGTAGATTAGGTTAGATGGTTGTAAGTCCCAGTTTTCAGAGACACCCCAGTTTATGTCATTAGTCCAACAAGATCAATTCTAGTACCCCTTCTTGCTCTCAAAATTGTACTGACTTAAATGGCAGATTATACAAATTATAGGGCCCATCCTTCAGTCGAATGCAACAGCTTTGCTTTGCTGCAAAGCAAATTTAAAGAGGATTTCCAATTTAAAAAAGTCTCCTACCCTACCATCACCAACTTTTTCCCACGAATTTTCTACATAAGTGAACATTTCTTACATGTGTTGGCCAGATTGTTTCTCTGACCAATTATATGACAAAGTCAGAATTTTTCATGTTAGCTAGAACTTGAATGTCCCTATGCATAGACCAAAACAGTATGGGACAGCAGTCTAAAATATTTGTGTTGTCCGTCACAAGGGGACTTAGCAAGAGTCAACACAAATGCATCACTAATACTATAAAAATAAATCTCCTTGCCGCCTGCCTGTGGCTCAGCAGCAATCTCTTCATGTACATGCATTTGCTTTAGCATTATCATCCTTAAATATGTTTTTTTCAGATATGTGTCCTCTCTAGGGATGAAGCAGTATGTCAATATTCCCGCCTGTGAAATGGAAAATGAGGGCTTGGAGGTTACTGAAAAGAGAACTGGTGCTCATTATGTATACAAAGTAGAAGAATGTCAGGCACATGCTACCATATAAAACCTTTGACTGAAAATAATTGTAGACAAGGGGTTTTGGGTGTCTTTGTGTGGTGGAGTGGGGAAGGGGTAGGGTGTTTGGGGTAGAAGATGTTTGGATTTGAATGAGGAAAAGAGTGACTAATTAACATATAGATGTGGAGTCTCTTGAATTCTTCATCAAAAGACCTCCATCATGAACTCTGTTTTGCAAATAGCCAGTCAGTGGAATCCTGTGTTTCTTATGAAGTGCCATAGCTACGTGATTATAATAATTTAATGGTCTACATTGTCTTGAACTCTAAAAATGTGACATGCAACTCTCCTTCCTACTGAAATGTTTCTTTTTCTTTACTAACGTACTTTGAGCATGCCAACAAATGCCTATGTGCTCTTTGTGCAAAACCTATTAAACTAATACCATTGCCCTTTCAACTTAGCTTGTGTTTAAGCAGAAATCATAGAACATAATTACAAATGTAATTTGATGAGCATTTGATTCTGCTTTCTTCACTTTGTCCTGTTGGCACATTTTCATAATTTTGTTTCTAGGCAATTTTTAAGTGCATTTTGAGATCTTAAATTTTCTATACCAAAGTCAATGCCAGTAATTTTAAGAAAAAAAGAAAGTGAAATATTTTAAAGAATAAAAAATGTAAAAGAGCCTACTGACCTATAAAACATCAAGCCAGAGTGTAACTTCAGGGGAACAGTGAGCATATTTAACATTTCCCCCTTACATTTAGCTATCGGTGTGACATCTGCCAGTTCGCTGGGTACCCCCTGTCCACATGCATTCACATATTGCACCCGCATCACTTAGGGACCCAGAGAGTTTATTATATTATTGGAAGCTTTGAAAATTAAGTTGTTATTTCGTGTGCTAGCAGTGAAAATTTCATTTAGATTGACCTCCTTTTCATCTCTTCTTCAGTTCCTCAAAGTGGGGTTAGCAGTTAGCTAGGAGAAGTAATGACAAGGACCTTTCATATTTTCCCGGTGTCCTTGTGATTGCAAATTAATGTTCAGGCACTCCATTCTTGCTTGAATAGCTTTAGTTTCAAATGCACCTTTCATTTTTTTTTTTTTTTATGAAGACTTGTTACTATGGCTCTGAATTTTTGAATGTAGCTAAATTACATTGACTCTCTGAAAAGACCTGACTGAAAAAAAACACAATAGGATTCTTAAGACAGGGACTGCTGTGCTGCACACGAAGGCCAGGGTATAAATTGGGGACACAGCACTGAGGTTTTTGCTTTTCTTCTTTCTAGTATGCTCAGAGATAAAGTGGCTTGGTAAGAAGTGACAATTGTAGAGGACGCTATAGCGTTTCGGTTTGCAAACCCCAAATGCTCCGATTCTACAGTAAATTTCTTGGAGATGTTCAAATGTGAAATAGAAAATATAATTCTGGCAGTGTTTTGATACATGATAAGTAATCAATATTCTAGTTTGTTTCTACTAAAGATTATTTTAAAGAAACTTTAATCTTAGAGGGAATAACATATATTTCCTTGCTTTTTTTTTTTTTTAACCAGAGCAGCGTTTACTTTAATTTAACATGAAGAGATTGGAAATAAGTCAATCTCCTCCCTCTATGAAATGACATGGAAATTGCTCTGCCGTTATCCAACCCCCCAGGAATGGGAGAAGATAGGAAAAGTGGGGGAGGAATGGCTGCTACTTTTGAGGTCTGCGGTTCAATTTCAGGCATTATTGATTAGATTAAGATTTATAACTGCAGAGAGAGTGAAGGTTTTCAGAAGGGTGTTATTGTTCTATTGTTTAGCTTCTACTGTGGTATTAAAAGAATGTCCAGCCTACTTCTAGGAAGCTTCTAAAAGTAAACTCAAAGAAATTAAAATTTAAAACTCCAGTTTTTTCTGTCCATTCACAAGTTTTTATGATGATAAAAAATGTCAGTTATGTGATAAGATGTCAGGCATTTCCACTCAGTGAAATAGTTAAATTTTATGGTTCTCTTTTATTCAGTTCATCTTTTTCTTTCCTTTCCTTTACTTGTGTTGTGTTTGTTTGTTTGTTGTTTCTTCTTCCCCTTTCCTTGCCTTTCCTTCTTTTCCTTCTTTCTCTCTTTTTTTTCTCTCAATGTTAAGTACATAAGTGCACCTAGTAGTTCACTTTAATAAGCATTTACTTTCAGATTTCTAGATAAGGTTCCAGCAAGACTCTGATAATACTTATTTAAGAATCCATCATCCTGTGTTTGGAGATGATTAATAGTGGAGGATTCTTGTTTGTACGAAAGCCACGAGCTAAATCTGTGTTACTAAATGCAGGGTCATTCACAGGCTAACCTAGCATAATTCCCTTCCTGAGTGTACTAGAATGTCAGACACTTCAAAATGGTACCTGTAGAGACAAGCTTCTTTTTTTAACCTCAGAATTGGTTTTATTCATAGATCAGATTGTCAGAACTACTGGCTTAGTTATTTACATTTGTTTTATGTTCAGCTGTCTGCTTGATTTATACTAATGTGATATGTTCCCTTTCTCTCTTCAGCTTAATAACTGGTTTATATTTTGTTTTGATTTTTCAGTCCCGTCTTTTACCTTCACACCAACAGGTATATATTTGCACTTACCCTCCTCCTTTCCATTGTTAGTTTGGCATGTGTTCCACTATTGTGTTTCTGTTTTTATTTCATTTTCTGCAGTAAGTTGGGGGAAAGAACTTAAAGTGGAATGTAATACTTGATTTACTCACACCAGGCATGTGTTTAAGGTAGAAATGGTTGGTGTTGCTTTTCATCCATTCGATGCAATTATTTATTCACAATTCCACACTGGATCTTGGCCTTGTTTGCATGTGTTTCATTAAGTAGACACACTGTCTCTACCTTCAGCATGATTTAACATGCTAATGATCTTATTGACTACTTCAGACTTGACAGTGCATTTTTCAACTTAAGCTTTCAAGTTTTCCAACAAAAATTTCTCTCCCTTATAATTCTCTGTCCCCAGAATCAATATTGTTAAAGGTAACCACAATATCCAGCACATGTGAAAGATAGAACTTTTCGTTTTCCCTAAGTCAGAATCCTAATATTCCGTTCTATCCAATTTCTTTCAAAATGGGTCCTCTTCTGTCATATCACCTCCAGGAAAAGATGTACGTGTAGTTGTGCCCTCTCAGTTTTAATCCAGTTATTGTCATCACTGGGAGCAGTTATCTCTCTATAACAGACTTCCAGTTTGGAGTTCTTCTAAGTAGCAGAACTTGGCAGCTTTAAAAACACATTTCTTCTTAGAAAATGTGTCTGTATTTACAGAAAAGCTAATCTTCTTAACCACTTAGCCTAACTATGTGAAAATCTTTTTTTTGTTATGGTTAAATTTTTCCATCCCAAATTTATTAAGCTGAGGATGCTTTCAAGAGCATTATAATATATTTTGATTATCTATACATGTCTGATGAAAATATAATGAGAAATAATTTGCAGAAGCCACAATAAAAAATAGGTCACATGAATTAATAGTCACAACTTGGCATACATCTTTGTGTGTAGAAAGGTTTATTTTAACATTTCTCTTTGACTTACTGGTACTCATACTTCCGGGAAAATAATCTAGTAGTTTTTTTTTTTCCTGAGTTTAAGTTTACACCTATATAAAATTATGAAATTATGTGCTCCAATAATAAATTCAAAATGGAAATCCATCGGAATGCTAATGTACAGATGTGTAACAGTTATATTTAATAAGTGTACTGATGTTTTGCTTTTTCTTGATTCTCCACCTTATTGGAATTTGAAGAAAATAAGAGTGATATATAGATATCTAATTATATATATAATTAGATATATGATATGTATATCTAATTCTATACAATATTTAAAGAAATGTCACTAGTTGAATCAATCTGTTACGTCATGTGATTTTTGCAATGCTTCTGTCTAGGAAGACAGAAGGAATTCCATTTTAGAAAGAAGCTCATGAATGTAATAGCTTTTGATATATAAATATGTCTATTAATTGTTCCTTTTTTTTTTCGTAACATTCTAGTAACTTACCAGAGAGGAGGCGAAGCTGTCAGCAGTGGAGGGAGGTAATTATCTTGCTTGTTTTGTAGATCCTACAGGGAATTCCAAATATTTCTTCATCTTCCTCAATGACACCACTTTCTCTGCTTAAAAAGTCTAACTTAAAGGTGGAATTTATTTAGTTCCTTGACGAAGACTCCATTCAGCTATGCTGTTGAAACAAGCTGTTTACACACAAATGTAGTTGATTGGAGTAGTTGCATCTTAGTCAGTGACCACTAGAGGGAGGACTTTAACTGAGAAAGAGACTTGCTGATTTAGCAAATGATTAAAAGGAGTTAAAGTGACTAAGCGGTGGCATTTATGAAGATTAACAAATACAGCTAGTTAACTAATACTATCCAAGAAAAAGAGTTCATTTGAAAAACCTGCTGAACACAGCAATTGCTCATAAGTTGTAGGTTATGTTTGTTTATTCTTGTTATGAATTCAACATAGTTCACTTCCCCATTTGCAGGAAAATGTGTTGAAATAAAAGAGGAAATCTGGGTAACTTGTTAACAAAGAATGTTTTCCCTCCTCTAATTGAAATGAATCTCATATTTATGATTTTTAAAGTAATTATTATTCAGTGAACTTTAATATATTCACAGAGAAATCACAAATTGATGTGACAACCAGCTTAAAGGGGCTGAAATAAGGTATAAGTTATGTGATGAGCCAAGCTTCAGAATTTTTCACAATAAGATGTTTTTTTTTTCTCCAAAACAGTAACATCTAGCTTACAGTGTAAAAAAAAAAAAATCTTCCAACCAAAACCATCTTATAATTCAAATTCAGTGAACTTACTAAATTCCCTTCTTTGTACAGCTGTATAACATGACTGCTACTAGAAAGATAACAATGAGTAAGATATTATTCCTAAATTCAAGGAACATACCACCGGATAAGAAAATTACTGAATTTAGTATATAACAAAGAGTGGTTTAAAAAAAAAGAAGGTTGACCACCTTTAGCCAATGCTGTACAAATTTGGCAACAAGTACTAATCTTTTCTTTCCTGGGTATTGCTAACTTCCTGTTTTCATACCTGTGAAACAAAGCCAGCCAGTGACAGACCCAAAGCTAGGGAGGTTTTCATAAGGAATAAATCCACTTGATTCAGGAATTAAACCAGGGCATGTTTGTGCATCCAGGGGAATTCCATCTAAATCACAGCCCAGACATTCATGAAAGAGCCTCTGGCATAAGAACATTTTCTCGTGGGTGAATCTGGAATACCTGATTTTATAACCACTTCATTACATGTGTATATTTCAACCTCCTCACTAATCAAAGCATGTGAAAGTGCTTCTTGAGTGTCTTTGATATGTTCTTCACTAGCCTCTGTGCGTGGGTGTGTGTACACAAGTATCACACACACATACAGAAAAATAAGCTTGGTTCCTACTCTAAAAGAATTTACAACCTGGATAGAGCAAACTGGCACATGGGAAACAATGGCAGGAATGCATAGGTAGCAAATGCTAGTTGCCACGGCAGGATGGAAAAATTACAAAGTTCCTGAGCTATTTGGAAAGCTCACTATATCACAAAACAAACATAGCTTTTTAAAGTTAAAAATAAAATCCCTGTCAGTGAAACTGATTTATTTCAAATAGTAAGTAGAAATGATCATTTTCCTAAATGAAATGCTAAACGATGTTGGGATGTTACGGAGGCAACAGTTCAATAAAGATTTCAGAGTCAATGCTCAAAATGTCAGTTATATACAAAATTTTAGAATTATTTATTCATGCAATATATTGAACACTTACTATGTGACAGGTGCTAGTTTACTTACTTGGGAAGCATCAGTAAGCAAAGTGTATAAAAATTCCTGCCCTTCCAGACCTTACATTATAGTGGCGGAAATGCGAGATGAATAATAAACATTTTTTTAAAAAGTCAGCTGTACAATATCAGCAGTTGATAAATGCTACGGAAAAAATAAAATAGGATGAGGACAATAAGGATGCTTTACGAAGGGGCCTCATTCCTAGCCACTTACGGATGTGTGTGTCATTGTGTGTGTATGTGTGTCTGTGTCTATGTTTCGTGATCTAGTGAGATCAGAGAGGGAATAATGAACCAAACTCCTACACTGACTTCTCTTGTGTCTGCCCCTTAAGCACTGGTTTCCCTCATGTGTTTCAGACTTTCTGAGTCCTCACTGGACCTCCTACCTCACATAGTTAATGACACCAAAGCCAAAACCTTCCAGCCATCCTCTTGGACCTCCTGTATCCATTACTGCATTTTGTTGATGCTGTCTCTTACTCCTTTCACTCTCATATTGTTTCATTTCAAGCCCTACTTCTCCTTTGCCTAATCTATGACAAAAGCTCTCAGGAGTCCTACCTTTATCTATAATACCTTCATTAGCATTATTTCCTGCTAATTCCCTTTGCTCACTGGAGACAGAACGATCTTTTGAAATGCATATTGATCATGTTTCTGAGCTCCAGAAAATCCCATTATCAATAGGACCTATCATGTTTAGAATATCAGATCCAAACTCGGCATAATATGCAAAGTCCACAGCTCTAGGTCTCTGCAGACTTACTTCACACCTCAAAATGTGCCAGACCCTACAATCCACTGTGTCACCCCACCTGCCATTTGCCAAGATTGCATTCTCTTATGTGTCCTTACTACACTGTGCATGTATTACATAGGTCTGGACTGTCTCCCCACCCAGCGACCCTTCTCAGTTTACTGAATTCCACCTACTATGCCCTCCATTAACTCTCTAATGTGGAATTACCTCAATGAAGTGCGTAACATAAGGTGATGCGGTTATCTTTTGTTTATGTCAGAGGTCAGTGAATTATGGCTCTTGGGCCAAATCCAGCCTGCCACCTGTTTTTGTAAATAAAGTTTTATAAGAATACAGCTAGGCTCATTTGTTTACATATTTTCTATGACTGTGTTTGAGCCACATTGGCAGAGTTGAGTAGTTATCAAATAAGCTCTATGGCTTGGGAAGCCTTAAAATGTTACTATCTGGTCCTTTACCAAAAACGTTTGGCAACTCCTGGTGGATATGATTGCCTCTGACAAGAGAGTGTGAGTTCCTGGAGGATGCAGATTACGTGGTTTATTTATCGATAAATGGGTTTTTAATAATGCAATAAATTACATAAATAAATGCGATAAATCACATGAATGATTAATTTTTGATAGATGTCACCTATAAGTAAAAAAAAAATGAATGAGCCATTGAATAAATGAATGTCAGAAGGCCTGAGTTCAGTCCTTTGTAACTTCAGAGAAATTGTGGAGGCTGTATTTTTTCCTCTGATAAAAGGAGAAGGTTATCTAGAGCTCTGTTATCATTGTGAACATTGCAAATGTGGCTATTCCTGGAAAAGAGAGAATGAAGAGTGTGGTAAGCAAAGAGACTGCTTCCCAACTTAAAAAGGGCAAAGAATTTGTGAGAAAATCCAGGGAAATGATCATGGAAATATTAAGTAGCCGTTGCTACTCATTTGTTTTCCTTTCCTCAAACATTCCAGGCAATGTGTCCAAAAAACATACTTAATCCAAACCACAGCATAAAGCAAGAAAGCAGAGAAAACCTGAGAAGGGTGGGATGGGAAAGTCTGGCTAACCTGGTAGAGAATGCCAATACCACATTCCCTGTTGGTGGGAGGTGAGGAAATAGAGCTCAAGCCTTTGCTTCTCTTTAAAATATTGGCAATTCTGAGATCTAGCCCTTGGCTTTATAGCTCATTCAATCTGCCAGTGGGAAGGGGAGACAGCCTATAGCCTGACAAGGCTTCCTGCCAGCCTCCTTCACCATTTCCGCAGCTCCTGGACTCTGTAGTGTTTTATTTTGTGATTTAGCAGTTCAAATAGGCTTTCTTGGGGTGAGTGATTGGAATAGCAAGAGAAGAGTAGGAATTGAAGGTAATTGCCATATAATTACTAAAGTGCATTTGCCCTCTTTTTTCTTCATGACGCAAATCTATCCACTTATTATATTATATGATAATATTACATGATAATATTTAAGAAACATGTTAATCCCTATAACCACCATGTGTATTTTTTCTGCTTCATATCTTAAGCTCGAATATATAAGGGTAGCCTGGGAAATTGTTTAAAAAAAGACCTTAGAACCCTTATTAGAGTAGGTACATATGACCTTGACTTCCTCAAAGTCATCTCAGATCTACACATGGCATTTTAAGGTTCATTATAGGCCAGTAATCATGGCTCACCTTCTGCCTTAAATAACTAGCATTCCAAATTCAAGTCTAAACAGAAAACTAGGATGTAAATCGATAAGTCAGCTTCCTGTTGGAAATCACTCATATATATGAAAAGGTCTCTCAGCCTATGATGATATCAAAGCATTCACTATGAAAGTGTTTTTCAGAGGGAATCAGAGCAGCATAAAAATATTGTCTATTTCTTTTGAAACATGTAAGTCAGTCTGTGGAAAATCTCCTCTTGGCCCATATTTCAGACGTCCTATAACATCTCTGCTGTGTCACATATGGAGTTTTATTTTTAATAACTTCTACAGTGATAACATTCATAGTTTAAGTTCAAAGAAAAATAAAATAAGAAAGCAAAAGATTACTAGATGCAGAATTCCTATAACTAATATCTATTTCAAGGCTCCAGATATCTGTGTTATAATTTGCATTTAAATGTTTAAAATTTCAACAGTTTGGAAACGTTACTCTTCAAATCACGATTTATCAACAATTTTAATAGTAAGATGGCTCAGTTTTAACAGCTTACACTTCCGATATTTTCTCCACTCTTCCTTTCATTAAGAATATTCCAGAGCTTTAGGAACTTTTAGTACTCTCCAGTGTATGTGTTTATAAAATCTTAGAGTGTAAAGTCTAGGGCCAGCCTGCTAGGGTATGAATTTCAGCTCTGCCACTCACTCACTTTAAGTAACCATGCACAAACTTCTTAACCTCTCTTAGACGTCCCATTTCCTCATCTTTAAAATCTGGATAACAGTACCTCCCTTGTAAAATTGTCGTGATGACCACATGAGTTCATCCCTGTTTAAAAACAAACAAACAAACAAACAAACAAACGGAACAATGCCTCACACATTATAAGCAAAGGGTAAATATTTATTTTTATTATATAACTATATGTACCCACATATGCATACAAAAATGAATCACAAGTCCATAGCCTTTGTTTAGAATGGATTACTTCTCAACCATCATTTGCATACTAAATTTTACTCAGTAGACTATGTGCTAGAATAAGAACCATGGAAGGTGAAATATCAGATTTCTTGCTTCCCAGGTAAATAAGAAACATAATTATTGCATTTTAACATAGAAAATAAAACCACCAAGAAAATCTTTGCAGAGTCTGTAATGCCAGTCTGTTTATTGTGAATGGGACGTCACCTCTTTTGCTGAATGGAGGTAAGTATGAAGTCGGTGCTGGAAAAGGAAATGAAGAATCCCACTCTTCAACTCCAGTTTGAGTCCCTGGCTCTGTTGGTCCAAGGCTCCCATTAATAATCGCTGATGTACTTGGCATTCCCAATGCACAGTAAAAGAGGAATAGCATCTTCTGCCAAAAAATAACAAAATGAACACTAATATTCTTTTTAGTGGACATCTCTGTTTTATCAGATTTAATTCATCAGCTTTCCTTTGCTTATGTTGGGATTTATGACATTTTACATTGTCACCATCAGAAAATGTTGACAAGCTTACAGAACTATGCTCTGAAACATTGATGAGGATCTGTGTAAAATGTCACAGAGCCCCAAACTCATTAAGTATGAAACATGGTTTTGGAGAAAAATACGCCAGTACATTTAATTTGAAGAATCTATTGTCTGAGTAAAGAGGCTTGTTTCATTTTTTAATGAAGTTGTAAGGAGTCACAATTTTTTAATGGGTCAAAATGAAGAAGTGCCAACTATCTGAACTAGGGTATTTTTTTAAACCACTAAAAGACTCAAAAATATGTTCATATTCCATGTTTGATTTTTAACCATTATGACTAAAGGCAGAGTAGAACATTGCAAATGATACGAGATTTTAGGTCTGATGCATAACTCTTCCCGTGTACAGTTATGGCTATGTAAATGGAGGCACATCCCAGAACCTTATATTACAGTTGCCTGTGTGTAGAATAAAAGGGATAATAATGTCATTCAGCATAGTTCATCAGATGATTTGTGAGCATAACAAGATGAGGAATTTATTGGAATTTTAAATAGAAAATATTACTCTCTATTCATATAACATTTGCTTTAATATTTTTTTTTTATTTAGGCCTGGACTTCTCAACATCAGTGAACCTGCCGCGCAGCCATGGCTGGCAGACACGTGGCCTAATACTGGCAACAACCACAATGACTGCTCCATCAGCTGCTGCACGGCAGGCAATGGAAACAGCGACAGCAACCTCACTACCTACAGTCGCCCAGGTTAGGGACACAGAGAGAGCCTGATATGTATAAGCTTTTTAAGGAACTAGCCAGAAGATCTTTTCTTTCCCTCTCCCTACATGGGAAAGATAAAATTTGACCCGTATTTTATCCAATGCTGACTATTGTTTAGCAAAATAGCCTGATTTAAGTATTTTCTCCATCCCTTAACCTCCATACTTTGCTAAAGTCCACCAAAAAAGTTTTGCCCAGAGAATTGGGAAGATAAATTCTACAATCAATAGCAAGTAGGAAAAATAAAATCATGTGAAAGTATTTATTTATTTATTTATTATTTATTGGAGACAGAATCTCACTCTGATGCTCAGGCTGGAGTGTAGTGGCATCCACTTCCTGAGTTCCAGTGATTCTCATGCCTCAGCCTCCCGAGTAGCTGGGACTACAGGCCTGCACCATCAGGCTCAGCTAATTTTTATATATTTTTTTTAAGTAGAGATGGGGTTTTGCCATGTTGCCCAGGCTGGCCTCGAACTCCTGGCCTCACGTGATCCATTCACCTCGGCTTCCCAAAGTGCTGGGAGTACAGGCGTGAGCCACTGTGCCCAGCCATAAAAGTATTTAACTTTTTTTATTTTTTTGACAAGAGTCTCACTCTGTAGGCCAGGCTGGAGCTCAGAGGCGCAATCTCAGCTCACTGCAACCTCCGCCTCCTGGGTTCAAGTGATTCTCCTGCCTCAGCCTCCCAAGTAGCTGGGATTGTAGTCACACAACACCACACCCAGCTAATTTTTATATTTTTAGTAGAGATAGGGTTTTACCATGTTGGCCAGGCTGGTCAAATGTATTTATGTTGATAAGAATGTATGTGATTACAATTTCTTTTACCTTTTTTGCTTGTTTGTTGTTTTTTGAGATAGAATCTCGCTCTTCACCTAGGCTGGAGTGCAGTGGCATTAACACAGCTCACTGCAACCTCCACCTCCTGGGCTCAACTAATCCTCTCACCTCAGCCTCCCAAGTAGCTGAGATCACAGGCACGCACCACCATGCCTGGCTAATTTAAAAAATTTTTTTTGTAGAGATGCAGGTCTTGCTATGTTGCTCAGGCTGGTCTCAAATTCCTGGGCTCAGGCAGCCCTCCTGCCTCAGCCTCCCAAAGTGTTGGGATTACAGGGGTGAGCTACTGTGCCTGGCATATAATTTTTAATTGTAATTAAATAATCTTTAATCATATTTAATCATTTTTGAGATTTTGGGAGTAACACAGATCAAAAGGTAAATAAATTCATAGTTATAATGAACCAAATTCTTTAATAGCAAAAATAATAATAATCTACAACAGTAATAACAAAAAAATTTAAATAAAAATTAACTGAAATTTAAAATCAGATTTTATGGTATAGTAGCAAATCCTGAGGACACGATATATATATATATGTACATATTAAGTGTGTGTGTATATATATACACACATATATGTATGTATATACACCTATATGTAAGTATATATATACACATATACATATATGTATGTGTGTATACACACATACATATATGTATATAAGTGTATATATATACACACATACACACATATATATACACACACACACACTGCAGGTGTGCATGCATACATTTATTTTCTATTGTTTGTTTTTTGAGTCAGATGTATGTGTGAGTAAATTATCTTGCTAAAATTTCATGCCAAAACATAATAGTAAAAAATCAGATGTACAGTCTGCAAGATTTAAAGGAATAAAAATTACCAAAGATTTCTTACCAAACAACCCCTCCCCCCCCCAAAAAAAAACCCAATATTGCCAATATAGGAAATATTAAAATTATTGTATGGAATCTCTATGATGATAGAAGTAAAATAACCTGTGGAATTACGGAAAGGCGAGAGAGAAGTTGGATTTAAGTAAAGATGCTATGCACTATAAAGAACAAATCATAGAGCAGTCTGCATGTCTGCCCTTAAAGCGAATCCTGAGTGTCCACTGGACGTGGATGTGACGTATCCATGTGACCAAGTCTCTGTCCTCTAGAGGCCCATATTCTGAATGTCTAGACAGATAGATACTCATGTAATCATAAGTACAAGAAAAACTGGGTTGAGACCTATAGGAGAGAAAAAATGGCGATACCCATTTAATAGGTAGAGCTGTGTTGTCCAATATGGTAGCCATTGGCAACAGATGGCTATTTACATTGAATTTAATAAAATATAGTTTAAAACTCAGTCCCTCTTTTGCACTAGCTACATTTCTAGTGCTCAGTGGCCACGTGTGACTGGTGGCTGCTGTATCAGACAAAGTGGAGTAGACCATGTCCAATATCTCCAAAGTTCTGTTGGATAACACAAATATAGACAGATTGGCGAAACAAAATGAGAATGCAAAAACCACATGATCTTTATAGTATTTCTTAACCACTGTTAAACAAAACTAGAAATTAGAAATAAGAATCACAAAGTCCAGATGAATCAAATATTTCTGTTCCCTGACGGTTCATGGTTGAAATGCAGAATAGTTGAATTCAGTAGGATAGAGAAATTACACATTTTTCTTAAGATTATATTCACATTTACATCTTTAGTAACAAACATGTTAATTTATAATTTTTAAACATATCCAGTTAAAAACCAATGCTACAGGTGACTTGTTAATGTTGGTACCACTTTTGGACAACATGCATAAAATAATGACATTTTTACCATTGTAATTTAACTAATTTTTCTATTTAAAATCTATTTTAATTTAAAAATATGATTTCAGTTCTTCCTACCATTTTAATATTTTCAACTGCAGGCCATATATATATATATATATATATATATATATATATATAAAATGAATGTATATATTATGTATGTATATTCAGTTATTTAATGTCCAAATATTTCAATAGAGAGAAAACTGGAGTGGAAATGAGATATTAGATATTTAAGTATTATTTCAGGCTTATTTGATTCAATTACCCAGGTTACTATGATTCCTTTTGTTATTATTATTATTGTCATTTTATATTTCTTTGGTTGTCATTATGAAACCATGAGAAAATAATTATATAGCATGTTTTCCGGATAATGATTATCCAACAGGACTACAACAAGAACTAATAGAATTCTCCTTAGTACCATTTACTATCATTTTACCCCTGTTCCCATATCTTTTAAATGTAGGTATTTTATAAAATACCAAAATCTCAAGTTCTTTGATCTATGAATAGTTTTTTCCTTTGGATTTTTCATTTATGTGCTTTGTCTGTTGCTTCAGCAGCTAACCAGTAGCTTCAAATAATTCAGTAACCAAAGACTAGAAAATAAAAAGTTGACACATAAAGATATACATGTATATATTATTTTAGTGGAATTCCTATTAATGAGGTTATTAAATGAAAATTATTTTAAATTGGATGAATTGTTTACTTCAGCACTATCAGAAATTCAAATTTATTTAGTCTCTACAAATTCTGTGTACCCTCTTTTATTTTTTCAATTATTAATTTTCTTTAGAAAGCACATGTGGATATTTGGCCGTTTTTATTGATCTTATTTAAGCCCACTTGTACTTTACATAACGATTTTCTGATGACTCGCAAAGCTACGTAAAAAGAAATTTAAAAGGAATAACCACGCAGAATGATTTTTTCCTTTTCCTCTCCATTGCACATAGCTGATTGTATAGCAAATTATAACAACCAACTGGATAACAAACAAACAAATCTGATGCTCCCTGAGTCAACTGTTTATGGTGATGTGGACCTTAGTAACAAAATCAATGAGATGAAAACCTTCAATAGCCCAAATCTGAAGGATGGGCGTTTTGTCAATCCATCAGGGCAGCCTACTCCTTACGCCACCACTCAGCTCATCCAGTCAAACCTCAGCAACAACATGAACAATGGCAGCGGGGACTCTGGCGAGAAGCACTGGAAACCACTGGGACAGCAGAAACAAGAAGTGGCACCAGTTCAGTACAACATCGTGGAGCAAAACAAGCTGAACAAAGGTGAAGAGGCTTGCATGTATTCCCATCTGTTTCTGTATGATACTCTCAGCACCTCGACTAGATGTTGAAACTTGTCTGCGACTAGCAAGTAAAATCTTTTCTTCTGTCGCTGAGATTTTCTTATTTCTTTGGTTTCAAAATTTCCAGTGTCAAAGAGTTAATTAGCACAACAATAACCTTGGAAAATTTATTTTATAATAATATATAAGTATTTTCAAATGGTTTTGAGATTAATTTAAATTTAATAGCAGGTGAGGGATTGGGACGGACAATCTTTTATTCATGAGGCAGATGTACAACTGTCACAATACCTCGCATTTTCAATAAATAGACTATCCCATTCTTTCCACTAGAGGATGGAAGATAATTGCTTCTATGTGGTTATATAAACCAATGGCATTTTTATATCAACCTGAAATAAAATAATTAAATTAAACTTGAACTGGAGAAGTGGTTCAATTTGTTGTATGTCTCCCACCTCGTGTGGTTATTAAGACTGCTACAGTGTATAATTTTAGAACCTAAATTTCCTTGGTTGACCTGATTGAAGTCTGTCCGTATAGAACCTAAAATAAATTGAGTTTAGTATTAACTTGAAGCCGCAGAATAGTATTCTGTGGCCTGAAGGAAATGTTTCTGTATTGTAATGTGTATGAGTTGGAAAAGATAGGTGTTTGGTTTCTTTGTAGTCCTTTAGGCTACTGCTATAATATCATGATTTGCAAAGTTATACCTCTAGGAAAACCAGGATTGCTCTAATGTGAATAGATGGGGGCAATGCATCCCCACCTATTCCAGGTAAAGAATACACTGGAGATAATTGGAGACATAGACATTTTCTTTAGGTTTGGGTTGGGAACATTTTCTTTGAAAATGCGATTTATCACAGTTGAAGATGACAAAAATATAACTTAAAAATTTCATTTAAGTTAATATTATGTTTTAACTCGAGAATGAAGTCAGCTAGGCTTTTCTCAAGTTTAAGAAAGTACTTGATTGGTATAATAACCCAATTTAATAAATATGGATCGAGACTCCTGCATAAGTTCATAACAAAAACTGACAAAGATGAACAGGACAGTTTCTGTAATCATGGAGTTTGCAGTGGTGATTCAAACTATTGTCACATTATTCCTTCATAGTATATTGTTTTACTGTGGACTTCGGAAAGCCCTGAGAGCCTCCGCACAAATATTTCAGAACTCTGATTTATTGTTTATACTGCTTGTAAGCAGATTTGGTATGTCAGACCATAATAAAGAACCTGGAATGCAACTAGACGACAGATTATTACTGACTACATTCCAGTGGCAAGCTTATCATTTGGATTTTCACCTTTGCCTAAGTAAGCAGAAGCATTTCTGGGGCAAATTAAGATATTTGTTTTTTTTAATCATAGATATATTTTTTATTAGATATAACCTTGCTGACAGGTTTCAGTTTTATTTTTATGTATTGTGATTTATTTTTTATGATTTGCAGACATTTTTGTGATTCTTATTAAAATCATATTGATATTATATTATTAAAGTTATTTATAGTTTATATATATTTGGAGTATAAGCCTTTTTATATCCTGACAATCTGAATACAACAATAGAAGAGAAAAAAGGCAAATAAATGGTCCAATTTGTTTCTTTAGTTACTCAGAAATATAGAGAAAGCAGAGATGTGAAATCGCTCATGAAGAGAAAATAAATGTTTATTGTTTTTTCATCTGATATGTCTAGATTATCGAGCAAATGACACAGTTCCTCCAACTATCCCATACAACCAATCATACGACCAGAACACAGGAGGATCCTACAACAGCTCAGACCGGGGCAGTAGTACATCTGGTAAGTAAGATGAACCAAAGAACTTCTCCTTTAAAAAGCTGGTACTTTCCAAGATTACAAATTGAGTGCTAATGGACTGACGTATGTAGGTGACATGTCTAAATCACTGTATGTAATTTGAGTCTCAGGCATGTGTCTTGTCTCTGCAATTTGAGGGACTTTCCACTCACTAAATCATTTTATGTTCTATTTGGCAAAAAGACTAAGTGTCCTATTTTCTTCCTTGTTAATGAGCTTTAGCAAAGCCAGAAGAAACATGTCTGGTTAATCTTTAAAGGCAGTTGAAACTTTTTCCCCGTTGGCCAAAATATAACTAAAAATGTTGCACAGAGTTAACCTGCTAAATATGTTGCCATTTGAAACGAGCCTATAAAAGCACATAATGTTTGAGGACACTTGAGCAGAATCAAAAGCCGGAGAGACAATAACATGAGATTCAGGTACAATAGGAGCCTGTCTCAGTTTATCATCCCTCTACGATCCCTCAGTTCTTGCTCTGAAGCCTCGTAAAGCAACCTCCCAACCTCAGTCTGTAAGTGCCTCCCAAAGCCACATTGAGGCCTCTTCCCTGTGGTCTTCATGCTGTTACAGCTGTTTGCCAGCTGTTTTCCTGATAGGGGCTGCAGATGGGAGCTTGCTGGGTACTTAAGTCCTGTTTTTCTAATTAAAGGCAGTTCGTTATTAGAACTAACATGTGGCACATCACACCACAATGAGAACAAAACCGACTGATCTTGACTCTAGCAATGTTTCTCCAGGAGAGGGTAGAAATGCCACTTCCCAGCAACTGGATTAAAGTTGTTCTTAGGGGCTTTTAGCCAAGAGTCTCCACCCTTCTTCTGTAATGAATATGGCATTTGCATTTTACAGTTTTCCCTTAACTAACACGCTGGTCTGGCATTGTCTAGCCTGTGTTTCTGTTGGAATTAAGGGAGCTTAGAAATGGCCCTTTACCTTTTAGATTTACTCTGATTCTATTATATGTTATTTGTTTGTTTTAACAATTAACATCTTATTAAATGACTTCTTTTTTGAAGCTAAGTCAATCCTGAATTAAGAGAAATATTTCAAGGATCTACTTTTAAGAAAATCATATGAAATATTTTAATATTTGATTATCTTATGCCATTTGATCTTTGAATTTTTAGTCACATAGAGAAAACCATATCTTAATGGGAAAATAAACAATGATTCTAGGTTATTAATCTTTAATTGACCTTCAGCATCCCTCAGCTTAGATACCTAGATCTGGGTGTTCTACTGCTATATATCATTTGATATTCTGTGAATATATGGTAAAAAGATGTAAAGATGCGTGATGGTAATTAGGGAAGAGAACAAAGCAAGTAAATAAGGTATAGGAGAGATCTGTGATAGGCCTCTCCGGACTGATGGAGTTGCTACAGTAGATGTATATCAGGAAATCCAGAGGAAGATGTGGGTTAATGTCTAGTCTACAACACATGCACAGTTATCCCAATGCTGGACACCGGAGTGGTGGACGAGAGAAGTGAGAGACATACACATAGGACTGATAATCGTAGTTTATTAATAACAGCCTGTCCCTAGCCCACGCTTAGTGTGGTAACCTACCAGTACAAGAACATCTGGCTTAACAAACACTGCCATTTGACTGAAAATTCCCAAGTGACAAAAAAATCAAGGCTCATTGAATATGATCAGACCTGATTCATATATTACATGACTTGGAGAAGGATTGGATAGGGTTAAAAAACTAAGGCCAACATAATGCACTGATATAAAGGGAACTTATGAGAAAAATAATCATAGACTCATTGTCTATAATTCACATATGAATCAAAAATATAACATATTGGAAAGGGGATATTTTGTCCCAAAATATTTGTTGACCTAAAGTTTTTGTTAAAATAAATGCTCTCAAATATATAGCCTCTTGTGTTTAAAAAATATGCCAGATCTAAAATGAGAACACTGGAGCACTTGAATGATTGGGCTATGTCAAACTACTAAGAATGTTCAAGCAACATCATTTTACCATAAGCCATCATTGTACAGAAACAGTGGCTGAAAACACTTCTGTCCCTTTTAAAAATCATTTTTCTGCTTCTTTTGTCATTAGTTCTATCAGTTATTCCAGCTATTATTTCATCTGTACTTGCCTTTCTGAAGGGAACTAGTAATTTCATTGTGCCTAAAACATTTCAATGGACAAGTACAAATTATATATATTCAGTGATTTAATGCAACAGTGGAACTCTAATAGATCGTATCTGTATCATATTGTATTTTAAGTTCCAGCAATTAAATAATAGAAAGGCACTCGAGAAAATATATCTACAGCTCATTTGTTTGAGATGATAATCCATAATGCAATTAATTGCTGCAGGAAGATCACTATTAATGATATGACTTGAAACATTCATTCATGGTTTTATTGCTTTTTTGCTATTTATTTTGCAGTTATTCATGGCAGTACCTTGCATGTTCTCTTGTACAAAGTTCTGTTTAAAATTAATGAAAAAGCATGTTTATCTCTGTATATATAAATGAATTATAAAATCATATTTACAAAAAATAATTAACTTGTGACTAATGGAAAAAGTTTAAAGGCCAGAGATCAATGGCTTCTATTTTATTTCCTTTCTAGGGAGTCAGGGGCACAAGAAAGGGGCAAGAACACCCAAGGTACCAAAACAGGGTGGCATGAACTGGGCAGACCTGCTTCCTCCTCCCCCAGCACATCCTCCTCCACACAGCAATAGCGAAGAGTACAACATTTCTGTAGATGAAAGGTAAGAGGAGCATCCAAACAGATGTAAACAGTGTAATATGATTGTTTCAGCCCATTTTCAGCAATTATTATACTAGGTGGTCAAGAGAAGACTGATTCCTAAGGTCCACAAACAGTTGCCTTTAAATAAAATAGTGCTGGTCAGCAGGAAGTAAAAATTCTCCTTGCTGCTTCCAAAAAAGCAATCTGTGCTTTGAAAGATTCTTTTGGAACTTAGAATGGAATATAAAAATGATACATATTAGCTCATGTATCTATCCTGTGTGTGTATACGTAATTTAACATATGGATATATAATTTTGTGATTTTTGAGTATTAGAACTTCTGTGACAGGTCTTGAAATTTTTGAAAGATAATCGTGTGAATTTATACCACAACGATGGGATCCTGAAGGCTATTTGTTCTTAGATATTATCACCTTATGCTGAGAACTCTGTAGAAATGTAAACTTTACTGGATTGTTTCTCCCAAAGACTTAACAAGTATAATAATCCACATGATAGCAATTAGGAAGCTAGTGTACCTCTTTCTCACTCCAGAATCTGTAGAACTGGACATGGTACCACCAAATGAAACAAAACAGCTGCTTCTTTAACATAACCAAAGGGGGAAAACTCCTTTAAGGTGGAGAATTAACGAATAAATCGTAAAATATACCTGAAAATACAGTTTTTTCTGTGACTGCTGTAAAGACATCATTCCTTCATTCTCCACACACAGAGAAGTGTATTACTATGCCCAGAAACAAAGCCTCTGTGCTTCAGGTTTCTAATAATCTTTTTATAAAATGCATTTTTAAGTAAAATTCTTATATAAAAATATTGACAGGGAAATCTCATTATCCACAATATTTATGTGTTTTAAAATTCTTGTGAACAGTGAGTTAGCAAATGTTGAACCATTCATTGGGCCTAGGAGAAATACAGGGCTAGGTTCCTTCTAACCTCTAGCCACAACATATTTGTCCACTGACCAATACATAACCTTGTTTTATGTATGTGTTTTTAAAGAGGCTTATTTAATATATATTGTTCATTTATTAACATGGAACCCAATAAGCCATGCCTCAGCAAAGCTGATTTCGTAGATATATTTCTTTAAGGCACATTACAGCCTTCTAGGGCGTGGAAACACTAACAAGCCCTTCAGCACTTCTTTTGAGGGCCATTTTAAGCAGGGAAATCACTAATATAAAGCTTAAAACATTTCGACAAACATGGCACTAAATAAACCATGAAAAGGACGCTTGTTTACCGTGTGAGAACTGACACAAGAAAGCAAAGTGTATCCTTGTTTTACCTCAGCTGGGAACATGCACATCAGGCGCTCAAATTTTTGGCCTCTTTGTGAGTCTGTGGGAATATGACCATGAAAATGCCACAGATACCAATTTGGGGGTTTACAAATAAATTACACCAAGTCAGCGAATTTGCAGATATGGAATCTGCAAGTAATGAAAACGAAACTGTATGTTTGGTTTGGTTTGGTTTGGTTTGGTTTGGTTGGTTTGGTTTTGTTTTTAGAAACAGGGACTCACCCCAGAGCTCGAGTGATCCTCCCATCTCAGCCTCCCAAGTAGCTGAGACTACAGGCTTGTACCACAGCACCCAGCTAAGTTTATTTTTATTTTTTTGTAGAGATGATATTTCACTGTGTTGCCCAGGCTGTTCTCGAACTCCTGATCTCAAGCGATCGTCCCGCCTCAGCCTCCCAAAGTGCTGGGATTGCAGGCAGGCATGAGCCATTCCACTTGGCCTGAATGCATTTCCCAAGCTATTTTAACAACATTCATTGCTGCTTTCATTCACAAAAATAAGAGGACTAAAATGAAATAAGTGAATATAGGTTTTTTTTAAAAAAAAAGCAATATAGGAGCTGCAACTGTGCCCCAAGGAGAAAGACTGATTCTAACTGAGAAGAATGAAGGTTTCGTGATTGGCTACATTTGTTCTTGATCTGGACAAATGAGAAGGTTCTCAGTTAAGAAGAAGGGGTTTTATGGACATGGGACCACACAGATGTGGTCTCCTGGAAAACTAACATGAAACACACGGTAGGGAACGAGACGAAGCTGAGACAGCAAATGTAAGCCAGATTATGCAGATACTCGAGTGTTTTGCTTAGTCATTTATATTTTATTCTCTAAACAATTAGAGAGCCATTTCTTATTTTGAAGAGCACATGAATAGCCAGCATGTGATGCATATTAGTGTAATTTTGGAAGCAATGGAGTGACTGGGAGGCTAGGAGACCAATTAAAAGATTGTTGCAGTAGCACATACAAGAAATAAAAATTAGAGAATAGATTCTAGAGAGTTTTTATTGACAGAATAGAAATGAATTGGGGAGTAGTTTGAGGGAGAAGAAAGAAGTCAAAGATAACTAAAACATTTCTAGTTTGGATAAGTAGGCAAGTTGCTCAGCTGTTTGTTAATAAAGGAAACATAAGAAAGAGGCAAAGAGGGAGATAGTGAGATTAGGAAAGTAAAGAAAGATGCAAAGAAATATTATTTGAGCATCAACTTTCCTGAGTTCAGGTAAACAAGGTGGATGGTAGAGAATGAACAAGGGAAATGGGTCCACAGTTTATATAATGTAGTACTTCATTGCCCTTATAATCGATAAACATACGCCCTGGGATAAGAGAAAAGAGAAAGGCATGAATGTTCCCCAGATCCATCGTGCTTCCCACCCATCTCCAGCAGAGGAGTAGGGCATTTTATTGTTGAATGGTGTTGTGTTTTTCACTCACCAGCCTAAATGCAAGCCAACAACTTCATTTTGTTTTCAGCTGAAGAAATAGTGATCTACTATAATTTCAGAGAAAAAAAAATGGGTTGTATTGGACTGAACAGGTTGACCTCCATTATATCTTTCTCTGCAAAGATTGTTAAGAGTAATTTTTCTTGGCTGGGCACAGTGGCTCACGCCTGTAATCCCAGCACTTTGGGAGGCTGAGGCGGATGGATCACTTGAAGTCAGCAGTTCGAGACCAGCCTAACCAACATGGTGAAACCCCATCTCTACTAAAAATACAAAAATTAACTGGGCATGGTGATGAGCACCTGTAATCCCAGCTACTCAGGAGGCTGAGCCAAAAGAATTGCTTGAACCTGGGAGGTGGAGGTTGCGTTGAGCTGAGATTGTGCCATTGCACTCCAGCCTGGGCAACAAGAGCGAAACTCCATCTCAAAAAAAAAAAAAAAAGAGTAATTTTTCTCTAAATGTAGCAGCTCATCTTCAGGTCCTCTGTAATACCATCTTTGAGTCTTTTAGAGAACATATTGGAGGGACAAAATATACCAAATACATTTGGGCTGTACTAAATTAAGCCATGTTAAGTGAATTTTTTTATTGCATGACTTCTAAGACCCTATAACATGCTAATGTCAATTACAATCCCTTAGAGAAAAATAGTTTATGCAGTAATTCACAAACCTTGTGAGGTAAAACCTTTTTCAATAATATCTCCTTAATGTGACTGAGAACGTTCAGATTTGAAAAACAATTTAAAGGTGACATTTCATTACTATCCAAATAGTTTATTTGAATAACCTGAAGTAAGTCTACACATCCTTATCATTTATTTTAGCTATGACCAAGAAATGCCATGTCCCGTGCCACCAGCAAGGATGTATTTGCAACAAGATGAATTAGAAGAGGAGGAAGATGAACGAGGCCCCACTCCCCCTGTTCGGGGAGCAGCTTCTTCTCCAGCTGCCGTGTCCTATAGCCATCAGTCCACTGCCACTCTGACTCCCTCCCCACAGGAAGAACTCCAGCCCATGTTACAGGATTGTCCAGAGGAGACTGGCCACATGCAGCACCAGCCCGACAGGAGGTATGTTGTCACTAGCCTTCTTTGCTAACAAATCAGATAATTTCTACTCCTCAGTGGAAGTTACCAAATGCTATCCCACGAAGTAATTTTCTTGTCTCATAAGCCTTTTCTGGCAGTATCATCCCATAGTAAACCCAGGCAATTAACATATGAAGTCATATTGTTGACCATTGCATTAGATTAATTGATCCTAGTGAACTTGCAACCGTAAAATAATGTGTATTAATACTCACCCACTTACAACTATTACATTCATAACCACATGGAGATCATGTATATGGTTTGCTAACTCTGTATCATATTATTGACAGTGGGTATTTTTGTACTTTAGTGTTCCTTTTGTATCAATAAGTCACTTCTTTGGTCAGCAGAAAACAGATTTTCTCCTGTCTTTTAAAATTAAGTTTACATAATAATGTATTCCCTCATAACTATAATGTCACAGAAGAATGAGTTTCTCATAGTCTTTTTGTGTTGACCTCAGCTACCTTTGATTTAGATATGAGTTTTGAGTAGTTTAGTCAGATTATTATATAGTGTGTGTGTGTGTGTGTGTGTGTGTGTATGTGTGTGCTTGTGTGTGCTTAGACTTTTTTAAACCTATGTATTGAGCATCCCCAACCAATACGTATTTGTTATATACAATGGCTTCACTTCGCATTTCTACCACATAAAAGCTGTTCCTGCACCATTTTAGCTCTTCTCTCATTGTTGATGATTTTATTTATACTGTTTTTTTGCCCTTGACACATTATATGTATACATTATTTTCTGTATTCCTAATATCATTTGAAATTGAGTATATTATTTGCCTCAGAAGAGGTTCCTTTGATATTCTCGAATGAATAACAAACTGCGATTTTTGTGGCTTGAATTTTACTCTGTAGATTAAAACAGAATTTTGCAATGTTTATTAACTCTTCTATTACCAGATTCAAATTACATACACTGTAAAAACAAGAAAGTAGTTAAGCTTTCTTCTATCTGGCAGTGAGGAAGTTGGATTGTCAGACATTTTAAAGTAATATTATTAACCCATGGAATGTTACGAAAATTGAGAGCAAATAAGGCACTTCTTTCCCATATTAAAGTCACAGACCATCCATGCTACTCTTATTAGAAGCCAATGAGAGACTAAAAGAGACCATTTAGCTCTGAAATATCTAAGCATTGTTTTTTTTGTTCCCTTGTCTTACCTTTTTTCCTCACCATTCCTGTCTCTATTCTCAGGGTACCCAATATTTTCTTTCTGGCTAGCTCTTCTTTTGTATCTCTTATGTCCTCCTTTCCACCTTCCTTGATAACAGAAATCGGTTTTCCTTTATCTGTCTGGAATGTCCAGCCTCTTCCTCTTCATTCAGTTCTCCTTCTCTTCTTGGTTAACTCAGCTCCCTTCATGCCTTCCTCTTCCTTGGCCTCCCTTCTGGCTCCATGCTCTCTCCCGCTGCTTCATTTTGTTGAACTCCTTCTGCCTTCCTGATTCGCATTCGCACCTCAGCCCACTGCATTCTGGCTTATAACGTTTTGCTTTGATCAGTCCATTGAAAGTAACCTCCTAATGGTCAAATGTAAAGACTTCTCAGTTTGTATCATACTTATGCTTTCTGCCATGATGGCCATTTTATAAATTGTTGTGAGAATCAATGGATAATGTGTGTAAAGCATCTGAAGCAGGGTAAGTATTCAAAAATATTAATGCCCTACAGCCCTCGCCTTTACGCCATCATCCCGTTGCTTTGTTCAACTCTTATATTCTGTTGGCTATCGAATTTCTTTACCCAGGCTAGTCCCTTCTCCTGAATGCCACAATATTTCCAGTTGAACTTCACCATGTGTCTAAATCCAAATTCTTTGTCTTTGGACTTGACTCTTTAAACTTATCTTTTCTTTTACTTTGATGGCTGTCTTGTTTAGAATTTTCAACCATTATTTATTTGACCAATGTTTTAAAATAAGATGGCTGAGGAAATAGGCAAAAATCATAAACAATACCTTTGTCATTTTGAAATCAGCTTAGTTATCCTCCTATTTAGTTTTTTCCTAGCATTCTACAAATGAGGTTATTCATGAAGTCACTTTAATCCAAAATGGCCCTTGATTTTGCTCCTTAGTTTCCATTCCTACAGCTGCTAGGGCAGGCCCTCCATCCCTGTCCCATGAAATCCACCTTATCCTTAAATGGATTCCACTTTTCTTCTCTGTTTTTCTGTTCATTCTCACAGTATTTTTATTTGCACACAAGAAGTCTGGTAATGTTCCCCCATTCAGAGTCAAGTTAGTGTTTAACCCAGTATTTAAAGGTTTTCACAATCCTTTTCCCTTTATTTACTTTCCCCCCAATTTCATCACATACACTCTTTTCTAATAAGTCTGTTTTAAAGTTCCTAAATTTGCCTGAAACTCATCAACATCCAGGTCTTCTACATGCTCTTTTCTGATTGCCTGGTAAGCATCCCTCATCTTTCAAAGCCCTATTCAAAGGACACGTCCTCTGCTTGCCTGGCAAAAGTCAACCCCTCTTCTTTACTCTTCATAAGAGTCTGTTCCCATCCCTGTTACCACACTAACCAGTTTTCATATTGCATTAGTATTTGCTGTTCGTATCTCTGTTTTCCTATTTAAATTAAAAGTTCTTTGAAGGCAGAACTCATCTCGTTCATGTCATTGAGTTCCACAGAGCTTTCTTCAGTAAAGTATTTGATGAATGGAATCGGATACTATGGAATAATTGGAGTTGACCTACTGTCTATTGTTTCAGGCAAATGGATGCTTGTAGAACTTGAGGCAGATATATGTAATTGGGTAATACATTAACTATGTGCACTTACAATCAATTTGACTATTTTCAGCCTTTCTCAAAGGTATGATTTTCAATCTGTAAGGGTATTATGGATTTTATTTCCAGGGTCATTGCTGGAAATAACACTGGGCACTAATAAAAAGTAAGTGAAAGCCCATTTTTAAAAAGTGCTTTAACTGCTTTTTTATGATTAATGTATATTCTATATGTTTACTATAGAAATTTTTGAAAATACATATAAACAAAATGAAAATATAAAAGTCCCAGTGATCTATGTAATCAAAAAAATCACTGTGAAGACCTCAATAAAGATCCTTTCAATCTTTCTTCTCTACTTATATATTGCTTGGATTTATGATACGCCAATATTATTTTATAAACTACCCTTTTCACTGAACAGCATTTTTTCACGTTGTTATCTTTTTATTTAGACACTTGTGTAAAGTGTGTAACTCTATTTAACCAACTCCTTAATATTGGCCATTTTAATTGTATCTACCTTTTTTGATACTATATACAATGTTGTGATTTCCATCTTAAGTATTTGAATGAAGTCTCCTCTTGATCCCTTGATCTATTCTAATGTCTGCCCCATCAGTAGATGACTTCTGATTCTTATCATTCTTCCATTTCCCTAATGGTACACTCATAGATATAGATAGCTATTTCTCTACAAATCTCTTTCTGGAGCTTCCGACCCATATATCCAACTACTTATTCCTGTAGGTTTTTACTGCCTAAATATCATTCTGAGTGATACACATATCTCCAGCCATAAATGCACTTTCCTAGTTCCGACAGCCGTTTTCTCTCACCTGCATTACAGTAATGTTCTGCTAAGTGGTCTTGTTGCTTCAGCCTTGCTCCTCCTTCAGTCTAATTCCTTGCTGCAGACTGTGCAGAGGCATTTTCCTAAATTGAAACACTGATCAAGTCTCTCCATTGCTTAAGATCTCTCAATGGCTTCCCATTTTTCTTAAAATAAAAGCAGGGTTCCTTAATGTAGCAATCAAAGCCCTTTGTGATCTGACCCCTGTGTGCCCTACCATCCTTACCCATTGCTACTCCCCGAACAATGTCTGTGATGTCTTCACTCTAAGTTTCTTCTAGTTCCTGGAATAAGCACAATTCTCACTCACCTCAATATCTTTGCACATGCTCTCCCATCTTCCTGGAACACCATTTTCTCCTCTCCTTTTGGAGCTAACACCTATGTATCCTTTAGATCCAAGATTAAATGGCAGATCCTCCTCAGTAAATCTTTCCCTGATGTCCCAACTTTGGGATAGGAGCCATATTTATGTGTTCCCGCAACACTCTATATATCCTCTGTCATTGCATATTTAATTATTTGTCTCCTCCACTAGACTAAAGTCCCTTTAGACATGGATATCTATTTCATTTAGCTGAATTCCTAACATAGTGCCCGAGTTCCTGTTTCTATTGCTGTCTAACAAACCACTCCAAAATGTAGTGACCTAAAGTAATCTAATCATTTTATTCACAATCCCATGAGTCAGGAATTCTGAAAGGATTCAGCTGGACAATTCATCTCCAATCCATATGGCTTTAGTTGCTTGGCTGGGGATGGAAGATCTACTTCCAAGTTAGTTTCTTCACTCATGTGTCTGATGTCTCAGTGCTCCTTGACCTCTGTCTCTTTCCACATGGAGTCTTATCCTCCAGGTCTCACCATATAGTATGGACTTCTCATAACATGGGGTCTCAGGTTAATGGCAACTCTTTCATGGCAGCTGGCATCCAAAAGGCAGGAAGGGGAAGTTGCCAGGCCAGTTAACATTTAGAACTGGTGCATAGTCTTGCTTCTGCCACATTGAATTAAAGCAATCACAGAATCCATCCAGATTCGAGAGTGTTGAACTCATCTACCTCTCTTGATGGGAGAATGGCGAGTTCTCATTTCAGAATAGCATTTGGAATGGGAGATATTGCTATGGACATTTTGTAGAATACAGTCTGCCATGGCCAGATATGTAGCTTACATTAAGTATGTTTACCTTAAAATTGAATCCTTACCTGTCATAAAGCATAAAGCATGTTACCTAAGCTCTGTTTGCCTGTGATCTTTTTGGTATAAATCTAGCAGTCTTTACCATGGTAGGCTCACAGTAAATGTTTAAAGAATAAATACATTGATTACATTTATATTTATTGATAAGGGGTGCAGATAGTGTGATACATTAATAAAATTACTGAACTTAAACCATTATAACACTGCAAGTCGAATTATATAAACATTAAAGACCTGCATTATTATGAATATTTCAATTTTGGTATTATAATGAACTTCTAGGGTATTCCATTTTTGTCTAAAACTGGGTAAACTAGGTGATCAACATAATAGGAATTTGTCTTCTCTTTTTTTCAAACAATAGCTGGGAAAATAATATAATTAAACTTATTCAAATATGTTGTTTTAAAAAGTGATTGGTATGCTTAACTTTATTGCAGTATAGTAAAAGTCTCTAGAAAAGTAAAAATTATGTTCATATATGGAATACATGAACATTTACTTGTTTGATTAATACAGATAAGTTGAGGTAATAGTTACTTTTACAAGAAACTGAAGCTACACTGGTGTTAGAACAAAATCTCAAAGGTGTGCATTTTTCTCCTTTGTCTTTTGCCTGGTAAATGCTATATGGTGAATGGTATAAACACCTACTTTGATAAATTAATGACATCATTCCGCTTTTCTCTTGAACATGTTTATGAAGGCATCATTCTTGCAGGAGACTAGAGTGTTGCGATACACAGTCATATACTTATACATTATTTCAGAAGACATTGAAACCCCTCGGGGAGAAATCTAGAGGGTTGAGGTTCATTTGCGACAAGTCCCACTTGAGTGCAGCATCTTGAAATGGCTTTTTGTTTTCCAATAGAATGTATTACATATTTCAAACTGTACATGTTTATCACACATTCCCTGGGCTTGCCTTATTTACAGATGGTTTGAATAAATTTTTCTGTCTTTCTTCAATATTTGTAAAGGGTGGTTGTAGTTAAAAGCCAGCCCTTGTTTTACATGAAGATGTATTTGCTCTACAGAATGTGCATTATCCAAACACAACAATGCTGGCATCCTTTCATAGTGAAGTCGGCCATTCTGCATCTTTCTTTATTGATGGTCAAAATAGTCTCCTTTGTGCTAAAAAGTCTTACATGTCTTTAAGAAGGAAGAAGTTTCTTGTGGTATTTTGGGTTTGTATGCTGACAAAGACTGTAAATTAACTTTTAAGTGTGGTATTTTATTGCATTCCAAATTAAACAATGGTTTTCCTCCTATGTGTATAACACTCCATATTGAAACAATTATCTATTTTAATCTCTTAAATAACTTCAGCTTTGGCACATTTTTCATATTTCTCCTAGTGCCACACACAGACACTTTAAAAACCACCCAGAAATGAAAAATAATGCATTATATTAAAGAATGTTGTGTGTATATATAACAGATATATACACATAATAATATATAATTACATATATGTGTGTATATGCATACTTTTTCAATGTAATATATTAGCTTTTATTTCTTAGTTTTTTAATACATCTGTATATGGCACATATCTCTCCTAGCTTATATGTATACACACACACACACACACACACATATATATATATAATATATTTACACTTATATATGTGTGTGGAAGGTCATGCCCTTGGAAATAAACTTTGGTTTTAAATTCTGCATTTGATACATGTGATCTGTGGCAACTTTGGTAAGACCCTTAATCCCTCTGAATTTCAATATTCTCCCCTGTAAAATGATCATTTAAAAAGTAACTCAAAAAGTTATTGAATTAAATGAGTAAATCTTATAAAATATGCTTAGCTACAAAGTAAGTGCTCATTAAATGAGTTAATTGCAATATTTTTAATAATCATTTATTTTTAATGTTTTCCATTTCTATTGAACAGATTTATCAAAGTTCAAATTCATTGGGATAAAAAGCAGAAAATGTTTTTCTTCTTTTTTTTTGAGACGGAGTCTCCCTCTGTCGCCCAGGATGCAGTGCAGTGGCACGATCTTGGATCACTGCAACCTCCTCCTCCCGGGTTGGAACAATTCTCCTGCCTCAGCCTTCCGAGTAGCTGGGATTACAGGTGTCTGCCACCACACCCGGCTAATTTTTGTATTTTTAGTAGAGACGGGGTTTCGCCGTGTTGGCCAGGCTGGTCTTGAACTCCTGATGCCACCCACCTTGGCCTCCCAGAGTGCTGGGATTACAGGTGCACACCACCAAGCCCAGCTTGAAAACGTTTTTCTTCAAAAAACTCCCATGCCACCCTAAAAACTGTGCCATATCAAAGTTATTTTTCCCTCTCTATAGTAGAGATCTTGGAGCAGATCCTACTGGTTTTAACTTTATTTAGATCTTGACCAGGTCCTGTATGGTTTTGTTTTGTTTGCTTGCTGTTAAAATCTAGTTCTATGAATTTAATGTCATGTAATTAATTTTTTTTTTTTTTTTTGAGACAGAGTCTCACTCTGTCACCCAGGCTAGAGTGCAATGGTTTGATCTTGGCTCACTGCAACCCCTGCCTCTCGGGTTCAAGTGATTCTCCTGCCTCAGCCTCCCGAGTAGCTGGGATTACAGGCATGCACCACCACACCCGGCTAATTTTTGTATTTTTAGTAGAGACAGGGTTTCGTCGTGTTGGCCAGGCTGGTCTCAAACTCCTGACCTCAGGTGATCCACCCACCTCAGCCTCTCAAAGTGCTGGGATTACAAGCATGAGCCACCACGCCCAGTCATTTCTGTTAATTTTAAAACCTCAATTGTGCATTCCCAGACATCCTTTGCCAAATGCCCTTTTCTGTGGCAATGGTGGCATGGAGAAAGTGATCATGTTCTGCTTTTAAATACCTCCCTCCACCTGCCTCTGCCAGGTGCATTCTCCTAGGGCTAAGGCAGGGAAGATGGAATGAGAAAAGGGAAAACTAGATGAGGATCCAGTCTTCTGCTTGGTTAGCTCTAAAGGCTATTCTTATCTCATCTTACTCTATGAGTATCATAAGGGTGCTAAAGGAGAGGTGCCGACATTCACTTATCCCACTGATGAAGGCCTCAATCCTGGGCACCATCTCTAGGCATTTGCAGTTCTTAAGTGATTTATCCATATCTTCAGGTAAACTACCAGTTGATGACATTCATGCTGTATCTCTCCTAGCCTCCCAAGCTGTGGAGGTCACCAGATGACCCTAGACCCTAATCTCAGCTGCTCTCCAATACCAGTGCTCAGTTTGGCAGCTTGTGTAGAATCTATCCTCTTTACTTCTCAGGAGTGCAAAATTTGATGAGGTGTTTTAATGACCTTTCCATCTGAAAGTCCTCCATATGTCATCTCTTTAACCTTGCTTAGAGAATATTAGGACTGTTGAGCAAGTCACTGACCAAGGACTCCTCCAACTAGAAATCCAACCATGTCTTCCTTTTTTGATGGCACTCTTTTAATTTAAGAGTTATTCTCTTAGCATTCTCCTCCCATGGGGATGACTTCCTTCCACGAATCTTGCTTCCTACTAAAGTCAAAATGCTCTATACCTTCTCGGTCATCTATTCACTGTGGATCATAGCCCTAGTGGTGTTAGTGGAAGGATGGCTTCTAGCTGTTGTTATTCTTCATGTCTGCAGAGAGTTGGTTGAAACCAATTAATTGGTAACTGTTTACCTATATTTTGGGAGACTACTTCATTTTGTCCTCAACTCTGGTTCTTAAATTAATTCCAGGACATAAGAAAAAATACCTTTAAATATATTTTTAAAAAAGATAGAATAACAATAAATGCAATAGTGTTAAAAATAGTTAATGATCTTTAATGAAACTCATAGCGAATAAATCAGAGAAGAATTACTCTTGGCTTCCATAGCTTTTTTTTAATAGAATAAAATCTAAAGGAAATTATGTCATATGCTGAATGTGTGCTTTTTTAAATCTTATGAAATTTTACTCTTTATAGTGAAGATGAATGACTTCATTTGCTTGAAAAAGTAGGAGAGGTGATTTAAAAAAGGGAAAGAAACAGATGTTTGTGGAGCAAAGTGTTTCAGGATGAATGTCAGTTGTCTTCAGTAATGATAAACTATGGATAATATTTGAAATGCTTTAGGACAGATACATATGTGTATGTTTTCAAAACAAGTATTACTTTTCCTTTTTTCATGAAACATAATCCAAATGATAAAACATAAGAAGGCTTAGAGATAACTGACTATATTTCTATTAAACTTGAATCAGAAAGTAACCCGGTGGAGCCTCTGGTTGCGAAGTGCAACTCAATATAAAATCAAACTTAAATATATTGTGATATTCAGTTGTTTTTCTGAACATATGAGCTCAAAAGAAGTAAAGGTCAAATCTGCATGCTTGTGAATTTCTTGGGTAATTTGTCCTTTTATGTCTTAAATAACAAGCTGAGCCAGACCTATTTATTCATCTTCATACAGACGGCAGCCTGTGAGTCCTCCTCCACCACCACGGCCGATCTCCCCTCCACATACCTATGGCTACATTTCAGGACCCCTGGTCTCAGATATGGATACGGATGCGCCAGAAGAGGAAGAAGACGAAGCCGACATGGAGGTAGCCAAGATGCAAACCAGAAGGCTTTTGTTACGTGGGCTTGAGCAGACACCTGCCTCCAGTGTTGGGGACCTGGAGAGCTCTGTCACGGGGTCCATGATCAACGGCTGGGGCTCAGCCTCAGAGGAGGACAACATTTCCAGCGGACGCTCCAGTGTTAGTTCTTCGGACGGCTCCTTTTTCACTGATGCTGACTTTGCCCAGGCAGTCGCAGCAGCGGCAGAGTATGCTGGTCTGAAAGTAGCACGACGGCAAATGCAGGATGCTGCTGGTGAGTCCTAACACTTTTCACCAAGCTGGGAAAGAAAACTCAATGTATATATGTTTGTTGCTGATTCTGTCCTATGATCTTACGTCCTATTTGAAAAGCATCTATTCTTACAGTTTTTTTTTTTTTTTAGCTGCCTAAGGAAATGACAGTCCAAGAATATGACTTAGTTGGATTATTCCCTTTTCCTTGACAAGGCTTTTTAAATCTTCTATTTAGTTTTTATTTAATAAATCTTACATAATATGAGTGATAGGGAGCTACCTCATTTTTTAGGATAGCCATAGCAAATATACGTATTACACAAATTGATATAATTTCTTTAAACTATACATACAGTCAATTAGATGAAGTTTGTGTTTTTGAATGTATACTCTAATTTTTTGTGTAGAACCTCACCAAAATCAAATTTGTTGTGATAGTTCTCTTGTTTAAATAAAAATTCTGTAGGGAAAATACATAAATATCCAAGTAGATCACTTTGACCTTTGGAAAATGGGCTATTTCTCCTTAATTCCCATTCTCTTTATGTCCTCTCAAATTAGAATATTAATTGGGAAGATATGACGGTATATGTAATGTGCATACATTTTCAAGCATAAACGTTCCATACTTACAGTAAACATTTTAAATATAATAATTGGGAGAGCAAGCTAAACCAAGTGCTTTTCATATTTTTACTTTCATTGCTAGTAACCCATTTTTAATTACCATATATTCATCTTTATGTTACAACATATTTTTACTTATCTCCTCCTCTTCCCAATTCTGTTTAGAAAGTAAATAGTTCAAGAAAGAAAAGAATTTAAATGTAAGACTTATTTATCACATGATTTTCATTTCTGTAGAATTAATATATACATTCCCATACATATTTTTGTGTGTTTATATTTTTGATAGCCAAGAAAATCTAAATAGTAGAGTGAAATGATCAGCAAGAAAGAGATACATTTCAGAGAAGGAAAAGGCCATCACAACAAGTCAGTTACTGGTATTTTACTGTTTTATTTTTCTTAATTTAATAACTACCACATTGGTAGTCTTCCATGGTCTTTTCACATATTGGATTGGCCATTATTTTTTATCAGTGTAGAATATATTCAGATAAAATGTAAATTACATTATAAAGTCATCTCTATATATTATTTATCAAGAATGTGTTACAGGAAAAAGATTTCTAATATCTCTCAACTTATTATTGTAGAATATATATTTATTTTGGCCAGGCCTATATTTTATGTCATTCAATCAAATATGGTTTTTTATTCCTCTAGTAGCTGCTGAATGTAATAAACTATGCAAACCTAATTATCTTTCTTAATAAATAAATAACATCTAACTTTACATACGGCTTTTGTTTTCTCCTTATTTTTTAACCTTCTGTAAAAAATGGTGAAATTAAGTATCTCAAACCACTGCTTTGAGAATACGTTAGAAAATATTTCAGTTTATTAAATGGACGAAACATAGAAATAACATTGAAAATTCATCTGTAAACAACCTTATAGCTCAGAGTCTGTGAGCAGTGGATGGCCTTACACAGTAGAATGAATAATGGGTTCAGTCTCAGCCCTAATTCTCTGTTTTCATGGATATGTAACTTTAATTGTAATAGTCTCCATCATAGCTAAAGAGAGGTTGGTTTAAAATTTTATTGTTTTGTAATTTAATGGCACTTCTGGTTTTCCTTGAGCTCATAATTTTAATTAACTAAACATGCATTGGCCTCTGCTTATTGCAGTGTCTTTTCAGGGAATGACGGTGCTTGTCATGTGACTTGAAGTTAATATGAATATCCAATCACACTGCTTCTCACTTGGCTGTGTTAATGTATATTATTTAATATGCTTCAGTTATCATCTTTAAATGTGTTGATTGCACTATATGTGGCTTCTGTTTATAGCCAAAAGACATGTTGTCGCGGTCCATTTGAAGTTTCTTGTGGTACAGTAGAAAGTTCTGGATTTGTGACTAGAATTTCTAGAAACCAAAACAGTGAAAGTCAAACATAGGACCAATATATCTCCATTGGGATTATGGATTAAATATGTTGTAGGTGTTGTAATACAGCATCTATGTAAGGCACCAGAGAACGTGGGAGCTTTGAAATACGCCATGTCTAATTAGTAAATTCAGTTCCCACTGGTACCTGGGATTATTGTTTCTCCAAAACCAAACATCTACCTCTTCCACCACCAAAAAAAACAGAAGTCTTGGAGGGATCACGTTAAGTATCCAGAACTAGCAAATATTTAGAGATAGAAAAGAGATGTAAGTAATTTTTGGCAGACCTAAATATGTGAGCTAGATCAATTTCAGACCACCTGAAGAGAATACACCTGAGTCTGTCTTCAAAGTATACTATAAATATATGTTTAATTAAAATATGGGTGCCATTAGTACTGTTCATTTTTCTTAGAACATGAATTTCTTAAGAACTTTAGCTCTTCTTTTGAAAAAGCAACAAACATTGGCTATATTATGCAAACATTTAATTACTATTTTTTGTTTAAGTATAACGTTTTAGTGAAGCTAATTGCAAAAATAATTGGAATACTTTTCTTTAATAAATAGGTATCATGAACTTTAACAGAATAAAAGCACTGCGGTTTAAAACAAATGAAATAAGCAGAAAATGCTTTTGGGGTATTTTTTCCAGTAAATAGCAGAGTGACAACAAGCCTGTTATTTGCTGGAAGAGTTTGTTTAAGCTTTTTTTGTTGCTTTTCAGAAAAATTAAAGCTGTTTCTGGTTTTAATGTTTTCTTTTTGTTGTTCCTGTTGTAATTAAAATTCACTGATGAGTTTGGCTTGGATTTTTTTTTTTTTTCTCCTTAGGCCGTCGACATTTTCATGCGTCTCAGTGCCCTAGGCCCACAAGTCCCGTGTCTACAGACAGCAACATGAGTGCCGCCGTAATGCAGAAAACCAGACCAGCCAAGAAACTGAAACACCAGCCAGGACATCTGCGCAGAGAAACCTACACAGATGGTGAGTCCATTGACACGGATGAAAACGTCTATGAATCTCGCCTATTTACCCTGCCTCTCTAGGACTAGCAAATGCATTCACTGACGTTAGAAATTACATTAAAAATTTATTAACAATCAGCTTCATATTACTTATAGAAGCGACCTACTTACATATTTTGTCAAGCATCTCTACTCCTTGCAGTTTTCTGATAAGCTTGTTATTTAAAAAAACAAAACCATTTGTAGATCCTTAATATTTTTGAAAGTTATTTTATAGTTTCAAACAAATGAACATCACTGTAGTTGAAACTGATAGTTGAAGTAATGGCATAGGTTTAACCTTTGTCAGATTTACTGATAAATCCTCCAAAGTGTCTTCATTTTTTTATTTTACAATTTTGCATTCAAATAGAAGACAGTAAATGTGTTTGAATATTAATTCTAACAACAGTGGTGTTACGAACAGTTATTTTGGGCATCAAAAGATAAATCACCTTTCTTCATGCCTTCACATACAATATCCACTCTCACTGAAGAGGTAACGTTCATATTCTCGAGGGAGCACAGGAGGAAAATGCAAACAGTGTGATTTTGTCTAGAAAAAGCCTTTAATGAAAGTGCCTCAGGTGGCCCAGCATTTATTAAACCACCACCTTCTCATTTTATAAAACAACCCCACAGGCTTTGTTGGAAATTCATGTAAGATAAATTCTCTCAGACTCACTGCTGTTGTCAAGTTTGCTACATTTGCTAAAGGGGTGGAGGAGGAAGGATGTTACAGGCATAGTTCCCCCACCTCCTGGTCCTCTGCAACAAAATCTGATTAGGACTTTCATTACCAGTCAGCAATTTTTCAAAAAGGGCATCATTTGCCATTATCATATGAAAGCCTAATATTATAGATCCTTATCCAAGGTTGCAAGGAAGGTTTTCTGAGGTACTTCTCCCTATGATTCCTACCACTTGACAGAAGAATTTAATACAAAGCTCACAGCATGATGAGCACAAGTAATTTTGCAATGAGTGGCTGTCCATGCTATTATCTATACTTTATTCTGAGTATTTTCTCTCACTGGCATCTATCTGATATTAGACTACATTAAATACTGGCGTGACACAGCGCACCTGGGCCTCCTGGCTTCTGCCCAGGACTCTTTTGTTAGTAAAACTGAGCTGTCAGAATATTATCTGATTTTGAAGGGTTATTACAGTGGCTTTTTGCATGTTTGCCTCTGTGAAGGGACAAACACTAGGTATAAATCCCCCAACTCTACCAGCAATTTTACATTTATGGGACCACCAGAATGGCATTTTTCAAGTTTTATGGCTGTTTTATCAAATTTTATTATCTAGAAGAGAGTGCTTCTCACTGAAAAACTGACCAAACATCAAGCCTGGATGTAAACACATCTAAATTGAATACATAAGGGAGAAAATCTGGCCTAAAGCCTTGTGTAGATCTTTCTACCACATATTTATACTTGTTCAAAGGGGAATCTGGCATTGAGTGATGCTTTTTAAAAATGTTTTAAATAATGTAAGCATGCCAAGTTAAAGAATATTGTATCACAGTTATAAATTACACTATGCTTGAAAATTGTCTGTATTTATTGTCCCACGTTCCGTAGTACTTGTTTCAGTGTTAATAATTAAATATAATTCTAACTAATCCCTGAATAATAACTATTAAATTGAATGATGATGCCTCCAAGTTATGTTTTAAATTAATTTCAGAAATACCAAAGACATATATTGAAATATTTATGAAGCCAAAAGTTAATCTGAAATGTTTATTTGGATTTCTAATTGCTCATTCCGCAAAAGTGATTATGCAAAATTATGATAGTGTATACTGCAATGTAAAAGCCAATAATTATTTTCTCTAAGTCACAAAAATAGATAAAATGGAGAAATGACTAAAGCTATTACAGCATTCACTTTCTTTCAATATTTTGGTAACTATCCTTCAAGTTATGTTTACTGTACTAACAAGTCTTTATGCTGAATGCTTACTGTTTGGTAAAGAAACACAAAATAACAATGCTGTGTCTTATTATATACATATCCCATCATGCATATTGATTAAAGTCATATAATGCAGATTCTTGTTAATGCACTAAATAAAAGAAATGCAGACACGCTGGATGGCAGTGGTTATGACGTAGAGACAAAAGCCATTTTTTCGGAAATTATTTTCCCAAAGTACTACACTGCATTTTTGGAAAAAATATTCATAGACCAACTCATGAAGAAGCTCAATGGCAGACACAATTGGTACAATTTATTAAAAAAGAGAAGGGAGAGGAAGAAAAAATTTAAAGAGCTACCGATTGTTAAAATGTGAATTGAACATATTTGTAAGACATGAAGGATTTTGTGGGGTTTTTTTTCTTTTTAGTGGGCAAAATGTATGGATTATGATGGATGAGTTTGATTATTGTCAATACATTTATGTGAACTATTGTTCAGAATATGGTTTGTCAGTATTGATTTTGTAGCATCTTTACTTTGTAAATTTTGTTCAGATTATGACATTCCTTTGTAGAGTCTTTAAAAACTATATAAAGAAGGATAAAGAGTGGCCATGTCTGAACGGATAAAGAGTAATTTGCGATGATCCTTCTCAGTTAATCCTTGTATTAGTTTGCTAGGGCCGCCATAACAAAGTACCATAGACCAGGTGGCTTCAAAAACAGAAATTTATTTCTTCACAGTTCTGGAAGCCAGAAGTTTAAGATCAAGGTGTCAGTAGGAGTGGTTTCTTCTGAGGCCTCTCTCCTTGGCTGGGAGACGGCCATCTTCTCCCTGTGCTTCACCTGATCTTCCCCCAGTGTATGTGTGTGTCCTAATCTCCTCTTGTAATGACATCAGTTATGGATTAGGACCTACCCCGGTGACCTCATTTTAACTTCATTACCTCTTTAAAGACTCCAAATACAGTCACATTCTGAGGTACTGGGGGTTAGGACTTCAACATTTGAATTTTAAGGGGGCACAATTCAGCCCATAACAGTGCACCAGCCCCTGACACCCGGCATTGTGGCCAAACCTTGCTCTGCGGTCAAATCCAAGGTCTCGTAAGCACGCAGGGAGAACTCGATGCAAAGGAGAGTGCTGCATGCTACAGTCACACTGACAGGCGGTATCTAATGATTTATTTATTCCATATTTGCCTCTTACAAGTTGAACCCAGATAAAGGGTAGGATTAGGATATATGAATATTTATTAGCCAGAGTCTTATTGAGTAAAAGCCAGGAATAAGTGCATTTCTAGGACCTTCTAATAGATTCTTTCCATCCTCTCTCTTCAACCTCTCTAATGCATTTACATAGTTGATTTAAAAACCAAATCTACATTATTTCTCCATTCCTACTTTTCATAAATTATAAATTCACCACCCTCTTTGGAATGATGTTATTTTGACTTGATTTATCATTAATTACAAGGTCTGAGGACTTGAAGCGGTCAAGTAAATAGAGTGCTGGATCTCTATAGCAGGTTAATGTTGGCAGAATTGTCTGAATGCGTATGTTCTTATATGTTACTTTACATGCATTATACTGTTATTTGGAAAGTCTTGTAGAAAGAATGAGTGTTTATAAGATTACATGAAGTCTACACACATACATACAAAACAAGTCCACAATCCAATTTGTGAAATCCAATTTGTACTACTCATGGTACAAATTGGGTGAAAGCACTATATATCACTATGTGGAATATGGGATTGTTTATACTATAATAATCCCTGGCCTCATAGGCAGAGATATCCCTGCTTGGTGATATTTTGTAATACCTAAGAAAGAATTTATTTGGCAATCTGTTTATATAAGAAATCAAACCTGTCAACATTTCCCTCTCTAATTGTCAATTAGGTACAGTGACAAATATATATAGGAAGTTAGAATTCTTTAAATTATCATCAGGTTCTCTTCTCTTTTTAACTTGTGTTATAAATAACACCTATCTAGAACATCTAGTAACAGATTTTGTCTCATGAGTCATATATTCCCAAGCCTTTGTATGATGTTAAGATAGTGGTAGTCATCAGTTTTGATATCTTAAAGGCCCAGACATTTTATGATTTGATGATAGTGGCAGTCATCAGCTTCCTGATAATCTGCGTTCGCAATCCAATTTAAGTTTATAGCAAGCAGATAGTGCAGAAATGAGCCTGCAGTCACTCACTCTCTCTGCTTCGTGGTATGTTCTGAATTAGACTTTTTTCCCCTTGTTGCCAATCCCAGGCTCAGTCTGAACTTAAAATCATTCTTCCTTGGGTCCCTTGGCTTTAGGCTACTTGATACAGCCTGTTTTCTAACTCTCTCTTTTTGGTTATCTTTAATAATAAGTAACATCAAGGGAGGGGACATCATAGTAGTTATTTTTATGTATTATTTTTTGAAAAATCTGTTAAAGTAGTAGACAAAGGAGGAAAAACACACTTGTGACACTGTCGATCTATCTTGCAAGACAAAAAAACTTGATTTTATAAAATCAGAGGGAAAATTAGTGCTATTGGCTATAATTGGCTACCATTTTGGCTAAACTGTTGAGTCTATTTATATGATACTCGAACATGGTAAGCCATGAAAACCACTAACAAAAGAATGCAAGTAAAAGTGTGATCACTTCTTATAATCATTCCTAAGTAAAACAGCTGGTAGGTACTAAGATGGCAACTCAGACTGTCTGTTTTCAAAACTAATACAATGAATTCTAACACCTTAGCTTTAGCATATAATGCCAAAAGAAAATAAGTTTCAAAAAATTGTATATTTATGGAACAAAAAAGTTTCATTTATTTTTTAAAAATATGTAATTATGAGAAATACTAGGTTAAAACTGATGCTTCTTAGGGCCATGAATTTGCTGTTATACTAAGAATCTTCAAAACACAATTTTAATATTTAACAGTTTCTCATGCTGATACATGAAAATGATGGTCAATGGCCCAGTGTCAATAATAATAAAATATCTGGAAACAACCAGAATATTTCTCTATAGGGATTGGCTAAAAAATAGTGATGTAGTCATAGAATATAACATTAGGCAAACTTTTCCAAAAAAGAGTAAAGCCCTATGTACACATATGGAAATCTGTATAACTACCTGGTTAGGTGAAAAAAGCGCAATCCATTCATGTTGGTAAAGAAGGAAGGCTGTCTCTGTGTGTGTGTGGTCCTTTTTATCTGGTCACCACATGTGAATGGGAAGACAGGTACTCTGTGTCATCCCAGGTGTGGCCATTTTATATAGTCCTTGATGTGAACGGTGCTCCCTGCAGTTATGAGACTTGACAGCCCTGCTTTATAAACAACTTCAGGAATGATCTATAGAAAACCATTCAAGCCCATTACCTCTGCATAGTCAATACTAGGGATTTGAAATGGAGGTGGGGAGGTACGGAGGTTGTTCTTTCAAGTTTAAACTCCTACTGAATTTTTTACCATGTAAATTTGTATTTTTTTAATTTAAAATCTTAAGGCTAATTTTATAATACTAAGCATGCAATAGATGTTTTATGAATGTGTTTTAGTTTATTCTAGACATTATTCTAGAAATGTGAAAACGTTACCATTTCTAAAGACATGACTTAAAAACATAGCTATGCTGATAATTCCAAAATCCCTGTATCTCTGGTTTTGATCTCTCCTGAAAGTCAGATTTTATTTACAAATACCTGTTGTACCTTTCTATTTTGATACTCCAAAGGCTCCTCCTATTCACTTTTTTAAAACTGAACTTACAGTCTTCCTTCACAAACTCTCCCTTTTGTTGCATTCTGTACCTTCAGTGATGTTCTTTTCATTCACCGAGCCAACTGTGACAAAAATCCTAAAAGTCATCTTAGATTCCTTCCTCCCCCCACCCCTGTACTGTATTTCATTGATCCTGAAATAATATTGATTTTTCTGCCTTAATCTCAAACACATCTTTTCCTCTCCATCTGAACAGACACCAGTAACATTTTATCACCTATCATTAATTATGTGAGTTATTATAATAATCTCTTGACCTCCAGAATTGAAGCTTTTCTTATTAATACATTCCCCATACTGCAGCCGGAATAACCGAAACTTAGTATCTACTCTTATTCTTCTACTAAATTACCAAATAATATTAGGATACATATTTCCTTTCTCCCCGGAGGAATGATTTTTAAAGATAGCACTGATTAAAAAAATTTTTTCTAGATATCAAATTTTATGACTACTTTCATTCTTAAGTATATCTATGATATACAAAATTGAATTATAGGCTGGGTGTGGTGGCTCATAGCTATAATCCCAGTGCTTTAGGAGATCAAAGTAGGTGGATGGCTTGAGCATAGGAGTTCGAGACCAGCCTGAGCAACATAGTGAAACCCTGTCTCTACAAAAACTACAAAAGTTAATCGGGTGTGGTGGCATGTAGTCCCAGTTTCTCAGGAGGCTGAGGTGGGAGGATCACTTGATGGGAGACAGAGGCTGCAGTGAGCTGAGATCACACCACTGCACTCCAGCCTAGGCAACAAAGCAAGACTTTGTCTCCAAAAAAGGGAAGAAATTAAATTATATAAGTTACATTATATGTAATATGTATTACTTAAGATGTAACTACAACTAGAAGTAACTGTGTGTGTGTGTGTGTGTGTGTGTGTGTAAATGAAATTAACATATATTTATACCAGTGATTATCTGGTTTAAAACCTCTGGGTACGTAAACACAATGGTGAGATGCCATCAATGAATAGTAGATTATAAACATGCAATTGAATGTAGTAATATAAAGAACACTGAACCATTGGTTAGTCCTGGTTCTGATTATATCTAGGTTTGAGATGACACAGTAGCTTAAGGTCTACATATTTGAGCTTCCTTCTCTACAAAATAAGAAGAGATTTAGGCTAGATTAGAGATGGCAAATAAGTCTCAACTCAAGTACCACCTCAATCAATTTGCAGTGATTTTCTGAGGAGCAAAGGCATGCATCTGGTACTAGCAGTGTTATACTGAAATCAATTAGGAAGCTCTACCATACTTGGGAGAGAGAAAGTTACAGTACAAATACCCAGCGTTAGCTATCCCAGGAGCAGATGTCACTAAGTACCAACTTTGTCATTCAATGGTTCTGTGCTAGATAACAAGAGTACATTAAAAGTGTTGGTCTTGGCTGGGTGCAGTGGCTCACACCTGTAGTTCTAGCACTTTAGGAAGCCAAGGTGGACAGATCACTTGAGTCCAGGAGTTTGAGACCAGCCTGGGCAACATGGCAAAACCCCATCTCTACAAAAAACACAAAACGTAGCCAGGTGTGGTGGTGCATGCCTATAGTCCTAGCTACTCGGGAGGCTGAGGTGGGAGGATTGCTCGCACCCAGGAGGTCAAGGCTGCAGTGAGCTGAGACTGCGCACCTGCACTGTAGCCTGAATGACAGAGTAAGACCCTGTCTCAGAATAAATAAATAAATAAACATAAATTTTAAAAAATTGTGGGTATTTTTCCTTGGTTACCTTCAAGTATTCTAGTTCATCTAAGATATAGTATCTCGTAGGTGAATGTGGCTCCAATGATAATCCAAATGTTTGATGATTTTATAAGCAGCAGACTTTTACAGTAGTATTTTTAATGTTTCTTTTTAGATCTTCCACCACCTCCTGTGCCGCCACCTGCTATAAAGTCACCTACTGCCCAATCCAAGACACAGCTGGAAGTACGACCTGTAGTGGTGCCAAAACTCCCTTCTATGGATGCAAGAACAGACAGATCATCAGACAGAAAAGGAAGCAGTTACAAGGGGAGAGAAGTGTTGGATGGAAGACAGGTTGTTGACATGCGAACAAATCCAGGTGATCCCAGAGAAGCACAGGAACAGCAAAATGACGGGAAAGGACGTGGAAACAAGGCAGCAAAACGAGACCTTCCACCAGCAAAGACTCATCTCATCCAAGGTACTCATCCAATCAAGCAGCAAATAAATACAGATTGAGTGTGTTTGCAAGGCATACAGTTAGGCTCTATATGGCCATGTAAAAAGTGGTAAGATTAAGAAGTTTGCTCTCCAGTGGAGGAGATAGGCATGTACTCGAATAATTTTAATACAGTTCACTCCAGTATATGCCTTTATACTCAACATCACCTGGAGAGGTGCCAACTGAGTTAGATTTTAAAGGAAAGCATGATTTCCACAGGTTAAAGAGGGAGAAGGGATATTGGGGAAAATAAATAGGTTGAGAAAAGAACATGAATGTGTGAAAATGAATGTTTGGTGAACAATGGTTTCCACTTTGGCTGGAGAATTGAATATTTGGGGCCAGAGACCATCTTTACAAAAAATACAAAAATTAGCTGGGCATATTGGCACATGCCTCTAGTCCTAGTTACTCGGGAGGCTGAGATGGGAGGATGGCTTGCACCCAGGAGGTCAAGACTGCAGTCAGCTGAGATCACACAACTGTTCTGTAGCCTGGGTGAAAAATAAAACTAGAAAGGTGGTTAGGCCAAGTTGCAAAGGCCAGGGATACTATTCTGAAGGGTTTGAGATTTATAACAAGGGCATTTGTGAGCCAACAAGTAATTCTGAGTGAGAAATGACATAATCAGATATGTGTTTTAGAAAAATAACTGGCAGCACTATACAGTGAAGGAAGAGACTGGAAACCAGTAGATGAAGGTGTCAGAAACATTACAGTAACACTCTAAGTATAAAATATGAAAGCACTGAATTAAAATAGCTCAGAAGAACAGGAAGGATCAGCCTGTACAGACACTTCAGAGAGTGGCCCAATAAGACTTGGTGGCTAATTGAATGTTCAAAGGTAAGTTGAAATAATAGAGTAAACAAAAAAAGTTATTCATAGGTTGACTAGGTGGCCCTGAATGACCAGTGAAACATGATTGTATTAACCAGTGTAAAAAAAATAAAATAAAGAACAGGGAAAATGTTAAATTTCATGGGGAAAATTATTGCAGTTTTGAATGGATTAAAATGCCAACAAGAACACAGATAGTAAAAAATCCAACGAAAATTTAGAGAATTAGGTTTAAAGGTGAGGAGAAAGGTTGTGAGGACAGAGTGGATTTTAGAACCCACAACACAGAGGTGATAATTATGTGAATGACAAAGTCTGAATTTCAGCAGAGATAATGCCGGTAACTATTTATCAATCAGCTATCCAGGAAGAAAACAAAACCAAACCCTAATTTGTAGCCATTTGCTTACTTCTGTTGTATGAATACTCTCAAAATTGCCAATTTCAAGTCACTGAATGTGGAGGTAGGAAGAGATGAATATATTCAGCTATTGTGAAATATTGAGCCTGCTCCAACACACCACTAGTCCAGGATGATTATACTTAGAGAGTAGGCAGATAATCAAGATAATCAACATCCTATTAAGGAAACAGATTGACCGACCCAGAGATTTAATAATCAAGATATCCAAGCTATTGAAAATAGTGTCCTATAAAGAATGGGGTGGGAAATTTTCAGACAGGAAGGCATATAAAATACCACAGTGGTGAAAGTTGAATGTAAACCAAGCGAGGAAAAAAGGGATCTTGCAATATGTTTTTTGTGGGTTAGAATAAAAGCCAGCCTGTATGGAGTTGGAAAGTGAATGGAAATTTTGGAAGGGAGGTGATGAGCACAAGTAAGCTCTTTCTGGAAGTTTGGGATGAGGAGGAAATCTTGGGATAGAGTTTGACAGAAAGGCCAAATCAGTGGAAATGTTTTAGGATTGTGGATTTGAACATTATTATAGACTAAAGAGAAGAAACCATGTAGGAGGAAGAAACACAAGAAATGGAAGATTATTAGTTGAGGAATCAGCAAAGAGTGATAGGGGAATGAAACTTAAAAACCTACAGGGGCACTTAACTACTGTATTTTAATAGATATATTGTGGTAAGATCTGACCTCAGTGTATTGTTGTATTTATTATGGACATCTGGTCATTAGCTAACTTCTTTTCAACACAGAGGGCAGTTTCTCTTTGTTCTGTGACTGCAGCATGAACTCCTAATCCAGGCATAGACTCACAAGTGAGGTGATAAATAAAGCTGTGCATTTCAGGCTGATGCCTCTATTGTGTGACCACAATGTCCTTGATAATATCACCACAATCCAAAGCTTGAAAAACTTACTTATTTTTCTCAGTTAACCCAAAGTTGATCTGGCTCTGAACTTTTGACTCAGTGTGACTCGACTCCAAATAGTGATTCATAAATAGAATGTGATGATGTAAATTGCGAGGTTTATATCTGGCCAGAAAGTATGGAGCAATTCCTGCTTATAAGAAGGCTTCATTAAAAGTTGGCTGGGTGTGGTGGCTCACGCCTGTAATCCCAGCACTTTGGGAGGCCAAGGTGGGTGGATCACAAGGTCAGGAGTTTGAGACCAGCCTGGCCAACATGGTGAAACCCCATCTCTACTAAAAATAAAAAAATTAGCTGGGTGTGGTTGTGTGCACCTGTAATCCCAGCTACTCGGGAGGCTGAGGCAGGAGAATTGCTTGAACCCGGGAGGAGGAGATTGCAGTGAGCCAAGATCATGCCATTATACTCCAGGTCTGGGCGACAGAGCAAGAATCTGTCTTGGAAAATAATAAATAAATAAATAAATAAATATTTTAAAAAATTAAAAAGTAGGTGAGATTATTCTTCAGAAGGAAATTTTACAAACCTGAAAATATCTTGTATGCAGATTTAGAAAACAGAGATAAAATTTTTAAAATCAATCTTCAGAAATTTAGTAAGTTGTCCTTTCTGCTATAAAATATTTGTAACAAACGAAGTAAGACTAGACCATTAGTCTAGAAACAAGGAACCCATGGAATCATGGAAATCACTGAGGTACACTGATGAGTTATTATTTTATATGCTCTGCTTTTCCAAATTTTTATTTGGATCATAACCCTATGTATATATGCCATTAAGTGATCATTTTTATGCATTGCTGTAATTTTCACCTTCATAATTCAGTTTACATTGTTTATAGTGAAAGAGGTATCCTGATTTATGTGTATAATGAATGATTATTTTTCATTAAGGAGAGTGGTCTTTTGGACTTGAATTTCTGATCATTTTGCTGACATTTGCCTCCGTTAGTTCAATTTATTTCTACATATATCAAACACCTACTGTGTTATTAAGCATTGTATTAAATCCTGAGATTTATGTATAAGCATAAACCTTGACTTCAAGGGGCTTGTAGTCAGGGAGAGAGGGACAGATAATCTATAAATTCATAGATATTTTTGTGTTCAGTATAACCTTCATAGTGCCATGATACTTGAGAGTCCAGAAGAGAGAGAATTCACTCAGGACTCTGAGAGAATGTTAGGAAAGATCTCTTTCCTAAGAAAAGAGGATTTATTTAGGTGGATAATCTGCATAAAAAGCCCGAAGGTCTATTGAGGGAACTGTAAGAAATTCAGTACTACTACATAATAAAAGTGGTCAAAGATGAAGCTCTTGAGGTACATGAAGGCTTAAGTCATAAAAAGCCTATAGATATTTTATAAGAGGAAAGTGGCTGAGTGAAGACAGTTTAGAGGGGAATAGCTCAAGGATGTTTGAAGATGTGTGCAACCCCCAGACAAGAAATGTAGAAAATATAAACCATGTTATAGGAGCAAGAATGGGTGACTCAGAAAATCCAAGAAACTTTTTAGAGTCAAAATCAAACTTACTTGTTGTATGTTGGACCATGTGGAAAGGATACACTTAAGATGTATGGAAAGGTTGTTGAAAGGGAAGAATCTATAATAATTTCAATATTCTGTCTTGCGTATCTTAATGATTAGTGATGTCATTCACTGTCTTAGAGAATGTAGCAAAGGAAGATATCTAAGGGAGTGAGCATTGTGAGGTCAATGTTCAACAGGTTGAGTTTGAGGAACATGTAAGAGTAGGGGTTCAGCTGGGGTGCCTATAGGAGCCTAAGGTTTGGGGCATAGTTTAGGAATTAAAAATATAAATTAATGATTCAGCATGATGAAAATAATGTAAAACAATGTATTAATGACGTGTTACAGGTCAAGATGAAAGTATATCAGCACGCAAAGCATACAAAATACCTCCCCTTATGACAGTTATATTTTAGAAAGGGTTATAATCTGTGAGACTGGGTAAAATCACCTAGGGTCAGTAGAAGAAATAATATATATGTAGTATTAAGCCATTCTTGCATTTCTATAAAGAAAAACCTGAGACTGGGTAATTTATAAAAGAAAGAGATTTAATTGGCTAAGTGTTCTGCAGCCTTTATAGGAAACATGGTGTTGACATCCGCTTGGCTTCTGAGGAGACCTCAGGAAGCTTAGAATCATGGCGGAAGGTGAAGGCAGAGTAGGCACATCACATGGTGAAAGCAGGAGCAAGAGAGAGAGAGAGTGGGATGGAGGTGCCACATACTTTTAAACCACCAGATCTTGTGTGAACTCAGAGCAAGAGCTCACCTATCATCAAGGGGATGGCCCAAGCGATCCATGAGGTATCTGCCTCCATGATCCAGACATCTCCCACCTGGCCCCACCTCCAACAGTGGGGATTACAATTCAACATGCGATTTGGGCAGTGACAAATATCCAAACTATATCATTCATCTATATATATACACACACACACACACACACACTCACACACATGAATGATATACATACATATATGTATAACGTATATATAATTATATTATACATATATATGAATTATATACATTAGGCTGAAAGTAGAAACCTGTAGAGCATCAGCATATCTGTGGTGCTTCATAAAAAGAGCTCACAGAAGATTGACCAGGGAGGAAGGAAAGCTAGCAGCTGAGAGAATAATATTTGCATTGATTAAGAGCAGTAAGAAGTCCAGGGACACAAGGCTGGAAACACGGTTAGCATTATCAATTTTCTCAGTTTCATAGTAGTGATGTAGGCATAAATAGATTTCAGTGGGATGCAGAATGAATGGGAATTGTGACTATCAATATTGAATCCAAATTGCTTTTCAAGAAGCTTGGCTGAGTGGTGAGGAAAGAAAGAAGGTGTTGATTTCATGGAGAGCACAGTCTTAAGGGGAAAGTTTTTAGTAAGAGAGAGATTTTATCATATTGTAGTTTGAGAAAACTAAAGTCAGTAGAGAGAAAGCTGTTGATGAAACAGAGACAGAGGATGATGGTCACATGGTATCAAGTGTTATGAAGAGAAGCTGCAGAAACAGTCATCCTCATGGACTGTGAAACTCCTATGTGTCAGAACTGTGGGTTAGGGGTGAAAGTTGTGATGAGTAGAATGGAAAGAACAAGACGCTATCAAGGAAGACTATACTGGCTTCAGAAAACGATGGCTTGGGCCTCAGAGGTGGAGATGTTTTTGTGCAAGGATAGAGGAGCAATAATTTAGAACTGGTGATGGTGAGCTAGAGGGAAGCCTTCTGCCTTACCCTTCCACTACAGAGAACGTCAGCGGGAACTTCAAGGGAAATCAGGCTTCACTCAGGCAATGTGAATAGTAGAGGAAGCATTTGGGGGAGGTGGGGAAAAGCATGCCAAAGAGTTAGGTATTTATGTGTTTGTCATCTAAAAGGCAGAGTTGGCAGACTTTGGAGAGAAGTGAGCAGCTGGCTGATGCATCAGTAGAAGTAGCACCAAATTTTCAAGCAGTTAAGGAGGTAGAAATTCAGGAGACAGAAATTAATTGGAGTGGCTTGCTTATTGAAGTTAGCAACAATAGCAGGCTTCTAAGATTCAGAGTTCCACAATGTAAATAGGACATTGACGTGGAGGTTGATATTTTGGTGTCTGTGGAGTGAAACCAGGCTTGGTTCTGTTTGATATTTCTAGGAGACTGGGCTTGATTTTTACCAATTCCTTATAATAACATTTTATAAGTTATGTAGATATTTTATTATCTCATCTGTTTTCATATCAACACTAAGAAACTGTCTCACGTGTCCATGTGAACGGAGGCCTGACAGAAACCCTCTAGGTATAGATGTTATCATCACTTTTTTTGGAAAAGTAGAAACTAAAGCCTAAAATAATCTGAGATCATATAGTGAATGACAGAATTGGAAGCCAAGTCTGACTCCAGGTTTGGTTTACCTCTTTTAATGATATTGGTCTGTAGTGAGTTTGAGATGGACAAGAGCTTATGAGTGGAATCAATCCAAATCCCTGACTACTAACAGGAAAACAACAAGGCTTATACTTTTCATTTTCAACACACTATGCTACATTATTCATTATGCTTATAGAGTGTCCTCATTTATACCTTAAATCACTGATGCTTCCTTATTCAGAATTACAGATAGACAGGAGTGATACAATATACAGTGAAAGTGTATGATGGTACTCACCTGCATTTATTATATTTCATTACACAGAGGATATTCTACCTTATTGTAGACCTACTTTTCCAACATCAAATAATCCCAGAGATCCCAGTTCCTCAAGCTCAATGTCATCAAGAGGATCAGGAAGCAGACAAAGAGAACAAGCAAATGTAGGTCGAAGAAATATTGCAGAAATGCAGGTACTTGGAGGATATGAAAGAGGAGAAGATAATAATGAAGAATTAGAGGTATCTATAATTTTTCCCCAAGTTTACCAATGTTAGACTGTGGTTGTTTTATGTAGTTAGGAACCTTCATCAGTGTACAGAAATGTTACTGTTTTATTGCAAACTTTTCAGTACTCTAATGTCTATGATGGCAGAAACTGAAGTTCTGAGAATTTGAGAATTTTCTTGAAATGTGTCCCAAAGTTTTAAATGTTAATGGCAGTTTATTTGTTTAGCTAGGGTTTATCTTCATTTGCAGATTTTCAGATAAGAAACATATATGGCAAACACATTGTTAAGAAGTAAGAGCTGTTGATCTAGAGCTATTATAATTCATAGCATTGTAGCAGGCTATAAAAACCCAGTAAGATGACAGAGTTATATGATGTGAGTGAGGAAGTTGCCATAGTCAGCACCAGGGTAATGTGGCTGGTTTGGCTAACTGTCCTTCACCTTTACACTTCTGAAAGTGTATGCCTAGTCTGTGACACTGACCTCCCCAGTTGGAGGAAACTTCTTACGTCAAAGATATACTCTCTTGTTAGCCTTGACATATCATAAATTCTCCCCTCACCCATTCAAAGATTGTATTTTCTCAATTTAATAAAAGTTGAGGAAAATTTTTTAATAAATATAGTTAAACTCAAGTAGATAAATACGTGTCAAATGACAACTTTTTATAGTAGAAGCTGAAAAGGTATAGGCCATTATGTCTAATTGAAAGTCCTATAAAGCTCAATGTATTTCGATTTTGAGGTTTAGAATGAGAAAGACTTTCCTCCTGCAAACAGAGAAGTTGTTTTTCAGGTCTTAGTTTATTTTAAAATAGAAGTAGCCTTTTGGGGGAACAGAATGGCCTTACTGTTAACTCCAGTATTTAAAACCAACAAAAGCAGAGTTGTAATGTTGACTTGGGGCTGAGGGGATTAGATAACTCAACACATTCCTTCCCGCTTCTCAGAGCCCTGTGTCCCACCACGCAACACCGGGGCACTGTGCAGAACCCAGTTTGGTACTTGTTGAATTTGCTGTGAAGACCAATTAAGGTTGATGAATGAATTAGTTGACATGAGCCCTTTCCAACATAGTCCATTGAATAAATGAAAAGACACATTAAATTATAATAATAATAAATGCATATAAATAAATATAACACAATCCTCTTAAGATTTATTTTCAAATGTGACAATAACGTATCTCTTACAGGAAACTGAAAGCTGAAGACAACCAAGAGGCTTATGAGATCTAATGTGAAAATCATCACTCAAGATGCCTCCTGTCAGATGACACATGACGCCAGATAAAATGTTCAGTGCAATCAGAGTGTACAAATTGTCGTTTTTATTCCTCTTATTGGGATATCATTTTAAAAACTTTATTGGGTTTTTATTGTTGTTGTTTGATCCCTAACCCTACAAAGAGCCTTCCTATTCCCCTCGCTGTTGGAGCAAACCATTATACCTTACTTCCAGCAAGCAAAGTGCTTTGACTTCTTGCTTCAGTCATCAGCCAGCAAGAGGGAACAAAACTGTTCTTTTGCATTTTGCCGCTGAGATATGGCATTGCACTGCTTATATGCCAAGCTAATTTATAGCAAGATATTGATCAAATATAGAAAGTTGATATTCAACCTCACAAGGGCTCTCAAAGTATAATCTTTCTATAGCCAACTGCTAATGCAAATTAAAACATATTTCATTTTAACATGATTTCAAAATCAGTTTTTCATACTACCCTTTGCTGGAAGAAACTAAAAATATAGCAAATGCAGAACCACAAACAATTCGAATGGGGTAGAAACATTGTAAATATTTACTCTTTGCAAACCCTGGTGGTATTTTATTTTGGCTTCATTTCAATCATTGAAGTATATTCTTATTGGAAATGTACTTTTGGATAAGTAGGGCTAAGCCAGTTGGATCTCTGGTTGTCTAGTCATTGTCATAAGTAAACCTAGTAAAACCTTGTTCTATTTTTCAATCATCAAAAAGTAATTATAAATACGTATTACAAACAAGTGGATGTTTTTAATGACCAATTGAGTAAGAACATCCCTGTCTTAACTGGCCTAAATTTCTTCTGGTAGTGTCAGTTCAACTTTCAGAAGTGCCACTTAAGGAAGTTTGATTTTTGTTTTTGTAATGCACTGTTTTTAATCTCTCTCTCTTTTTTTTTTTTTTTTTGGTTTTAAAAGCACAATCACTAAACTTTATTTGTAAACCATTGTAACTATTAACCTTTTTTGTCTTATTGAAAAAAAAAATGTTGAGAAGCGTTTTTAACCTGTTTTGTTAATGCTCTATGTTTGTATTTGGAATATTTGAATAATGACAGATGGTGAAGTAACATGCATACTTTATTGTGGGCCATGAACCAAATGGTTCTTACTTTTCCTGGACTTAAAGAAAAAAAGAGGTTTAAGTTTGTTGTGGCCAATGTCGAAACCTACAAGATTTCCTTAAAATCTCTAATAGAGGCATTACTTGCTTTCAATTGACAAATGATGCCCTCTGACTAGTAGATTTCTATGATCCTTTTTTGTCATTTTATGAATATCATTGATTTTATAATTGGTGCTATTTGAAGAAAAAAATGTACATTTATTCATAGATAGATAAGTATCAGGTCTGACCCCAGTGGAAAACAAAGCCAAACAAAACTGAACCACAAAAAAAAAGGCTGGTGTTCACCAAAACCAAACTTGTTCATTTAGATAATTTGAAAAAGTTCCATAGAAAAGGCGTGCAGTACTAAGGGAACAATCCATGTGATTAATGTTTTCATTATGTTCATGTAAGAAGCCCCTTATTTTTAGCCATAATTTTGCATACTGAAAATCCAATAATCAGAAAAGTAATTTTGTCACATTATTTATTAAAAATGTTCTCAAATACATCTTTCTTTCTTGTGTTGATTTCTTTTTTCATTGTGTGCTGATCAAATTTATTCCATTTAATCACAAAGTCGTTCTGTCTTAACATTTCACCCCTGTATTATCAGATGAGTGAAAATTCTCAATTAGTTGTATGAATAACCAGGCTTTACTGTAAGCAAAATTTTACCTAAGTCCTCTGAAATTAAAAATGTAAGATCAGTCAAGACCTAGAAGTGAATAATTGGATCAGAGACTAAGTCTTCTTTAATATTAAGGGTATATTATTTTTGTTTATGTATGTGTATCTGAGTTTCAGTTAATCTATTTCATCTATTTCTAAAATAATTGGGATTCAACTAGATAAATGTGATTTGTAAAGTTTGAGCCACCTATGTTCTGTCAGCAAGAAAATTAATTATATAACTCTGAAATGCTTATCAGTAACTATCTGCTTTCTTGTTACGAATTCACGTAAAATTTTAACAATACCTATCATATACCAGGTTATACATTATTAAAGTTAGTTAGTGTATCCAGGTATTCAACTTTAGATGAACAATATGGGCACCATGTCTTGGAAGTTCCAAGAGCAACAGAATCTGATGTAGGTTTTTTCCCTTTCACATATATATTGCTCTTCTACCTAAATTTTGTGTTTATCAGAATTTGAAAATATGAGGGAAAACAGTGAAAAAAAGGGGTTTAATCTGAAATTTAATTTTATAAAAATGAAGTAATCACCAGCATCTACTTAAAGATGAACAGGTCCACAGGTCAAGAAGTCAATTTCTAAAAGCTACTTTAAGGAAAAATTAGAGGGACATGTGTAGTGACGTAATTTCTCTCTTACCCCTGGTGAGTTGACTATAAATATAAGTTAGTCTCTCTCTTTATTTATAATATGTGATAATACATACCGATTCTGTATATCAGAGGACCTGGGTTTGAGTCGCAGTTTTGTCACAGCTGTGTTTCCTCGGAGATGTTACTTAACCTCTAAGTCTCAGGTACTTCACCTGTAAATTCAATAATACCTACCTCATGGAGCCGTTGTCATGATTCAGTGAGTTAATGTGTATGATATGGACTCTGTAAACTCCATCAATGATACAAGATATTGTTATATTTATGGACTGAAATTCATTACACATGCAATCCCTGCTTTTCATACCTAGTTTGTTTCTGAGTATTTGCACGAAAGTCAAAGAATAAGTGTGGTACCAGGATGAGGGTGGTTTCATTTCCGGTGAGTAAAATTCACTGTGAAATTCCTAATTGTGGAATAAATAATTGGTGTTTTTGTTTGTTTTGTTGCTCTTGAATTCGAGGGCCACACAGCGGGTGGTGTTATGGTGTCTGCAGCACACATTTCACAATTCGTGGGTACAGACAGGAGTTCTCAACAATTAAACTCGTTGTTTATTTTGGGCTGCTATTCTGCCTAGTGGCAGAAGATATAATCTTAATTCCAGGTGAAATCGACGATACCTGGCTTTTTTGATTATTTCATATATAGTCTGGATTTCTTCTTTGCACACAGTGACATCTGAATTTCAGAGCTGTCCCCATGTGTAGAATGTGTGGGTGGTCAGGAAGCAGGCGGCTTTGGGGATTGCTGTTGGCCAAGTTTCATTAAATGATCTTCATTTTTGTCAGAACTTTACTCTGTATCCTCTTCTCCCAACCTTAATGCCTCTTATTATCCATTGATCCTCTCCTGATACTTCTAAGTCCTTCAATGTAGGGTGGGTGTAAAGAGTAAGGAAGGAGAGTTCCATATGCTCTTCTGTGCCATGCTGGGGCTCTAAGGACTTGAGACTTCCTTGGGGTCTCACAAGATACTACAATGGCCCCTAAACTGCTTGCTGCATTTGGACTGTGTGTTGGTTGAGGGAAGGGGTGAGAGCAACTTCTGCAGTTTTGAAGAAAAGAGCCTAATAATTTGCATTTTGGAGGCAATCCTATTTATGTTAAAAATAGTTTGGTAGCTACCACCCTAACAACTCAAAGATAAGTTTCATCGTAGTACAGCTGAAACTGAAATGAATCTTATAGGCATTAGTGTCTCACAATCACTTTCACCTTTTCATTGCTCGCTGTTTAAAAACATAAGCCTCAAAGAAACAGAGCATGCATCAAACTTTTGTTTACCTCGTTAATACAGTAAACAGCAGAAAGACAAAGAGCAGTCAAATGGCAGCTGTGAAAGAAACTTAACTATGATGGCTGAGTTAGTAAACTTTCTTTTTTTTCTTTTTCTTTTTTTTTTTTCTTTAAGACAGTCTCACTCTGTCACCCAGGCTGGAGTGCAATGGCATGATCTTGGTTCACTGCAACCCCCCACCTCCCGGGTTCAAGCAATTCTCCCTGTCTCAGCCTTCTGAGCCGCTGGGATTATAGGTGCCCGCCACCATGCCCGGCTAATTTTTGTATTTTTAGTAGATACGGGGTTTCACCATGTTGGCCTGGCTAGTCTTGAACTCCTGACCTCAGGCAATCCACCCACATCAGCCTCCCAAAGTGCTGAGATGATTACAAGCGTGAGCCACCGCACCCAGCCGAGTTAGTAAACTTTCTACAGGGCAATACAAACATGATACTAATTTTTACTGGGCTAGAGAGTCATGACATCTATCTTTTTCTTTAGGTTAAATAACCATTAACCTTCAAGACTACAGGAAGTCTGAAGTCGGCCACCTTTATCATTTGGAAATTATCTGTCGAAAATATACCTTGGTAATTTACATTCACTCAGGAGAATCAGATAAAGGTTCGACAGTGACTTACTCTTGTTCATGTTTCCCCAGAAGCAGAGCCTGCGACAAAGACTTGGATGCAAACAGTTTATTTGGGATAGAATCCCAGGAAGTGGGAGTGTGAGGGGAATAAAATTCAATATAGATCCTTCAAAGTAGGTGAAGGTGCCTCTACCAGGTACTCTACCGGCTCTTCCCAGGAGCACACAGAATGCCTAACAGAACTTTTCACTGAAGGACAGTAGCCCAAAATTATTCCCCATTAGCTGAAGGTTTCAGGCTGCAGGCGGGGCAGGGGATTTCACTTCCCGGTACTAGTGAGCAGACCAAGTGTGAATGGAAGACCCTAAGGCAGAAAGAAGACATGCACATGGCAGGTAGTTGAGTTGGGAAGGTGCCAAAATGAGGTGAGTCTGGGATCAAAGGGAACTTTTGGCCCTAGCAAAACCTCAAAGGCATCTATTGCTGGCAGGATTATTGGAAAATGTTTTAGTATGGTAATAAAAATCAAGCAATCATTAATTTACCATTTTTCAGATTTAAGATAAATTTTCCTTCATAATGTACACATATGAAGTTAGTTATAGGTATTCAAATTACTTTCACATTGGTGGAGTTTTTACCAGTTATCAATTTCTGGTACTATAGGTGTTGAATTTAATTGACATTTAACATATTTTGAAAATTTTTTTACAGTATTAGCATTGAAACAAAACGAGCAAAAAGCATGGAGAAACACCATTGAGATGTGACTTGGATCCTTAGAGGAATAACCAGTTACGCATTTTCTGGCAAAGCAACAAGCTTTACAGTACCACAGAAAGTAAAATATCCACAGTAATTCAAGTTGTGCCTTCCAACACACACATATATGCACACACACATATACAATGTTATTGAAGGCCAGTAAAATTATGAAATTCCTCAAAATAAAGTGAAAAAAAGTTTCAAGCAAAGTTGAGCATGGTGTAACCAATTTATGTGTTTTGCAAAACTATCGTTGAGACATTATATCATGACAAAAATTGGTAGCATTTCACAGTGACACACAAAGTTTTTAAATTCAATGAAAATTACATTAAAAAGTAACATGTATACAATCCCATTGCCTTATATTGGACTCATTATATTTACATAGATTGGATACTGTTAGGGACTGAATGTTTATGTCCTCCCTGAATTCATATGTTAAAATTCTAACCCCCAATGTGATGGTTTTAGGATGTGGGGCGTTTGGGAGGTAACTAGGTTTTGATGGTGGAGGCTTCATGAATAGGATTAGTGCTCTTATAAAAAACAACAACAACAACAAACAAACAAACAAACAAAAGCAACCCTAGAGAGCTCTTTCTTCTTCCTGCAATGAAACAAGGAAATGTCAGCAGTCTGCAACCCAGAAGAGGGCTATCACCAGAAGTCAGCTATGCTAGCCCTGTGATCTTGGACTTCCAGCTTCCAAAACTGTGAGAAATACATTTCTCTTGTTTACAAGCCACCCTGTCTATGGGACTTCGTTACAGAAGCTTGAACTGCCTAATACAGGTACTTCTTTTTAAAATTCAAATCTTTGACATAAATCACTAGCTCCACATCTAAGTTAATCTTCCCTCTTTCAGAAATTCTCTTTCTGTTTGGGAAAAACTCTGAGCTCTTCAACTTTGAGTAAAACAGCTTTTAATGCCTCTGGTTCAAGTTACTTTTATAGCCTGCTCAGCTTCAGAAATTTAAAAAAGTAACCTGGGCAAGTAGGGCTTCTTTTCCTGCCCAGTACCTGTACTTTGGCCTGCCTTCCTTGAAACTTTCAAGTCCTCCTCTGGTGCCTGAGATGGGCCTGGGAAGGCAGTGCCAATAGGACTGGGTACTGGAGCCTGGAGGAGGACTAATGTAGGCCCAGGCCCCCTGCATATGGGATTAATATTTGAGGAGCTGCACAATTCAGAATAAATACCTGTGGGGTACTCCTGGGACCCTGTAGCTGGCCTTCTGGTTCCAGAAGAGTGCAATCTATTGAGATCTACTATGTGCTAGAAACTAAGATAAACTCTAGAAGTGCTCACAATGTAATGGGAGGCAGACTGTATTAGTTCATTTTCACACTACTATGAAGGAATACCTGACGCTGGGTAATTTATAAAGGAAAGAGGTTTAATTGACAGTTCTGCATGGCTGGGGAAGCCTTAGGAAACTTACAATCATGGCAGAAGGGGAGGCAAACACGTACTTCTTCACATGGTGGTAGGAGTGAGAAGAATGAGAGCCCAGCAAAGGGAGAAGCCCCTTATAAAACCAACAAATCTCATGAGAACTAACTCACTATCAGGAGAACAGCATGAGCAGCATGAGGGTCACCACCACCATGATTTAATTACCTCCCACCGGATCCCTCCTACAACACAGGGGGATTATAGGGACTACAGTTCAAGATGAGATTTGGGTAGGGACACAGCCAAGCCATATCAAAGACATGTACAACACTGTAAACAATGTAACAGAGGTATTTACACAGCAAATTGTTAGCTGATTGCTTATAATGGCAGACATTTTTTTCATAGGATTGAGTGAGGTTATGCTACCAGAATGGTACTGACATGCCTGATTTGAGATGACTTAAATTATGACATAAACAGAGGCCCTGCAGAAGCATTTGCCCTCACCTGGTGGCCAGAGTAGCCCTCAACATCAGGAAGGGGCGTCTTTTAAAACCAGCCTAATAAAAACCTGAGTTTTTATATGGAATGCCTATTTATTAATAGGCCTTATATTTTCCACAATGAGGGAGTATAGATACTATGTATTCAATATATTACCTACCTGTTCTCTGTAGAAGTTATGCACAAGTCATCTCTCTAAAATGCCTCTTCTCTTGGTGTATAAAAGTGAGTGTTTATGTGTGTGTGTGTCTGTGATTGTGGTGGGGAAGTAAAAATAGAGTAAATGAAGTAGGTGGGGCTTTATACCTGTTTTTGTTTTCAAACCTACAAGACAAAATTATGCAACATGTCTTTAAGGGCTTGGAACATGAAAGGCATTTGGAAAAGCTACTGTGTGGAATACCATAGGAAGTAAGTGATGAAGAAATGGATTACTAAAAAAATTGGTTATTTATTCCGTACCTGCTATAATTTCAACATACAATCAGATTAAATCTTAGCAAAAATTGATGTGGAATGTCTAGTCTTAATCTATTTGGATAGATGAAGAAAGTAATATTTTCAAAGACTAGGAAAATTGCTGAAATTCACAATACAGAAATACAAATAGAGTGTGGATATTGTTTCAAGTCTAGCACTCTTTCCAAAAATTAAAACTTAAAAAACAAACAAATAACATGTCCTCACCACAGAAAATAAGTAGTTGAGGTGATGGATGTGTTAATTAGCTTGATTTAATCATTTCACATTATACATATATATCATAGCTTTGTATTCCATAAATATATACAATTATAATATCAATTTACAATCAAATTAAAAACAAACTGTCCTTCAAGAATGAAAATCAAGTTAACAAACGTTAAAACAATAACCAACTTCCATTCTTAAATTAATTATAACTGAAATGTGAAAAAGAAAAAGTGTCCGTGTTGGCAACAGGGAGAGAGATAGATGCTAAAGGTGCTTTTGCCAAATATTTAAAAGCACTATCATCATTCATTAATATGTAAGTTTTTAAATATTGTTTAGGCTTCCAAAGACCACTTTTAAAAATAAGAAATTACAAATGATAATTTCCAAGCATTGCAAATGTGCATTTATTTGCATATAAGATATACAATCCCATATTAATATTCCTAATATTAGAGAATTTTAACAATTTGACTTAAAAGCAATTTAACCTTCCAAGTATACTTACCTTCATTTTATCGAAAAAGAACTTGAGAAGTTTTTCAAGGTTATGGAACATTGCTTCTTAAGTCAGAATTTTTAATTGCATTGCCAAACCCAGCAATCTCATCGATCCCACTTATGCCTCTCTCTATGGGAAAGCAAAATATTTTGGAGAGGTTTTAACATTTTTTTTAAATCTGACTTTTTAAAATGAGCTAATACATTTATAATAATACCTTATCATTTAAAAGTACTATGCTTGTAGTACTTTGGAGAAAAATAATTCAAGAAAACTATTAAGTTGCTTAGATTAATAATGTACCTATGCATAGGATTAACATATATTCAAAAGTTAATATATTTATCTGGATGATTTAAGATCAATTGTTAATTAAGCTGCACATGTTTCAAGTGTGCATAATTAAACAATCATTTTGAATAAACAGCATTCTGCCCTATAATATAGTGCCAAAAATATGACTACTGAACTATTCTAAAAAATTAGTCACACTGCAACATAATCAAAAGAGTTTAATTAATTTACTCATCACCTTTTTCTCATACTCTTTACTCTGATTTCCATCTGGGTATTCATTCATTGATTCAGCAATCTATTGAGCATTCATTACATGCTAGTAACTAAGATAAACTCTGGGAGTGCTCACAGTGAACGAGCTAAGATAAACTCTGGGAGTGCTCACAACATAATGGGAGGCAGACATACATAACAATGTAAACAATGTAACAGAAGCATTTAGGCAGCAATAAAGAAGTTTGTGGAAACTCCAAACAGGAATTGAAGACATGTTCTGTTTGGATTATGAAGGCTGAAAAAGTCATCAATTAATTTATAACATAAAAAGCTTTCCTGTCTCAAAATTATACTCCCTTCTACTTAAAAAAGCATGTAGAATACATTTTAAAATTAAGGTAAATTTAGATAAACAAAAAGGCCAGTTATTAATTATGTTTGAGAAATGTGATTTGGATTATTTGTTTTTATTCAATTTCCATCATTCTCCAACTAAAACAGTTTTAGAATCACACAAATCTAAAGAGATAATCAATAAAAGCATAAAAGGATTACGTGATAAAATACTTTAAGAGGATTGGAGACTAAATCATTTCCCTTTACATTTAATTTATCTCTTTTATGTAGACTGTGTCAGTAACAATGCTTCTGAACACAGATTGTAACAAAACACATAAAATCCAAGTCAGTGTAGCTAAGCAAGTCAGGGTAGCTAATTTATGGGGTCAGGAACTGAGAAGTACAACAAAAGGGCTCTGAGCAGACTTGGTTCAGTCAAGGCTCTGCCTCCATTTGTTTGTGAATCTCTTTGCTCTACTTGGCTCCCCATGTTGCTTTCCTTCTCAAGCTGTTATCAATATGGCTGCAACAGACCACTGATCAGTCTCAAGCCACATGCGATGATATTCAGAGGCATAGCGACAAAAGCTAGATAGCTTCTGAACAGTCTCTGAAAATGCATACCAGTCATCTGAATTGTTATGCATGCTCTTTGCAGGACTAATTCTGTGTCCAGAGAACACCATATACTGTTTGGCTAAGCCTGTGTTCCCTTAGACCCATCAGGTCCTCTACTGGAATGGACTTATCTGTTACCCTTGAAGTATGTGGAATGTTTGTTGAAGAGAATGAATGATGAGAAAGCAACCAACAGTGAATAAAACACACACCTCCTCACTCATACATTTAGCAATTAGTCTGTGCTCTGTATTTAGCCCTTATATATGTCAGGCCTCTGAGCCCAAGCCAAGCCATCACATCCCCTGTGACTTGCATGTATACGCCCAGATGGCCTGAAGTAACTGAAGAATCACAAAAGAAGTGAATATGCCCTGCCCTGCCTTAACTGATGACATTCCACCACAAAAGTGTAAATGGCCTGTCCTTGCTTTAAGTGATGACATTACCTTGTGAAAGTCCTTTTCCTGGCTCATCCTGGCTCAAAAAACACCCCCACTGAGCACCTTGCGACCCCCACCCCTGCCCACCAGAGAACAACCCCCTTTGACTGTAATTTTCCATTACCTTCCCAAATCCTATAAAACGGCCCCAACCCCTATCTCCCTCTGCTGACTCTCTTTTTGGACTCAGCCCGCCTGCACCCAGGTGAAATAAACAGCCATGTTGCTCACACAAAGCCTGTTTGGTGGTCTCTTCACACGGACGTGCATGAAATTTGGTGCCGTGACTCGGATTGGGGGGGGGACCTCCCTTGGGAGATCAATCCCCTATCCTCCTGTTCTTTGCTCCGTGAGAAAGATCCACCTATGACCTCAGGTCCTCAGACCGACCAGCCCAAGGAACATCTCACCAATTTTAAATCAGGTAAGCAGCCTCTTACTCTCTTCTCCAACCTCTCTCACTGTCCCTCAACTACTTTCTCCTTTCCACTCTTCAATCTCTCCCTTCTCTTAATTTCAATTCCTTTCATATTCTGGGAGAGACAAAGGAGACACGTTTTATCCGTGGACCCAAAACTCTGGTGCCGGTCACGGACTGGGAAGGCAGCCTTCCCTTGGTGTTTAATCATTGCAGGGAGGGACGCCTCTCTGATTATTCACCCACGTTTCAAAGGTGTCAGACCACGCAGGGACGCCTGCCTTGGTCCTTCACCCTTAGCGGCAAGTCCCACTTTTCTGGGAAAGGGGCAAGTACCCCAACCCCTTCTCTCGTCTCTACCCCTTCTCTGCTTTTCTGGGGGAGGGGCAAGTACCCCTCAACCCCTTCTCCTTCACCCTTAGCGGCAAGTCCCACTTTTCTAGAGGAGGGGCAAGTACCCCAACCTCATATCTCTGTGCCCCAATCCCTTATTTCCATGACCCGACCCCTTATTTCCATGACCCTACCCCTTATTTCTGTGCCCCGACCCCTTATTTCTGTGCCCCATCCCTTATTTCCACACCCCGACCTCTTATCTCTGTGCCCCAACCCCTTTTCCCACTTTTCTGGAAGGTAAGAACCCCCAAACCCCTTCCCCCCTTTCTCTACTCTCTCTTTTCTCTAGGCTTGCTTCCTTCACTATAGGCAAACTTCCACCCTCCATTTCCCCTTCTACTCCCTTGGCCTGTGTTCTCAAAAACTTAAAACCTCTTCAACTCACACCTGACCTAAAACCTAACTGCCTTATTTTCTTCTGCAATGCCACTTGACCCCAATACAAACTGGACAGTAGTTCCAAATAGCCAGAAAATGGCACTTTGAATTTTTCCATCCTGCAAGATCTAAATAATTCTTGTCGTAAAATAGGCAAACGGTCTGAGGTGCCTGACGTCCAGGCATTCTTTTACACATCAGTCTCTTCCTAGTCTCTGTGCCCAGTGCAACTCGTCCCAAATCTTCCTTCTTTCCCTCCTGCCTGTCCCCTCAGTACCAACCCCAAGCATCGCTGAGTCTTTCTAATCTTCCTTTTCTACAGACCCATCTGACCTCTCCCTTCCTCCCCAGGCTGCTCCTCGCCAGGCCGAGCTAAGTCCCAATTCTTCCTCAGCCTCTGCTCCTCCACCCTATAATCTTTTTATCACCTCCCCTCCTCACACCTGGTCCGGCTTACAGTTTCGTTCCGTGACTAACCCTCCCTCTCCTGCCCAGCAATTTACTCTTAAAAAGGTGGCTGGAGCTAAAGGCATAGTCAAGGTTAATGCTCCTTTTTCTTTATCCCAAATCAGATAGCGTTTAGGCTCTTTTTCATCAAATATAAAAATCCAGCCCAGTTCATGACTTGTTTGACAGCAACCCTGAGACACTTTACAGCCCTAGACCCTAAAAAGTCAAAAGGCCGTCTTATTCTCAAAATACATTTTATTACCCAATCTGCTCCCAACATTAAATAAAACTCCAAAAATTAAATTCCGGCCCTCAAACACCACAACAGGATATAATTAACCTCACCTTCAAGGTGTACAATAATAGAACAAAGTTGCAATTCCTTGCCTCCACTGTGAGACAAACCCCAGCCACATCTCCAGCACACAAGAACTTCCAAACGCCTGAACCGCAGCGGCCAGGCATTCCTCCAGAACCTCCTCCCCCAGGAGCTTGCTACATATGCCGGAAATCTGGCCACTGGGCCAAGGAATGCCCGCAGCCCGGGATTCCTCCTAAGCCACGTCCCAACTGTGTGGGACCCCACTGAAAATCGGACCGTTCAACTCACCTGGCAGCCACTCCCAGAGCCCCTGGAACTCTGGCCCAAAGCTCTCTGACTGACTCCTTCCCAGATCTTCTTGGCTTAGCAGCTGAAGACTGACACTGCCCGATCGCCTCGGAAGCCCCCTGGACCATCACGGATGCCAAGCTTCGGGTAACTCTCACAGTGGAAGGTAAGCCCGTCCCCTTCTTAATCAATACGGAGGCTACCCACTCCACATTACCTTCTTTTCAAGGGCCTATTTCCCTTGCCTCCATAACTGTTGTGGGTATTGATGGCCAGGCTTCTAAACCTCTTAAAACTCCCCAACTCTGGTGCCAACTTAGACAATACTTCTTTAAGCACTCCTTTTAGTTATCCCCACCTGCCCAGTTCCCTTATTAGGCTGAGATACTTTAACTAAATTTTCTGCTTCCCTGACTATTCCTGGACTACAGCTATATCTCATTGCCACCCTTCTTCCCAATCCAAAGCCTCCTTTACATCCTCCTCTTGTATCCCCCCACCTTAACCCACATGTATGGATACCTCTACTCCCTCCTTGGCGACCGATCATGCACCCCTTACCATCTCATTAAAAACTAATCACCCTTACCCCACTCAACGCCAATATCCCATCCTGCAGCACGCTTTAAAAAGATTAAAGCCTGTTATCACTCACCTGCTACAGCACGGCCTTTTAAAGCCTATAAACTCTCCTTACAATTCCCCCATTTTACCTGATCTAAAACCAGACAAGCCTTACATGTTAGTTCAAGATCTACGCCTTATCAACCAAATTGTTTTGCCTATCCACCCCGTGGTGCCAAACCCATATACTCTCCTATCCTCAAAACCTGCCTCTACAACCCATTATTCTGTTCTGGATCTCAAACATGCTTTCTTTACTATTCCTTTGCACCCTTAATCCCAGCCTCTCTTCGCTTTCACTTGGACTGACCCTGACACCCATCAAGCTCAGCAAATTACCTAGGCTGTACTGCCACAAAGCTTCACAGACAGCCCCCATTACTTCAATCAAGCCCAAATTTCTTCCTCATCTGTTACCTATCTCGGCATAATTCTCATAAAAACACACGTGTTCTCCCTGCCAATCGTGTCTGACTGATCTCTCAAACCCCAGCACCTTCTACAAAACAACAACTCCTTTCCTTCCTAGGCATGGTTAGCGCGGTCAGAATTCTTACACAAGAACCAGGACCACACCCTGTAGCCTTTCGGTCCAAACAACTTGACCTTACTGTTTTAGCCTAGCCCTCATGTCTGCGTGCAGCGGCTGCCACTGCATTAATACTTTTAGAGGCCCTCAAAATCACAAACTATGCTCAACTCACTCTCTATAGTTCTCGTAACTTCCAAAATCTATTTTCTTCCTCATACCTGACACATATACTTTCTGCTTCCCGGCTCCTTCAGCTGTACTCACTCTTTGCTGAGTCTCCCACAATTACTGTTGTTCCTGGCCCAGACTTCAATCTGGCCTCCCACATTATTCCTGATACCACACCTGACCCCCATGACTGTATCTGTCTGATCCACCTGACATTCATCTCATTTCCCCAAATTTCCTTCTTTCCTGTTCCTCACCCTGATCACACTTGATTTATTGATGGCGGTTCCACCAGGCCTAATCGCCACACACCAGCAAAGGCAGGTTATGCTATAGTACAAGCCACTAGCCCGCCTCTTAGAACCTCTCATTTCCTTTCCATCGTGGAAATCTATCCTTAAGGAAATAACTTCTCAGTGTTCCATCTGCTATTCTACTACTCCTCAGGGATTATTCAGGCCCCCTCCCTTCCCTACACATCAAGCTCGAGGATTTGCCCCACCCAGGACTGGCAAATTAGCTTTACTCAACATGCCCCGAGTCAGATAACTAAAATACCTCTTAGTCTAGGTAGATACTTTCACTGGATAGGTAGAGGCCTTTCCTACAGGGTCTGAGAAGGCCACTGCAGTCATTTCTTCCCTTCTGTCAGACATAATACCTCAGTTTAGCCTTCCCACCTCAATACAGTCTGATAACAGACGAGCCTTTATTAGTCAAATCCGCCAAGCAGTTTTTCAGGCTCTTAGTATTCAGTGAAACCTTTATATCCCTTAGGGTCCTCCATCTTCAAGAAAAGTAGAATGGACTAAAGGTCTTTTAAAAACACACCTCAGCCCTCTCCCTCTCCCTCTCCCTCTCCCTCTCCCCACGGTCTCCCTCTCATGCGGAGCCGAAGCTGGACTGTACTGCTGCCATCTCGGCTCACTGCATCCTCCCTGCCTGATTCTCCTGCCTCAGTCTGCTGAGTGCCTGCGATTGCAGGCACGCGCCGCCACGCCTGACTGGTTTTGGTGGAGACGGGGTTTCACTGTGTTGGCCGGGCCAGTCTCCAGCCCCTAACCGCGAGTGATCCGCCAACCTCGGCCTCCCGAGGTGCCGGGATTGCAGACGGAGTCTCGTTCACTCAGTGCTCAATGGTGCCCAGGCTGGAGTGCAGTGGTGTGATCTCGGCTCACTACAACCTACACCTCACAGCCGCCTGCCTTGGCCTCCCAAAGTGCCGAGATTGCAGCCTCTGCCCGGCCGCCACCCCGTCTGGGAAGTGAGGAGTGTCTCTGCCTGGCCGCCCATCGTCTGGGATGTGAGGAGCCCCTCTGCCTGGCTGCCCAGTCTGGAAAGTGAGGAGCGTCTCCCTAGGAAGTGAGGAGCACCTCTTCCCAGCCGCCATCACATCTAGGAAGTGAGGAGCGTCTCTGCCCGGCCGCCCATCGTCTGAGATGTGGGGAGCGCCTCTGCCCCGCTGCCCCATCTGGGATGTGAGGAGCGCCTCTGCCCGGCCGAGACCCCGTCTGGGAGGTGAGGAGCGTCTCTGCCCGGCCGCCCCGTCTGAGAAGTGAGGAGACCCTCTGCCTGGCAACCACCCCGTCTGAGAAGTGAGGAGCCCCTCCGCCCGGCAGCCGCCCCGTCTGAGAAGTGAGGAGCCTCTCCGCCCGGCAGCCACCCCATCTGGGAAGTGAGGAGCATCTCCGCCCAGCAGCCACCCCGTCCGGGAGGGAGGTGGGGGGGGTCAGCCCCCCGCCTGGCCAGCCGCCCCATCCGGGAGGGAGGTGGGGGGGTCAGCCCCCCGCCCGGCCAGCCGCCCCGTCTGGGAGGTGAGGGGCGCCTCTGCCCGGCCGCCCCTACTGGGAAGTGAGGAGCCCCTCTGCCCGGCCAGCCGCCCCGTCCGGGAGGGAGGTGGGGGGGTCAGCCCCCCGCCCGGCCAGCCGCCCTGTCCGGGAGGGAGGTGGGGGGGTCAGCCCTCCGCCCGGCCAGCCGCCCCGTCTGGGAGGTGAGGGGCGCCTCTGCCCGGCCGCCCCTACTGGGAAGTGAGGAGCCCCTCTGCCCGGCCAGCCGCCCCGTCCGGGAGGGAGGTGGGGGGGTCGGCCCCCCGCCCAACCAGCCGCCCCATCCGGGAGGGAGGTGGGGGGGTCAGCCCCCCGCCCGGCCAGCCGCCCCGTCTGGGAGGTGTGCCCAACAGCTCATTGAGAACGGGCCAGGATGACAATGGTGGCCTTGTGGAATAGAAAGGCGGGAAAGGCGGGGAAAAGATTGAGAAATCGGATGGTTGCCGTGTCTGTGTAGAAAGAAGTAGACATGGGAGACTTTTCATTTTGTTCTGCACTAAGAAAAATTCCTCTGTCTTGGGATCCTGTTGATCTGTGACCTTACCCCCAACCCTGTGCTCTCTGAAACATGTGCTGTGTCCACTCAGGGTTAAATGGATTAAGGGCGGTGCAAGATGTGCTTTGTTAAACAGATGCTTGAAGGCAGCATGCTCGTTAAGAGTCATCACCAATCCCTAATCTCAAGTAATCAGAGACACAAACACTGCGGAAGGCCGCAGGGTCCTCTGCCTAGGAAAACCAGAGACCTTTGTTCACTTGTTTATCTGCTGACCTTCCCTCCACTATTGTCCCATGACCCTGCCAAATCCCCCTCTGTGAGAAACACCCAAGAATTATCAATAAAAAAATAAATTAAAAAATAAAAATAAAAAAAAAATAAAAATAAAAAAATAAAAACACACCTCACCAAGCTCAGCCACCAACTTAAAAAGGACTGGACAATACTTTTACCACTTTCCCTTCTCAGAATTCAGGCCTGTCCTCGGAATGCTACAGGGTACAGCCCATTTGAGCTCCTGTATGGATACTCCTTTTTGTTAGGCCCCAGTCTCATTCCGGACACTAGACCAACTTAGACTGTGCCCCCCCTCAAAAAAAAAAAATTTGTCATCCCTACTATCTTCTGTCTAGTCATATTCCTATTCACCATTCTCAACTAACTCATACATGCCCTGCTCTGGTTTACACTGCCGGTTTACACTGTTTTTCCAAGCCATCGCAGCTGATATCTCCTGGTGCTATCCCCAAACTGCCACTCTTAACTCTTGAAGTAAATAAATAATCTTTGCTGGCAGGACTGTGCTGAATCTCCTTAGGCACTCTCTAATCAGATATCCGGAGTCGTCCCAATTCTTAGACCTTTTATACCTGTTTTTCTCCTTCTGTTATTCCATTTAGTTTCTCAATTCATCCAAAACCATATCCAGGCCATCATCAATCATTCTATATGACAAATGTTTCTTCTAACATCCCCACGATATCACCCCTTACCACAAGACCTCCCTTCAGCTTAATCTCTCCCACTCTATGTTCCCACGCCGCCCCTAATCCTGCTTGAAGCAGCCCTGAGAAACATCGCCCATTCTCTCTCCATACCACCCCCCAAAAATTTTTGCCACCCCAACATTTCAACACCATTTTGTTTTATTTTTCTTATTAATATAAGAAGGCAGGAATGTCAGGCCTCTGAGCCCAAGCCAAGCCATCACATCCCCTGTGACTTCCACGTACGTATACGCCCAGATGGCCTGAAGTAACTGAAGAATCACAAAAGAAGTGAATATGCCCTGCCCCGCCTTAACTGATAACATTCCACCACAAAAGAAGTGTAAATGGCCTGTCCTTGCTTTAAGTGATGACATTACCTTGTGAAAGTCCTTTTCCTGGCTCATCCTGGCTCAAAAAGCACCCCCACTGAGCACCTTGCGACCCCTGCCCCTGTCCACCAGAGAACAACCCCCTTTGACTGTAATTTTCCATTACCTTCCCAAAGCCTATAAAACGGCCCCACCCCTATCTCCCTCTGCTGACTCTCTTTTCGGACTCAGCCCGCCTGCACCCAGGTGAAATAAACAGCCATGTTGCTCACACAAAGCCTGTTTGGTGGTCTCTTCACACGAACGCGCATGAAAATATATAGTTTATGCGGTAACTTTTTAATGTACTTAATTATGTATTTATTAAAATTTTTGTGGGTACATAATAAGTGTATATATTTATGGGGACTTTTTAAATGGCTACAAATTTTTGACACTTCTCTCATCAAGAGGCAAGGTCTATGACCTGTCCCTTTGAATCATGGTAAGATTGTGACTGCTCCAATTAATAAAGAAAGGTTATTGACTTCTGAGTTTAGGTCATTCAAGTTCATACAACTTCCTCCTGGTTCTTTCCACATTTCCTCTGCAGAAGCTTACCCTTGGAATCCAGCTGCTCTGCTGTAAAAATCCTAGCTACCAATAAAGCTCTCGTGTGGGTCCACAGTCCCAATCCAGTCCAGCCTGTTATGGGATTCTGATGAAGATTCCAATTCTTAGCCATTTGAGTCATCACAGTATCACAACATCCCAGCTGAAGCCCCAGACTTCATAGAGAGCTGTAAGCTCAAGGCACAGATTTCCCAGCTGTGCCTTGAATTTCTAACCTACCGAATCCATGGGCATAAAATTAATGATACTTTATGCCACTAAGTTTCAAGTGGTTTGTTACACAGCAGTAATCAGAACTTCTTAAATGTCTCTAGTAAACAGAAAATCTATAAACTTGGGAAAAGGAAGAAAAAAGATCTAAAAATAATGGGAGCTGCCAAGCATTTAAGCAATAGCATATGTTTTGAGATGGGAGGATGATGTTTTTGAAATAGGATGATGGTAAACAAAACCCTATATTATATGTCCAGTATCATCCTTAATGATTCAAGTAGTACATTGTTCAGCTGTAAAGAATCTGCTGCCCCTAACACGCAATTTAAGTCACTGGTTCTCAGGTTTTACTTTATAAACCAGAAATGTGATGTTTCTTCCTCTTAATTGTATGTGCCAGAGAAGCTACAGGAGTTTTTGAGAGAAACCTGAAGTTCAGGGGGAAACTTTTCTGCTTATAATTGGGGCCTAAATCACTCACTTGATTATAACAATCAAATAATTGCCCTTGCTTTCTCTTCCTATCTTTAATTTTTTTGTTGTTTATTCCTTCTTTGTAACTTCACCAAAACAAGAAAAACCATCAGGTATAAGAATAGAAAATATACTAATATTTAATCCCCATAGTAGAAATAAATGCTTAGTAGGGAAAGTATAAAATTAAAAACTTGTAGAGTATTTCCCTGCTTCTTTACAATATTTCTGGAATTTTACAGTTTGCAACATATTTTCAAACAGATTTTAAAATATAATATTCATCATACCTTAAAATATTAGTTTGCATATGAGATAATGGAGGCTCAAGGAGGCTCTATGTCTTGCCCAAGGTCACACAATTAGGCTAGGACTCACACAATTAGGCGAGGACTCATACACAGACAAAAGTCCATTGTTGGTTGGGTGTGGTACATCATGCCTGCAATGCCAGGACTTTGGGAGGCCAAGGCAGGAGTATTTCTTGAGCCTAGGACTTAAAGACCAGCCTGGCAACATAGAAAAGTCCCATCTCTCCAAAAAAATAAAAATAAAAAATGAGCAAGGTGTGGTACATTCCTGTGGTCCTGTGGTCTAAGCTACTTGGGAGACTTAGGTGGGAGGATCGCTTGAGCCAGGGAGATGAAGGCTGTAGTGAGCTGTGATCACACCACTGCACTCAGCCTAGGCAACAGAGTGAGACCATGTCTCCAAAAAAAAGTGTATTGATATAGATTTGACTTCAAAACATTGTATACCAAGCCTCTGCTTCCATCTATTTATAATTTATATATTAGTATTCTTATATTAATGTTTTATAGAGAGTAAAAATAGAATTTTAATGGAGTGATGAAATGCATCACGGTGTATCACCTGAATTTACTGCATTACCAATTTAAATAACATATGTATTTTAATACCTTCCCCAATTTCCTTAAGGACCTCATCCCTTTGCAGGTATTGAATTGCTAGTCTTTCCCCACCTAAAATTATCCAGGAGTTACCGGAGATTACTAAATCCAAAGGGGGATTCTGAAGCATAAAATTCAGAGAGATCAGTGGACTGAAGTTGAATATTGCCATTCATTTTTGGAATCTGGGGTCAGAATTATAACTAGTCCTGCACAGTTATTTATGAACTTCCAGGTGCTATTGCCTTCTAGGAATCTACCTAAAACATAGTACATTCTCATGCTCACTGTCAAGGAAATAGATCATATTTTTGACTGTATTCCATGGACTTCCAGGATAGCATGTTGGCCTAGAAATATCTCACTCCCAAGAACCTTTAGTGATTGAACCAACATCTCCTGCTTAGGTTCCCCATTTTCTCAGGGTCTGGTTTGCCTTTGTATTAGGCTTTTGTCTGGAGCTATTTTGGTTTACCAAAAACATCTCATTACCTTCTAATGCAAGGTAAATGTGTTCTCAGTGCAACCACCATAGGTATACTTCTAAATTATAGTTTTGGTCACCGTTTCTTCCTTTCAAAGATCTCTTGGCTTCTTGTCTCACTCACAGTAAAAAGGCAATACAACGTGAGCTCTCCTCCTCCTTACTTGTATCACCTACAATTTTGGCCTCCAGTGCCGTTGCCTCCTTGCTCTTCCAAGAATAAATCTGTTAAGCTCCCACCTCTGGATATTTTCATCTGATATTCCAAGACTGATCTATTTTTTTAGCTATCCCCATATCTCACTCACTTATGTCATGTCTTTGCTTTCTAAATAAGGTCTTCTGTGACTACTCTATTTCAAATTGTACCTCACCAACCATACTTTCTCTTTTCACGCCAATTTTTTCCCATAGTAATTGTCCCTTTGGCATTTTCCTTGTTAATCAACTGTTCCCCCAGAAAAAGCAAAACACTTTCAGGGTAGGAATTATTGTGTTTTCTTCACATTGCCTAGAACAAAGCCTGGTATAACATAGGCCCTTAAAAATATATACTGTATATTGTGTAAGTTGAGTAGGAAAGGCAACTGTACGCAGCACAAGCAATAACAAAAGGTTATTTAGGAGAAAACCCTTTATTCTGGGGCTGGTCCCTGGAGAGGGTCTCTAAAATATGCCAGTGTAGAGTAAGTAGACACCCACCTTCCTAAGTGAAAGATTAGGAGTCTTTTATTTCTGTGGGCCTTGAGAAAAGTTATCACTTTTCTGAAGAGATGGAAAAAGAAGAGACAACACCTTTAAAGCCCAAACTCTTTCTGGGCAGGAAATAACAGAGATTCAGCCTCTGTTCCCTCAAATAAGAAGCTAGCAAGATTTATGCAAGCAGACCATCACTCCCTTACATCCATTTGTTTTTCTCATTACACACTCGGATTCAATCATCTGTCATTAAAATCACTCTTGTCAATTCTACTGTATTTTCTTCAACTTTTCACTCTTCTCACTTTCATTCCCCAAACTTCTAACTCATCTTTCCCAAGGATTAATGCTTCAGCAAATGGTCTCGCTTGTTATTTCATTAGGAAAAAAACAAAACAGAGGTGAATTTTCCCCACATCTTCTACCAACCACCAACACGCCCACATTAGTACTCACTCACTCGCTCTCAGTCCTGTTAAAGTGGATGAACTCTCTTGGCTCATCCACTTTAACAACAGCCCCTCGACTTGTCCATTTGAACCCACTCCCTCTCATCTATTCAAGGTCATCAATCTAGCAATTCTCTTCTCTTCATAATCATTTTTTTATACAATTATAAGCTGAAAAAACATGTTACAACATCTTCAATCTCAAAATTCTCTCTAGTGCCTACATCTCCTTCCACTGCCCCATTTCTCTGTTTCTCTTGTAAGTGTTTTGTGCTGTCACATGTCACTTAACTATGGGGATATGTTTTGCGAAATCATCCTTAGGTGATTTCTTCATTGTGTGGACATGATAGAGTGTACTTACACAAGCCTAGGCAGTATAGCCAACTCCACACCTAGGCTATATGTATACACCTAGATATATACATTTGGATGAATCTTTACCATTTGTAATCAGTATCAAAATGTTATCCATGAGAAAAATATTTTACATGATCCTGCTTTATTTTTCTCTACAGCATTTTTCAGACATTTATATTTGCTTGTTTACTGCTGTGTCCTCTCACTAGAAGGTAACCTCCAAGAGGGTAAAAAATTTGATCTATTTACTGCTCTATCTGCAACTTCTATGACATTGCCAGTAGGCATTGAACAATTTTGTTGAGTTAATTGGTGAAATTGCTAAGAGTGATAGTTAATTTTTCTTCCTAGTTTATGAGGTTCTCTGCAGAACACTGTCTCATGTGTAGTCTTATTGATGCCTCAATAATTATATGAATGTATTACTCTTTGCTATATGTTATAAATGAGGAAAGAGATTTAGAAATGTCCAAGGGCTTACATGAGTTCAGAGGAGTAGGCTGTGGCAGAAGGAAGATTTGAATCAAGGCTGTGTGTCTACTTGGCTTATGTTCTCAACTGCTACTCTATTTGACTCCTTACACTTGAAATATTCTAAAATCACAATAGTCTTCATTCTATTTATTTAGTAGGACTGCACGTTTCTTGAACCTAACTTTTTTCTTCTCTCCTCAACTTTTGAAAGTAAATCATTTTGAATTTTAATTTGAGTTTAGGCAAAGAAGACATGGGTGACTCCATTTCTCTGTCTTCGTCTGCCTCTCTCTGCCTCTGTCTCTCTTCTTCTTTCTCTGTCTTTCTCTCTCCTCTCTCTATTTCTCTTTCTGTTTCTGAAAATTGGTCTTCCTGTTATTTGCATTGTTTCTTAGGTTAAAAAATTCAGACAGAGGAAAGGATTCAGCTTTTGTTTTATGTGCCAACCTTCCCAAGTTACTGAGAAGAAGTGCTCTAAGAAGACAGTTTGCTAGGTTTTCTGTTAATGCATCTTCAGTAATAAGTCTAAAACCATAGAAAAGAAAATTTGATTATAAAACAATCTTGAGAGATAAAACATGAAAAAAATACACAACAGTATTTTATTGACATTTTAATTTTCTTTCATTTTCATATTCTAAAATTCTTTCCACTGCAGCCGGAATATCACAGATAAATGAAATAAGTGATTGAGATCCTAAATTTTTACCATAAAATAAATATAGAAACTTCATAATGTAATTCACTCCTAATACCTTTCTTCTTAAATTTATTATTTTTGATTTAAAGAGGAAATGTTTTCTTCCAACTATGACTGTTAGAGTATGTAGCTAGGCAGACATGAGCAGGGCAGGAAATGCCCCTTCCCCTAGCCCCACAAACCAGGAATGTCAGGTGAGCATCAGGTGGTGGTCAGGTGGCTGTTAAATGGGCTCTCTAAATTAATTGTTTGCAACCAACACCAGAGAAAGGCAGTCTCCCAATAGATAGAAACACCTAAAGCTGATGATCAGCAGCATCCCAATAAGATTTCAGGATTTGGGTGAATGGACTCAAGCATGTGCATTAAGAGGCAAAATGCCTGAGTTTAACTAATTTGTGACTTTCCTCTAGGAACATTCAACTGGTAAAGGAAAAACATCTCAAATGAGCATGTGCATAACTTCAGCAAACATACTGTGCATGTGGTGCCTCTCAAGTATAGGCAGGCCACTGTGCATACAGATATCCCACCCCAAGGGAGGAATCCGTGGAGAAGAAGCGCAAACCCCAGAATCATGCCAATGCATAAAACCCTAAGTCAAGGGTCGGACAGCACACTTGGATCCCTCAAGTTGCCAATTTGGCCCTCTTCCAAGTGTACTTTGCTTCCTTTCGTTCTTGCTCTAGAACTTTTTAACAAACTCTCACTCCTGCTCTAAAACTTGCCTCAGTCTATCACTCTGCCTTATGTCCCTCAGATGAAGTCTTTCCTCCCAGGAGGTAAGAATCCAATTACTGCAGACCCATATGGATTTGCTGCTTCTACATGACCATGAAGTTTTATAAACAGTTTAGAATTTTAGCTTCGTGTATTGTTAAAAAAAACAGGACATGCTACCCCAAGATATGGCACCTTGGCATTTGAGGAAACAGCAGAAGTAGGAAGGTCACTCTCATCTTCCCCTCACTCTTCTCCCCTGAAGCAGGGCATAAAACCTAGGAAGGTCATTTTCTGATCTTTCTCCTTGCTGAAGACCCTCATGTGACAGGTGTTTTGTTCTATGCCCAGAGGAAAGGAGTGTCAGAGAAGGACTCCAAGAAGAATATGAATGAACAAGTCTTACTAAATTCTCCCTAGTTTACTTCTGCTAGATCATACCCTGTTGTCCTTAAATAATATGTATTGCAAAACTGTCCATAAAATACACAAATTTCCCTGTTTCTTTGGGTCTTCATTTCTGAAGGCTCCTATGTCAAATAAAACTTATATTAAATACATTTGTATGCTTTTCTCTTGTCAATCTGTCTTTTGTTATAGGAGCCTCAGCCATGAACTTTGTGATCAGTGAAGAAAATATATTAATTTTGTCCCCTACACCCTGCTATTTCAGAATAGAAGTTTTGAAGAGATTTTTAATTTAATCCTTCCTGTCCTCCTTTAAAATGATTACCAATAATTTTACTAAATTATCAGAATAACTTATCCTGCTGAAAGTCCAGCTCAATGGCAAATTGCCTAAACGCCAAATTTGTCTACTTGTTTTATGTTAGCAAATTTGAAATTCCCTTTTTTCATATAATTTATCATGCAACATTTAAAAATCTCAGATTTATTTTGATAATATATAAAAAGTAAATCTTGAAAACAAATACAATTGTAAATAAAAAGCTTTGCTTTTGGGTTACACTTTTTCTGCTAAGAACGGCTCCATCATCACCCCTCTTATGCTGCAGTAAACCAATTTTTTTTTGCCTTTTCTTCAGATTCAAGGAAAGGCAAAAAAAAAAAAAATTTTTTTGCTGCATTAATTGCCAACAATAAGATTTTACAAAATGACCACTCTGCAAAATGTATTGTGCTCAGCACAAATGTGGATCCAATGAAAATACAAATTCCCTGATCCATAATATAAATACCAAAAAAGGGTAAGATACTACTATGCAAAACAACATCATATGCTGCTGTGATGAGAGCTAAATTATGTGGTAAAGACAATTTCAGCGCATATATATATATGCGCTGAAATTGTCTTAGCATGTGTATTTATATATGCTGTGTGTATATATATATGCTGAAATTGTCTTAGCATGTGTATTTGTGTGTGTGTATATATATATGCTGAAATTGTATCAGCATGTGTATTTGTGTGTTTGTATATATATATACACACATATATATATACACATATATATACATGATACATATACATACATGCTGATAGATACATACTGATATATGTATACATACAAATGTTGTAATTGCATATACACACACATATGTCAGCATCTACCTATCTGTTTGTCTATCTATCTATCTATCTATCTATTTATCTATCTATGGAGAGAGAGAGATAATATATATGGGCAAAGAGAACAGAGGTGAGATGAGGGCCTATAATAGCTCTTAGTCAATTCTGTGAACATGGAAAGCAGATGTTTCAAGTGATGGCTGCCTGTTCAGATCTGAGAAATATGAAGGTTTTGTGATCTCAAGAGAAACCAGTAAGATGCAACTTATCATATCATAATACATTCTCAATAGAATAAGAAACTAAAAAAAGGAATTGTAACCTTTGTTAGTAACCATTCATTACAGAAAAACTATACAAAGACTGTACAGGAAAGGAAATGTTCTAGTATGCTATGGCTAAGGTATGAACAATATTGTTATTATCACCATAAGGTAAACATTGAGTATCAATTTAAAAGCCTCATTAAAAAATGAAAAATGGATGTAGAAAGGGGAAGTGTATGTTTTTGAGAAATGGCTAGTGAAGAGCTAAATTTGAATTCTCAAAATGAGAAATAAATGATTAAACTTTGAAACTAAAATAATATATAAATGTTATTTATAAATATAGAAACAAATATGAAAACAAACAACTAAAATAGAACTTGGGTGGGGAGAGGTGAACAAGGTATTGCTTTTTGTTGGTGTTATTTTAGCCTTGTAGCGTTATTCAAGTGATGGGGCTGACATCACGCTATCCCAACATATGGCACCGTGGCATATTGAATATTTTAAGCTGAAGGTATTGGGGAAAAACCACAAAAGCAGGAAGTTCACTCTTACCTTCACTCGCCCTTCTTCTGTGAAGCAGGGTATGAGACCATATGAGAGGTGCCTTCACAATCCCCAGAGGAAAAGCGCATTCTCATCTTGGAAGACACAGGGACACAGAGAAGAATATGAACAAACAGGATTTGCTAAGTTTCCCCCAGTAGATTACCATTAAATCACGCCCCTTGGCCCTATTAAATTCCTTCATGACTATCTACTCTTTATCATACCTTATATTTAAAAGACCCTCAGGTTTAATTGCTTCTTTGAGTCTTCATTTCCTTATGTTGGCTCTTGTGTCATGTAGAACTTATATTATGTAAATTAGTTCGTTTTTCTCTTGTTATTCTGTCTTTCATTATAGGGGCTTCAGTCATGAACCTAAGACAGATAAGGAAAAGGTATTTTTCTGCCCCTATACCAGTATTAGAACATTGGACATGCATTTATTTCATTAAAAAAATAGAAAGAAGATGTAGTAAAATACAAGTTATTCAATATTATTATGTACAAAAGAAATTTTAAAGGAGAAATTTAAAAAAATCTGTATCAGGTAGCATCTAGCTGAGGGAGGCAGAGTGGTATGTCTTCAATACTGGATTCCAATCTGTGTACATCTTAGCTGTGTCAATTGGGTTTGTTATTTGACTACTCCGATCATTACTTTGCTGTTGTGAAAAAGTAGAGAATGATAAAATCTACCACACACAGTTGCAGAGTATTAATGTTGTAATAGCTAAAATATCTAACACAGTACCTGGTATATTGTTTGATGTGTAAAATGTATCAAATACTCTAAAAAATTCACGGTGTGGCTGAACCTATGGTTCAAGTTTTCAGAGTCTCCTCCCGGGATTAATTTTTCAAATATAATTAACATTAACTTCATTAAGGCAAATTGTAATTATATTCCAAGTTATTTAACAAAATCTTGTATCTGTTATTCTTTATAGTCACTGATTGTAATATTTAAGGTCTTTAGAATTTTGTAAAGATCAATTTTTCTTGATTTCAAAACATATAGTAATAATGAGTTTCTCAAAGTTTTCATATTAACTCTGGAGCACTGTAAATCTAAAAGCAATAGTTAGGACAAGATATTTTGTGGCAAATTATAGTGTTATTTATATGACCTTCAGCGAAGAAAAGTGGGATTGGGATAACATTACACATTAGGGGGTCTTCCTAAATAATTCAGTAATTCAATAAAGATTAACTAGTGGATAGAAGAAAGAGTGGATAAGAAAGATGAAAGGGAAAACCAAATGTAGTGTGTGTGAATAATTTGTGGAACTAAAGAATAACAATTGAAGTAGAAAGACGATCAAAGGCTAAGAAGTCCTAGTGGTAAATGAAAGAACAGGAAGCCACTCATAGACTGGTAAGCAGTTGGTGCTGCACACCCAGTACTTTGCCAAAATCAGCTAATTTCTTTAGAAAGCCTGTTCAGTCCTGTCTGTATTCTATGGTAGATAGTTCCAAGTGGGCCCATTTCCAGACACCAAAATGAAAGGAAGAAAGTATTTTACCTTCACACTCAAAATATGTAGAACAAAACTCCTAAACCCATATTAAGAGCAACTAGTGATCCTTGAAATGAACAAATGCAAGTGGTTTATGTGTTTCTTCATATTCTACATTATAGTATGAAGATCTGCTGTATTTGTCCCAGTAACTTCCTCTATTCTTCACTTGCTTCTCCTTCTTCTGTCTCCCTCCTTCACGTATTTTTAGGCTGGATTTGGGAATTTTTCCATCTGCAGGTTGTAACAGATCTTCTGTTGAATGTTGAATGTTGAAAGAATAAAACACATTCAGAGTCCATGAGATTACTGACGCTCATTAACTCACAAACCTCCTCTTGTGAATTAAATTTAGATTCTGTACATTTAGGGCTGATAAACATGATTTTGATTTACATATCTGAACATGTCTAAAACATGCCATGATTGGTCTTGTTTAACTCGATACTGAAGTCTATACCTGAGGGTCCCAACCAGCTAGAAGGTAGACATCGTAATCCTATGTATTTTTAATCTGAAATTAAATTTCTATTCTCTAAACAACCAATAAATCATCGCTAAAGCAATTTTTCTTTTTCTTTCTTTTTTTTTTTTTTGAGATGGAGTTTTGCTCTTGTTGCCTAGGCTGGAGTGCAATGGCGCAATCTCAGCTCACTGCAACCTCCACCTCCCGGGTTCAAACGATTCTTCAGTCTTACCCTCCAGAGTAGCTGGGATTACAGGCATGTGCCACCACACCTGGCTAATGTTTGTATTTTTAGTAGATGCGGGGTTTCACCATTTTGGTCAGGCTGGTCTTGAACTCCTGACCTCAGGTGATTCACCCGTCTAGGCCTCCGAAAGCGCGGGGATTACAGGCGTGAGCCACCACGCCCTGCCTAAAGCTGTTTTTCAAAAGGCGTGTTTGTATCAGGTCAGCCTGATTAAGGTGGCTCTATGTGAGTAAGAGATCAAAGAGGTAATTTTCTGATTAGTGAAATCTTTCAACATTTTGGTGACTTTACTACCTTCTGTGCTTTAGGAATTGGTTCACATAATTTTTATTTATTTATTTTAAACTCTAATTTGGATTGTTGTCTGGGGCTTAGCAAGAGCAGAAAGAGAAGATTTGCCATTCCTTCTTTGAAAATCAAAACATTAAGCATTTATTTCCCTTGTCCTAGGAAAGCTGTGAATCCTAAGGGCTCTAACTTGGAGTAGAAGAGTGAGGGGGAGAGAGCACGGAGAAAGTGAGCCAGGGAGAATCCCACTGGACTTGTTAGAGTAGGTAGTTGGGAAGACATAAGCAGGGCAGGAGAACCCCCCCACCCACCCCACCCTCACCCCCTGCAAACCAGGAATGTCAGGCAACATCACGTAATGGTCAAGTGGTTGTTAAATTGTCTCGCTAAAATAGTAATTGGTCACAGCTGACACCAGGGAAAGGCAGTCTCCCAGTAGATAGAAAACATCTAAAGCTAGTGATCAGTAGCTTCCTGATAAGATCTCAGGAGCTGGGCAAGTGTGCTCAAGCATGCGCACTAAGAGGCAAAAGGGCAGCGTTTCACTGTGTATCACCTTCCTCTAGCAACGTTCAACGGGTAAGGGAAAAATGTGTGGAGAGAGCATGTGCACAACTTCAGTAAACACACTGCATTGGGCCCCTCCCAAGTGCTAACAGGCCACTGTGCATATGGACAGCCCAAGGGAAGAATCAGGGGAAAAGTAATGCAGACCCTGGAAGCCTGACGACATATAAAGCCCCATGTCAAAGGCCAAACACCACGCTTCAGTCTCTCAAGTCACCTGCTTGAGAGATTGGAGGGCCAACTCTTCCAAGCGTACTTTACTTCCTTTCATTTCTGCTTTAAAAGTTTTTAATAAACTCTCACTTCTGCTCTAAAACTTGCCTCTGTCTCTCACTGCCTTAAGCCCCCTTGGTTGAACTCTTTCTCCTGAGGAGGCAAGAATTGAGGTTGCTGCAAACCTATATTGATTCACTGCTGCTAATATACTTATGCTTTTTAAAAAATACGGCAGGAAAGTTTTGCTGCTCATCTTCACTTTGGGATGAGAAACAGGATAGAATTCAGCTGATGTAGTAATTGGAAACTGTGAGAGAAGTGGGAATAAATGAGGCCGTAGAAAATAACGATCTCATGTTTTATGAAATTTTAGTTATCTTTAGGCAATGTGTGAGAAGGATGCTAGAAGTGAAACTTCCTAGAATCTGGGAAGGGTATTAAAGTTTTCAGGCAAGAGGGAATTGAGCTTTTCCCAAGAACTGAAAGGCCCAAGTGGCTCAGGTATGGAGACTGGTGAAGCATTTCTGAAGAGGCTGAAGAGGAAGGCAGCTTTTGAAATGATGAGATGCACTGCACAGTTAGGGCACAAATTTCTGATTTTGCCAATAGGGTGCAAAGGGTGTCAAGCACGAGGGCAAATTTATCATAATTGAGGCTTGTTACCCACCGTTGCGGTCTCAGAAGCTTAACTTTGTCAATGTATGAGTTAGCTAAAGGCGTAGTTATTGAAATCAGGTAGATGAGGGTTCAAAGCCATAAACCACAAGCTGCTAGCTAAAGACCTGCAGGATTGTGATTAAGCTTCTCTACCTCAGGTTTTTCAATCTGGAAAATGGGGATAATGGTACCCACTTTATGGAATAAAGGAGTATTAAATAAATTAGTACTTATAAAATCCTTAGCACAAGGCTTAACACACCCAAAGAGTTTTGTAAATGAGTTTTTACGTTTCAGGTCAGATTCACACTGACTAATCTCCTAAGAGGTGGATCTGTCCATCAGAATAAAGATTTGTTAACATATGAGTGGGAGCAGTTGGTAAACATTTTGGCCTGTTATACTTTGCATATATCTGCCCAGGTGTATCTAAATGCTTTAAAAAGCCAATCATCTCTGGATAATTTGTTTTCAGGTACTTGTTCACACCTTCCCACCACCTGCCCTGAGTATTTCCAGCCACGCTGTAAAATAATATGCATAATAAACGTCATTGTTATTTTAATCAAATGAACTACAGGCCATAACTGCCTCTCTTCTAACCAATTTTGCTATTTTCTACAGCGTAACGTCTAAATTCTTCAGTTTTTGCATTTATGTAACTTCACCAATGGCCCAGGTGTAATAATTCAACCTCCTCCTCCATTCCTTCCCAACAAGAAATCTAGGCTTCTCAAGACCAATAAACACAGCGTAGTTTCTTATTATCAAGATAACTCCTCTGGCTATTCCTCACTATTGTCAGCCACTTACTGTCTCTTTTTCTGAGAGAGTTCTTCATCATCTATTTAATGTCAATCATTTTCAGTGAATATTAACATATTTCTGTACTATTATCCTAACTATTTTATCTATCTTTTTTTTCTAAAAAAGAACTCGGTCTAGTTTTGGCTTCTGTTTCGTTTCTCACAGGGCAGAGTACAAGGTAATACATCCTTATATTAAAGAATAAAAAATATTCAATTATATATGTAAAAGCACAATAAAGAAGACTTTATTCAGGACCATTGTAAGAAAGGTACAGGGACCACTGCAATTTATAGTCAAGGATCAAGTGGGGTCAGAGGCTGGAAAATTACGAAGAGGAAACATCAGAGGTAAGAGCGATTCTGGCTAAGCCAACCTAACAGTATTCTAGCTGAAAACAGGCCAGGTGAGCAGACATCACCTGGGGAAGGAGGAGGAACTGAATCTATTATGGTGGGTGATCAGATATTGACGACGGGGGTTTCTCACTAAACCAGCTTAATAGGGTTCTTTGCTAAAACTGGATTTTACAAGGACATGCACAGATGGACAAAAGAGAAGATGTGGAAGCCTGACTAAATTTTGTTGAAGCAGAGAATCTTTGTCGTTGGTTAGGTGCCCAGTAAATACCAGTAAATTAATTCATGCAAAGGTGGGAATATGATCTATTTTCTAGAAAATATGCTTACTTTCACCATTAGGAAAATTTCTATTTTTAAAGTATTTAAAATAAATTTCCTCAATAAAACAAATGATTAATTTTATATTTTGAGATTGTAAAAATGTCTCAGGAAGCTGATTTTTAAAAGGAAATATTTGCTTTTTCATTTTCTAGAGTCACTTTTAGAACATTGAAAATAAAACAAGTTTCAGGACTGACTTAAGAAAATTATCTTTCAGCTCGAATTCCTTCTACTCTTAAGAGCTAGAGACAGGCCAGAGTGAACAGACATTACCCCAGGGAGCTTTGAGGAGAAACAAAGTCAAGTGAGTTTTGAGAAGGCCCTGCTGCAGAGGACAGCAAAGTGGGGATATTCACTTAGGAACTGTGGAACTATCAGTCAGGTCATCAGCTGGAAGCTACAGTGTGATGTGGTGATCAGCATTTTAAATGCTTCCCTGGTGATTCTAATGGGAAACAGGATTGAGAATCCCTCATGGGAGAAAGAAAAGAAAAATAAAAATTTGTTTAGCACTGGTATGGTTTAAGACCTGGTGTCATGGTCGTAACAGAAGCCAGCTGCTCTTAGCTGTAGTGGGTGCTGGGTCCTTCCCACTGTCTTGGGGACAGCACGTGCCCATTCTCTCCCAGAATGTTTTACCTCCAAATACCCACATAAGAAAACTTAAAACAGGCATTCGTTTCAATAAGAGGTGATAAACAAAAGAATGAGAAACATTCATTTATTATTTGTGCCTTTTTTTCTCCAAATGTTCCTATTTCCTCCAATCTATTCTGAATAATATGAATTGGAAGAGTAAAATGATAGGCATATCTATAGAAAGACTCAATAACCACCCTGGAATTGGATAGGCTAGCACCAGATATAGCATTAGCTTATGGAGAAGTCCATAGGCGTTGGATAAGGAAAGTAAGATGCAATCAAAGGAACATTAATGGAAGGTTTAACCTTGAGCCACACAGATTATGGAACTTGTTCATGAATTTCTACCCCTAACTCTTACCCTTCCCAAGGCTCCTGGAAATATGAGTGAGAGAAGAAAGGAGAGGGGAAATTGGTATATTACTGAAGGGCTACATGAGTAAGTATGGTCAGGAGTATAGCTTGATTCATCCTGAAAATTTCTGTAGAAAAGATGAGTTAATAAGTCATGTTTCCAAAAAATTAGTGGATGATAGAAGATGAAGGAAGTATATTCAGATGCAGTGAATTAAAATGGCCTATGAAAAGGCATAGTAATAAGACTGGTGAATAGAAAGTAAATTAGTTTGGCTGAAAAGGAAGGTCTTCGCATGTATAATGAGAAGTTAATTCGTTAAGATTGGGGTGGGAATTATTGCTGGACTGAAGACTCTGAAGCCTGAATTTAATATAATATGCAAGACAAATGGATAAAATGATTTTTGTTAAAGGCCAGTTGTCACAGTATGGCACACTCACTGGCTGTATACCAAAATCATTTCCCTAGTCAAATCACATTTTCAGTCTTCTTTGTAGCTAGGTGTGGTTGAAGGACTGAATTTGGCCCAGTAGAAATAGAGCAGAGGTGATATGAGGCCCTTCCAGGACTGGCCTGCCAAATCCTATGTGGGACCCTCCATGCTCCATCTTCTCTTGCCTGTTGGATGGTAATGCTTAGGATGATCTTGAAAGCAAAGTGTTAAAGATGACTCAGTATCTGAGTTCTGAGTCTTTGATGACTGTATGAAGCACATTACTCTCTTGTAACAAGGAACACAAAGAATTGGACTATGTGCTTAACTGAATGGTTAAGCAACCTTCCAGGGATTTGATAGGCTAAGACCAAATGTAGCATAGCGTATGAAAGTCTATAGACATTGGATGAAGAAAATAAGATGTCACCAATGAATGTTAATGGAGGGTTTCACCTTGAGCCACAAAATAATGCCTCCTTGATAAAAAATAATCTTAGCCACAGAAATTATGGGCTTGTCTAAGAATGAGCTAACTTAGCTAATTCACATAACATAAAACATTATATTTTTATTCTGTAGCATAATGGAAATATGAGTGTGATATAATTGAAGATAAAGTGAGAAAGGGATAAAGAGTAGATTTTTAATTTATTTATTTTTACTTCATAGAAAATACTTTTATGAAGGCATTTACATGCCATCTATTTCTTCTAATGTAACTACTTATATATTAAAAGATGAATAAATTTAGATAAATAATTTCTCTACTTTGTATCTGGAGAATTGCATTACTATTATTGCATGTCTCATGAATGAATGGCAATGACTTTGACGGATAAGATCAGGGTCCCAGCATAGTTAAAGACACAAGACAATGGGTAAGCGTGAAGTGTCTACTACACAAAGGCAAGATGAAGAAGAAAAGAAACAAGAGTGATACAATGTGATAGGGTTCAGGACATGCTATCACCGAATATGGCATCTTGGCTTTTAGGAAAACAGCAGAAGCAGGATGGCCCCCATTACCTTCCTATTGCTCTTACTCTGAAACAGGCCAAAAAAACCTAGGAAGGATTCTTTGACCTTCCCCTGGAGTTGGGCACAAAGCCTTCATCTGAGAGGTGCTCTTCCTATACCCAGAGGAAAGGAACAACCTTATCTTTCTTTGTAGATATAAGGTACAGAGAGAAACAGGTATAGAGAGAAACATCTGAACAAACAAGCCTTGCTAGATTCCCCCTAGTTTATTACCATTAGATTACACTTTTCTATCGAATTATACCTCGCCACAACTATCCACTTGCTCATCAAACCTAGCATAAAAAATACACGGATATATCTGTTTCTTTGGGTCTTCATTTCCAATGAATCCCATGTAATGTAAAACATTTATTAAATCAATTTTAATGCTCTTCTCCTGTTAAAAGGTCTTTTGTTATGGGGTCTCAACCACGAACCTAAGATGGGAAGGAAGGATATTTCCTTTCTCCTACTGTTTCTGGCACCAAATAAGGGGTGGCTGAGATACCCTACTTGCTTCAGAGCCTGCAGATGAGATCCTGGAGTACCTGTAAAAAGCTGGTGCAAGGTAAGAACTCTTACCAAGGTCAGATGTCCTGGATCTCTGCCTGTAGTGTCTGGTCAAGAGAAGGTAAAATCCTCCTTTTCCCTTCCTTTCCAAATTCAGCAAAGCAGGAGAAAAACATTTGTTTGCATTGTAGCTCTGATTAAATTTGATTTGGGGGTACCTATTAGTTTTAGGTAGTCTTTTTTTTTTCCCCCTCAAGGTCGGCAATAACGTTCCTGTTTGTCTTGTCTTGTATCGTAAGAACTTAGCTTTGGGTGTTCATTTCCATATGAAGGCTCCCGAGTCACATAAAAATTATATTAATTTCTATGCTTTTCTCTTGTTAATCTTGCATTATAGGGGCCTCTACCATGAAACTAAGATGGGAAGAAACATTTCTTTTCCCCCACACATGCTAAACTAAATGGTAAAGGGGACAAAATGGTGTTTTAGAAATGAAGTTAGGCCTAATCCACAATTATTGGATACTTGGCAATTTAGAAAATTGAAGACAACCAAGCAGAAAAATTTCAAGACCATGGGTAACAGTGAATGATACCCTTAATGCTTCTTAACCTTCTTTACATCATGGCGCATATAGAAAATCATAATATTTAAGTGGTACAGTTAGGTAAGTGGATATAATTGTTCATGGCTGCAAATAACAAACCAATGGCTCAAGCCCTTGTAACAAAGCTGGCTAACTTTAAATATGCATTTTTTTTTCCACAGGATTGTTGTTTCTGAGAAGTGGCTGCTTGGCTTTGGACTATATGTCCCAGCTTTCTTTGTATCGAAGTGTGGTTAACAATGGATTATGAACAGAAATAATCTGTGGCACGATTGAATGAAGGTGGTGAAAAAGTAAGTGTCAGACCCCTAGGAGGGCCTTGCTGGCTAAATTATCCCATGAAAACATGCCACCTGCTGACCAGAAACATTAACTTTTTACCCTTTCATAAGCAAGAAACTACTACTGTGTTACACTATTAGAATGTTGGAGCTTATTACAACTCCTAGCAATATCTTAACTAAAAGATACCTCAAGGACTGAGATGATCAATATTTCCACTCACCTATAATCTGTTCACAGCAAATGGTGTGCCCCAGTTGGAAAACTGCCTGAAATCACCCAGGTAATTCATTACATAAATGAATGAAGTAGGAGTGTGGGGGAAAAGCCTTCCTTCAGTTTATCACTAAGTTTCTAGTTCATTAAGGGGACATATTTCAAGAGAGAGAAGAGACTAACATTTATTAAATACCTGTTATCAGAACCATGGAACCTACGAACACAATCCTATTTTCATACATGTTTCATGTAATTTTATGCAAAAATTTAGGTTTAATTTTCTGGTATAATGTTTATCCATTTTCCTCATGTTTTACTTTGTTCATCTCTACCAATACACAATCCTGAAGGAATGCTCTTATATAAGAGCATAGGAATTAGGTAGTTTAGAATAAAACTATCAGAAAATACAACTCTGACTTTAGTAATAATAACAATAATAACAAAATATAGGAAATGTAAGGAATATCCATATGCAAAAGAATGAAACTAAATCTCCGTCTCTCACCATATTCAAAAATCACCTTAAAAAGGATTAAACTAAAAATAAAACCTGAAAATGTAAAACTACTGAAAGAATATAGTAGGGAAACACTACAGGACATTGATCTGGGCAAAGTTTTTTTTTTAAGTAAGACCTCAATACCATAGGTAACAAAACCACAAATAGACAAATGAGATTACATCAGGTGAAAGAGCTTCTGCAAGCAAAGGAAACAACAAAATAAAGATACAACCTGTAGAATGGGAGGAAATATTTGCAAACTATCCATCTGACAAGAGATTAATAACCAGAATATATAAGGAACTCAAACAACTCAGTAGCAAAAAAACCAAATAATCAGATTTTTTTAATGGGCAAAAAGCCTGAATAGACATCTCTCAAAAAAAGAAAAAAGACATACAAATGGCCAACAAATATGTGAAAAAATACTCAGAGTCACTAACCATCAGGGGACTGCAAATCAAAACCACAAGGGGATATTATTTCACCCCACTTAAAATGGCCTTTCACAAAAAGACAGGAAATGAGAAACGCTGGCAAGGATGTAGAAAAAGAGGAACTCTTGTACACTGTTGGTAGGAATGTAAATTAGTACAGCTATTACATAAAATGGTATGGAGTTTCCTCAAAAAAAAAAAAACCTTAAAAACAAAACTACTATATGACCCAGCAATCCTACTCTTGGGAATGTATTCCAAAAGGGAGAAAATCAGTGTGTCCAGAGACACCTGCACTCCCACGTTTATTGTAGCACTATCCACAATAGCCAAGATATGGAATCAACCTATGTGTCTATCAATGGATGAATGGATACAGAAAATATGGTGTACACACAAAATGAAATACTATTCAGCCATAAAAGATAATGAAATTTTGTCATTTGCAGTGATATGGTTTGGATTTGTGTCCCCATCCAAATTTCACGTATAATTGGAGGAGGGGCCTGGTTGGAGGTGATTAGATCTCACCTCCCACCAGGGCAGTTTCCTCCCTACTGTTCTCATGATAGTGAGTGTGTTCTCATGTGATCTGATGGTTTAAAAGTGTGTGGCACTTCCCTTCTCTTTCCCTCTCTCTTTCCTGCTCCGCCATGGTAAGACATGCTTGCTTCTCCTTTGCCTTTAGCCATGATTGTAAGTTTCCTGAGGCCTCCTGGCCATGTTTCCTGTTAAGCCTGTAGAACTGTGAGTCAATTAAACCTCTTTTCTTCATAAATTACCCAGTCTCAGGTTGCTCTTTATAGCAGTGTGAGAATGGACTAAGACAGCAACAACTAGATGGAACTGGAGGTTGTTATGTTAAGTGAAATGAGCTGGGCACAAATAGTGCATGTTCTCCCTCATACGTGGAAACTAAAAAAGTGGATCTTACAGAGGTAGAGAGTAGAATGGTGGTTACTAGAGGCTGGGAAGGGAAAAGGGAGGGACAATGAAAAGAAGTCAGTTAAGGAGTTCAAAAATACTGTTAGATAGAAGAAATAAGTTCTAATATTTGATTGTATAGTAGGGAAACTATGGTTAACAATAATTTATTGTATATTTCAAAATAACTAGAAGAGAAGAATTGTAATGTACAGAACAGAAAAAAAAGATAAATGTTTGAGGTGATGGATATCCTAATTACCCTGATTTCATCATTACACATTGCATGCAGATCTCAAAATATCACATATACTCCTCAGATATGTAAAATTATATAATATGTCAATAAAAAATAAGAAATTTAAGAATTTTTCTTAAAGAGAATTCATTGTTTACTAGACTAGAATGGATTATGGAGAAAAGAATTTTTTAACTGTATTTTAAAATCTAGGATCAAGCTTTGCCCTACCACAAAAAAACATGATGAGCTTGAGATGTTAATTCATTATTTGAGTCTTTTCAAATACTGTAATATTTGGAATATTGTACTTGTTGCAGAGAACTATGGTTATACCCAAATTTAGTAGGCTATATGTGGGGTTTTTCTAAGGTGCTAGACAAATATTAAGTAGTACCGGATAATATTTAAGTCAGCAAGACAAAGACATTGTACATGCAAACTCTAATATGGTTTGGGTGTTTGTCCCCTCCAAATCTCATGTTGAAATGTAATCTCATGTTGGAAGTGGAGTCAGGTGGGAGGTGTTTGAAACATGACAGGGGATCCCTCTTGAATGGCTTAGTGCCATCCCCTTGGTGATGAGTGAGTTCTAGCTCAGTTAGTGCATGCATGATCTGGTTGTTTAAAATGTGTGGCACCTCCCTCAACCCCCTCTTGTCATATGATGCCCTGACTCTATCTTTGCCTTCTGCCATGATTATAAACTTCCTGAAGCCCTCATCAGAAGCAGATGCCAGCACTGTACTTCATACACAGCCTGCAGAACCATTATCCAATTAAACTTCTTCTCTTTATAGATTACCCAGCCTCAGGTATTTGTTTATAGCAACGTAAGAATCAGCTAACACATACTCTCAGCCAGTGTTGCCTACTGATTCAAATGGTTCCAGTGAGCCTCATGACTTGTTAAGAAGCAGTGTGGGCCATCAGAACATAGAGTTGAATAAAACCACCTTCTGCCTTCAAAAAGCTTTAAGTTTAGTGGTAGAGGCAGACATATAAACACACGTTGATAATACCGTTTGATTCATGAAACAGTAGGTATATTCACAGAGTGCGTGGAAGCAGAGATGAGAAAGCAAAATCTTCTACCAGGATATAGAAAATATATCAATACAAGTTGGATACTATAATATAATATTTGAAATAGTCCTTATTGTATGCTTTTGAGCTATGATACAGAGCTTACTACAGTAAATCAAAAAAGAAAAATTGTTAATTTGATTATTGTTTGGAAAAAGAGTTGGAGTTTATGAAATATTTTGGGCATCTGTTTGTAGGACTGACACTGAAACAAAAGAACAAACTAGACATTCTCAAAGTTCTCAGGTAATTTGGACCTTTCCTAAGCTCGTGTTCAATGGACAGAACTGTGTCCAAGAAAGTATTTTATGGTGGAATTAGAATGGAATAAAGAAGGGAATATATAGAAGATGATTCCCCGTGTCTCAGTCCATTTTGTGTCGCTATAAGAAAATACCTGAGATTGGATAATTTATTTCCTCACAGTTCTGGAGGCTCAGAAGTCCAAGATGGTAGAGCTGGCTTCTGGTGAGGGCCTTCTTGCTCCTTTATTCCATGGCAAAAGGTTAAAGAGAAGATGAGGGAGGGAGAGAAAGAGAGAGAGAGAGGCCAAATTCATTAGTTTATAACAAACCTACCCCCTTGGTAATGAACCCACTCCAATGATAACAACTTTAATCCGTTGATGAGGATGGAGCCTCTCATTAGACCCCATCTCCCAACACTCCTGCATTGAGAATTAAATTTGCAACACAAGCTTTTAGGGGGACACGTTCAAACTGTAACATCTTGGTGGGTGATGGGAGATGTTTGAAAATGTTGTTTCCTTTCCTACTATTTGGGAGGAAACAATAAGCCAGATATGAAACACATTTTACATCCCTATGAAATTGGAGTTTGAGGAAAATGAACTTAAAAAATAAAAAGGAAACAGGAAAATCCAGAACCTTCTTTTTCAGAAAGATGTATGGAAAAAAAAGTCAAGGCAGGCAAAGCCACCTCTTGCAATTCCCACTGCCCGCTGTGCATTCACCTCCCTTCCTCAGCTAAGTCTGCCCCTAGAATTTACAATCTAAGGAAAGGGGCTGCTGCAGAAATGTGGCCCACATTTTTTCTTTTAATGAATTAGAGCTCAGCAGTGGGAAGGTATACTATCAGAAAAAGGATCAATCTGAAAAAAACAAGAAAAAAATCAAAGGGGGACTGCAAGGTGACAAATTAAAAGGGACGGTTTTCTCATAACCTTTGTATTATGCCATTTAATTCTGAAATATTTATTTTTAAACTGGTTATTTTAAAAGCCATTTTATCTAAATTTTTTCACCATAATTCTTCATGTAAAGTTTAACTTTCTTCAAGTTTTTATTTGTGTTTTTTTAAAGATAGAGATATATAGAAGATAAAAGATAAAGCCTACCTATTCAGCTGGGAAATTGCTCTGAGATGTGAAAAGACTTTCTTTGATTTTTGAGAAAATGGTGGAAATTATTATTATTTTATTATTTCTGTCAAAATTTATATATTTTTATTTAAGTATATTTCGGCAGAACAAGAGCAGTGACACACAACATATTTTGGTATATAATGCATTATTTTAGGAACAGAAATTCAGAAAATAATAAATGAAGTCATGAAGAACATTCGTCAAGCAGAGCATGGCTATTCCTTCCCAGGATCTGGACAGAGTTTTTAGTCCATGCAAGCCTGCACCCAATGGAGGACAGGATAAATGTCCCAAAATTTGCAATACGATTGTTGACATTGTGTAAGGTTTTTCCTGCCTTGTATTCAGTTGTTTTAGCAGCCAGATACTTTTAAATAATTATCCTTGGTTTAGTGGCTAGTAATCAGTTATTCTGACCTAGAGATTGTCTATAGCCCATCAACATTTTTGTTTTAAGGAAAACAACAACATTTATTCTACACATTTTTTTCCTGCCATTCTGTACTTTGCAGGGCCATTCCATCTTTCTTTCTTACTAGGCCTCTAACTCTAGGCCACAAATCACAAACATTAATCCACTTGTCTTTGATTAATTGTCTACTTTGTTATTCAGGCATTCCATCAACACAAATCATTAAGAATTCTTTAACAATTTCCTCCTTGTGTTTAATCTGCTTATTAAATGTGTTTACAATTATTCTTTTAGTTTCATCATATTACTGGCTTATTGCATTTGACTTTACTGATTTATGGTTTCTTCCTAAAGGGCTTCTCCCTGTTCAAGACCTGTTACATTAAATGCTTTCAGATATAATAAACCTGTTCATACATTGGGTCTTTATTGAATAACTTTGCAGTTACTATGGAGTGACTGGAAATGTGTAGTGGAAAACACCCTTCTCATATTATCTGAATATCTCATTGTTGCATTACACATATTAGAGGCTTAATGATTTTTTTTTTTTTTTTTTTTTTGGATATGGAGTCCTACTGTGTTTCCCAGGGTTGAAGACAGTGGCACGATCTCGGCTTACTGCAACCTCTGACTCCTGGGTTCAAGCGAGTCTCCTGCCTCAGCCTCCTGAGTTGCTGGGATTACAGGCATGGGCTACCATGTGCCCACCTAATTTTTTTGTATTTTTAGTAGAGACGGGGTTTTACCATGTTGGCCAGGCTAGTCTTGAACTTCTGACTTCGTGATCTGCCCACCTTGGCCTCCCAACGTGCTGGGATTACAGGCGTGAGCCACCACACCTGGCCAAGGCTTAATAATTATAAGATATAATTTAAGTATACTAGATGCATGCTTCAAGACATTTAAGCATATGAATAGTGATGAAGTGTAGCTAAAAGATTTCTAGATAGTGACTTAGAAGGCTGGGGTTCTAGTATGGGAACAAATGGCTTTTACCTTCATGATTTGCCAAATGTCCTTTTGGTAAAAAACATTTTAGTATATGTGGCTCAAGGTTACATTGATAATAATGATAATAATAACAAAAAGTTTGTGAGCATTTTTTTGTTAACGTAAGACATATTCACCAAAGATTATCTAATTTAGGTTTTAAAAAAAATCTAAAAAGTAGATTTGGGCTGGGCGCGGTGGCTCATACCTGTAATCCCAGCACTTTGGGAGGCCAAGGCGGACGGATCACGAGGTCAGGAGATCGAGACCATCCTGGCTAACACCGTGAAACCCCGTCTCTACTAAAAATACAAAAAATTAGCCGGGCATGGTGGTGGGCGCCTGTAGTCCCAGCTACTTGGGAGGCTGAGGCAGGAGAATGGCGTGAACCCGGGAGGCGGAGCTTGCAGTGAGCCGAGATCGCGCCACTGCTCTCCAGCCTGGGCGACAGAGTGAGACTCCATCTAAAAAAAAACATAAAAAAATAAAGTAGATTTGATCATCATTATTGTTGTCCATATTCTTATTATTACATTCCGTCCATTGTACAGATGATGACAAACTGAGGCTTGACTGAGATGAAATGACTCTTAGGGTTAATATTCTTATTATTACATTCCATCCATCATACAGATGATGACAAACTGAGGCTTGACTAAGATGAAATGACTCTTAAGTAGCCCATTCAGAATTTAAAATGTTATTCCAAGCCCTTATACATTTCTGTGCAAAGAGGGGGTTCAACTTTTGTGTCAGTTCTAAGAATCGTATCATGAAAGTAAGAGGAACATGCTTCTTTAGAAATAGAAAGATTTTATAAGCCTCTCAAATATTCACTATTCATGGAAAGCATCATCTTGAAATTGTACATTGACTTCTCTAAGCAAACTTATCCCCAGGGTTAGACAAAGCTTGTTTACGTTTTAGCAATCAAAGAGGATTTCTATTTGAAATCCAAGTCAGCACACTGCAGGATTAGCCATTTCTTTTTGTTTCAGTCATTTTCACAAGTTCACACTAAAAAGTAGCTGAGGACTCAGAACCAAATAATTGTATTTTGATTCATTCTACTTTAATTTGGTCTTCTTCCTCTTCCCCCTCCTCCAAATATTAATTTGTAATCACACTGAGAAAGAGATTATTCTTCTACTCTGAAGGAGACAGTTGAATAAAGACAGGATTATGTTAGGAAAAACACCTTGTAGTGGTGTTGAATGGTAGACTCCTAAAAGATTTGTCCAAATCCTAAATCCTGGACCTGTGAATGTTACCTTATTTAGCATAAGGGTCCTTGCTGATATAATTAAGTTAAGGATCTTGAGATGAAGAAGGTCTTCCTGGATCTTTGGAATGGGCCCTAAATCCAATGACAAGTATTCTTACAAGAGATACAGAGGTGAGATTTGACTGACAGAAGAGGGGACGGTGATATTAACACAGAGGCAGAGACTGAAGTGCTATGTTCCCAACCCAGGAACACTCAGGAATGCTCAGGCAGCCACTAGCAGCTGGAGGAGGCAAGGAGTGTTCTCCCTCCGAACCTATAGAAAAGAGTGTGGCTCTGCCCACACTTTCATGGTGGACATCTTGCCTCCAGACTATGAGAGTGAATTTCTGTTGTTTTAAATTACCCAGTTTGTAGTAATTTGCTATCGCAGACACAAGAAAGTAATACACCTTTACATAAACAGATTTTGGGAAACCAGAGAGGTAAATTACCTATAGTCTTAGAATGTACAATGAATAAATGTATTAAGAGGGAGTGAAGAAAGCCTGGCACAGCAATGATAATTCACAGAAACCTTCGGTGACGTTGCATGTGAATTGGTTAAATCATCTATGTTTTACACTGACATGTAATTCCATAAATATAGTTGTGGGACATCATTTCTTGGAAACTCAAAAATGCCATAGATTAGCATTCTGATGGAATCACCCAGTTAATTGCTGAAGGCAAAGAATGTGTAGTAAAAGAACTTTGAACTAGCAGTGAGCACACGAGAGTCCTAACCTTGACTGGGCCACTTACTTGCTCTGCAATTTTAGACAAATTAGTTAAACTGTGTTCTTCTCTGAAGAGACTTGGTGAAATCGCACGTGTGTGGGAAGGGAATATTTCTACATGGACTGTTGTTTGTGGTAACGAAACACATCATAATTTTGGAAGAGGTCACATTTTTCTTGACCTTGAACACTGGTGGCTAACTTAGCTCTCACCACATTTGTTTTTATTTTCCAGTTTGATAAAAAAAAAAAGTTAGAATTTTTACATAGTTGCATACTAATAAAATATATGTGATATTTCCCAACTGACGTAGCGATTTGTGTGTGCTTTTGTCAGATCTGTCATGCATATAAGAGTTATATCCTCCCCACCACCCAGGAAGTTGGGGTGTGAGCAAGTGTCTCCTATTCCCTTAAGAAAGTACCTTCATGTTATCGTCATCATATGTTGTCTATTCTATAGCTTTGGCCCGTCTACTTGGAATCCTTATGTTCCTAAAACCTCAAGTGGTAGGTCATATAGCTAGATTGTGGACTGTCGTTGAAAATGTTTTAGTGAGGCTGTAAGATGAAAGCTTTAATTTTTGGAGATTTTTTTCATGATCAAGACTGAATGTCCGAAGAAAGAACCAAAAGTAGGTAGGATTCTCTGCTTTTTTCTGTGCATTATTTAGAAATGAGTAAAATACAACACTCCTTTTTATATAAAAGGGAGATGGAGAGTTGTATTTTACTCATGTCATCATGACAAGGACATGTCATCTTACTGTGCCCAGAGGGACAGATAGAATACTTGTGAGGAATCTCAGCACCTGCCACAAACTCCAGGGTTTCTTGTTTTTCACTTTCTAAATAATGCACACACACACACACGCACACACACGCACACTATATACATGCACACACATGCACACTATATATATCATATATATATAGTGTGTGTGTGCATTTTATATATATATTTATATATAAACATAAATATTTATGTTTATATATAAACATAAATATTTATATTTATATATAAACATAAATATTTATATTTATATATAAACATAAATATATATTATATATAACATAAATATATAAACATAAATATATAAACATAAATAAAAAATATATAAACATAAATATATATATATATTTATGGAAGGGGAATCCTCCTCCTCTACTGACTTATCCCTCATCTGCTGTTGTTTCTGTGCAGGCAGCAAATACAACATCAGGTAGAAAAAATAATTTTTAAAGTATCTTATTGGAAACAGAGTGTCTGTCTTCTTCTGTTCAGGGAGAAGGTATAATCTGGTAGCTGTAAGTTTAGTTACAAGTGACAAACAAGAAACCCTGGAGTTTGTGGCAGCTGCTGAGACTCTTCACAAGTATTCTAGTTGTCTGTCTGGGCACAGTAGGATGACATGTTCTTGTTCCTTTTGTATTTGTCATGTAGTCTTGCAACTTGCATTGACTACTGATACGAGAGGAAGTGACATTTTACTCTTGGGAGAGATCATTTAAATAGTAGTGCAAGATAGTGCTCTGTTTTCTCTGCTATGGTGCTCATGGAAGCTTGTGTTGAGATAGAGCCTCTGCCCTAGCCCCAGTACCCTAGGGAATGTGGTGCACAGAGCGCCCATGGTGTGCACACAGCACTCCTGTACTGTATTAGTCAGCGTTCCCTAGAGGGACAGAAGTAATAGGATATATATCTCCTATGAATAATTATATATATATATATATATATGTGTATATATATATATGTATATATATATATGTATATATATATATATATATATATGTATATATATATATATAAAGGGGGGTTTGTTAAGTATTAATTTACATGATCACAAGGTCCCACAATAGGCTGTCTGCAAGCTGAGGAGCAAGAAGAGCCAGTCCGCGTCCCAAAACTGAAGAACTTGGAGTCTGATGTTTGAGGGCAAGAAGCATCCAGCACAGGAGAAAGATGTAGGCTGGGAGGCTAGGCCCATCTCTCCTTTTCACGCTTTTTTGCCTGCATTATATTCTCTGGCAGATGATTAGATGGTGCCCACCGGATTAAGGGTGGTTCTGCCTTCTCCAGCTCACTGACTCAAATGTTAATCTCTTTTGGCAACACCCTCACAGACACACCCAGGATCAATATTTTGCATCCTTCAATCCAATCAAGTTAACCCTCAGTATTAACCATCATATCTACCTACCCACTTGAGCATATAGAATGAGAGAGAAATTACCTTATGGTTTGTTAATACTGAGATTTGGGGTTTGGCTTTTACTGCAGTGTCCCTAGCCTAGGCAGGCTGACTGATAATGACATAGATCGAAGCATTTAAAATTGTTCCTCATCTAAAAAGTTATGAGGAACAACAAAGGTTGTTTCCAACTCCTGATATTCTTCATGATTCTATGCACAATAGATTGTTCCCTGTTTTCTATATGAATAATCCAGTCACCAATATACAACACAGAGGAATTCATTTAGAGGTTCCTTTAAAAAAACACAACAAAACAACAAAACAAAAAGCAGATTTAGCCACAGGCAGAGTTTCTGATTTCTTCATCATCCTGAAACATCCTGAGGTTTCTGCTTCTTGAGAGCACTGAAGAACTGAAAAGGGAGCTGCTTAGGTTTGATTTGATTTGTTAACAGCCATCTCTGGGCTACATTTCTAAGTTCTTCTGGCTCAGATAAATATTTCCCGAGGAAAGAAGAAAAAGTAAAATATTACATGTGGTACACAACAAAATGAAAACATCTGAAATTCAATTTTGTTTTTGTTTTTTAATCAAGCATAGCTTTAAGAAATGCAGAAGAACCAAAATAATACAAAAACAAACAGTTTTTTTAGGTGAGCAGCAGAAAAATAATTGAGAAAGCAATATAAGTCTTCTACTCAGTGGACTGTTATTTTAGCTAAAAAATTAACAAACAAATCTCCAGTTAACAGGCACACAGAGAGAGAGACCCACATACATTTGCTGGGCAAGAACATTGGGAAAATAGATAAGAGGCTTAACCAAGACTTGAGATGCAAAGCAACTTCCTAATTATAGAAGCTCCTTTCTCCCACACGTTATTTCTATAATAGGGTGTTAGAAGAAAGGCACTTTCCTTGTATTTATCTCTTTTTCTCTGCTTGAGTTCAATAGGGTTCCTGCTTTGGGTTTTATAGCACCAGGTAAATACTGCGAGTTCCTCAGGTCTTTAGATTTAGCTCATAATTTAAAAAGTTTTGTATCATTCATCTTGTTCAGGGATTGAGATGCATTTTTGTATAAGGCCACGTGTATAAGTCTGTTTTTATACTGCTATAAAGAACTACCTGAGACTTGGTAATTTGTAAACAACAGAGGTTTAATTAACTCACAGTTCCACATGGCTGGGGAAGCCTCAGGAAGCATACAATCATGGCAGAATGTGAAGGGGAAGTAAGGTACATCCTACATGGTAGCAGAAGAGAGAGACCGAGGGGGAAGTGCCACACTTTGAAACCATCAGCTCTTGTGAGAACTCACTCACTATCCTGCGAACAGCATTGGGGGAAAGCACCCCCATGATCCAATCACCTCTCACCAGGTCCCTCCCTCCACACGTGGGGATTACAATTCGAGATGAGATTTGGGTGTGGCACAGAGCCAAACAATATCACCATGTATTAGTTAGCTTGGCTGTCATAACAAAACACCACAACCTGGGTAACTTAAACAACAAAAACTTATTTTCTCACCATTCTGGAGGCTAGAATTCCAAGATCAAGGTGCCTACAGGTTTGGTTTCTCCTGAGGCTTCTCTTTTTGGCTTTCAGATGCCTGCCTTCTCCCAGCGTTGTCACATGGCCTTTCCCCTGTAAGGTGCACTCCAGGCGCCTCTTCCTCTTCTTTTAGGAACAGCAGCCCTATTGGATTAGGACCTCATTTAACCTTAATTACCACCTTAAAGGCCCTATCTTAAAATACAGTCACATTGAGGGTTAGGGGTTCAATATATGAATTTAGGAGGGACACAATTCAGTCCATAGCAGGTGAGATAATGACTATTTCAGGCTTCAGGGCCACAAGGTCTCTGTTGTAACTAGTCAACTTTCTCACTGTATTGAAGAATCAGTCATAGCTAATAAAATAAACAAGTGTGAATGGGTGTGTTCCAATAAGCATCATTTATGGACAGTGAAATTTGAATATTATATAATGTTCTTGTGTCACAAAATGTTATTATTTTGATTTTCTTTAAGTCACTTAAAAATATGCAAGCTAGGCCGGGCACAGTGGCTCATATCTGTAATCCCAGCACTTTGGGAGGCCAAGGTGGGCAGATCACGAGGTCAGGAGATCGAGACCATCCTGGCTAACACAGTGAAACCCCGTCTCTACTAAAAATACAAAAAATTAGCTGGGCGTGGTGGCGGGCGCCTGTAATCCCAGCCACTCAGGAGGCTGAGACAGGAGAATCGTGTGAACCCTGGAGGCAGAGCTTGCAGTGAGCCGAGATGGCGCCACTGCACTCCAATCCAGCTGGGCAACAGAGCAAGACTCTGTCTCAAAAAAAAAAAAAAAAAAAAAAGCAAGCTAATACTGGTTTACAGTTCATACAATAAAGTTCATGGCTGAATTTGGTCCACAAGGCCTCTCTCTGATTGCCAACCCCTGATCTTAGTCATACTGATGACTCATGATAACACTGTCTGGTCTTTACCTTCCAAGATGTGTTTGGTTGATAAAATGAAAACAAAACAAGAGCACTTCTCTCTGATCTATGGTCATGGGAAATAAATCTATTAATGTATTCCATCATGAGGGAAAGAAGAAAGAGAGCATGCTACAGTTTCTTGAATAGTCCACAAAATCAAATCTGAATTAACAGTCTCAAATGCATAGTAGTTACCAACAAATATCAACTTTGATGTGAAGTTTTAGCTCTTTAATGATGTGATTATTATAGTATTATAGGTTAAAAAAAATCAGGACAGTCCAGAATCAATATTTTTTTAAGTTAAGAATCTCCCAAGGGAGGCTAATGAGATATGCTTCTTTTTAAGTAATTTTATTGCATAGAAGGAGATTTTCCAGGTATCTTAATAAATGCTAAAATCAAGTCTCAGAGGTGTGTTTTAGCTTTGCTATTTTTATTTTGTGTCTCTTGTAACATTTTCACACTTGGCAGTATTTTTGTGCTCTACAGAGAACAAGGCTGGCAGGAAAGATAAGTGATACTTGTTCCTTGGTTGTATTATTCAGCTACATACAAAATGAGTTTCAAAATTATTTAGCAAGTTACCAAAACAACAATTTTCTGATTTTGTTTTGGTATGGTGGTCTTTCTAACCATTTCCAAAAGTCACTACTCAGCCTCAAGAGCTGAGTTAAAAAAATAGCTACTGCTCTAGATTTATGAAAATCTCTGATAGGAATATGGGTTCTACCCATATTCTTGAACCAAATTGAAAGGTCATAAGATTCCCCAGAGGATATATAATAATCAGGAAAGGAAGAAACAATGCCCCATATGTTTTGAGATAACAGGAATCTTTTGATATAAACCCTTTTTGGAAATTCCTCTTTTCCTTTTTTCTGAGAATTGCAGCAGCAACTTCTAGAAGGTTAAAACAGTTCTAATAGCACATCACAAGATAAATTAGAGTATCACTTTTGGAAATGCACATGGGAGCAAGTGGTTAGCCAGTGCAGATTGTAGTATGGATTATGTCCAATCTGCTTAATTTTAGGAAGGGGAGATGTTAATTATGAGACACAATAATTCTTCCAAATGGTCTTTAGTAAGGGTAATCTGAGATTAGTAAAATCTAAGACAAAAATTTAGTCTGAAATTTACAAAGGTCTTTGTGACAGCTGAGTCATGTCCCAGTGGTGATACAGGTTGTAGGAAATTCTCTGGATCTCACACAAGGCGGCGAATTATTTTGGAGCACACTTGGGTGGGAAGGCTCTGCTATGAAGGGTACCAAGGGCTTGCCAAGTGTGTTCATTTTACTCCCACCACCATTATGTTGAATTCATCTCAAGAAAGGCTTGCTCTGAGTAAATTAAAATTAATTTTAAGAGGTTAATGTTTTATGATTATAAAATTAATTCATGTCCATTCTAAAAAATTTAGAAGGAAGAAAAAAATAAAGCAGAAGAAAAAAAATGACATAGTTTCACAGCTCAATGACAACTGTTTACATTTTAGCATATTTTTCTTGAGCCACACATTTGCTTTTTTCTAATTTATTTCTTTCTATTTCTGTCAGATCCTTTTATCTTTTTTGCATCTGAATTAAGCCTAATTCTCAATTCAAAGTCAGACTGTTATTGTCTGAATATTTGTGTTCACACCGAAATGTACGTTTTGAAATCCCAACCCTCAAGGTCGGAGTTACAGTTGGCCCTCTGTGTTCACAGGTTTTCATCCTTGGATGCAACCTAACGTGGATAAAAACCTGCCAATACAGGAGAGCTAACTCTACTACAACCACTTTATATAAAAGATTTGTGCATCTGCAGATTTGTTATGTATGGTGGGTGGGGAGGGGCCTCAAACCAACGCCACCCAATGTTGACACAAAGAAGTAACTGTATATTAGACGGTAAGACGTTTGGGACATGATTAGATCATGAGGGTGGAGTCCTCATATATGAGATTAGTGCCCTTATAAAAGAGACACAGAGACCTAGCTAGCCCCATGGGAAGAACAGCTAGAAGGCACCATCTATTATCTAGAAAGCAGGCCCTAAACAGACACAGAACCTAATGGTGCCTCGGTCTTGAATTTCCCAGTTTCCAGAACTGTGAGAAATAAGCCTGCTGTTTATAAGCCACCCAGTTATGATGTTTTCTTATAGCAATGTGAACAAACTAAGATACAGGCATTTTCAATATTATAGACTATAAATAATCTTAAGACAATTAAATATAACTTTGTTGAAAGAAACGAACCTTGAAAACATAAAATTAATTGATAATGGATCATGATATATAGGTATTCTACCCAAGAGCAATCCCTGAAAAAAGAGAAATAAAGTTAGACTGAATTTGGCTTGTGATTAGGCACTTAATGCACTTTAGAGGAGCTAATGACTATATGTGAGTGAAAAGGAATAGTGTTAGAAATTGTATGTTGAGTGATATGGTTTGGCTGTGTCCCCACCCAAATTTCACCTTGAATCGTAATAATCCCCACGTGTCAAGGATGGGATCAGGTGGAGATAACTGAATCATGGGGGTTGTTTCTCCCATGCTGTTCTTGTGGTAGTGAATAAGTCTCATGAGATCTCATGGCTTTATAAAGGGGAGTTCCCCTGCACACATTCTCTTGCCTCCTGCCATGTAAGATGTGACTTTGCTCTTCCTTTGACTTCCACCATGATTGTGAGGCCTCCCCAGCCATGCGGAACTATGAGTCCATGAAACCTCTTTCCTTAATACATTACTGAGTCATGGGTATGTCTTTATTAGCAGCATGAGAACAGACTAATACATTGAATCTATAGCTGTAATCTGGAACTATGCTCCAGGATAGATGATAAGTTCTAAAGAATACTATATTATGATTTTTTGATAGACCACATTTAAGTTAAGGTAAACATTTGTTTACGTATCCACCTCTCCAGCAAATACTTGTTAGGTACCTATTATATACAAGACATTATGATGCTACAGATTCAGATTGAGAATGAAGAAAAGTGTAAAGAACAAAATAGTTTCTAATTCTAAACAACCATTCTTAGTAAAAATTAAATAAATAAATAAATAAATAAATAAACAAACAAACATAATCAAACCAAACCAAGTTACTCCTGAATTGTTATTTCTCCTGAATGCCTTTCTGTACCACGAAACATATTATAATCTGCCAGATCTACAAATTCACCTCATTAAATGGCTACCTCATTTCTTTCTGACATCAGTTTTTTTAGATGATAGTTCTATGTTAAAATGGAAAATCATTTGCTTTATTCACTGCCGTATTTCAAATATCTTTGCTACGCATGATTCCATTATTTGTAAAAGTTAACATGCCCACTTGTGATTTCTTACAATGGACCCCAAGTAGAAAGGCTAATTTTTATTCTGCAACTCCACTAGCAAAGCACAGCCTGTCTAAGAGAGGAAAGGGTCCACTTATTATACCAGAAATCAAATATTTTCTTGTCACTGATAAAGCATTTGCTACTATCAAAATAGAGTCTCCTCTGGATGAATCTGACAATTTTGATTCAAAGACGTATTTAGTACTATGGGCAATACTATGTTCTGAAGATCCAGAGCTAGTTATGTTCCCTGAACTAGGGATCAACAAATGGATAACCATTATACCACATGAAGGTTTTCAAACCAGAGGAATGAGCAAATTACTATGGAAAATCAGAGGAGGAAATACATGCTGTAAGGGCTTACTAATATGTGGGTTAAGCCTTAAATAATTAGTAGACTAATAGGCAGAGAATAGAATGAGTTGGGCAGGGTGAGGGCAGGGCAGGGGCAGGATATCTGGATAGGGGTCTTCCTAAATCTCAGAAACATAGGTGTACACAGAATGTTATGGAGAAGTCAAGCAGTCTGGTGAGGGGAAGACAGATTGCATGTGGGAGAAAAGGCACAGTGGTGGTTGCTGAAGTTGAATGGATGGGTTAGTAGCCCATGGCCAGATCATGCAAGCCTTGAATGTAATGTCAGTTTAAGTAGTTTGGACTTCATCCTATGAAAAACAGCAAGCCTTCAGGTGGATGGAAACAGGAAAACTCCATTGTCAGACTTATGTCATAGTTGCCTCTCTTCTCCAGCCTTTTGACTTGGAGCCCAACAACCTCACTGTGCCTTCTGGCTGCTTGTGACTGATACCTGCAGACTCCATTCTGTCCTCCACTCTCCTGCTGTGCTCTCAATTCTCAATATCTTAAATCTTTTCGCAGCTACAGGGCTGAAAAACAAGTTTACGGTAAGAGTGGCAAATAGAGTGTGATGTTAACAACAAATATTGCACATTAGTTGTGGTTTAATGAAGCGTGGTGTTGGAGAACTGTGTTTAGGATGAACAGGAATGAGTCTCATGATCCCTTATAAGTGACTAGTAGACTGGTGGGAGAGGGACAAGACTAAGAGGGTGTGATCACTTTCAGATGAGAACAGCTGACTCTGCCTTATTTTTCTACAATCTCCAGAAGATATCCATATTTTAAAAAATGTTTCTGGCTGGGTATGTTGACTGAGGCCTGTAATCCCAGCATTCTGGGAGGCTGAGGTGGGAGGATCCCTTGAGCCCAAGAGTTCAAGACAAACCTGGGCAACATAGGGATGTGGACTGCTGTTGTGAAGCTTTGGTTCTTGTCTTCTTAGTTTACAAGAATTTAAACAAGAGACATGCAGCAAAGAAGATGCAGCATGGAACAATTTATTGCAAAGGAAAAAAACTCTTTTGAAAGTTAGGTGCAGAATAGACAGTACACCTTGAGACTGGATTCAGGGCAGGCTGCTCATAAGGATGAGACAGCAGAGACTGCCACTAGGTAGACTCCCTTTATGGGAGCATTACATGATTATTCATAAGGGGATGGAAAGACGTGTTACTAGTATGCATGTTCTGGGTAGTCCACTGGGTGCAAATGCATACTAGCTGTACATGCTTGTTCATACATGTCTCATTAGCATCTTAAATCTCCACCCAAGGGTATGTTTTTTCCTGTTGTAATGAGGACAAGTAAAATCAAAGTGCGCCTGCTCCCTGCAGGGAAAATTCTCTGCTGGAGATAGCTTTGCTCGAATGAGCTAGACTACAGTGCAAATACCGGGGCTTATTGTGTTGCTGTATGGTCACCATGGTTGCCACATCTGAGGACATGATCATTTCCTTGACCACCTGTCCTGCCTCAATTCCCCACTAAGGGATTTTAGGGTTTATAATCATATTGGAGGCTGTGGGGCTAGGTCATTTCTTCTTGAATTGCTTCCTGCTGAGTGGGGCATTGTCCCTGCCTAGCCTGGGCCCTAAAGTCTCTTCCTGCCTCGTCTAGTGAGGTATAAGCCATGCTTTTTGTAGAACCAATGGGTGAGATGTGAGATAGCTCATTAGCAGCCAAAGGTTGGAAGCTTTGCAAAACTATCATGGAGACTTGTTGCTGTAAGTGAGAGAGCAAGAAATCAGCATTTTAAACAAAGTTGGACTAAAAGTTAAAGCTAAAAGTATGGTAATAATTGGCACTATTAAAAGGAGCAAGTCAGACTATAGCCATTGCTTCCAAGTTCCCCTGGAAGTTCTAAAAGATTTAATTTTATCTTTATAAATTAGTCAGATCCAAGGAAGTATAAAATTAAGTCTTTATATAAATTTATCTGGGTAATTATATTTTTAATATTTTCTTGGAAGGAACTGGACTGATTAATGTAAAAACAACTTTTTTTAATAATAATAAAAAAGACTCAAACATGTTTCTCCTTTTCTGGCTGTGAGAAGAACTAAGGCCCTTTGGTTTTGTAGGACTATGGGGCCAGAGAGTCCAGCCATTGTTGGACCTCTGGTGAGGTCCTCTGCCATTTATTGAAAGGCCACTCTTGTTTTTTGATACATTTTATACTGGATTCCCAAAGCTCTGCTTCCCATAACCGACTCTGCTAATCCCAATAAAGAGGGTGTCACTAAACCCAAGCAAACAAGGGGTCCTACTTGGAGGTGGATCATGTGTTGTTGGTACATGGGGAAGAGAGATGTGTTAGCCCATGTGAAAGTTAAATAAAGGAAATGTAAGCAATGGAGCATTGTCCCTGCCACAGTAGTGGGAGTTGTAGACGGCAAAGATTGACAAACCCCCCGAAATTCCATGTGATGGCAAAATTTTTGCTGCAAAGGTGTTTCGCATTAAGGTTGTAAAAGTAACGAAAATCTGGTTGTCTCTGGGCTAATTAGAGGACAGTAGAGTTCAGGTGGTGTCAATAAGTTTTTAAAATAAGGTTCCCCTTTTAGGGTCCCATTATAAGGTGTATAGATGACTCACTGACAAAGGCTGGGTTACAGTGACTCTCTCGGAGTTTTTTTATGAAAGTAGTGGAACTGGCATGATTGTTGTAAAGGCAGAAGGGGACTTGCTCCCGGTGGGTAAGGTAGGAAAGCAATTTTCCTCTTGGCAAAGTGGGGCTATTATTAATAGTTAAAAGTCAGAGTTTGAACTTGCCATGGTCAGATCCAAGGAAGTCTCTTCATATTGTTTGTTTAGCCAGATAGTCTCATATTGTGGGCCAATAGGTTTGTTCCAGGAGGTGTATAGGAATGTTGGCTCAGTCTTCTTGAGGCACAGATTTGGTATATTTTCAACTTCTGGTAGTTGTGCAAAGCCAGCAGGGCTGAATTAATTTTAATAAGATAGCTAAGAGTGCCTAACGTGCAGAGAGTAAATAGGAGAAAAATCAAAACATTACTTATGTTTTAAGTCTCATTGTAAGTTGTTTCCTTGAATCAAAGCTTATGTTGAGGCAATATTAATTGTTTGATATTTTGGGTCTTTGCTGTTTCTTGGACAAGAGCTTTAGATCCTCCAGTGCTTTTCAGGACTCACTTGCAGTCTGTGTTGTGGGTTTCTGTGTGACTTAAAAGGAATAATTTTTTTTTATTTTTGAAAAGTGCATCCAATGCCCCACACCTCTATGTTTTACTGCAGTTGAAGTTGGTCAGCTGTGGGGTAATGTGACGATACTAGTTTGGGGTTTGTTATTAACACTGATAACAGTGTAGTGTTTGGCAGACAGGGGTCCAGGGCAGCAAGTGAGGAATGACAAGCCAGCCCCTATGTTTAACAGGAAATTGATATTTTCATCTGTCTTATCCAGGATGACTCAAGGCTTTGTTGCTGTTATTGGGACCGATTGCCACATGGGAGCCATTGCTTGCCTTGGGCCTCTTTAGTCTTTGGCTAGGGACAATAGGGAATTAGGAATCCTGTCCTCCCTTTGGAGTTGGGGTGTGTCCTTCTCCCACTGCCCTTCTTTGCCACATTGATGATGGGCTCCATAGGGTTTGCAAGCTTGAAGACTCTTGTTACTTATTTGGCTTCCGTGTTCAGGCCTTTTTTAAATGTGGCCATAGCCCTTTGGGTTCCACCCAGGATGACCTGGAGGTGGGAGTTTTCCCATAGCGAGGGCCAACTGGGCCCGTCTTGTCTCTCTTTTCCTCCCTTTGTTCTTCATGTGCCTTTCATTCTGTCTTTGTTATTGAAGACCCCAAAAGCTATATTTAGTAGTTCATTTATTTTGGGTTTGAGGACTCATGGCTAGGTTTTTGTGACTTTTCCCTAATTTCTGGGGCAGACTGACTAATGAAGTAAGTCTCTGAGAAGATTTGGTCTGTTTCTCTATTTGTTACCTTCCTGAAAAAGATAACAGCCATTTTTGGTTTCTGTGTTTTGTTTTGTTTTGTTTTCAGGTGGGCGATAGGTTACCCTACTATAAGTTGGTCCAGTGGGGCTGGAATATTCAGGGAGTGTTTGGTGAACAAATTTATACAAAAGGAGTGCAGAGGACTGTGTGTCAAGTAAGGAAGGACCACTAGAAGGAGAAGGAGCTTGAGAGGTTTGAAGAGTAGCCCTAGGCTAGATTTTAAGGAAGGAAAGTTGTTGGGAGGCACATTTCTTAATATAGAGTCATTAATTATGTTATGTTTTCCAAACTCTTTTGAATAACATGGGCATAATATATTTAGTATTGCTCTTTAAAGGACTTGTCTTATTATAGAGCTGTTTGGTTGAAGGGAAGAATAATGTAAGGTTCCCCTGCGCCCTTCGAGAGCATCTTATCATCCTGTTTCTTTTTATAGAAAGGTCTGATTGTAAAACAGTAATGTTTGGGCCCATGCTGTGTTGAATAGAGCTAATTACGGAGCATTTATTTATCTCTCTTTTCAGGTTAGTAATGGCCAGCCTTATATATGTGTCATTAACGTTTTAATTTTGGCCTTAAAATAACATCTTAGAAGGTGGAAGTGGCTATATTCATTAGGCTTTCTAGGTCTCATAAAAGGAATTTGGCAGAAAATGTGTTTGACCCAGCAATTAAAGTTTTTTTCTACGTAAAGACAAAACTTCCTGAACTCCAGCTGAAGGCAGAAGGACCCTGACACACAGCAGAAAGAACCTTTAGGACAATTATGATCAGACTTAGGGGTTAGAGATAGAAAGAAAACAGACAAAAGTCTATGAACACAGATAGTCCAAAAAGCAAGATAAATTTTCATGGAAGGACAGGATTCACATGCAAAGAAGTGAAAAGAAAGCATAAACATAATAGGATGGTTGTTACATGTAGGTGAAATGCAGAGAAGCATAAACATAATAAGATGGTTGTTATTTGTAGGGAAAAATGAAGGTCTCCAGATATTGCATGGCCTGGGCTTAGGCCCTGCCACCCTCACAAGCCTCCTGTCAGGGAGAGCCACAGTGACCTAGATCTACTCTTTGTGTGGACTTTGGATTCCTCCCACCTCTGCTTGTCACCTGTCAGGATGAACTGAGAAGTCAGCTGAAGGAAGCAAAGTCACAGTGGTTGAGGGAAATTGTTTTGGGGGTGTATATAAGTAAGCGGAAGAATGAAAGGAAAGGGAGAGACTCAGTGATGGAAAAGAAACCCTAAAAAAAAGAAACCCTAAAAGAAAAACCTTAAAGTGGTGAGGATGGAAACAAGCGTTTTATTCTTTGGCCATTTTTTCTTTATGTCTTAATGTATACAGTTGAAGAATATTCTAGTTTTTATATACACCCTACAGAAGTTTCAGTGACAGCAAAAGAGGTGGCTCCCCAGGTGCTGAGAGAATCCAATGACAGAAACATAGACCGAAGTCCAGGAAGTCATGGGTGCCCCCATGAGCCAGGCTAGACCATGATGGGGTTCAGGGCATCCCCTTGAATCCTCATGAAACTGAGGCTGTAGGAGGTCACGGGCATTTGCCACAAACCACCTAGGTCTCACTGGTGCTGGATGTCTCCAGGCCTGACCAAAGTGGCCCCAGCTGCCAGCTGGGGTTCCCAGATGTCTCTCTGACAAGACTTTCCTTACCTCTCCAATTTGCCATTTTTGATGCCCATTTATAATGCTTGGAATGCCTGAGTGTAGTCCCCATGACTATGCATTCACATAGCCATTCATACTGTGCTCAACATGGATGGTCTGTTGGAAAATCTCCCAAAGGAGTCTCAGAACACAGAGAGCCTGGAGGGAAGGGGCACTGTTGGCAAAAGTAGGTTCAATGTGTCCCTCAATGTATACAAAAATCTTTGAAGAGATTACATGAGTAACAAACAAGTTACAATAGCCTATAAATACTGGTCAGGTGCAGTCCCAGGAGGGACAGCAAAACAAAAGGTGAGACAGAAACAGCAAAAGAGTCCAAACATTGAATAACCAGGGCATGCCATCCTAAGAAGGTAATCATTGACATTGCAAATGCAGTAGCTAAATGGAAAGCAATCACAATTTCTTGCTCAAAGAATCTAAGTGATTTAAAGGGTCCCCTCACAAACGCTAATAACATAGAGCTGGGAGAAGCAGTGACAGTCAACCAACTAGTCTGGGACTGCCATAGCACTTACCACAGGTGAAGGGAAACTGAATTCAATAAAGCAGACAAACTTCTGTGTCACGTGCTAGAAATGTTGACAGCTATTGTGAAACCTCAGTTCTTGTCTTATTTTCAAAGAATTTAAACAAAAGACACACAGCAAAGGAGATGCAATGTAGAATAATTTATTACAAAGGAGAAAGAATATTTTGAAAGTTAAGTGCTGAATAGACAGTACAGCCTGAGAGAGAGATTTCAGGGCGGGTTGCTTGTAAGAATAAGACAGCAGAGACTGGCACCAGGGAGACTCCCTTTATGGGAGTTTACATGATTATTCATAAGCGGGTGGGAAGAGGTGTTCCTAGTAAGAATGTTCTGGGTGTTCCTCTGGGTGCACATGCACACTAGCTATAGATGCTTGCTCATAAATGACATGTCTCATTAGCATCTTCAATCTCCACCCAGGGGTGTGTTTCTTACTATTATAATGAGCAAAGGGTAGTCTTAAGGACAGGTAAAATCAAAATACACATGCTCCCTACAGGGACAATTCCTTACTGGAGATAGTTTTGTTTGCATGAGCTGGACTACAATGCAAATACTGGGGCCTATGGTGTTGACTATATAGTCACCAGGATCATCGCATCCCGAGGATACGGTTACTTCCTTTATTACCTACCTTGCCTCAGGAAGACCCCTGTCTCTACAAAAAAAAATTTAAAAAAATTAGCCAGACATGGTGGCATGTGCCTGTAGTCCCAGCTACTAGGGAGGCCAAGGTGAGACCATAGCATACGCCTTGGAAGTTGAGGCTGCAGTGAGCTGTGGTTGTACCACTGTACTACAGCCTGGTGACAGAGGGAGACTTTGCCTGAAAAAAAAAAAAAAGTTGCACAGGCTTCAGTTTTTCATAAAACACTTTCATAATTTTTCCTGTCTTTAAATAGTATATGTATTTTAATTTACCTAAAAACAACCTTTTGTATTTTAAATGAATATATTAAGCAGAAAATAGTATGAAGGGATGCTATAGTTTGAATATTGGTGTTCTCCCCAAATTCAAATGTTGAGACCTAATCCCCAATGCAGTGGATTAAGAGGTGGGGCCTTTGGGAGGTGATTAGGTCATGGGGATAGAGCATTTATGAATGGGATTAATGGCCCTTATAAAAAAGGCCTGTAAAAAATCTCTTGCCTCTTACCCAATGTGAGGATGCAGTGAGATTCTATGAATCAGAAGGCAGGCCCTCGTTGGACACTGAATTTGCTGGCACTTTGATAGTAGACTTGTCAGCCTCCAGAACTGTGAGCAGTAAATTTCTATTGTTTATAAATTATCCTACCTAAAGTATTTTTTAAACAGCAGCCCAAATGGACAAAGACGGTGGGACATTATGGCTGCCTTGATGGGTATTGATAGAAGTGATGCCGCATGCTTTTGGTAGCTAGGGCATAAAAAGTAATACAACCTCCACTTATTCCTGTCTCAGAAATATTGCCTTTGGAACCCATCCACCATGTTGGGAGGACACATAGGTCACATGGAAAGGGCATGTGTATCTGTACTGTTTTTCACTGCTGCTGTGACAAATTACCACAAACTTAGGGAATTAAGACAGCACATATTTATTATCTGACAGTTCTGTAGGTCAGAAGTCTGAAACACAATTCACTGTGCTAAAATCAAGTTGTCAGCAGGGCTATGTCCTTAATCTGTTTCCTTGATTTTCCAGCTTCTGGAGGTTCCCACATTCCTTGTTTCTTGGTCTGTTTCCTCCATTTTCAAAGCCATTAATAGTGGGTCAAGTCCTTTTCACACTGTATCACTCTAAATCTTGTCTTTTACTCTTCCATTTTTTTAAATTTTATTTTTATTTATATTTATTTCTATAGGTTTTTGGGGGAACAGGTAGTGTTTGGTTACATGAGTAAGTACTTTAGTGGTAATTAGTGAAATTTGGTGCATCTATCACTCAACCAGTACACACTGTACCCAATTTGTAGTCTTTTATCCCTCACCCCCGGCAACCCTTTCCCCCAAGTCCTTAAAATCTATTGTATCATTCTTGTGCCTTTGCATCCTCATAGCTTAGCTCCCACTTATCAGTGAGAACATACGATGTTTGGTTTTCTGTTCATGAGTTGCTTCACTTAGAATAATAATGGTCTCCAATTCCATCCAGGTTGCTGAGAATGCCATTGTTTCATTTCTTTTTATGGCTGAATAGTATTCCAGGGTATATTTATATACCACATTTTCTTTATCCACTCATTGACTGATGGGCATTTGCGCTGGTTCAATATTTTTGCAGTTGAGAGTTGTGCTGCTGTAAACATGTATATGCATTATCTGTTTTGTATAATGACTTATTTTCCTCTGGGTAGATACCCAGTAGCAAAATTGCTGGATCAAATGGTAGTTCTACTTTTAGTTCTTTAGGGAATCTCCACACTGTTTTCCATAGTGTTAAACTGTAAAACACTGCTGAGATAAATCATAGATGACACAAACAAATGGAAACACATTCCATCCTCATGGATGGGTAGAATCAATATTGCAAAAATAACCATACTGCCAAAAGCAATCTATAAATTCAATACAATTCCCATCAAAATACCACCATCATTCTTCACAGAACTAGAAAAGACAATCCTAAAATTCATATGGAACCCAAAAAGAGCCTGCATAGCCAAAGCAAGACAAAGCAAAAAGAACAAATCTGGAGGCATCACATTACCTTACTACAAACTATACTATAAGGCCATGGTCACCAAAACAGCATGGTACTGGTATAAAAATAGGCACGTAGACCAGTGGAGCAGAATAGAGAACCCAGAAATAAAGCCAAATAATTATAATCAACTGATCTTCAAAAAGCAAACAAAAACATAAAATGAGGAAAGAACACCCTGTTCAATAAATAGTGCTGGCAAGCCACCTGTAGAAGAACGAAACTGGATTCTCATCTCCCACCTTATACAAAAATCAACTCAAGATGGATCAAGGATTTAAATCTAAGACCTGAAATTATGAAAATTCTAGAAGATAACATGTGAAAAACCCTTCTAGACATTGGCATAGGTGAAGACTTCATGACCAAAAACCCAAAAGCAAATGCAACAAAAACAATGATAATAGGTGGGACTTAATTAAACTAAAGAGCTCCTGCACAGCAAAAGAAACAATCGTCAGAGTAAAGAGACATCCACAGAGTGGGAGAAAATCACAATCTATACATCCTACAAAGGACTCATATCCAGAATCTACAAAGAACTCAAACGAATTAGCAAGAAAAAAACAAAACAATCCCATTAAAAAATGAGCTAGGAAATGAACAGATAATTCTCACAAGAAGATAATCAAATGGCCAACAAACATATGAAAAAATGCTCAACATCACTAATGATCAGAGAAAAGCAAATCAAAACCACAATGTGATACCACCTTACTCCTGCAAGAATGGCTGTAATCAAAAAATAAAAACATAGTAGATGTTGGTGGGGACACAGTGAAAAGGGAACACTATTCTTTCACTTTTAAAGACTCATAGTTTTAACGACTTTGAATAATCCGGGATAATCTCCCTATCTCAAGGTCAGCTGATTAGAAACTGTATTTGCACACATAACCTTAATTCCCCTTTATCATGTAACCTAACATAGTGATAAGTCTTGGGGAATAGGATGTGGATTTCTCTGGGGGTCTATTAGGTATCTGGGTGACAGCCCCAGCCAAGGTCATAGTCAACAGTCCTCATCAACAAGTAGTTGATTTTGATTCTAAACTCAGACTATAAACCACCCTGGTTGATGCCAAATTGAGCAGATAATCTGGCACTGCCAAGCCCTGCCCAAATTGCAGATATGTGGGTAAAATAAATACTACTTACTTTTAGGGACTTGTATGTTGCACCATAGTAGACTACTAGAATACTGTTTAGTAATTATATGTACAAATAAATTTGCAACATTTCAAAAATTTCAATATTGGCAATAAAATAAAAGAAACCTTAACAATGTCATTCTAAGAATACATTTTTCTCCTGGAGAGTTGAACCCCATACATAATTAAAACACAATTCATAAATGTTTGATGTGATATAGTTTGATAATTTGACCCTCTGAGTGTAATTTATAGTTTAAAAATGATTTTATAGCTTTCTTGTTGATGACTTCTCATGGGAAACTCATAGCTTTTCAAGTATTTGTTGGTTACTGATAACAAACTACATTATCTCTGATGGTTTTAGTGAGAAAATTTTTAGTAGACATGAAATGACTACACTACATACCGAACCCAGCAATAGGTGCTTACATCATGAGGAGAAAAGATTTAAAATCCTTCCTTAGTAGAAGAGTAATTTTCTATCCATATTTGGCTTCAAATATTGGGAATTTATATGCAAATTCCAAATACAAGAAAGAAAAACTTGCATATTTATATTAATACCTTGAACTTCAGGGTTCTTATTTCTAAAGTGCATGAATATGAAGAAAATTTATTTTGAATGTGAAGGACTTATATTAATTTTTTTAAAATAACAATTGAAAAACCTAGCAATAAATACTATCATTAGTTGGGGCAAATTTTAACAAGTATTAATCAACATTTAATAAAAATGTTAAAAATAAATGAGGATTGGTATTCTTATGATTTTCTATGATTCTTATAATTTAAATAGAGTAATTGTAATTTTTCTTTTTTACTAAATCTCTTCGTATAAACTTTTGTCATTCTACTACCTAAGATATTAAAAATATCTGCCAGTATTTTGAAGCACTTAATGCAGAATTTCCTATAAGAAAAACATATCAATTACAAATCAGCACTTGTTAACTTGAAGAACTGAGCTTATAATATAACAAAGGTCATAGCAAAACTGAAGCTCAGAATTAAAGACGTATCAAAGAAAATGGCTGAATAATATCTCATTGTATATCTCTATATAGTGTATATATTAGCCCGTTTTTACACTACTGATCAAGACATACCCAGACCTGCTCCCGTGATTCAATTACCTCCCACCAGGTCCCTCCGACAATATGTGGGAATTATGGGAGCTACAGCTCAAGATGAGATTTGCGTGGGGACACAGCCAAATCATATGAATTATATTTTCTTTATCCACTCATCTGTTGATGAACACCTCGATTATTTCCAATATCTAGGCTATTTGAGTAATGTTGCAATAAACGAGGGAGTGCAGATATTCCTTTGAGATCCTGATTTTAATTCTTTAGACATACACCCAAAAGAGGGATGGCTGGATCATATGGGAGTTCTATTTTTAATTTATTAAGGATCTCCATACTCTTTTCCACAGCGGCAACACCATTTACAATCCCCCCAACAGTGTACACGGGTTCCAGTTTCTCTACATCCTCACCATTTGTTATTTTTTTAATAATAGTCATCCTAATAAGTGGAAGGGGATATGTCAAAATATTTTTGATTTTCGTTTCTCTCATAATTAATGATGTTGAGCATCTCTGTGAATATCTATAGGTCATTTGTATGTCTTCTTTGGAAAAATGTCTGTCAGGTCCTTTGTCCACTTTTTAATTAGATTATTTGTTTTTTTGCTGTTAAGTTGGAGACATTCCTTATGAAAATGGAAATTAGCTGTTATCAGATATAGCAATAAAGAAAGTGTGGTATATACATATGATGCAACATTATTCAGCCTTAAAAAGAAGAACATTTTGTCATTTGTGAGAACAATAAAACTGAAGAACGTTATGCTAAGTGAAATAAGCAAGTCACAGAAAAACAAACACTGCTTAATCCACTTATATGAGATAGAATTAATAGTCAAATTCATAGAAGCAAAGAACACAATAGTGGTTGTCAAGGGCTGAGGAGGTGAGGTAAATGGGGAGCTATTCAATGGGAATGAAATTTCAGTTATGCTAGAAGAATAAATTCTAAAGATGTGCTGTACAGTGTAGTGCCTATAGTTAAAAATATGGTATTGTGTACTTCAAAATTTGTTGAGAGGGTAGATCTCACATTAAGTATTCTTACCAAAATATAAATAAATCAATCAGTAAATCAAAGGGACACAAGGAAACTTTGGGATGTGTTGGATATAGATATTACCAATTACCTTGATTGTGGTGATGTTACCATGGGTGTTTGCATGTGTTCAAACTCATCAAACTACATATATTAAATATGAGCAGTTCATGGTATATCAATTATACCTTAAGAAAGCCATCTAAAAAGAAGCAAATGGATCATTGCAAGGACTCCATGGTATTGGATTTTGAAGTATAACTAAGATTTGAATTTATTCCCCCGAAACTCATGTTGAAATCTAATTGCCATTATAAAGGAATTAAGAAAGTTAGACCTTTAAGAAGAGATTCGGGCTCTACCCTCACGAATGGATGAATACTGTTATAGCGGGAGTGTGTTTGTTATCTCAGGAATGGATTTCCTCATAAAGGGATGAGTTTAGCCCTCTTTTGTGCCTTTCTCATTCTCTCTTACCCTCTCTTTGCCTTTCCACCATGAGACGATGCAAGTCCCTCACCAGATGTCTGAACCTGATATTGAACTTTCCAGCCTCCAGAGCTGTAAGAAATACATTTCTGTTCACAATAAATTACCTGATCTCAGGCATTCTGTTACAGTAGCATAAATGAAGTAACACAGGGGATACACTTGAATATTCTTTATTACATCCCATTAAAATCTTTTGTGATAGAACCTATGGCATCATTAACTACTTAAATGCCTTTGGAAACTCATTGTGACAGGTTGTAAAAATGGCCACAATTCTTTGCTATTTCTCCATTCAAGAAGTAGTCTCTTTCTTCACCTCTAGAACTGGGCGGGTTTGTGACTTGCTTTTGACCAACAGATTGCAAGAGAGGTGACATTCTAAGCCTGGGCCTAAGAGGTATTGAAGTTTTTGCTTTCATGCATCTGGAACCCTTTGACTGCCCTGTTCAAGCCCAGGGAAACTTCTGAAAAATGAGAAGCCATGCGTAGAAAAGCTCTCACAGTCCCAGCTATCCTACATAAGTTAATCATAAATCACTATTCCTCGATGAAGTCTTGGACATAGCATAAGCCCAATCAAGAATAGTCATGCTTGGCCAAGGTCAGAAGAATGGTCTAGCTGAGCCCGGTACAAATTACCCTCAAAATCATGAGCAATAAACGGTGGTTGTATTAGTAGTCATTAAAGATCTGTGGTGGTTTGTGATATAGCAAAAGCTAACCAATACACTCAATAGCTGAACCCAAAATGACCTTTTTATCAAAACAATATGTATCATTATTCCAGGCCTGAGAAAACTGTAGTCTACAGGTCAAATTTAGCCCACCACTGGTTGTTGTATGGCTGAGCTGAAAATGGCTTTTACATTTTTAAAGGGTTAAAAAAAAATACAAAGAAGAATAATATCTCATTGAATGTGAAAAATATAGCAATTCAGATTTGAGTGTTATTAATACCATTTTATTGGCATACAGCCATGCTCAATCTTTCATGCATTGTCTGTGGTTGCTTTCATGCAACAAAGCTAGAACCGAGAAGGCAGAGATTGTATGCTCTACAAATCCTGAAGTATTTACTATCTGGCCCTTTAGAGAAAAGACTTGTGATTTAGATCCATATTTCTACTTTAAGAAAATGTGAAAATGGCAAATTTCAGATACTAAGGTGATGTTAAATTTCATAGAAAATATGAGTCTGAGCTTGTATTTGAAACTCCATTGCTTTTCTGTCCATAACACCTTAATATCCATGGCATGTTTTGCATGATGAGTGGCCTGGCATCCTTCATGCTGTACTTAGGTGTCAATTTTCTTCAAGTGCTGTATCTTGCCCTAATTGGACATCGTGAATTGTGTTTTTCAGTGGCTCTGTAAGATGACTGATGATTTCTCTTGTTGCTCAATCATTCTTGGCATTTTTCAGTTAGTCTTGGTTATCTTGAGAATGCTTAATTTTCCTATTGGCTGCCAAATTGTCCTTATATTGGACATCAATTTCATTTGCCTTTAATTGAGGCTTTTAACTCTTAATGCCCCCACTTCTTTCCTCTTTGGAATCTTAAAAAAATCTTATTTTTAAATGTTTAGCTCACATAATTCTGCATATTGATCATTAAGGCATAATGGGCACAGTAAAAAATATTGCTTTGAAATAATAAATATTTGGAAATATAACTATAAAATTAGATAAAATTAAAAAGAAATGCACATTTCAAATGTCAGCTTGTTGACACCTTTTAAATGATGTGTTATTGTGTCTGTAAGGGAAAGATAAAGTTGTAAAGTCAACTAGAGACACCTAATGCAAGTTCCTTTTATACCATGAAGCTGACATATTAAGGCAACCATCCCACATATGCCAAATTTTAGGAAAAAACCTAGACTTATTTTTTGGTGTGTGCCATGTTAACAGACATAAAGACAGACATTTAATTGTATTTACAAAAATAACAGTGTTGCATATTTTTATTTTCTATTAACAAGAGCATCTTTTTGTTTGTGTGTTTGTTTTAGAAATGGAGTCTTCCTCTGTTGCCCAGGCTGGAGTGCAATGGCACGATCTCGGCTCACTGCAACATCCACCTCCCGGGTTCAAGTGATTCTCCTGCCTCAGCTTCCTGAGTAGCTGGGATAACAGGTGCCTGCCACCATGCCTGGCTAATTTTTGTACTTTTAGTAGAGACAGAGTTTCACCACACTGGCCAGGCTGGCCTTGAACTCCTGACCTCAGGAGATCCTCCGCCTTCTGAAGTGCCGAGATTACAGGTGTGAGCCACCACGTCTGGCCAAACAAGAGCATCTTTATTTAAGAATATTTCTTTAATTAACTTTATGTTCAGTTTTCTTTAGGGAAAACTTCAGATTTAACATACTATATACTTCAAGAAACTATGTGTCTTTTTGATTTTAATTACCTTTTAAGATGCCTTTATAAATATAGGAATTACTTTACTTGTAAACAAAATGTGAATCAAAAACAGGCACATGATAAATGGTTTATGTTGAAATTTCTTTCTTTCTCTCAAACATTCATGAATTTCGTAGGAAAGAAGGAAAAAAATGAGAATTTTTTCATGAAACGTAAAACAACTAAAAATAAGGTTATACTTAAATAACATGCTTGTACTAAACAATACATACAGTAATTGTATGTATAAATTTGCCTTTCAATTGTGAGATGTATCAATAAGAAGGGAAAAAGAAAACAATAAAATGTAATACCCAGAATTATTAACCACCATGTGCTTTCTCGATCAAATCCTCAAATACCACTTGCTCAGTATTCTGGAAGTCCTTCCATAAAAGTTAAATTGGAGGAAGTCACAGTTTTTGAGAACTCTGCTTGGAAACAGATGCGAATGTTGGCTTATCCTTTCATGTAATGTTTTCTGGCATTATTTAGTGAGTAAGTGAAGGCATTGAATTGCATCTGGAATTGAAGAGAAAGCTGGAATACAGACTTCTTAACAGGTGTTCCAATTTATAATAATAACTGTTAACACACACCTTCATTTTTACCCAGATTGAAGATGTTGGCTAGTCTTCAAAAGTTTCTCTTACAGAAAATTCTGTAGTGGTTTACCAATACCAAATATATTTGGCATTAATTACTTTGTACAAGGGTGGGAAGATATACCAGCTATGACTAGAAAGGGAATAATAATTTTTGTGGAGGGCTAAAAAAGTTATCTTTACGAAGACTATTATAGCTTGATTATGAAAGAAAATGTTTTATTTAGTCAAACATCATGGCAAATCGAATAAGAACTGGAAAATGAGTACCTGTGAGCATTTGCTGGAAAGAATTAATAAAATAAATAAAATAAGAAATTAGCAGTACTGCTTTCACTTATAATAATGAAGAACAGAAATGAGAACAGAGGAGAAAACTAAAGAAGCATTTAGAAAGAGCTTGTCAATTTTAAGTTGTTTTAATTTTCTATCACTGTCAGGCTTTCAGAAAAATCTGTTGCTAACCCAAATGCATTTTTTGTATGTTTGTTTTGTGTGTGTGTGTGTGTGTGTGTGTGCTTATGTAAATCACAAAAATGAATGCTGAGCTTCTTGACTTAGGCAATATAGTGAGTACAGGAAGGGGAGATGACCAAATACTGAATCTGTTAAGCCTAAATACAGGAAAAGATGTAACTAGGAAAAAAAACCATAATTTTTCTTTTCTACAATAATCCCATGATCCAGGAGATATTAGGAGGTTGATATGGTTTGGCTATGTCCCCACCCAAATCCTATCTTAAATTTTAGCTCCTATAATAATAGCCCCATATTGTGGGAGGGACCCGGTGGCAGCCAATTGAATCATGGGGGCAGTTTTCTCCATACTGTTCTCATGGTAGTGAGTAAGTCTCATGAGATCTGATGATTTTATAAGGGGTTTTCCCTTTTGCTTGGCTGTCATTCTCTGTCTTGTCTGCTGCCATGTAAGATGTGTCTTTCGCCTTCCACCATGATTGTGAAGTCTCCCTAGCCACGTGGAACTGCGAGTCCATCAAACCTCTTTTTCTTTATAAGTTACCCGCTGTTGAGTATGTCTTCATCAGCAGCATGAAAATGAGCTGATACAGAGGTCCTCAGAGATGATGTTCAATTAAATGCTATTTAAATCCCAATGAACAGTATTCTTCAGCTATTATTTAAAGTACAAGTACCTAGAATTAAAAAACACACCTCACTAAGAGCAACAAGGAGCAATGGACAATTCTGCTCCCATCATTTATCTCTCTTCTGTGACACCATCATTCTCTCCCTCTCTGTATCTCTTTCTCTGTCTTTCCCTCCTCATCCCTGCCTCCCTCCCTTCTTTTCACTCTCTCTTCATAATCCTCTAAAAACATGTTCTAGTAACTCACATTAAAAACAAACTTACAAGCAATCATAAAAACTATATATACTTGACTTCAAATATTTCTTCCACTACCACCCTATTGATTTGTTCCTTTTAGAGCAGTGTTTCCCTCAAGAGTTGTGAAAGCCCACAATCTCTCCTGTTATTCACTCATTACTCTTAAATCCACTCCTCTCTGGCTCCTGTCATAATTATTCCATTGAAATGGCTCTAATTAATGTCAGTGACATGTTATTACTTCATGTTGTTAAATCCAACACACACTCTTCTGTCTTCATCCCATGCAGTCTCTCGGTGGCATTTGGCACAGTTGGCTACTCCCAACCCATATGTATGTACTGTAGATTACCACATGGTACCAAAGCTTCAACACTCAAGAATTTAAAATCTTTTCTCACTGTCTCATTCCTGATCACCTGGATGATTCACATCCTCTGAAAATTTTCCAAAGGAAGACACTTTTTCCGCGGCTCCAAATCCAACCTCTTCCTCCCCCAGTCTTCCCCATCTCTGTACATGTAAAAACAATAACTATTTTGTCCCCCAGGTACTAAGCCTAGTACCCAAAGTCAAAAAATTTTCTCCTAAACTTTCTTTTAGAAGTTCTATAGTTTTAACTCTTAAATGTATGTCAATGACACACTTTGAGTTAATATTTATGCAAGCTTTGAGGCAAGGAGGAAAATAAACCTAGATGCTTACCTCAATTGATGCATAAATATAAAACAAATTTTTAAAAAATTTTGAAGAAAAAAATGATCCTGGGAGAATTAGGTTTTCTAAATACATTGTCCTTTCTGCATTGAATTGCCCTTTGATGAAATAAGTTGTTATCAAAATATTCTCTAGAGTACCATTTTGTCTTCTGGTGATTTTAAGATAGTCTTTTATTTCTTACTTCCTTTTTAAAATTAATTATTTTCTTAGTGTTTGTTCAAGAGATTACAATATACATTTTAACTTGTCAAATTCAACTTTGGGTGAATAAAAATTTAATTCCGGTAAATAAAGAAACTTTGCTCCAATAAAGTTATAATTCTTATTTTTCCTGGTGGTATTAATTACATGCATTTATATATATACATATAAATATAATTTATCTACATTATAACCCCCAAAATACAATGTTACAGTTGTTTTACTCAACCTATGCCCTTTAAAGAAACTAAGAGAAGATAATAAAATATATATGCAGTTGTTTTATATTTACCTGCATATTTACTCTTTCTAATGACCTTCATTTTTTCCTAGGAACTCAATTTACTCTCTGATGTCATTATGTTTGCATGTGAAAGTCTTATTTGAACACTTTTTGTTAAAGCAGTACTGTACAAAAATCAATTCTGCTTTTATTTATCTGGAAATATCTTTATTTCCTTTTTATTTCAGAAGATACTTTTTTTGGATCTCTAACTGTTGGTTGATAGTTTTTTTTTTTTTTTTTTTTTCTTCTTTCAGAACTTTGAATGATCCATCCTATGACTTGCTGGACTCAATTTTTTCTAAAGAGAAGTGAGATGCTAATTTCATTGCTGTTTTCCTAAACGTGATGAGTATTTTTCTTTTGCTGCTTTCAAAATTTTCTGTTTATCTTTATCTCTCAACACTTTGACTAGGTGTACAACTCTTTGGATTTATCCCCTTTAGAGTTAATTGAGCATTTTGTTCTATAGACACATGTTTTCCATCAAATCTTGAACATTTTTCAATCATTATTTCTTTAAATGATTTTCACCGACTTTCTTGTTTTCTTTTGTGATTCTCCTTACACTTATGTTGTTATGTTTGATGTCTCTGGGGCTCCATTAGTTTTTTCTCTTTTCTTCAGATTGGATAATTTTTATTGATCTATTTTTTCATTTTTTTGTATTAAAATAAAATAAAAATAATATAATTCATTTAGAGTACATATTGAAATTAAAAATATTTGAGCTTTTAAAAATGGCTTGGACTCTATCCCAGAGCGCTGACATAGGAGCCATCCTCTAAAGTACTCTCCATGAACCCCTTCCATTCTAACTGGTACCATCTCTCTCCATCTGCCAAAGATCTAGACACTCTCTCAGATGCTTTCGTTTTATGCATCTACGCTGGCACCTAGCCCTGAGAATTCCACTTCGGAATATCTTCTATCCAACTTCTTTTCATTGTCCCTGTTTATCTCGGTTCAGCTCTTAGGACCAGTCTATGAATAGGTTCTGTCTTTCTACCCCAATATGTCCTCTTCCAGTCCATTCTCTACAATTACGCTATTACTTGTATTGAAATGCAAATCTAATTATATTATTTTCTTCAAAAGCTTCAAATAAGCTACCATGATTTACAATATAGCTATTGTCTATTTCTCTACCTCAGTTCCAACCCTGTTCAAATCGTTCCAGCAATCCTCACCTGCTTCCAGAACCCCTGGTCATGCTCCTTTCTCTTGCACTCTGAGGACTTAACACTCCCTAAAAGGCCATTTCTACATCTTTCACCTACTTGCTTGGAGACCTTTCTTTAGGATTCAGTTCTAGCATCATCTCATCTCTCTGCGATAATACCTTAATCTTTCCCTCATCCATGCAGCCCTCTGTTTGCCATGAAACTCCTGTGCATACCTCCACCACTAGATTGTGAGCTCTGAGAAGATGGGCTATGGTCATCACTGAAACCTGTGCTTGTACAATACACATATTAGTTGAGTGTTAAATTTGTTCCAAGGCTCTTTCTAGGTGCAAGAAAATGGAGATATATAGCTCAATGTTTCCTTAAGTGAAAATCTAAGTTATCATGGTTCATTAATGAGCACCAACAAAACTGGAATCAAATGCACAAGTGAGAAGTCCTATAACCTCATATATGTGTCGTATTTTAAGAACACATGCCTATTTAATCTAGCATAGGATATAAGATATAAAAGAAATAATGCAGAACTTTAAAATTTTATTTTCTATATTAAACATTTGTACTGATACAGCTAAACCTGATAAAATCTGATCACAAAGATGTTGAATATTTCCCTTTGGTATTAGTGATAGAAAAAAATGAATTAATTTTGTCTATATGCCATCAAAAATAAACATTACTTAGTGTGGTCTTATCTTTTGATTATATCAAAAGGTTTTCTTCTACCAAAATAATGGTTCTAAGATAAATTAATAATTCCTTTGAATGAAAAACAAAAACCCTTCTAAACCAGTGAGCTTATAAATAATGCAACAGGTTGCTAAGTACACTCAGTGTAATAGGAAACTATGTTAACTTAAAAAGGAATTAGAAATATAACCATGAATTTTTTTTTTAAAAAAAGCATTTTCACTTCATTTACTTTTATTAGGTTGGTGTAAAAGTAATTGCATGTTTTGCCATTATTTTTTAATAGCTCTTTGATGAATACCAGTGGAGAAATTAGAAATGCTTTGTGATGAAAATTAGAAAAAATTATTTTTCCAGAAGAATGCAAATCCAAATTGCAATAAGATACCACTTCACTCCAATTAGAATGGCTATTACCAAAAAAGTAAAAAGATAACAAGTGTTGGCAAGGATGTGGAGAAAAGGAAACTCTTACACTGTTGGAAATGTAAATTATTACAACTGTTATGGAAAACAGTATGAAGCTTCCTCAAAAAATTAAAAATGGAACTACCATGTGATCCAGTAATTCCATTACTGGGTACACATCCAAAGGAAATGAAATCAGTATATCCAAGAGATATCTGCACTCCCATGTTTATTGCAGCACTATTCATAATAATCAAGATATGAATCAACCTAAGTGCCCACCAATGAATGAATAGACAAAGAAAATGTGGTACATATACACCATGGTACACCATCTAGCCATTACAAAAATCCTATTATTTGCGACAATATGGATAAAACTGAATGATATCATGTTAAGTGAAATAAGCCAGGCACAGAAAAATAAACACTGCATGGTCTCACTTATAGGCAAAATTTTAAAAAGTTGAGCTCCTAGAAGTAGAACATAGACTATAGGTTATCAGAGGCTGGGGAAGGAGAGGGGAGGAGGAATGGGAAGAAGTTGGACAAAGAGTACAATGTTATAAGTTCTGATCATACAGATGACTGTAGCTAACAATAATACATTGTATATTTCAAAGGCTTGACAAGAGGAATTTGTCACCATAAAGAACTGATAAATGAGGTGATGAAAATGTTAATTAACCTATTTAGTCATCATTATACAATGTATACATATATTGAAGCATTCAACTGTTCTCCATAAATATGTACCATTATTATGCATTAATTAAAAATAAAATATTAACAAAAGGGCCAGGCATGGTGGCTTGGCTCTGTAATCCCAATGCTTTCGGAGGCTGAGGTGGGAGGGTTGCTTGAGGCCAGCAGTTCAAAATCAGCCTGAGCAACACAGCGAGACCCTGTCTCTACAAATAATGCAAAAATTAGCTGGACATGGGGCATGGTGGTGCATGCCTGTAATCCCATGTAGTTGGGAAGCTGAGGCAGGAGGATAACTTGAAGCCCAGCAGTTTGAGGCTACAGTAGCTATGATCACTCCACTGCACTCTAGCCTAAGCAACAGAGCAAGACCCTGTCCCTCAAAATAAAATAAAATAAAATAAAATAAAATAAAATAAAATAAAATAAAATAAAATAAAATAAAACATATAAAGGAAAATTAAATATTATTTGGCTCCTTCTTATCCTCAGTGTTGAAAAGATTTTGAGTGCTTCTAGATTTTTGTTTAGCTGGATAGTTCCCAAACTGACTGAACTCTCCAGGTTGGTAATTCTTACAGAGTTTTCCTGTCACTGGATCTATGACTTTTCCAAATATAAAAATTATCTCAGCCAGTTCATGTTTCACACTGTTCATTCATGAAACAGATAAAGGTTTGAGAAGTGCAGTGTCTTCAACTGTTCACTGCTGAAAAACACTGAGTGAAGCAGGTCTTTCACTTATTAAAATACCTTATTAAATAGGAATCCAGAACAAGCCTGGTCACTATCACTTTAGTAGCTTTTTGCATTGCTGTCATAATCACCTTCCCCGTTATTTGTTTGGCATGATCAGATGATTGTGCTATCGACATGATGTGGCTTTTGTTATTTCCTAGCTCTATTGTTCTGTTGCATGGCTGTTGGAGCACTTGCTGGCTCTATTGGCCTATTTTTGAGTTGATTCTTTGCCATCTTAAATCTACTGTTGAGCCCATGTGGTGTATTTTCTATTTTGGTTATTGTACTTTTCAACTCGAGAATATCCACTTGATTCTTTAATATGATTTCTGCTTTTTAATTTGAGATTCCCTACCTAGTAACTCTCTTGTCTTCAAATTGTTTTCTAACTATTTACACATAGTTCTCTTTCATTCTTTGCATCAACTCGTAATAGCTTATTTGAAATCTATCAGCTAAATTTACTATCTGGGCCCACTCAGGGAAGTTCTATTGACCTTTTATTCCTCTAGTATGGGTCATGTTTTCCTGTTTCTTTGCATATCTTGTAATTTTTTTGTTAAAAATGAGACATTTTATTTAATATATAATGACAACTCAGAATTCTAAGTGGTTTTTTTTTTCCTTCTCTAAGGGTTGTTTTAGTTGCTGTGTTTTTGTTGTTCTTTTATCAATTTGCTGGGATTTAATCTGCAGAATCTTGCTACCCACAGTGCGTGGCTGCTGATGTCTCCACATAGCTTTATTATTTTTTTAATTTTATTTTTCAGCCTGGACTCTTAGGAGTAACCTCTAAATCTGTGTGTCTAAACAGTAAGCTAATAGTTGATCAGAAGTTGTGTTCAAATACCTGGAGCCAGTTAGCCTTCCATCTTCTGCCAATAAATCTGTGTGGGTTAGGGAGCACATTTTTTGGAACCTTATATCTTTTCTATCTCTGAGTGACTTGTGAACAAATTCCCAGGCAGTCAGCATTGTGTAGAGAGCATGGGCCTTCTCAGGTCTCTTCTGTACATGTGCACAGTCTCCCAGTCAGCCGAAGATACAAGGATAACCTATTAAACTCCGCTATGGCTCTTCCATTTTCAGGATCTCCATGTTAAGTGTCTGGCCAAGCACTGATCTTCTGTTGATCCCACACAACTCCAAAACCTCCAGCTTGTATAGATGTGTGCTTTCGCCATTTTACTAGCAAGTTTTCTCCTTTTACTGACAAGTCCTGTATGTGTGAATGCTTTCTTCTCTGGATGCAATCGAATCAACTTCATCCAGCAGCAAAGTTTCTGTTTTTTATAGCCAGCCCCACTATGTTAGAACTACATCACCGACTGGGCATGGGGGAGGATGGCAGCAATGCCAGGCAAGAAAGCCACAGACTCCCACTGTTCTTTCCAAAAGTTTAGCAATTTTTCATGAATAAATATGTCTCAACGAATTGTTTCTTTTGGGCTGATTTTTAGAGCCCTGAAATGGGTGATTTGAAAAACAAATAAAGTTTTATAAGCTTTTTGTGAGGGATTTGCCAACTTCTTGCTATTGCTGGGAATCCCATTCTTTTTTGCTTTTGATCTAGTGTGCAATTCAAGGTGCCTGTTATTGTCATGTCTCTTTACTCTTCTTTGATCTATGAGAGTAACCTCACCATCTCACCACTTTTTATCCTTTATGACAATGATATTTTGAATAGATGTTAACATAGATTCCTCCCTTTTCCTTATCACTTCATTCATCTTTTATGGTTATGTTTTTTTCCAAAATAATTTCATTCTCTTCTGTCTATGTCACCACTCTAATCCAAGTCACTGTCATTTCTTTTCTGGATCACTGCAGTGATATGTCTCCTACTTCCACTCATTCTTCCCCAAAGTCCATACTCCACACAACAGAGTGATTTTTTTTTTTAGAGGTGTAATAGTTTCTGTATTTAGGCAGAATTTCTAAACAAGGAAAATATTACGTATATATTTTCCCCATTTAATTATTTTAAGTGTATAGCTCAGTAGTATTAAATATATTTACATTGTTGTGAAACAGAGCTCTAGGACGACTTTTAAATAGTAAAGGAGAGGCTGGGAACAGTGGCTCACACCTACGATCCTAGCACTTCAAGACACCAAGGTGAGAGGATTGCTGGAGGCTGTGAGTTCAAGACCAGTCTAGGCAACATAGTGAAATCTCATCTCTACATTTTAAAAATAATAAATAAATAAATAAATAAATAGCCAGATATTGTTCCTCTGCTTAATATCCTTTTACTTCTATTTATAACTTTGTTTTTTGTACTTATTTTACTTTTTCTATTCTTAGAAAAAGATCAAAACATATTATTACAGCTATAATGCAGATATCTGGCTAAAGCCTATCTCTTTGGTTTCCTCTCATCATATCTTCCTTATGTATTATACTCATTCAAATTAGTCTTTTAGCTCTATGCATTAGCCGAGCTCTGTCCCACATGAAACCTTTGCACTTGCTGTTTCTTCTACTTGAACTATATTCCTCCTCTTCCTCATATGTTTGGCCCCTTCTCATTCTTCATGAATGAGCTTTAATGTCGCGTCCCCAGTGAGAATTTCTCTTACAATCCCATCTAATTCAGCATTGTTGATTCCTTAACTACTTACTTTCTGATAAATTTCCCAGGTCATTTATTTCATGATACTGATTATAATTGGTGACCATACTGTTTATTTGTTTACTTATTTATTATTACCTCCTCTAGCCCATGTACTCTGTGAAGATAAAAATCTACTTCACTTACTCAGCACTGGGTCTTCAATTCTTTATTATTATTATTATTTTTTTTTCTGGGTCTCCAATTCTTTTAACAGTGCCTAGCATGTAGTAGAAGCTCCCTACCCTGATCCCTCGTTAAGAAATTAAGTGAAATAAAAGAAAAATCATCTTCAAATGACATTGCTAAGAAACATTAGATAAAGAAACCCATGAATACACTAAAATTAATAACTTGAATAAGTAAGAACATAATTTCTCCTAGTGTTTCTCAATCACGTTTATTAGTTAATAAAATGGCTTTAGATGTTTATTTTGCACAAATAAGATACGAAGCCAGCATGGTTCAATAAAAAGAACTTCAAAGTAAAAACACAGGAGCATGTTTATGGCTTTATCTCCCATTTAAAGAAGATGGATACTAGTTTAAAGTTAAAATTGTCTGTTTAAAAATTGGGATAATATAGGCATTGTAACCTAGGAATATTCTTTTGAACTCCAGAGACTCATGAAATGGATGCCAGTCTTGTATTTCTACAAAGAAAATACATTTATGTAACAAATTTTACATGAAAATGGATGATTTAATGTTATTCATCTTCTGGAAACCAACACATAATAGCAATACCTCTCAGTAAGTCTAATCTTCATAATTCCATCATTCTTTCTAAAAGATTTTAGGCACTTAATCAGTCCTTGTCTTGTCTCTTGAAAAACTTTTTACCTAAACATCTTTAAAATCTTGGTTTCTAAGGAGAAAAAATATGAAGCTGCAACTTAGTGACTACTAATTCATTTAATCTATAAATCACCAAGAACAGAAAAATAATACATATCATTTCTAGAGCTTGCAACTTCCATAAATAAAAATTTCATTTTCTGGTACTGACAACCTGAGTTTCTACTAGGTAGTAAGCCCTCATCATGTCTCTTGCTGTTTATGGCTAAAGTAAATATTAAAGCCCGCATACTTGATAGATCTGCAGTGGTTCTCTTTTCCTCTCAGCTTTTGAAATGAAATAAGAGTTCAATAAAATGGTGCACTACAAGTCTGTTGTTCAGATGCATACAGTATATCTCTGGATATATACAGCATATTCATTTCTTCCAAATGTTTTATTGACCTTGGTCCTTGGGGGTGATGAAAAAACAAAAACAGTAGAAGCTGAAGTGCTGACGTATTTACAGGGGGGATTGGCCACTATTATCAAGAATAACTTTCAATTTGATTTTTTTTTTTTTTTTTTTTGGTGTGGACATGACTAGGATATGACTGATTAGGATCTGAAAACATTCAGGTGCTTTTCACCAAGAGGCATAATTAAAGTCTAAGAGACACTTAGGTTTGGGGATTTAATTTCAAGCAGTCCCTCTTCTGAAATTTGAACTTGGATCTCATCCAGGTTTTTCCCTGTCTCATTTTAAATCACCATTATATACTGCAGTAGCAACCATGCAAATTAGCACATTCCTACATGTTCAGGGCATTCGACAGAGCTTGTAAGGATAATATAAGAGGGCACAGACTTCCCCTTTTCTTTTTCTTATATTTAATTTTTATTAAAATTTTCAGTCGATCTTGCAGGGAGAAAAAAACTAGGTTTATTTCTAACTGACAAGCGTCTATGTATTCTTAACATAGTGAAGCAGAAAACTAGAAATAATTTCAGGAAAGGGAAAGAGACTTGATAGGGCAATAGTGAATGTATTACCAGGATTCTTTCTGTTATAGAAGACAAAAACTCAGCTCAACAAATATAGGCATAAAATATAACTTATTGGTACATTGAATTTGGTAGTTGAGAGCTCTGAAATGTGGCTGATTTCAGAGAAGTTGAGAGCCAGAGTCTTAGGCCATTCAAGCTGCCATAACAAAATATTTTAAACTGGGTAATTTATAAATAATAGAAATTTATTGCTCACAAGTCTGGAGGCTGGGAAGTCCAAGATCAAGCCTTCAGAAGATTAGGTGTCTGCTGAGGGCTCTTGCTCCTCATAGATGGTACCTTCTATGTGTCCTCATATGGCAGAAGGAGTGAACAAGCTGTCTCAGGCCTCTTTTATAGGAACACTAATCCAGTTTGTGACCTAATCACCTCCCCAAGACCCACCTCTTAATGTTATCACTTTGAAGGGTTAGCTTTCAACTTATTAATTTTGGTAGGAAACAATTTCAAGCCATAGCATCAGGAGACCCAAACAAGGTTATCGTTTTTCTTGATACATCTTTTTGTTCAGCTTCTCTTGAACAAAGGAATGGTGCTATGGTCTGACTACATCCCCTGCAAATTCACATGTTGAAATCCTAACCCCCAAGGTGATAGTATTAATAGGTAAGGCTTTTGGGATATGATTAGGTCATGGGGCAGAGACCGTATGAGTGAGATTAGCGCTCTTATAAACAGGCCTTGGAGAAGGCTTGAGAAAAATCCCTCACCTTTCCCATCATATAAGGACACAGCAAGAAGGTGTCATCTATGAGCCAAAAATGAGACTTTCACCAGACATGGAATCTGTGTTGATCTTAGGCTTTCCAGCCTTCAGAATAGTGAGAAACAAATTTCTGAGGTTTATAAGTTACATAATTTGCAGTATTTTGTTTTGGCAGTCCAAATGGACTAAGACAGTTGGTTTCTACCTTTCCAACTTCAGGCAAACACTTATAATATGTTGGAGAAGCTGGTTACCTGGAGACATCTAGTCACATTCTACCTATCTAGGATCCAAAAGAAAAGGCTTTATCCTTATCAAGTCATTCATTCCAGAACTATTTATTGCATGCCTATTATGTGCCAGACCTCTCATGAAGGTTGCATTCTACTGGGAAGAGACAGAAGATAAACAGATGAAACAGACAGACAGAACTGTGTGCCCAAATCCCCCTTTTCTTTAGAAACAACTTCAGTGCTACTATTAGATAACCTGTGAGAGTTCTGCCAATTAAAAAGTATTACTTGTCTTTTATTTCTTCTGTTGCAAACTCTAAGCCATTGATGGTTTTGCAGATGGAAGGGGGCCAAGTACCAAAAATGTGGACAGCCTCCAAAGCTGGAAATGGCAAAGAACAGCCTCTGGAAAAAAATGTTGCCTTGCTAATTTTAGCTCGGTAACACCAACTTCAGACTTTTGATCTAAAAAACTGTAAGATAATACATTCTATTTTGTTTTAAGCACTAAATTGCTATAATTTGTTACAGCAGCAATACGAAACTAATATACACTTTATGTGCTACCATTGCTTGCAGCATATATATCTCCATTAATTCATGCATTCTTCTTCTTTCTCATGTCTTCCTTACATCTTTTACTTACCTCTCTCATGAGAAACCTTTTTTCCATGACCATTTACCAATTACAATTTTACCCTGCCCTTTCCTACAATTAATTGGTGATCCTAAGGGAAAGTAATTCTGACTAATCTTGGATATTTCATTTAGAGATTAATGATGAACATTAGTTATTTTAAAACGTTTCTTTAATTATTTTCTGCTTCTAGTTTTACATATTTCTAGTGTGAGCACCTTTGGGTCCATGGCTTTACAAAGAAGTATGTTCCTGATTTTATCCAATATCATGCATTTAGGAAATATTTATTTAACAGTCACTATGGATAGGGCATAATGTTATGTACTGCTACAGATACCTGTATAAGAAATAGTGTCTATATTGTAGAACTGATAGAAAAGTAATCTTCTTGTAAGATATGAGCCTAATTGATGGGTTCTAATAAACAAAATCCAGGCACCGGGAAATCTGCTTTGAAGGCATTTATTAGACATAGTTGTTATTTAGTAAGTATTAAATAAAAATAATATGACAGTGATCTCCCTATTGTCCTAATATGTTTAAGACTGTCTACACAAATTAAATTCTGATTTTATTGCATCTTTTAAAGAAGCAAATATATTGCCTTCTAGGCTCCCCTATATTAGAAGAAAAAAATCAATACAAATAAATGATTTCATCCCTTTGCTGGCATCATATTTGCCCTGAAACAGTTTGCATATTATAACATTTCATTTGCTCTGCTTTTAAATCCTGGGAAAGCATATGTATTACGTCTATTGCTTTGTTATAAGTATCAGAAGTCTGTGTTGTTTTCTTCCTACACATAATGAAAAGCAAACCCATTTCTGAGTGATCAAGCAGGGAGGAGATTTTGAAGTAGTATGCTCTGTTCATTTATTTCCAGCACCCTTAGTCCCCTAAATGTAAGAATTATTTTAGACTTGTTTTAAATCAGCTTTACTACAAAACATTTCCCTCCTGCCTGGGTTTCAAAGCTTCTTTGAACAGCTTGAAATCATTAGGGAGGGAGGTAGTGGCAAAAAAAATGGAGCTTCAAAGACCTTGCTGTACTGAAACAATACACCACACTCATAGCTAACAAATCAACAGGGAAGACACTGCAGGCAAGGTCAAAGCTTAAAATAAGGTCACTTACTCTTTCAATGGTGTAGAGACCCGTTTGCTGGCCTAGAACACTATTCAAGCAGGCATAACCAAGAGAAAAAAAAATAATTTGAAATGTCATCTGCCCTGAAGATGTCACTTACAGCTCAGTTAAATAAGAAAACATCTATGAGAAATGGAGTGATTTGATTGTTTTATGAGTGTTGTGAGTCTGGCTTGCAATCAACTCAATTCAGGCTCTGAACTTTCAAGTCTCGAATGGGGCTGATTGCATTCCCAGTACAAAACCTCTTTTTCCTATTACTTACTTAACAACATAAATATTTTCCCAAACTGACATCTCCTAATTGCAATATGAAAATTGCTCTACTTCACCAGTGTCCATTTTTGAAAGATTTGATAATATATCTCTTCTAATACCCTGTATTTTGGCAAGTGATGAAATAGTGATTACGTGTGTGGGCTCTAATACCAGACTGCCTTAGTTCACAAATGAAATATGCCACAATCAGTGCAATTTTGGCCAATTAATCTGGGAATGCCTCTTTTTCCTCTTCTGTAAAGTGGAGCTGGCATTAACCACTATCTAACCACCTCTTACTTGCTATAAGAATTAAATGAGATAGCACTTGTAAGATAATTAGAAAAGTAATTGTTACATGATAAATCCTCAATAACTGTTAGGTATTTTTATTAGTCAGCATTCTCCAGATAAACAGAATCGACAGTATTTTTATATGTGTGTGCATGAGAGAGAGAAAAAGAGAGAGATTTTAAAAAATTGGTTCACACAATTGTGAAGCTTGGCAGTCAAAAATCTGCAAGGTAGCCCTGCAGGATAGAGGTCCTGGAAACAATTACAGCTGGAGTCCAAACCTGCCAACCTGCTGGCAGAATTCTTTTTTGCTTGGAGCAGGTCAGCCTTTGTTCTCTTAAGGCCTTCAACTGATTGGATGAGGCCCACCCACATTATGGAGGGTAATCTACTGAACTCTAAGTCTAATGATTTAAATGTTACTATCATCTGAAAAAGACTTTCACAGAAATATCCATAATAATGTTTGACAAATATCAGGGCACCATGGCCCAGCAAAGTCAACACATAAAACTATACATTTGCTATAGACAGAATGTTTGTGTCCCCCTGAAGTTTATATGTTGAAGCCCTAAGCCCCAATGTGATAGTATTTGGATATGAAGTCTTTGGGAGGTAATTAGAGTTACATGAAGTCATGAGGATAGGGCCCTCATGATGAGATCAGTAGCTTTATAAGAAGAGAAAAAGAGAGAAAAGATCATGTGAGGACAGAGTGAGGAGGTGGTCACCTACAACCCGAGGAGAAGGCCTTCAGCAGATACTGACCCTGATGACACTTTGATCTTAGACTTTCAGTCTCTGGAACTGTCAGAATATGCTCCTATTGCTTAAGCCATTCAGTCCATGATATTTTGCTGACTAAGCCATTATCATGCCGTTATTGTCAATATATAATCTCTACCTCAATATATAATCACAAACTGAATAACATAATGGGAAAAGAAGTCCGACTTGCTGGAGAAGACCTAGACCTTTGCTATTCTCCACCTATCAGAGCCTTTGACCTTAGTCATGGGAGCCTGAGTGTGAGAAAGTTGGTTTAAATGAAAAGGAATTTCATAACTTTTGACATTACCTGAAGGAAATAGACAACTATTAATAAAGTACAATATACGAGATGATAATAAAGTTTTTACCTCTATCAACTAGAAATCCAAGGCATTTTTTTCTATTGTCCCTACTAGATCAAAATTTATTGTCACTTTGGTAATAAATAGTAAGAGTAGTGGGCAGGATTATTTCCAAAAAGGTGTTTTTGACATATGCATGTCTTTCTAGAAGAAGTGGACTAGGCCTTTCAGTTCACTTCTTTACATCTCTTTATCTTTAGCATATCAATCTGCAATTCTCTATCAGATTATTTCACCTTTGCCTTAGAGCACTTATTTCCACTTTTTTCCCCCAAAATTGAATTCATTCTAATGATTTCACTGCTAATTGGTGTAGTCTATAACACAATTTTATCCTGGCAAATACTGGCTTAGGGGGCCACTGACCCACTCCACTTCACAGGAAATCTCATATTTTGAAATGTCTTTCTTAAAATTTTGTAAGCTTCCTTCTAAGGACTAGGCTGACTGTGAGTCACAGTGCCTTCTGGATAAGGTACTCTCATCTGGAACAAGGACCCTCATAGGCTCTGGTCCCTGCTTCTCCTTTTTGAGGTGTTCTTTGACCCTTTACTTTGCATGGTGATCAGATGCCCCTAGGGCTCCAGTTTGTGCCTGTGGGGATTAGTCAAGGTCCCATAGTTGGGTCCTGGTTCAAAAGAGTTGCCCAGTGAGCAGATTATTTCTATTGGCCTGCAAGATATTTTTTTCCAAGATAGCATGAGATTGGGCTGTCAGAATAGGAATGACATGTTGATTTTTGGTGACTCAAAATGTTTATATAGGGATCTCCCCAATAAAGCTTTACCAGGGAGGGGTCCTGCATAGAGTAACCCTCAAGATGGCCTTAAAAGAGTAAGATTGGATCTTTAAAAATATGCCTACAGAAATTGCCATCCACTGTTGGTGGGATTATACATCGACACAGATTCTAAAGGAAGGTAAATTTGTAGTATCTGCCATAACTTAAAGTTTATATCAGTTGGCCCAGAAATACAACTTCTAAGACTTTATCTCACAGACATGTAAGTGTGCAAATATTTATGTACGTGAATGATTATCATAGTATTACAATAGCATGAAATTGGAAACCATCAATTATGAAAGTTACATACATTTTTACATTTTCCACAAAATATTAGGCATTCATTGAATACAATGAGGAAAATACTGATATAGAAAACATTTTAATTCACATTTTTTAAATAAATAAGAAAAAGCAAGTTGCTAAACCTCTGAAAAGATGATACTCAGCAAAATGATAAAGAGGTTACTCCCATCAAATGTGGTTAGAAGTAGACGGGAATGCGGAGCTTTGCAAAATGTTTCTATCCTTCAATTCCTCTAATGAACAAAAGTGGTCAAAAAACGTGGTTGCAAAAATGGGTTGATCAAACCCAGGTTTCTCAGTTCTAATTCAGGCCTTATGCTCTGTAGTGAATTGGGACAGTTCAGGGAACATGACTGGATTTAAATTCTTGCTCTGACACTTATAGTTGTGTATCCTTGGACAACTTATATTAAGTTCTCCTCTTTTCTAAAATAAGGATAGTAACACCTATATCATAGAATTTCTGTGAACATTGTGTGAAAGAAAACCAGTATTATGTTCTTCTTATTCAGATCCAAGCCCATAGCAGACACATCAACATTTCACCTATTATTTGTGGCTCCTTATGCCTTGACATCCATCCAAATATATATGTCAGCAGAACTTTGGAACCCAGACTGTAGCTGACTTCTATGCCCATTTGTATATCTCATCACTACCACAGATTCTATGCTTTCACTATAAAATATTATCTTCTCTCTTCATTAAAGCATCCCTGTCAACCTCTGTTTGTAAAATACTCTGCCATTCTAATAATGTAGATTTAAAACTATGGACTATTTTTGACTAATCTTTTTCCTTCATATTTAAGAAGTCATAGATACTATCAATTGAATGTGAACATCCTTTCATTCCAATTCAACTATCATTTATCAAATGCTTGCTACGTTTTCAGATATTACAGTAGATTCTTAGGATATTAATATGATTAAAACACAATGCATACTCATAAGCATGTCAACATAAGGAGTCCAGATAAACAACTTATAATGTAGTGTAGCCAATACTTTAATAAAAGATAAGAGTGTATGGTTACATAGGAGACAAGCCAATAACTCCCTTTACAAGTGATAGGAATGTTTCTGAAGTCAAAGAAGGAGAAAAATTTAAGGGTGTGGTTAACTCTAACAAAAGTGTAGCAGCTTAAGTGATATGAGATCTAAAAGTTTACAGTATTAAAATAGTTAAGATAGAAGAAAAAATCTTCATGTAGAAAATTGAATAAGTGACAATAAATTAAAATACAAAATATAGGATATTTATGCCAAAGAGCAACATCATGGATCTGAAAAATTTTGGATGGGTTTTGGAATCATATATCCTTTCAAGGATTTTTTGCAATATTACTTCATTAATACCTATTTCTGTGAGACCCTATTTAAAATAATTACTTTCTTGGGGCCTCAGTTTCCTCATATGTAAGTTGGAGTGATTAACAGAAATGATCTCGTTGTTGTGAGAATTAGTAAAGGACATATGAAGTGTCTACCCCCAACTCTCACACATAGGAGGCTCTCAATGAAAGTAAAACATTCTTATCTGCTTCATTCAAGAAGTGGCAAATACATTTTTTAAAAGTCAGGCAACTGCTTGATGAGAGAGGTAGAGGTGAGGACAAGTTTTTTTTTTTTATTATTATTATACTTTAAGTTCTAGGGTACATGTGTACAACAGGCAGGTTTGTTACATATGTATACATATGCCATGTTAGTTTGCTGCACCCATTAATTCAATGTTTACATTAGGTATTTCTCTTAATGCTATCCCTCCCCCTTTCCCTACCCCATGACAGGCCCCGGTGTGTGATATTCCCTGCCCTGTGTCCAAGTGTTCTCATTGTTCAATTCCCATCTATGAGTGAGAACATGCGGTGTTTGGTTTTCTGTCCTTGCGATAGTTTGCTCGGAATGATGGTTTCCAGCTTCATCCATGTCCCTCCAAAGGACATGAACTCATCCTTTTTTATGGCTGCATAGTATTCCATAGTGTATATGTGCCACATTTTCTTAATCCAGTCTGTCATTGATGGGCATTTGGGTTGGTTCCAAGTCTTTGCTATTGTGAATAGTGCCGCAATAAACATACATGTGCATGTGTCTTTATAATAGCATGGTTTATAATCCTTTGGGTATATACCCAGTAATGGGATCGCTGGGTCTAATGGTATTTCTAGTTCTAGATCCTTGAGGAATCGCCTCACTGTCTACCACAATGGTTGAACTAGTTTACACTCCCACCAACAGTGTAAAAGCATTCCTATTTCTCCACATCCTGTCCAGCACCTGTTGTTTCCTGACTTTTTAATGATCTCCGTACTAACTGGTATGAGATGGTATCTCATTGTGGTTTTGATTTGCATTTCTCTGATGAGCAGTGATGATGAGCATTTTTTCATGTGTCTGTTGGCTGCATAAACGTCTTTTGAAAAGAGGACAAGATTTTTATATTTTGTTTTCCAAAGATTAAAAAGCTTTCTTGTAGTTAAGGGAATGAACCAAAGAAAAAATAGGACTGAACTATGCATTCTACATCAGTGCTGTTCAAAAGAAAAAAAAATGAAAGCCACAAATGTGTGTCATATCCATAATTTTAAAAATATAGTAGCCACATTAAAAAATTTTAAAGCAGAGAAACTAATTTTGATAGTATACTTTGTTTAACCCAATATATGCAAAATATTCCTATTTCAACTTATAATCAATATGAAAATTAATAATGAGATTTTTAAAAATTATTGCATGCAAACACTTATCAAGAGAAACCGGAATGTAATAAGTGCTCAATAAATCTAGCTATCATACTTATAATCTCCTTAAATAAATTGTAAACCCTGTAAAAGTTAGTTTCATGCTCCCTTAATCTCTCTCTTAACCACTCCTTACTCTCAATCTTTACTAACATTCTATGAGTTACCTCTGTTCTGGATTATTCTAAGGGCTTCCTCACTGGTGGTGTCCCTGCTTCTAGGAAGATCTTCTCCATACTGTCCTTCGATTTTTCTCCTTAACCCCAATTTAATCATATTAGCCATCAGCTTAAAAATTTTTATCGCTCCTCAGTGCTGTAAGAAAAAACTTCTTGTGGCTTTGCTTTATGTTGTTTTCCTTTTACTTTTAATCTTTCCCTGGATTAAGTGGGGAGAATTGCTCCCTACTCTACCTCTTCAAGGAAGGCACCTGAAAGGGGTAAAAACCAAGGTAGTCTGCAAGTCTTTCTGGATTTGTTTTTAAAATGCTGAGTCATTTAGGCAATTTCTAATCATTTTTATGGAAATAAAATGAAGAAATGGATTCGAAGCTATAACCAGAGTGTCTTAGAAAAGCAAGAAGGAGAATGGAGCTCTTCTCTCAGAGTAGGAAAACTTTCCAGGATGCAAGAGCAGAGGGAAGAGAGACTGTGGGTTCTGACATGATAAAGACCTGGGTTTATCATCCTAGCAGTTTGTGGAAGTGTCAAGATCTAGTAGAAGAGCAGTGACATCCTCACAGGCTTTACAAGAATTCTGGACAGAAATAGAGTTTTAACTAAGCACTAATCAGGCTATATTTTGGCCGACTTTCTTATTACCGAAAGTCAGGTGGCACTAGATGCTAACCATTTGCATCCCTGATTGTTTCTACAGATAGGATTTCTGATGTTAGAATAGGATAGGATTTATGTTTAATAATTAATTAGCACTTCTGTTATTCTTTTGGATAGGATCTCTGATGTTAGAATCATAAAGCTTTTATTTAAGAATTGCTTAAGATGTTTTTAAGACCTGGCTTCCAGTGATCCTCACAGAGAACCAAATCAGCATGAGAATAGTTTCTTCATCTCCTTGTCCCATGACTTTACCCTGCACTCATTGACCAATCAACGGTCTCCACATTTTGGTCCATTCCAAAACCCTTAAAAACACTTGCCCCAAATTCCTCAGGGAGACAGATTTGAGGTTTCCTCCCATCTGCTCGTTCAGTGGCCCTACAATTAAATGTCTTTTTCTGCTGTAACCTGGTGTCTCTGCAAATTGACTTGCCACACGCATTGGAAAATGGACCTATTACAGTTACAATTTAGTGGTGACCCAGATGAGATGCCCTTCATGGGCATTTGCCCGTGGCTCTGTGCCCCCTATTACTATTGTAGCAGGTCCGGAGAGGAGCTCTAGCGGCCGCCTGACTCCTTAATGCTGAACTATGATGTGACTGGGGATATTTGACCGCAGGTTTCAAAATATCATTTCCTGTATAAGTAGATTTTTGAATGAAGAATAATATTTCTGCATTCTCAGGAAAGCAGACTAAAACCTCCATGAACTGGACATTACCTCTTTATTCAACTTCATGTGCTCTGGTTCCTTAGTCCCCTGTATTTTATGCTGCCTTCTTGATTGACAGATAAACTTTGTTATATGCAGAGAAAGATTACACTGTAGTAGTTAATAATGTGGACTTTGGAATCAAACCACCTACATTCAGATCTAGCTCTTTTATCTACAAATGGTATATCTTTGGCAAGTTATTATGCTTCTTTGGCCAAGTTATTATGCCTCTGATCTTCAGTTTTTCCCTCTGTAACATGGAGACAATAATAGTATGTATCTAAGAGTTGTTGAAAGAATTAAATGCATTGTTTTATGTAAAGTAAAAAAATGAAAACACTATACAAGCATTGGTTATTTATTATTATTCCATAAGAAATTTATGTTTATTATTTTATTATTAATAGTAGTTGGTAATACAAAATCATTATTTGTTTCTGCTGTGGTCGGAATGTTTGTTTCCCTGTCAAATTCATACGCTGAAACCCTAATACCCAAGGTAGACACATTAGGAGGAGGGGTTTTTGGGAGGGGATTAGGTCATGAGGCTGGATCCCTCATAAATGGGATTAGTGCCTTTATACAATAGGCCCAAGGGAGCTTGTTTGTCCCTTCTGCCATGTGAGGACACAGGTAGAAGGCTTTATCTCTGAACCAGAAAGCAGGTGTTCACCAGACATTGAATCTACTGGTGCCTTGATCTTAAACTTTCCAGCCTCCAGAAGTGTGAGAAATAAATTTCCACTATGTATGTATGTATTTATTTATTTATTTTGAGATGGAGTCTCACTCTGTCCCCAGGCTGGAGTGCAGTGGCGCTATCTCAGCTCACTGCAAACTCCGCCTCCCAGGTTCAAGTGATTCTCCTGCCTTAGCCTCCCGAGTAGCTGGGACTACAGGCAGCACCACCACACCCAGCTAATTTTTGTATTTTTAGTCAGACGGGGTTTCATCATGTTGGCCAGGATGGTCTCGATCTCTTACAACAATTGTATAATATATGATTGTTAAATGAATAAATGAATGTTATGTAATCCTGTTGTATCCCTGGCACAATACCTCATAGAGTCTGTCTCAGAGCATTTCTTGAGAAATGGGAACCCTTCATAGTTTGCAAGATGAACTTTTTGAGAGTGGGGTGGTGGGCAGGGTGGGTGTGTTCTCATGTAGGGTGCTGAACATCTAGAAAGCAAACTACAGTCATTGGATGTAGCAGACACCAACCATTCACAACCTTTCCACTTTTCCAACAGACACCCTACCTCTTCAGGAGAGCTATGTGTTGCAGTAGAGTAGATGGTGGGGTGGCAGCCCCAGCAGTAGGCAGTCAGTGAAACATTATTAGAATAAACCTGTCGTGATTATCCCATCCCCGTTGGCATTAGTTCATCCTTACATTGCTATAAAGAACTACCTGAAGCGGGGTAATTTATATAGAAAACAGGTTTAAACTGGCTCATGATTCCATAGTATATATGGGAAACATGGCTGGGGAGGCCTCCGAAAACTTGCAATCATGTCAGAAGGTGAAGGGGAAGCCTGCATCTCCTCCGTGGCTGGAGCAGGAGTAAGAAAGCAAAGGGAGAAGTGCTACACACTGTTAAACAACCAGATATCACGAGAACTCCATGACAACAGTAAGGCGGAAATCTGTCCCCATGATCCAATCATCTTCCACCAGGCCCTACCTCCAACACTCAGGATCACAATTCAACATGAGATTTGGGTGGGGACACAGAGCCAAACCATATCACCCTCACCAGGGGTGGGTATAGGCATAGGCCTATCACACGTTCCTGCCCTTTCCTTGGACATTGCTGTGTTGGGATGTGATGCCTAAAATGGAGCAGCCATTTTGTGACCACAGGGGAGTGAATATGTTCAGTTCAGCAGAGCTAATAATTGAAGCTGCCTTCCTCATGAAATTTTGTTGATCTTCTGAATTGTGCAATCTAAAAATAATTTTTAAGATTTCTACTTATAGGAAAATATAAATATTATGTGGTTGTTTATGTTGTTTGGTTTTTTTTTTTTTTTGGCAACTTGTGGGAAAAATCATTACTAACAATTAACAGCACAATAAACAAAAGGGAAGAACTGTCAACCACCCAAAAGGTTTTCATGTCACTACAAAGAATTATTAGGTTTCTGGCAAGAAGCTGTTGAAATAACTATATTAAAACTATAATAATGGCTCTGTAATCTTTTACTCTATAGATGCTATCGTCATCAGGGAATGAAGATATGAAAAAATGGGAAAACCTATTTTTTTTTTTGGCTAAGTCTGATAAAAAGGCGGATAGTCATGGAGAACTCTGATTGGATACAAAATATGATCTATTGGTAGTAAACTGAAGGGAGCTTAGCAAGGCCTGTTACTCACCAAGATTATTCTCCTTGTCCCTGTGTCTTCACAGATAAGAATTCCCTCTTCCTCCATGTGGAGGGAGGCCACTTCCCAGATGAAGTTCTTATGATCTGCTTCAGGAGGAGGTCAGAAAACCCTTTCTAGCTTTTATGATCTGCTTCATCGAAAGATGATGGGAAGGTGAGAATGACCTTCCCGCTTCTGTGGTCTTCTCAAATTTCTTTAGTTAAAATAGTGTGAGGTAGCATGTCCTGAATCTCTTCAGGAGCTTTATGAAAACCTTAGCAGTTTACTCTGGCCCACTGAGTCTGTGTGACCGGCTGAAGTCCATTCCTTCCAGATCGTGATATGGAGATTCTTGATACATGTCTGCTGTGCTTTGGAATAAAGACAGAACTGAACTTTTAAGTGTGTATGTGTACATATTTGTGTGTTTGTGAAAGACAGTAGATATAAGGGTGAAGTCCATTCTTTCTAGATTGTGGTGTGGAGATTCTTGATACATGTTTGTTGTGTTTTGGAATCAAGACAAGACTGAACTTTTAGGTGTTTATATGTGCTTATTTGTGTGTGTGTGTGTGTGTGTGTATGTGTGTGTGTGAGAGAGTAGGTATAAGGGCTGGACCTTAGTGTGTTAATTGTTGAATACCTAGGAAAGAAAAGCAAAAATTAGGTAAGGGTTAATTTTTCAGAATTTCTTAAAAATAGCATCTCATCAAAATTTTATAGCTCCCTCACAGAGATTCAGAGGTTTTGTCACTAGCCTTAGGTTGCAAAATAAGTCAAGGTCAAAATTAGGTGTACTCTCAGGAGTGTCAGTTTTAGATCTATCTTCTTTTAAATCTTATCTCAGTTCCTCAAAAGAATCATTAGATTATCTAACCCTAAAGATCCCTGCGGTTAACATCTCTCCATTTAAAATTACCATAATAATCACAACAAAGGAATGTGTATTTAATAATGTTCATGTACACTTCAGCTTGTCCCAACCGAATTAATGACTAATTCTGAGACTCAGGTAGTGGGCCCTGGAAGAGATTTTTGAGGCCCTGTGTCAGACTTCAAAGCAAATTTCAACCTTGACACAGCAGGCTCCAGTCCAGCAGGCCAGAACTGCCCGGGGCAATGGTCCCCTGAAGACCTAGCAGAAGGTTAGAAATTTGCATTCACACTGTGTGTGTGTTTGTTTATAGCAGGAGAACTTTGTTTCTTAAGTCATTCAAAGTTTTTTAATGGAAGATGAAAGTGAATTTGAGGGAAACAAAAAGAAAACCAACGTCTATGTCCCTGAACAGGAGACTGTTTGACTAGTTTCCCAGATTCTAAGAGTAGCACTTTCACATCAATGTGTATTTAGACGTCCCCGTTTCTGTTGGTTTTAGGTTAATTTTTGTCACATTTTGATCTCTTTTTTCCAGGGCCTTTTGTGTGATTAAATGTTAAGTAACTGCAGGTCTTGTTTCCACCCTTGCTGAGTCAGCTCAGCTCCCTGACAGGACTGTCTCCCTTTGATTGGCAGTCACAGGAGATGGGAAGTGAGGGAGGGACAGTGAATATTTCAGGTCAGTTCTCTCAGAGAATATAAAGGCTGGCATGGTGACGATTTATTATTTCTGATGACTAATTATAGGGAGGTTTGTGTTTCATGGGTATTTTGATAGGTGGCTTTTGCAGAGCTATCACCTTACTGAAATACTTCAATACTTCAACCCTTTGTCAACACTTAGAAGATATCACCTTTCTCTGTGGGTTAAGGAAGATAAGGAGGCAGAAAATATTTATATGGTCAATTTCATGATTTTCTAGAGAGAAACTAAGAGGTTTTAGGAGGGAGATGACTGACCTCAAGATTTGAAGGATTAAAACCAGGCAGAGAGAGAGTTTATTAGGCCTTAGAAGATGTTTATTTGGAGGAAGTTGGTAGAAAGCAAATATCTTAAGAATGCAATGTGGTTGTTTTATCTTGATTGAGTTAAACACCACAAAATATTATATGCCTGGAATTTAACATTGTCGCCAAGATTCATAAATCAAAGTTATCTTCTTGAATGCTAGATTGTTTTAAAAAAAAAAAGGCGGCAGAGGGGAGGGGGTTGCATCAGGCCTGCTTGCAAAGAATTATTGTACTGCTAATCAACCCAAATTATGTGTAAAATTTGTATGAAGAAAATAGCTTTGAATGTAGCGTAACATTTATCAATCTGATCCGCAATTTTTAAAAAATGGAAGATTGTACTAATTTTTGCTATAGCAACAAACAACTCCGCAATCTCAGTGACTTATAACAAAGGTCTATTTCTCACTCCTGGTTTATGAGAACCATTGGTCAGCTATGACACTGCTGAGTTCAGCTGGGTTTCCCTGGCAGTAGCCGGCCTTGGCTCCAGGTGGCTTGTATTCCAGGTCTCAGGGGTAAAGGAACAACCCTAATCTGGGTCATGATCTTTTTCATAGCTTGGTCTTTTTTTAGAAGGCAGAAGCTCAGGGGGCAGAGCCAAACCACAAAAGTACATTTAACATTTCTGCTCAAAAATTGTATAAGTCCTATCTGCTCCTATTCCATTGGCCAAAGTCACATGACCAAGGCCAAAGTGCATAGGGATCATATTCTGACGATAAAGAAGTACGACAAAGCCTGGGGTGGGGCAAATGATTGTGAACAAATAATACCACTTACCGTAATGACCAAAAACATTAAAATGGCAGGAAGTGGGGCCGGGTGCTGTGGCTCACGCCTGTAATCCCAGCACTTTGGGAGGCCGAGGCAGGTTGATCACGAGGTCAGGAGATCGACACCATCCTGGCTAACACGGTGAAACCCTGTCTCTACTAAAAATACAAAAAAATCATCCGGGCGTGGTGGTGGGCGCCTGTAGTCCCAGCTACTCGGGAAGCTGAGGCAGGAGAATGGCGGGAACCCGAGAGGCGGAGTTTGCAGTGAGCCGCCTACTGCACTCCAGCCTGGGTGACAGAGCGAGACTCCTTCTCAAAAAATAAATAAATAAATAAAATAAAAATAAAATGGTAAGAAGTAAATTTTACAAATAAAACTGAGAAATGAAAATACAAGGGCAATAACCTACGTGGGATAGCTGTGAGTGAGGTGTATCTAGTTTTACAAATTCTGAGGAAGGCTCCCTAGACAGTGCCGGATTGATTGAAAAACTCTCAAGGAAGGATGTGGCAGCACTTCATATAATACTTTTCATCCTACACCTACCAGAATTTGTAGTAAAGAAGAATTTGCAGAAAAAAATTATGATCATTTACTGATCACTTATTGAAATCGAGGCTTTGGCTAGTCCAGGAATCTCATAGCTGGCTGTGGATGTTTTTTCTACACGGAACCCAACTTGAGAAAACCTTAGCTAGAGGGGTTCACATACTTCCTAAGCCCAGCGATTAGCTTTTTTTTTTTTTTCTTGCTGAATAGCGTTCAGTTTTTTTCTTTTGATTAGACTGAAAATTTCTTGCTAATTGCAATTTCTCAACATTTAACTACACTAACTCTGCTGCTAGTAACAGATTGTACCGGTGTGAGACTACTGCTTTTTTCTTTTTTTTTTTTAACTCGTGTCTTTTAAATTGGATGTATCCACTTGTAAGTTGTAAGTGGCTGAGTCTATGTAGTTTACTAGTATATCCCGCAGTACCAACGAGAATTCTTGACATACAGAGTTGCTCAATAAATGTTTATGGAACCATGTTGAACACTCTAAAAAGAAATGTGTAGGATTATATAAAAATTTAGAATTCAGGTATGTAGGGTCCAAAATCTACAACTAAAAATAGCCAGAATTAGAAGGATGGATGTGCCTTCTCCATGGAAAGAAAGACAGAGAGAATCTAAGAACTAATCTTGAGAAATTCTGATGGAAACGTGGACTTGCTAAGATTGAGGTGCCCATGGGAAAATCCTGGTGAATATTACATCAAGTTACCCTCTCACATTTTTCCACAACCAAACTATCACAGTGTTCTAGCCAATCATCAACGCATGGAAATGTTTTCTTTATAATCTTAGACTAGTCAAGGACACAATGTCCACACTGTCCTCTCTTTTAGTGGCCAAATAATCAGTTTAATTAAAAATTATGTAAACAAAGTACACTATTCTCAGGCTATATATAGGCCCTCCCTCATTTTTTTCCTTCTATAAATTTTGTTTATGTCTTTTTAAAATCTTGACTCAGTCTACCCTCACATAGCTGATTCTCTCACATAGGAATAAATTATTTGCATGGAACTTGCCTGAGCAGCCTGCAGAATCACTCGCTTAATGTCTCTGAGCCATTCTTGGATAATCTGAGAAGAGTGAGCAGTTATTATTTCTGAGATGGAACACAAGGTGATGGGGAGGCAGTAGTGATAGGAGAAGAAGCTGCAAAGCTAGGCCTAGCCAGAGAGTGAATATCTTTGAATGTTAGATTAGGAAATGTAGAATCCATGCTGTAACTTGTGTGGAAAGGCAGAAAGACTTTTAAAAAGCAAAATTATGATTAGAACTGTACACAAAAATTCATGAACTAATTAATTAATTAATTCAGGATCTATTTATTGTGGACCCACATACTGCCAGTATGTGTGCTATGCCATGATGACATACAATGGAGGGTCAAACATGCATGATATCTGTTTTCCAGAGGCTAAAAGCTGATGCGGGAATAGACAAAAAGCACACAACTAAGACACAAAATATCTAGTTATAAACTGTTAAGTCTTGTGAAGGAAAAATAATGGATGCTTGAATAATAGACTAGAAGGAATTGAGGTTAGGAAGTTAGCACCTGAGAATGCTTTTTTACCTAAAGATATAGAATTGCCAAGTCAACAGATCTAAAAATAAGGAGGTTTATTATCTCACACAAATAATTTCAGAAGAGAGATGGCAATGCTGTTAATTCAGCAGCTTATTTTAGATGTGATTGAGGACTCAGATTATTTCCATTTTTTTCTTGTATCTCCTCAGTAGGTAGTCAGTCATTTGTCCTGAGGATTGTCTCCTCATGGATTTAAGATGCCTATAAAAGCTCTAACTCTCTTGTCTTTACACAACACCTAGAGAACAGAAGAATGTCCCATTCTTTATCTCTTTTGAAGAGGGAGAAGTTTGCCAGAAGTTCTCTGTCAGGCTCCTTCTCATGTCTAACTTAGCCAAAATTCTGTCAAATGTCCATTCCTGCATGAGTCATTGGTGATTGATAAGGAAACACCCTGATCGGTATACGCACTGTCTGATAAAGCAGTCATTAGTCACATGTGACTATTTAGATTTAAATTAGATAAAATTACATACAATTAAAAATTCTGTGCATCATTTGCTCTTGTCACAAATCAGATGCTTAATAGTCACACATAGTGCCTACCATATTGAACACAGCAGATTATAAATCATTTCCATCATTACAGCAATTCCCATTGTATAGTGCTGGTTTGGATAAATCAAGACCCACACTCTAGGGCCTAGAAAGAAACTGAGCCTTTCTTGAAGCATATGAACTTCTACCTGAATAAAATCATGGTTCACTTAGAAGGATAAAGGGAATGAGTATTAGGTGGGAAACCCACAGTGCTGCAAAATGTAGATGTGATGAGAGAGTACTTGTGAGTTGACTTAAGGGGATAGAAGCAATTGGTATTGGGGGCTGACTGAGTGAGTGTATAAGGCTTGGGTAACTTGATAAATGCTGGTCCATTGACTGAGAAAAGAAATGTAGAGAAGGAGGACTTTGGGGGAAAATGATAATGGATTTGTTGTGGTTACATTGCGTTCAAGATACCTGTGGTAAGGGAGGTGGAGATTTCTAGTATGCCCTTGGTAATCCAGAAAAGTAGCCATCTAGGCCATCAGCAGTGAAAGTATTTGTATGAAGGTGGTTACAGCAGGAGTTTCCTCTACCTTCTCTAGTGGAATCTGGAGCAGCGCAAGATGCACTGCTGAAGATGATTTGGCTTAAGATAAAATCATCTTTCTAATACTAATTTAAAATAGGAATAGGTAAGTTAAATGGTAATAGATTCTTCCTTTTGACGTGAACTAGTATTAAGTGTTGGAGAGATCAGCAATAGTGTTTGTTTACCATTACAGTACAAAAGTTGTTCTCTACTGGGAACAGAAGAGTTCGCCTTGGCTAAATACAAGTATCACTAACTGCAGTAGCTAATAAACATTTGACTGTATTAATTGTATATTGAATATAATTTGTGATAACATTATTTTCTTTTAAGCTAATATATGTGCCATCTTCACAGTTTGTCATTTGCTAGAATGATTTCACTCAGAATATTAAAAGGAATAGTGACACATTTAATGAAGTGGGTGGCAGGCCAGTGATACCTGATTCACCTTCCACAAGTTTGCCACTGAAATGGTCATAGAAGGCAGAAATGGGATGTAGGTTTGGAAAACGCTGGGAATAGTGAATCTTCAATTGCAAGAAAGAGTGAAACAATTTCTGCTCTCTGAAGGCAGAATAAAAGGGAAAAGAGAAAGAGTAGCTTTCTGTTGACTTCCAATAGGCATCCTGCCACAAAGATGAACAGAGAAGGCCCATTGAAGGAGCAAGATGGCCTTTGCCTTTCCCATAGTTTCTCACTGCTCCCTCCGTGTAGTACATGAGATATGCTTTCTGCAAAAAAAAAAAAAAAAAAAGCATGTGTTATTTCCCGTTGTTCATTTAATTTTTTTTTGCAAATCATTTGCTGCTGTCTGGTATACAATCCCCATGCATATGCACACAATAGATATGCATACATATGATATACATTGGTAGATATGTGTATATCTGTATGTGCATGTGTATATATACAATATATGTATCATATTTGCATCTATATTCATACATACATAAATTGACAATTTGTTTATTGTATGTCTCCTCATGAACACATAAGCTTCATGAAAGCAAAAACCTTGTAAACCTTGTTTACATTGCAAAGTAAAAGAAGACTAACAATTATTGACTAAGATTCAGAAAGCCCTTAAAATTTATCTTCAATTTGTGTTTTTTTTCTCAGCTTCTCTGGTAATTTGCATAAGAAGAAATGTATAATTTCCTGATCCCTTCTGAAAATGCATGATGTCACTTTAATGTGTCACTCTCAATGGAAAGACCCATGATTTTAATGGATGTTGCAACTGCAGTTTGTGTGAAAAGTTGACAAAAGCTCTCAGAGTTCACACTCTGCTCTGAGAAAAATCTATCTTGGTAGGCAAACTGCTATCTGAAAACTCAGAATGTTTGCCTTAGTCCATTTCTGTTTCTATAAAAGAATACCTGAGGCTGGGTAATCTATGAAAAAAACAGGTTTCTTTGGCTCGCAGTTCTGCAGGCTGTACAAGAAGCATGGCACCAACATCTGCTTCTGATGAGGGCCTCAGGCTGCTTCCACTCACGGCAGAAGGTAAAGGGGAGCCAGTGTGCAGAGATCACATGGCTAGAGAGGAAGTGAGAGAGAGAGAGAGGTGAGAGGTGCCAGATTCTTTTTAACATCCAGTTCTTTGGGGAAGTCTTGTGAGAACCAGAAGAGAACTCATTCATTACCACGAGGATGGCACCAAGCCATTCACAAGGAATCCACCCCCATGACCCAAACACCTCCCATTATGCCTCACCTCCAACACTGGGATCAGATTTCAATATGAGACTTAGTGGGACCAAACAATCCATATGCAAACCATAGCAACATTATACTATAAAGTGATTTTGTGATTATTGCTGGGAGGTTTTAGGAAGTTGTAGGCTCCCTTTTGCTTTTGTTTTTTTTTTTTTTTTTTTTTGAGACGGAGTCTCACTCCATCACCAGGCTGGAGTGCAGTGGCATGATCTCGGCTCACGGCAACCTCCACTTCCCAGGTTCAAGCAATTCTCCTGCCTCAACCTCCCGAGTAGCTGGGATTACAGGCATGTGCCACCACGCCCAGCTAATTTTTGTATTTTTAGTAGAGACGGGGTTTCACCATGTTGGTCAGGCTGGTCTCGATCTCGTGACCTCGTGATCCGCCTGCCTCGGCCTCTCAAAGTGCTGGGATTACAGGCATGAGCCACCGCGCCTGGCGGCTCCCTTTTGCTTCTTAATGCAGGCTATTGCTTATCTTTCTTTCTTTTTTTTTTTTTTTTTTTTTGAGACGGAGTCTCGCTATGTCGCCCAGGCCGGACTGCGGACTGCAGTGGCGCAATCTCGGCTCACTGCAAGCTCCGCTTCCCGGGTTCACGCCATTCTCCTGCCTCAGCCTCCCGAGTAGCTGGGACTACAGGCGCCCGCCACCGCGCCCGGCTAATTTTTTGTATTTTTAGTAGAGACGGGGTTTCACCTTGTTAGCCGGGATGGTCTCGATCTCCTGACCTCATGATCCACCCGCCTGGGCCTCCCAAAGTGCTGGGATTACAGGCGTGAGCCACCGCGCCCGGCCTATTGCTTATCTTTCTAGAAGTGATTTTTATTGTAAAAAATTTGTTTCTGTAGTGATGGAAGGTAGCATGGCTCTGACAAATAAAGTTTGTATTAGCTTTTTTATCCAGGTAATGAGTTTTCAATACAAAAAAAAAAAAGAAAAAACTAAACAAAAGTTTAGATTTCTAAAGCTAATGCAAGAGATGAGCTAATACAATTCTGGTTAAGGAAACTGCACTAAATAAAGGAACTCATTTTACAGTCCTCTAATGCAAGTGAGAAATCACAGGAAAATAGGACAGGAGTAAAACTGTGTGTGTTTGCATGTGAACACCAAGTAGTTATAGAAAGGTAAATGAGTTAATGGGTGCAGCACACCAACATGGCACATGTATACATATGTAACAAACCTGCATGTTGTGCACATGTACCCTAGAACTTAAAGTATAATAAATATATATATATATAAAAATAAAATAAACTTTCCAAACTGAAAAAAAAAAAGGTAAACAAACAATTGTGAATGGACTGAAAAGAACATAGGTAAAAAACTAATGCAGACTTTTGTTGCCTTTACAAAAAACCAAACCAAACCAAACAAGCCCCCAAAGTTATCAAATTGTTAGTAATGGTTACACACTAATATCCTCTTGAGAATTAATTAGATTGACAGCTTAGAACATGAAATACTTTGCTTCATTTCAATTGAATGAGGCTTATTATTGTCTTTTTTGGCTTTTTATTTTCTATCTGTTCATTTTTCTAGGTGACTTGAATTGAGGAAATGATAAGAAATTTAAAGCACGTATTTCAGTTCAAGCAAATACTTCAACTTATTAATTTATTGACCAAATAATTTTAGACCGGCATGTTTATGTGTATGTGAATGCATGTATATTTAAGGCAAAACTGAAGATGGGTATCTTTCATAAATGCATATGAAAAGATCTTTATGACATTTCAGTAAAGCTATTTTAAAAAGGAAGATCTTTACGAGTGTGAGGGCTTTGTGTGGCCAATTGAGCAGAAGCTGCAGATTGATTTTGGTGCATTCATAAACATTTTATGAGGATGACATCTCAGAGAAGAGATTAGGTTAGATATTTGTTGCACGAAAAGTTTTGAACCCTTTTTGAGTACACTAAGCTCAATATTATTTATAAGTAGTTCACTACCTGCATATGTAAAGCATCTGTATCTATATGAAAGGTATTAGTTTTCTACTTTGGGATATAATTTTGAAAGATATTTGGAAAATAAAATGGGATGCATTCTAGAATAATAAAATTGAACCTTTAATGATCAGAACAAAACAATTTCCAAACTTCACTATATAAGGCACAGAATCAGTTACACAAATCACTCTAATAGAATTTCAAAAGAAATCCAATTTTTATCAGACACTAGGGGAAAAAAATAATAGAACCTAATCAATTCCCCACTTGCTCATGTGTGCTGTGGTGAGATTTGAATATATAAGGTTTAGTGGTCACCTGGTTTATAGTAAGGGGTTGGCAATGTATGTAAATGGTAGAAAATTTTCCACATAAAAGTGCTAGTGGAAAAACAACCTTTTCTTCCCCTAGAAATCAAGGAAGAATGGTGATGATTCTCTTTGCCCCAATAAAGTTGATCACAGAAAAATTAGAATAAACATTTTCAATAAATATAATTTTTAGAGGCCTTTTCAGAGGAGGCAATACTTTTTTTCTCGGTAAAGCTATATCTCTTTTTAAAATGACCCTAGTTTTCTGTATTTTTTCGAATAAAAAATTCCACATGGTTCACAACACTTTTTATATATTGTATCTTTGGCTAATAGGTATATGTTTGTGAGTAGTGTATGTCTGTGTGCTTCCATATCTGGAATTTTTGTGTATTGTATCTAAGTGCAGATCTGACGGTGGATCTCTCAAAAAATTTCCCAGTAAAAACCTCAGCTTCCCTCCCTGCCTCTATAGTCTTTGTTAGCCTCCAAGTCCTCTTCTACTTTCACTGATCCATGAGCAAATACAAAGTCACAGTGAATGCTTTTTACAACATATGTCTGTGAAGGTCTTTCCCTGCACATGTCAAGACAACGCTCTTGAGCATATGTGAGTTATTTATCATCAAACAGATTTCATAGTAACAGGTGCATCCACGGGACCCAAATGTACAAAAGAGACTAATTTTCTTTCTCCCCCTAAAAGACAGTGAATAAAAGTGATAAGATAATGACTGGAATCCCAGACAACTAAAAGCTTCCAGCAGATGTAGCTCTTGAAGCTTTTACTAAATACTGGAAAATCATTATGCAATCATTGCAGGAAAACAGGTCAGATGACTAAAAGATATTAATAAACTCATGCTCCTGTTTTAGAACAATGGAACACATAGATCCAAAGAGGAGCTCTCATCCAACCTCCTCATTAACTGAGGCCAAAAAAATAAATAAATAAATAAATAAATAAAAAGGATGGTTTGCCTAAACTCAGAAGCTGTTTCTACAGAAACCAGATGTTATTACGACAAACTCAGGATTCTCTGATCCCAACAATTCTTTACCTTTCTGTTAAAATCAGCCAAGATATCTCGTCTTTTGATCTCTTAACTGAGGAGTTTCTTATAATATAGCTTTCTCCACCCTCTATTCATATTTATTACTCTCCTACTTCTTACTCCTAATTTGCGAAATGCTCTTTGAGTCTATGTGAAAAAAAAATGTTAAGTACACTACAAGGCATGATTTGAAAAGAATATTATCAGGCAAGAATCTCTGTACTATGCATGTCACACCTGCAGTGTAATAGTATTTTCTCCTGGCAGCATCCATATGATCACTTGACACAGAATTAAAAATCAGCAGCTCCAAGAGAAGGGCTGTGCAGCTCCCACCAGGCCCTCATCACTGGTGGCTGAGCTCAAGAGCACTCACTTAGAGGGAGTGCAAAAATCAGCTCTGAACGTGGCCACTCTGCTGTGTTGTGTCACTTGCTCAGACCATGCATGACAAATCCTCAAATGCGTTTGGTGACATTTAGAGAGCGCTGTGGACTCTGCCAATATGCCAAGCAATCAGAGTGTGCATGACAAATTATGAAACACATACTGTGAAAATTATGGACTCTGTCACGGTGCCAATCTGCTGCTGAAAACCTACTGCTGCTAGAAGTAATGTTGGCACAAATTTGTTGCTAAATTCAGTCATATTTCTAATTCAGTAATGGATTGATTCTAATGGTGAGTTGCTGTACCTGTTTAGGTTTCAAACAAGTACTGTGGGGGCTAATGACCTCACCTGCTATTATAAGTAATCAGGGGAGTCAAATCCTTTTCCACCCACTCCTTTCCGTCGATGGGTCTTCTTTACTCCTGTATCACACAGGATTTACATACAGGTCCCTGTATCTTGATCTCCTCAAAAATTTTTTGGTTGTGTGCCAGTATACAGTAAGAGCTGTTTCAGTATGCAATAAAACACTGAGGGTGCTACGTTCCCTCTGCGTCTTAACAAAGACTACACAACACCCTCAGATACTTGCCTGCAGGATAGGAACAGCAGGAGATCACGAACAGCCATAACTAACTGTCAGAGAAGTGGACAGTGTAGAATCTGGACCCAGTTAGCACCTGACACTTGGTGAATCATTCATTAAATAAAAGGCACTGGGGAGAACTACCTCTCAAACACACAAACACAAAATAACAGCAACCAGATTCTAGGAATCCAGTGAAAAAATAAGAATATAGAAGCTAAATGTTCAGAAAACTACGTTCAAGGACACACCGCCGCAGGCTGGTAGAGATCAGAGTGAGCCTAATAAATTGTCTTTAAAGTGTGTACTTTCTGGATATCATCTTTTACTAATTTACATGGAAAAAATGTAATACTATGGAGCAAATTTAAGTGTGAAATAACTAGTGTGATATTACATTTATGTTTACAAATATGTCTATTTGGAAAGAGCTATAAAATTTTTTTTCTGTGTATATCATTTTAAGTTTATAATTGCAGCTTTAACTTTATTTTCTTACCTGTGCTTGGATTAGTCTACATTTCATTGATAATAAACATGGAATTCTGTACAGTGATATCATGACACTTTTTTTTAGATATCATATTTTTATAGTTATCTCTAGGAACAGACTTCAAATCATGTTCAGCATTAGATGGATTAATATAATAATCATGACATTTACTCTTATCACTATAAAAAAGTGAATAGTGATCCTCAAGCAAGCCTGTTTATGACAGCTTTGTTATAGTATGATATATGTGCCTTGTGTGGTTTTTCAGATTTGCTTGCATCTAGATGATCAGTTGCATTTAGCTGTTGGTTTTGCTTATGAAATCTACTTATAATTTAGAATTATATTATTTTTGTGTGAATTACTTTTAAAAGTCAGTGTGAAAATTCCGAGTTTTTCTCTATTGAATTACATTTTGTGTGTGTGTGTGTGTGTGTGTGTGTGTGTGTGTTTCTATGGAAATCATGAGGTCCTCAAAGCATGTTAATTTTTTAGCTAATTTTAGTACCAAAGGATAATGTGAAAGCCTTAGTCTAGAAGAGATTTGGCAAAACCTAATATCTCCTGGATCTGGCACTACCACCATATGGATAGGGCTCATTGTGAATAATATGAAAGGAAACAACAAAAAAGAAGGATGGAAGGAGAAGTCTTTCCAGGATTTTCCCTGCGTGGTGCATGCTGAGGCCATGACTTTTAGCTTCTGTCAGTACCAGACTTGTTGAGATTGAAGCCAACATATGCCCTCTGACTCAGTGCTCCTTTCCTTCAATGAAAAGAGAAGTTGACAAGGCAAGTACCACCTAGGCTCTCTCAAACTTCAAGGAGCCTGTCTAAACTGTCAAGACAAATGATTGGCAGTTAACAACTCTTCCTTCATGTGATGTGGAAGAAGAATCCCCCAAATTGAAGAAAGCTGGAGCAAGGATTTTGCAATAAGCACAAATCTTACATCTCGGAAATTGTGATGAAAATAGCAACATGGTTGTGTTCAGTAATCTGCATATTAGCTCTCCTAAATATGAGGGTTTTTTTTGTTGGCCAAAAAGACAGTCCAGGAGGCTGACCAGTGCCAAATGAAAAAATGGCAGCCTTCCCTCCATCTATGTCTCTGATTATAAAACAGCAGGAGAGATCATTAGGGTAGCATACACGTTCTGCTTTGGGGCATATGTCAGGTTCAATACTGTGAACAGATTTAAGTTTTGCGAAGGATGCCAAGTACTTCTTCCTGTGACTTCTCCAACAATGAGGTGCTGGGCTTGTGCTGCTGGCTGTTTTGCAGAAAACTGTGGTGGTGAGTGACACAGATGGTGTGGAGAGTCTGACATTGCATATTATTTACCAATCAGAAAATGACTCAGTTATTTTATGCACACAATTATAAAGGGCCACCTGTACCAGTGTATGCTGCCTGCTTACGGGCAACAGCAGGAACAGGGCATGTGTCCATGTAAAAGATAAACGGTTTCATTCTTTGTTATATTTTTTATAGTTTTGATATCAGCTTTATTCATATTCAGCTTGTGAAAATTTAATAACATTTCTCCGCCCATTAGGACTGTGCCTAATGCCATTTGTATAGATAGATTTCACTATAAGGTTACCTTTCTTGGATTCCATTTTCTGGATGCAGGTCTCGAAATATCAAAATGCTACATTGTAAGGTGATGTCCTTGTCTAGCAGCTAAAGCATGGCAATCTAAGAAAGTTCCAGTGCATTATTCAGACATTTCTTGGGTATAATTTAGATATTTAGAAAATCTTCTAATTATTTGAATATTTAATGAGTACATTAGATCATATCACATTAAAAATAAGGAAACCAGCCTTTCTTGAACACCTGTGGTACATTTTATAGCTACTGACTTCTGTAATCCTCTCATCTCTCTGACGTGGGTAGTATTATTGCTGTGTACACTGTAAATTCTCCGAAAATCAGAGGATTTAAATAAATTTCTAGATCTGCACAACTTGTATGTGGTAGAATAACGATTCTAACCCAGTATGTGATTCTAAATCCTTTTCTGTTTTCACAAAGGCTGATTGTATGCATTCTCCCAAAACGGCTTTTTCTTAGTTTTCATTAGGCTACTGGATTGATATTTATTTTTCCAAAATAATAATATCTTTAAGTCATTATTGTATCTGCCTATTTTAAAAAATTAACTATAGAGATTTATGCAAAAAGTGAAAATCCCCTTCAGATGTTACCTGTACTCCCTGCCACTAATACTCTCCCGATCTTTAAAAAATAGCTACAGTTAAGCCTGAAAAAATATATATTCTGAACTTTGAAAGCGTATCTATACATGAACATACATATATATTTTTATAAATGGGATTATGAAATACATGCTAGTTCAAAAATGACTTACTAAATAATATTAATATATTTTGAGTTTACAGATCTGGATCTAGCTTATCTCTTCTCCTAATTTGTAATAATGTGTAGTATTCCGTGTTACAGAGAGAGGATACTGCATTTTATTTAACCAAGTCGTGTTGATGATCATATGGATTATTTAAAATTTATTGTTGCTTTCACAATACTCAATGAGCATCTCTCTCTATATTATTCTATCATTTTCTACAAATCCGTGGAAGGAAAATTAATTTGTCAACATATTTATTTAAAATTTTAATATAAAAGTTCAGATTGTTTTGAGAAATCTGTATCTTTTACACTTTTATTAGTATCTTGGGTGTATCTGAAAAAAATCAATTTTTTAATCTTTGATAATCTGATAGATAAAAGGGGTGTTTCACTGTTTTCTGCATAGACATTTTTATATCCAATAAGGTGGAGCACTTTTTTCATATTTTCCTTGTTCATTTGTATCCATCTCGGTGAATTACTTTTTTTTTTAAGTCTTGCAAAATGACATTTAATTATCGCAAAATTAATAAAATTGTAGGTAATAGTGTAAGTATGACCTCTTTCCTAGAGCAAGTCAACATTGTCCTGTTGGTATGCACTATTTTTCTATTCTCGTGATTCTATCTTCTGCATTCTTTTTTTTTCTTCTTTTTTTTATTATTATTATACATTAAGTTTTAGGGTACATGTGCACAATGTGCAGGTTAGTTACATATGTATACATGTGCCATGCTGCTGTGCTGCATCCATTAACTCGTTATTTAGCATTAGGTATATCTCCTAATGCTATCCCTCCCCCCTTCCCCCACCCCACAACAGTCCCCAGAGTGTGATGTTCCCCTTCCTGTGTCCATGTGTTCTCATTGTTTAATTCCCACCTGTGAGTGAGAACATGCGGTGTTTGGTTTTTTGTCCCTGCGATAGTTTACTGAGAATGATGATTTCCAATTTCATCCATGTCCCTACAAAGGACATGAACTCATCATTTTTTCTGGCTGCATAGTATTCCATGGTGTATATGTGCCACATTTTCTTAATCCAGTCTATCATTGTTGGACATTTGGGTTGGTTCCAAGTCTTTGCTATTGTTAATAGTGCCACAATAAACATATGTGTGCATGTGGCTTTACAGCAGCATGATTTAAAGTCCTTTGGGTATATACCCAGTAATGGGATGGCTGGGTCAAATGGTATTTCTAGTTCTAGATCCCTGAGGAATCGCCACACCGACTTCCACAATGGTTGAACTAGTTTACAGTCCCACCAACAGTGTAAAAGTGCTCCTATTTCTCCGCATCCTCTCCAGCACCTGTTGTTTCCTGACTTTTTAATGATCGCCATTCTAACTGGTGTGAGATGGTATCTCATTGTGGTTTTGATTTGCATTTCTCTGAAGGCCAGGGATGATGAGCATTTTTTCATGTGTCTTTTGGCTGCATAAATGTCTTCTTTTGAGAAGTGTCTGTTCATATCCTTTGCCCACTTTTTGATGGGGTTGTTTGTTTTTTTCTTGTAAATTTGTTTGAGTTCATTGTAGATTCTGGATATTAGCCCTTAGTCAGATGAGTAGGTTGCGAAAATTTTCTCCCATTTTGTAGGTTGCCTGTTCACCCTGATGGTAGTTTCTTTTGCTGTGCAGAAGCTCTTTAGTTTAATTAGATCCCATTTGTCAATTTTGGCTTTGGTTGCCATTGCTTTTGGTGTTTTAGACATGAAGTCCTTGCCCATGCCTATGTCCTGAATGGTAATGCCTAGGTTTTCTTCTAGGGTTTTTATGGTTTTAGATCTAACATTTAAGTCTTTAATCCATCTTGAATTAATTTTTGTATAAGGTGTAAGGAAGGGATCCAGTTTCAGCTTTCTACATATGGCTAGCCAGTTTTCCCAGCACCATTTATTAAATAGGGAATCCTTTCCCCATTGCTTGTTTTTCTCAGGTTTGTCAAAGATCAGATAGTTGTAGATATGCGGCATTATTTCTGAGGGCTCTGTTCTGTTCCATTGATCTATATCTCTGTTTTGGTACCAGTACCATGCTGTTTTGGTTACTGTAGCTTTGTAGTATAGTTTGAAGTCAGGTAGTGTGATGCCTCCAGCTTTGTTCTTTTGGCTTAGGATTGACTTGGTGATGCGGGCTCTTTTTTGGTTCCATATGAACTTTAAAGTAGTTTTTTCCAATTCTGTGAGGAAAGTCATTGGTAGCTTGATGGGGATGGCATTGAATCTATAAATTACCTTGGGCAGTATGCCATTTTCATGATATTGATTCTTCCTACCCACGGGCATGGAATGTTCTTCCATTTGTTTGTATCCTCTTTTATTTCATTGAGCAGTGGTTTGTAGTTCTCCTTGAAGAGGTCCTTCACGTCCCCGGTGAGTTGAATTCCTAAGTATTTTATTCTCTTTGAAGCAATTGTGAATGGGAGTTCACTCATGATTTGGCACTCTGTTTGTCTGTTATTGGTGTATAAGAATGCTTGTGATTTTTGTACATTGATTTTGTATCCTGAGACTTTGCTGAAGTTGCTTATCAGCTTAAGGAGATTTGGGGCTGAGACAATGGGGTTTTTGTAGATATACAATCATGTCGTTTGCAAACAGGGACAATTTGACTTCCTCTTTTCCTAATTGAATACCCTTTATTTCCTTCTCCTGCCTAATTGCCCTGGCCAGAACTTCCAACATTATGTTGAATAGGAGTGGTGACAGAGGGCATCCCTGTCTTGTGCCAGTTTTCAAAGGGAATGCTTCCAGTTTTTGCCCATTCAGTATGATATTGGCTGTGGGTTTGTCATAGATAGCTCTTATTATTTTGAGATACGTCCCATCAATACCTAATTTCTTGAGAATTTTTAGCATGAAGGGTCGTTGAATTTTGTCAAAGGCTTTTTCTGCATCTATTGAGATAATCATGTGGTTTTTGTCTTTGGTTCTGTTTATATGCTGGATTACGTTTATTGATTTTCGTATGTTGAACCAGCCTTGCATCCCAGGGATGAAGCCCACTTGATCATGGTGGATAAGCTTTTTGATGTGTTGCTGGATTCGGTTTGCCAGTATTTTATTGAGGATTTTTGCATCAATGTTCATCAAGGATATTGGTCTAAAATTCTCTTTTTTTGTTGTGTCTCTGCTAGGCTTTGGTATCAGGATGATGCTGGCCTCATAAAATGAGTTAGGGAGGATTCCCTCTTTTTCTATTGATTGGAATAGTTTCAGAAAGAATGGTACCAGTTGCTCCTTGTACCTCTCGTAGAATTCGGCTGTGAATCCATCTGGTCCTGGACTCTTTTTGGTTGGTAGGCTATTGATTATTGCCACAATTTCAGAGCCTGTTATTGGTCTATTCAGAGAGTCAACTTCTTCCTGGTTTAGTCTTGGGAGAGTGTATGTGTCAAGGAATTTATCCATTTCTTCTAGATTTTCTAGTTTATTTGCGTAGAGGTGTTTGTAGTATTCTCTGATGGTAGTTTGTATTTCCGTGGGATCGGTGGTGATATCCCCTTTATCATTTTTTATTGCGTCTATTTGATTCTTCTCTCTTTTTTTCTTTATTAGTCTTGCTAGTGGTCTATCAATTTTGTTGATCCATTCAAAAACCAGCTCCTGGATTCATTAATTTTTTGAAGGGTTTTTTGTGTCTCTATTTCCTTCAGTTCTGCTCTGATTTTAGTTATTTCTTGCCTTCTGCTAGCTTTTGAATGTGTTTGCTCTTGCTTTTCTAGTTCTTTTAATTGTGATGTTAGGGTGTCAATTTTAGATCTTTCCTGCTTTCTCTTGTGGGCATTTAGTGCTATAAATTTCCCTCTACACACTGCTTTGAATGTGTCCCAGAGATTCTGGTATGTTGTGTCTTTGTTCTCATTGGTTTCAAAGAACATCTTTATTTCTGCCTTCATTTCATTATGTACCCAGTAGTCATTCAGGAGCAGGTTGTTCAGTTTCCATGTAGTTGAGCGGTTTTGAGTGAGTTTTTTAATCCTGAGTTCTAGTTTGATTGCACTGTGGTCTGAGAGACAGTTTGTTATAATTTCTGTTCTTTTACATTTGCTGAGGAGAGCTTTACTTCCAACTGTGTGGTCAATTTGGAATAGGTGTGGTGTGGTGCTGAAAAAAATGTATATTCTGTTGATTTGGGATGGAGAGTTCTGTAGATGTCTATTAGGTCCGCTTGGTGCAGAGCTGAGTTCAATTCCTGGGTATGCTTGTTAACTTTCTGTCTTGTCGATCTGTCTAATGTTGACAGTGGGGTGCTAAAGTCTCCCATTATTATTGTGTGGGAGTCTAAGTCTCTTTGTAGGTCACTCAGGACTTGCTTTATGAATCTGGGTGCTCCTGTATTGGGTGCATATATATTTAGGATGGTTAGCTCTTCTTGTTGAATTGATCCCTTTACCATTATGTAATGGCCTTCTTTGTCTCTTTTGATCTTTGTTGGTTTAAAGTCTGTTTTATCAGAGACTAGGATTGCAACCCCTGCCTTTTTTTGTTTTCCATTTGCTTGGTAGATCTTCCTCCATCTTTTCACTTTGAGCCTATGTGTGTCTCTACACGTGAGATGGGTTTCCTGAATACAGCACACTGATGGGTGTTGACTCTTTATCCAATTTGCCAGTCTGTGTCTTTTAATTGGAGCATTTAGTCCATTTACATTTAAAGTTTATATTGTTATGTGTGAATTTGATCCTGTCATTATGATGTTAGCTGGTTATTTTGCTCGTTAGTTGATGCAGTTTCTTCCTAGTCTTGATGGTCTTTACATTTTGGCATGATTTTGCAGCAGTTGGTACTGGTTGTGCCTTTCCATGTTTAGTGCTTCCTTCAGGAGCTCTTTTAGGGCAGGCCTGGTGGTGACAAAATCTCTCAGCATTTGCTTGTCTGTAAAGTATTTTATTTCTCCTTCACTTATGAAGCTTAGTTTGGCTGGATATGAAATTAAAATTCTTTTCTTTAAGCTTGTTGAATATTGGCCCCCACTCTCTTCTGGCTTGTAGAGTTTCTGCCGAGAGATCCGCTGTCAGTCTGATAGTCTTCCCTTTGTGGGTAACCCGACCTTTCTCTGGCTGCCCATAACATTCTTTCCTTCATTTCAACTTTGGTGAGTCTGACAATTATGTGTCTTGGAGTTGCTGTTCTGGAGGAGTATCTTTGTGGAGTTCTCTGTATTTCCTGAATCTGAATGTTGGCCTGCCTTGCTAGATTGGGGAAGTTCTCCAGAATGTTTTCCAACTTGGTTCCATTCTCCCTGTCACTTTCAGATACACCAATCAGAGGCAGATTTGGTCTTTTCACATAGTCCCGTATTTCTTGGAGGCTTTGTTCATTTCTTTTTATTCTTTTTTCTCTAAACTTCCCTTCTTGCTTCATTTCATTCATTTCATCTTACATCACTGATACCCTTTCTTCCAGTTGATCGCATTGGCTCCTGAGGCTTCTGCATTCTTCACGTAGTTCTCCAGCCTTGGCTTTCAGCTCCATCAGCTCCTTTAAGCACTTCTCTTCATTAGTTATTCCAGTTATACATTCGTCTAAATTTTTTTCAAAATTTTCAACTTCTTTGCCTTTGGTTTGAATTTCCTCCTGCAGCTCGGAGTAGTTTGATTGTCTGAAGACTTCTTCTCTCAACTCATCAAAGTCATTCCGTCCAGCTTTGTTCCATTGCTGGTGAGGAATTGCGTTCCTTTGGAGGAGGAGAGGTGCTCTGCTTTTTAGAGTTTCCAGTTTTTCTGCTCTGTTTTTTCCCCATCTTTGTGGTTTTATCTACTTTTGGTCTTTGATGATGGTGATGTACAGATGGGTTTTTGGTGTGGATATCCTTTCTGTTTGTTAATTTTCCTTCTAACAGACAGGACACTCAGCTGCAGGTCTGTTGTAGTTTGCTGGAGGTCCACTCCAGACCCTGTTTGCCTGGGTATCAGCAGCAGTGTCTGCCAAACCACGGATTTCGTGATCCGCGAATGCTGCTGTCTGATTGTTCCTCTGGAAGTTTTGTCTCAGAGGAGTACCCGGCCATGTGAGGTGTCAGTCTGCCCCTACTGGGGGGTGCCTCCCAGTTAGGCTGCTTGGAGGTCAGGGGTCAGGGACCCACTTGAGGAGGCAGTCTGCCTGTTCTCAGATCTCCAGCTGCATACTGGGAGAACCACTGCTCTCCTCAAAGCTGTCAGACAGGAACATTTAAGTCTGCAGAAGTTACTGCTGTCTTTTTGTTTGTTTGTGCCCTGCCCCCAGAGGTGGAGCCTACAGAGGCAGGCAGGCCTCCTTGAGCTGTGGTGGGCTCCACCCAGTTCCAGCTTCCAGGCTGCTTTGTTTACCTAAGCGAGCCTGGGCAATGGCGGGCACCCCTCCCCCAGCCTTGCTGCTGCCTTGCAGTTTGATCTCAGACTGCTGTGCTAGCAATCAGCGAGACTCCGTGGGTGTAGGACCCTCCAAGCCAGGTGCGGGATATAATCTCCTGGTGTGTCATTTCCTAAGCCTGTCAGAAAAGCGCAGTATTTGGATGGGAGTGGCCCGATTTTCCAGGTGCCGTCTGTCACCCCTTTCCTTGACCAGGAAAGGGAACTCCCTGACCCCTTGCGCTTCCTGAGTGAGGCAATGCCTCACCCTGCTTCGGCTGGTGCATGGTGCACTGCACCCACTGTCCTGCGCCCACTGTCTGGCACTCCCTAGTGAGATGAACCCGGTACCTCAAATGGAAATGCAGAAATCACCCGCCTTCTGCATCACTCACGCTGGGACCTGTAGACCAGAGCTGTTCCTATTCGGCCATCTTGGCTCCTCCCCTCTGGTGAATTACTTTTATAAATCCTTTGGCCATTTGAAATTTGGCAGCTTATTAATTTGAAATAAATTTTTGTCCAGTGGGATTATTATTGCCTTGTATACTGCTATACATGTATATATATGTGTGTGTGTGCATGTATACACTATAGGTAGCCACTAATATTATGAATACATCCCTAATTTGTCATGTTCTTTTTGGTACTAGTTTTTTTTTTTAGTTTGAAAAGTAAATCACATGTATTATAAACAATTTTTAAGTTCTATAAAGTTGAATGTAAGCTCCTAAAAGAACAGCAGAAAATCTTTTTAGCCATATTCACTTTTACTCCCACATCCTAGTGGTAGCTATTATTAATTATTCCTATATATTCCTTTTAAAAATAACATTATTGAGGTATAACTAAACTGCAGATATTTAAATATGAATATATAATAAACTGCAAAGATTTAAAGTGTATAATGATCACTACCTTTGGGGTAGTGAATTTATGCATCACCCCCAAAGTATGGTAGTACCTCTTTGTAATCACTTCCTGTTGCTTCTTCCCAGCACCTCCCCTCTCCCTGGCTGACTGTTGATCTGCATTTGATCACTGTAGCTTAGTTTGCATTTTCCAGAATTATAGTTAAATACAATCACACAATATATACTCTATTTTTGTCTGTCTTCTTAGCACAATCATTTTGAGATTCAGCAAGATTGTTGTAGGTATTGTCATTTGTTCCTTTTTCTTGCTGAGTAGTATTCCATTGTATGGGTATGCCACAACGTCTTCATCCCATCTCTTGCTGTTAGACATTTCAATTGTTTCTAGGTTTTGGATATTAAAAATTACTCAGATTGAAACAAAAACAAGATAATCTTTGAGTTTCTTTTATAATATTGTCTGTAGGAATAAAATTTCTCCCACCTCTGATATTAATAATTCAAGTTTTCTCTTTCTTTTCCTGATTAGAGGATTATGAATTTCATCAATGTTCAAAAAGAATCAGATTTGGTTTCATCAATTTTCTCTATTTGTTTTTGGCTTTGTATCACTGATTCTCATGTGACACTTTATTATTTCCTTATGTTTGTTAACTTTTAATTTGCTCTTCTTATAGTTTTTTTTAAAGGTGAAAGCTAAAGCTATTGATTTAGGTTTTCTTTGTTAATACAAGCTTTTAATGCTATAAATTCCTCCTAACTGCTACTTTAATGGCATCTGCAAATTCATATATGCTCTGTTTTCATTTTTATTTAATTCAAAAGACTTTCTAATTTTCCTTTTGATTTGTTCATTGATGCATGAACTATGTAGAAGTGTTGTTTAATTTCCAAATATTTGAGAATATTCCAGAGATCTGCTCTTGATTTCTTATTTCATCCAATTGTGTTAGGATAATATCACTTATATTATTTCTTTTTTTTTGAGATGGAGTCTCGCCCTGTCACCCAGGCTGGAGTGCAGTGGTGCAATCTCAGCTCACTGCAACCTCTGCCTTCCGGGTTCAAGCAATTCTCCTGCCTCAGCCTCCAGCGTAGCTGGGACTACAGGCATGCACCACCATGCCTGGCTAATTTTTTTTTATTATTATTTTTAGTAGAGATGGGGTTGTACTATGTTGACCAGGCTGGTCTTGAACTCCTGACCTTGTGATCCCCTGCCTCGGCCTCGCAAAGTGACTGGGATTACAGGCGTGAGCCACTGTGCCAGCCCACTTATATTATTTCAATTGTATTAAATTCATTTTTGGCCCAGGATATTGTTTCTATTGGTAAATGTTCTGTGTGCACTTGAAAAGAATGTGTCTTCTGCTCTTGCAGGGTTGAGTGTTCTATAAGGGTCAATTAGACCAAGTTGATTGACAGTGTTTTTTCTACTGTATCCTTCCTGATTTTCTGTCTTAATCTACCAGTTCTTGAGAGTGGTCTTGAAATCTCTGATTGTCAATTTGAGTTTTTCTCCTTGAAGTTTTATCAGTTTTTGCTTCATATACTTTGAAGCTTTGTCACTGCATATATAAATATTTAGGATTGCTACGTACTTTTGATAAATTGACCCAGTATTTTGAAATTACTTTCTTTATCCTTGGTAATATTCTTAGTCAAACTCTTCTTTGGTACCAGTATAAGCCCTGTATACTGATTTTCCATCCTTCTAATCTATTTGTGTCTTTATATTTAAAGTGCATTTCTTGGAAGAAGCACATAGTTGGGTCTCTTTTTTTATACAATCTAACAATGTCTGCCTCTAAATTGGGATGATTAGCCTACTTACATTTAATGTAATTTTGACATGGTTAGTTTTAAGTGTATCATTTTGCTATTTGTTTTCTATTTGTTCTATTTCTTTTTGCTTTGTTTTCTCTTTTTCTGACTTCTTTTGGATTTAAAAAATTATTCCAATTTATATCCTTTATCAATTTATTAGCTGTAACTCTTTGTTTTGTTATTCCAGTGGTTATTATTTGCTTTGTAGTGTTTATCTTTAACTTCTCATGGTCTTCCTTCAAGTTATATATACCACTTCATGTATGGTATAAGAATCCTATAAGATAGTGTTTCTATGTATTCCTTCTCAGCCTCTGTCTCATTCTTGTAAAACATTTTAATTTCATCTATTAAATGTAATGTAATCTCCACATTACATTTTGTTTATAGCCAATTGTCATTTAAAGATGTTTAGGTAATGAGAAAAATGGATATGTTTATTCACACATTTATCATTTTATAATCATTCATTCCTTTATGTAGATTTGTATTTTCATCAGGAATCATTTTTTCTTCTGCCTTTAGGATTTCCTTTAACATTCTTCCAGCTTTTGTGCATCTAAAATTATCTTTATTTAGACTTTGTTCTTGAAAGGTATTTTTTCTAAATATACAATTCTATACTGACAGTTTTTTTCTTAGAACTTTAAAGTTGTTGCTCCAATGTCTTCTTGCTTACATCACTTCCAAAGAGAAATCTACTATCATTGTTATCTTTGTTCCTATGTGTGTAATGCATCTTTTTTATAAAGTAAAATTAGGTTATATCAATTCCTCTTAAAAGTCTATAGTGGACCATTTTATCTTTAACATAATCGAAAGTCCTTATTAATACCCACAGAGCATGGTTTAGTTTAGCTCCTTCTAAACCTGGAATATCTTATTATTCCAGGAAATATACACGTGAAATAAAGATAAATCCTCTTGTTTTTCAAACCAGAAATATAAATTCATAAATATTGTTCTGCAACTTGCCATTTTATTTACTAATATAACCTAGAAATATTTGTATCTCAACACACAGAAATCTATTTATTTTTAATTGCTGCATTTTGTTTCATGGAAGAAAACATAATTAGTTAGATTATAAATTATAATTTAAATTATAAATTATGATGTAACTCTTTAATCCATATGAAACCATATGACTTTTTCCTGATCTAAGAATATAGTTTACTTGAAACTTGTAGTTTGTGCACATAGAGGCTTTGCAAAATTCCCATTCTTTTCGTCTCCTGAACATTGTGTTAACTCCTGGGGCTGACGTGGAAAATGACTTTTGTTTTGTTTCATTTTTGTTTTGTAATTTCAAAGTCCTGTGTAAGATAAAAATCTGGCTTTAAATTTTACATTTCTAACTTTAAATTTCTGTGTCAACAAAAATTATGCCTTCTTAGAAACGAAGTCCATCCAAGAGACTTTCCCTTTTGGAAATTTCTCCACAAGAGCTCAGGATGCCAGTGTTTGTGCTAGCACCTCTGTTGCCATAGGTACTACATATGGATACACAGAGATTTGCAGAAACGACGACTGGGCTGATTTGTGAAGAGCTGAAGCAACTACTTGATGTAAAACTGAACTATAGTCTTTAAATATGCATGTATCTTTAAAATTACACATAAAATACATTATATGTATATTTCATATCTGTCTACCTATCTTTACTTTCTTTAAATTGGCAATTTCACTTTTTTAGCAATTACTTTCTGAGAAATTTGAAGTTAATATTTTGGTGAATAAAATTGCTGACAACTCTTTTAGATTTAGAATATACATTCTCCCTTGAGCCACAATTATAGTAAAAAAAGGACACTGCTCACATGCTTACCTTTGTTTCCTTAGCAGGTGGCAGAATGTTTAGCTCATGGTAAGTCTACAACATTATTTGTTAAAAGAATAGATGTATAAATACAATTCAGAGTTTCAACATATAAAGTTTACTAATAAAATTGAGAATATGTGGAAAATGACATTCTTTAATTAGCTCATCGTAATTGTAGATTTTTCTATAAATGATAACCATATGAACACAATACATGGACTGGAATATAAGCCTTGGCCAAAAAATGTAAGCTCTATAAAGACAGGAAAATTTTGTTTTGTTCACCACCATATCTATAGTGTTCCTAACAGTGATTAGCACAAAGTAGGTACTCAGTACATATTCAATAAATGAAATGAATAATTTCAAAACACATTAAAGAAAAATATAAAATATTTTATTTAACTACATCAGCTTAAAAGTTCAGTCAAAATATGTAATTAGGATTTTCATGTTGGCATATATACAATAAAATATTTTGGATAAAGAGCTTGAAATTTTGTATTGATTCTTAATAACACTTGCTGCTTCTTATGTATTTCCAATGGTTGTGAATTCCAGAGTTATGTATAATTTATTTGCAATATTAACAATTACTGATGTAGCATATGAATACTCACATTGTTTTTTCTAATTTTTTTTTTTAAATTGATATGGTTTCTGGTAGGTTTAACCTACCTATAACATTACACATGGCTTAGTATGGACCACAGCCAGTGAGGAATGCCACTTTCCGGCCAAAGTAATTTTTATTTTGAGAAATGGGCTTATAACCCAACTGGGGCAATGAGAAGCAAGAATTTTACAGAGACTCTGAGAAAGGGAAAACTTCAGCTTTTTTTTTTCTTTATAGAGTTTAATAGAAGGTATCTTTTTTTTTCTTTCATAGGAATTATTTCTTTCACAGGAATAGGATTGTGTGGCATGAAGATATGCAGTATGGCATTATTATAATCATTATGATTCAAATCAGGGTTGTGCCTCGAGTTTTGGGGAACAGGCACCTTACAGAGCCTGAGGAAAAGGCAAGACCCATGAAAAGCAAGATGAAGGATCAGAGAGAACTTGTTCTGCGGTAATATTGTTGGGCTGCGAGGCCACGCTCAAAGACCTGTGCTTCCTCTAAAATTTCACACGTTTAAGCCAATAAAAATTCACATCGTTTGGTTTTCTTTCTTTGTAACACAAAAAGTATAAATGATATAGGAGAAAAAACTGCTTTCTCTTCCTTCACCAAGTGTAGTCTTTTACAATGTCTCTAAAAATAGAATACACATACAAAGAATTCAGAGGTAATTATTTAGATTTTGTTTGTGTTTCAGTTTATACTTTGGTTTTCACTTTCTGGTGGAGTGCTTCAAAATTCATCTATAGAAATACGTAATTGTTAAATAATTCAGCGTTGAAGTATTTGTTTTACAGAATGTAAAAACTGTAAATCTAATTTCATCAGTTTATTTGGGGTATTGACTTTACAGATCATAGTGAGATATGTGTTACATTTAATTTTGTCACAGGATCCTTGGAGTGATGCTTGGCCAGCTGAAAACCTCTGTGGCCAGTGGCAACCTCTGCCTGAGTACTGTTCACGCCCGCTGGGCTCGTTCTGCCCACTCTGCCTGGCAGGCTGCACTTGCTTCACACCACTGGCCCAGATCCCACACCTGCCAAGGGCAAGCCAGGCATGGAATGGCGAGGGGTGTGTGGGCGAACGGTCTGGCCACTGCGCACAGCCAGGCATGCCAGCTGCTGCAGTAAGACGGGCAGTTCCAGGCACCGGCACAGGTGCCAACTCCATGAGTGGCTGCAACTTCCACTGCGGGCACCTGCATCTAGAAGAGGGCAACGAAGTGGTGCCCAGTAGTTTGGAGATTCCAGGAGCCACAGAGCCCCAAAATAGGGTGTCACAGCCCTGGTTCAGGGGGCCCCCAGGTCTGGGCTCCCCAGAGGGCCACAGCACTTCTCTCCTTCCTGTCACCCATAACTTGGCCAGCGTTGGTGGAGGCATGTTTCAGTCCTGTTTGTGTTACAGTCTTTCAGTCTCACCATATAGCAGGTCCGAAGTTCTTGTCCTGCCTCCAGGAAGAATGAGGTACATAGACAATTAGAGAGTGAACAAGGTGGAGGGGAGCTTCACTGAGTGACAGACACCAAAGGGGGTAGCTCCTTTCCACAGGCAGGTCATCCCAACAAGTGGAGGAGATCCGAAGTGGGGAGCTCCTTCCCACAGCTGGTGGTCCCCACATCTGTCTGAGTCTGGCTAGTCCAGGGTTTTTATGGGCTCAGAAAGGAGGAACTGAGTGCTGATTGGTCCATGGGCAGCCATGGTTCTACTCAGTATCACTATTATTTTATCTTTTGAAAATGTCATATAAATGGAATCTACTTTATTTATTTTTGCCCTATCTTTATTATTATCTTTCTTCTGTCTGATGTGGGTTTATTTTCCTCTTTTTCTACTTTCTTGAAGTGGAAGCTTAGGTAATTAATTTTAGACATTTCTTCTTTTCTAATATAAGCATTTCATTATATATTTTCCTATAAGTTCTCTACCTAGCTACATCTTACAAATTCTGATGTGCTGCATTTTCAGGATTTTTTATTAGTTCAAAATATTTTCTAATTTCCCTTGAGTCTTCTTTTAACCAATGGGTTATTTAAAAGTGTGGTTAAATTAGCTGGGCATGGTGGCAAATGCTTGTAATCCCAGCTACTTGGGAGGCTGAGGCAGGAGAATCGCCTGAACCCAGGAGGTGGAGGTTGTAGTGAGCCGAGATCACGCCACTGCACTCCAGCCTGGGTGACAGAGCAAGACTCCGTCTCACAAAAAAAAAAAAAAAAAAAAAAAAAAAAAAAAAGTGTGGTTAAAAAAAACTTTTCTAATAGTTTTCATCTTCTGTTATTGATTTTAAGTTTAATGCCCTTATGATTTAAGAACATACTTTGTATAATATCAGTTCTTTTCAATTTGTTAAAGTTTGTTTTATGACCCAGGTTAGGTGCATGGAAAATGCACATGTGCACGGTAAATGCACATGTGCACTGAAAAATAATGTCTATCTTCACTGCATCAAGCTAGACCTGGTGGGCTTCTAGCACTCTGCGTCAGTACTCCCTTCTGATTTTTTTGCTGCCTGAGTCCAAGCTGGAAAATACTGAAGGAGGGAAAAAAAAGGTAACTTCCCTATGAGTTTGTCAGCATTGCAGTTCTGGTACAGTGTCATTGACCTGCTATAATTTACTTTTCAGAGTTCTCCAATGGCTGCTCATGCATTCTTTCCAGATTTTGTAGCTACATTCTAATGGGAGACAATAAAGAGGGTGTGCTTATTCCACCTTACCCCATAAGATACCAGAATTGCCTAAAAAGAATATTGTTCAGCCAAATTGTTATTATCAGTTTTACCACTTTAAAAATCACACATGCTTTAGTTTAGGCAAAATCCTTTGCTCCCAGAAAAAAATCTTTTATTTATTCATTAACAAATATTTTTTGAATGCCTACTATGTACTGGCACTGTTCTAGGCATTGAAGATACATCAATGAATGAATGAACACCAAAAAACAATCTTTGCCACATTGAGTTTATATTCCAGTGGGAGTATACAACTAAAATTACGTAATGTGTCAGATGATTAGCAGTAGGTACAGTAAAGAAAAATAAGGTGGAGGCAGGTGATTTAAAGTGCTGCAAGCAGAGATATTGGAATTCTCAAAAAAATTGTGAGGAAAGTCATCACCAGTTAGGAGATATTTGAATAGATAAAGATAGAGATTGGTATTAGAATGTGCACATTCTAATCACCATTTTTGATGACTGAATTTGAAACAGATGAAGTTGAGGAGAATATATTTATTATAAATAGCTATCTCTCCCATGGAAAGTTATGAATCCTTTATCTTTTACATGGTTAAATTATTTCCGAATAAATACATAAAATGTAAAGATTTTATTAAATAAGTCCTTAAATAATTAAAGTTAGGTGTCAAACAGATTGGTTTTAAACTTAAATCAGACAAAAGTCATCTTGATTATGTGTAAAACTAAACCATGTTGGCTACAATTGTTTTCTTGGAACACAGGCTGGTCCCTATTGGGCTATGAAACAAATGTCATTTGACATGGAAAAGGCATTATTTTTTGTTCTCTAACTAAATTCAATACTTTTCATTTAAGAAATATTGAGATTTGTTTATCCATATGAATTACCATAGGGAAAAAAAATTATAATACTGAATTTGTGGTTCAGTTTAAAATAGGCTCTCTGTTTTTTGAATGCTGAAGAGCACTTTGAATGTCAGTACTAAATGTTAGCCCCAAACAGTCTTTAAATGCTTTAATATCTTACCGCACTTATTGTCAAAGTGGCAAGAACAATATGGACAGTGCTAGGGCAAAGTTAGTTGTCACTAACTTAGGTAAAATGTCATGTCCAGATGTTGCCCTCTGCAGCTGCTGTGTAATTCTAATTGACTCCCTGGGGAAGCTGCTGAGGACCAGATTCAGCTTTGGAGTTGGGCGTGAGTAACTGATCACAGAGATTGACTCAGTATGTTTATGTTTGTGAAAGTGTTGAGAATAGGAGGTTATATGAAAGCCAACAGTTATTACTCCCAAGGCCCAGTGAAAATTATACCTTGGTTATCAGCTTTTACCTTTAGTATGTTTAAGTTTATATTTGGAAATGTAAAAACACCTAAAACTTATCCAATAATTATTTAAAAATCAAAATATGGAAGGCTAAAAAAAGTACATGTATATTTGTACATACTTATCAAAAACCTATATATGTGTATATACGTATGCACATATTTAAAAATATGCAAAATACTTTTCAGTATCGTAGGGACCAAGGGAAAACTTCTCCTTTGTTCTCTGATGGTTCACTGAAAAATCGGTTCACCGAAGACAGGAGAGAGGAATACATTTTTTTAATTTTAGGAGAGAAAGAATAAAAATTTTTTAATGTACATGGAGGAAAACCACAGCGTGATCACTCCAAATATCTCAATGGGACTCAGATACTTATATATCTTTTTTCAGAGGGGGAAGGGGAGATGAGGAATATAGGTAATTCTGTTGAGGGATGATGAAAAGATTGTTAAGACGAATAAATGGATCAGGGAACAGAGGTTCACCTGTAAATAGTTCTCTGTGAAAATGGAATGATCCTGAGAGAAAGATATTATCTTGTGAAAGGGTCTGCTCAGGTGTGGTTTTCAGGTAGAAAGTCTTTTCTGCAATAGATACTGAAATAACATGGAGGAGGTGGAAAAAATAATTGTTCTCCTTGGTGAGTTAATCTGATCTCTACATAAGCAGGGAAAAAGTTTCTTCCAGTGTATGTTGAACTTTAAAGGCCTTTAATCCTGTAATATTTACACCAGGGAGCCACATTTTGGATTGTAATATTTCCTATAGTATACATATTTCCTATAGTATACATATTATCTGAGAATAGTGCATAGGTTCACAGTGCTATGACAAATAGATGATGTTGCTTTTGAATACTCTAATGCTCTGTGAAAATAAATTATTCAAAATCTAAGCTGTTGAAACTTTAAAATATTTTGAGCCTTAAGGGAATGTGATATGTGACCTGAGTGATATGATAGGCAGTTGTAATCTAGGCAGCAATAACCAAGGCAGCCATAACCTTTGCTTCTCTGATTATAGATTAGCCTTTTTTCTTACCTACATTGTGTCTTAAAATATTGCAAATTACTATAGGTATCAGGGAAGACCCCTTTCCTCTTTACTGTTGATTTCATTGAAGATTAACTTCCCTCTTACTTTTCTCAACAATGACCTCATGACTATCACATTATCTAAAGTGGAATATTAGATTATTAGATATGCCCTCTTAAATTGGAAAGAAAGTGAAAAGTCTGTAAAAGAAAAAAAAAACCACAGGGAAAATAAAACAAAGTGTAATTAATTAAATTGGAACATGCTTTGCATAGAAAATATTGTAATCCTGTTATTTTTTTTTCCTTCTTATATAAACAAGACCTTAAGTGTTAACTTTGAAGCACTGAACCCATTTCTCTGGAGTCCGTGTTTCAGGGATGGCAATTTCCAACTTTAGGCTCGAATAAACTCTATACTTGACCATATTTCTAAATATTAGTATTTAAAGTTGATTGTTGTCTTTTTGTTCTTGAACATAGCTTGGACATATTCTCTGTTAAAAAATTAAACTGCCTTCAAATCCTTTACCTTACTATAATTAACTTCTCAGCTAAAGGAAAATATGTTCTTAAATTTCTGTATGAAAGTGACCAAAAGAGAATCCAAGTATTTTTTTTCTACACCTCCCTATCACAAATTTTCGGTTGGATGTGGCCAGCTCTAAAACTTCAGCACTTTTTGGTGCACAAATATTGACTTCTTTGCTTTATTGTTTTTTAACTTTAAAATAACTTAATAGTTTTATAGTAAAAAAATACAGATGAATATTTGGACTTAGGCCAAATAGTATCTTGTATTTTATCTTAGTAATTGAAAAGAAACATTCTTATGAGGCAAGCCAGATTATTTCACCCTAAAATATATTTCTTTGGAATATTTTTAGATGGATATTCTGAAGGGCTGCAAACACAAGAACTGCCCTGAAAAGTCTTCTTTTGTGGGGAGAAATTTGCATCTGTAAAGGAAATCTGCATTAGTAAAATGAAGTAAACAGCAGATGTAAATAGGCTTTTTTCATATCCCCTTATATGGATCTAGGAAAGATTAATTCACACGAAAAGGAGACTAAAGATCCCATAGAGAAACTTTTACTACGGGCTACCATCTATTTTTTTTTTCAGAACAGCACTGAGATTACGTGATATATTTTTATCTTCATAATAAAAGAGCCTTGGTTTGACATACTTTTCTGTGTTCACTCTCCCATTAACCTGTTATTCCACTTCCCCACCCCTTCAGAAGCCTCAAGCCCCTATTCTTTCTGTAACCTTAGGATGGTATAAAAATTTTAGGCATCTAGGCCATACTTTGAGGCTCATATTTTGTGTATGACTCTTGTTTCTATATGCACATTAATAAATTTGTGTATCTTTTTCTATGTTAATTTGTCTTTTGTTACAAAGGTGTCCCAGCTAAGAACTTCTAAGGATTAGGAAACATTACTATTTTTGCATCAATGTTTATCAAGGATATTGGCCTGAAGTTTTCTTTATTTGTTTATTTATATGATGCTGGACTCACAGAATGAGTTAGAGAGGAATCCCTCCTCTTCAATTTTTGGAAATAGTTTCAGTAGGAATGGTACCACCTCTTCATACACCTGGTAGAATTTGGCTGTGAAACCATCTGGCCCTGGGCTTTTCCTGGTTGGTAGGCTTTTTATTACTGATTCAATTTCAGAACTCATTATTGGTCTGTTCAGGGATTCAGTTTCTTCCTGGTTCAATCTTGGGAGACTGTATATATCCAAATATTTATCCATTTGTTGTAGGTTTTCTAGTTTGTGTACATAGTGGTGTTCATAATAGTCTCTGAAGATTTTTGTATTTTTGTGGGTTCAGTGGTAATGTCCCCTATTTCCTTTCTGATTGTGTTTATTTGGATCTTCTCTCTTTTTTTCTTTATTAGTGCAGCTAATAATAATCAATCTTATTTATTCTTAAAAACAAAACAAAACAAAACAATATCTCCTGTATCCGTTGACCTTTTGTATGGTTTTTGTGTCTCAGTTTCCTTCAGTTCAGCTCTGACTTTAATTATTGTCGTCTGTTAGCTTTGGGTTGTTTTGCTCTTGTTTCTCCAGTTCCTCTGGTTGTTAATTTAAGATCTCTCTAACTTTTGATGTGGAAATTTAGTGCCATAAACTTCCCTCTCAACACTGCTTTTGCTGTGTCTCAGAGATTCTAGTACGTTGTGTGTTTTCATTCATTTTAAATAATTTCTTGATTTCTGCTTTAATTTCATTGTTTACCTGAGGGTCATTCAGCAGCAGGTTGTTTAATTTCTATGTAATTGTATGATTTTACATGGTTTTCTTAGTATTTATTTCTATTTTTATTGCAGTGTCATCTGACAGTATTGTTGGCATAATTTTAGTTTTTCTGAATTCATTGAGGATTGTTTTGTGGCCAATTACGTGGTTGATTTTAGAGTATGTGCCATGTGCAGATAAAAAGAATATATATTCTGTTATTTGGGGGTGGAGAGTTTTGTAGATGTCCGTTAGGCCTATTTGGTCAAATATTGAGATCAGGTCTTAAACATCTTTGTTAGTGTTTTGCCTTAATAATCTTTCTAATACTGACAGTGGTGTGTTAAAATCTCCCACTATTATTATGTGGTTTTTAAGTCTGTTCATAGCTCTCTAAAAACTTGTTTTATGAATCTGAGTGCTCCATTATTGAGTGCATATATATATTTAGATAGTTAGATCTTTTAGTTGAATTGAACATTTTACCATTATGTAATGCCCTTCTTTGTCTTTTTTGATCATTGTTCGTTTAAAGTCTGTTTTGTCTGAAATTAGAATAACAATCCCTGGTTTTTTTTTCTGTTTTCCATTTGCTTAGTAGATTTTTCTCCATCCCTCTACTTTGAGCTTATGAATGTCACTGAATGTGAGATGGGTGTCTTGTAGACAGCATACAAGTAGGTCTTGCTTCTTTATCCAACTTGCCACTCTTTGCCTTTTAATTAGAGCATTTATCCTGTTTACATTTAAAGATAATTTTGATATGTGCAGATTTGATTCTGTCATCATGTTGTTAGGTGGTTATTATATTGACTTCATTGTGTGGTTGCTTTATAGTGCCAGTGGACTACATACTTAAGTGTGTTTTTGTGGTGGCCAGTGTCTATCTTTCCTTTCCATATTTAGCACTTCCTTGAGGACCACTTGTAAGGCTGGTCTAGTGGTAATGAATTCTCTTAGCATGTGTTTGTCTGAAAAGAATCTTATTTCTCCTTAGCTTTTGAAGCTTAGTTTGGCTGGATATAAAATTATTGGTTGGAATTCCCTTTCTTTAGGAATGCTGAATAGAGGCCCCCAATCTCTTCTGGTTTATGTGGTTTCTGCTGAAACATCCGCTCTTGGTCTGGTAGCGTTTTCTTTGTAGGTGACCTGCCCTTTCTCTCTAGCTGGCTTTAACATTTTTTCTTTCATTTTGACCCTGGAGATCTGACAACTATGTGTCTTGGGGATGGTCATCTTATATAGTATCTCACAAGGGCTCTCTGGATTTCCTGTATTTGAATATTGGCTTCTTCAGCAACGATGGGGAAATTTTCATTTCCCCAAATGTGTTTTCCATGCTTTCTCTCCCTCTCTTTCAGGGACACCAATGAGTCATAGACTTGTTGATTCCATATGGGATCCTATGCATAATAGTATATTTTTCAGTTTTGTCCACTCTCCTTTTTTTTTTTATTTTTGTCTGATTAGTTATTTCAGAGAACTGTCTTTGAACTCTGAGATTCTTCCTCAGCTTGGTTGATTCTGCTATTAATATATGCAATTATACTATGTAATTCTTGAAGTGAATTTTTCAGCTCTATCAGCTCAGTTTAGTTCTTTCTTAAAAATGACCATTTTGATTGTTATCTCCTGTATTTTTTATTGTATTCTTTAGATTCCTTGCAGTGGGTTTCAACTTTCTCCTGAATGTCAATGGTCTTCATTCCTATCCATATTGTGCATTCTGTCTCTGACATTTCAATTATTTTAGCCTGGTTAAGAACCATTATTTGGGAACTAGTGTGGCCATTTAGAGATAACGGGACTCTGGCTTTTTGAGCTACCAAAGTTCTTACACTGGTTCTTTCTCAGCTGCGTGGGTTGGTGGTTATTCAATCTTTCAAGTTGCTGTCATTTGGATTTTTTTTTTGTATTATTTTATCTTCTTTGATGTCTTTGGGGGTCTGATTAGAGTATAAGATGGGTTCCGTTGACTGACTTTGATTCTAGTCCACTTATGGGTCTAGGAGGAGTCCAATTACTGTCTCCATGCCCACATTTTGTTTTTATTGGGTGTTCTGTTCCATGGGGCTCCTTTAGGCAGGGTCTGCAGTTGGCAGACAGGCTCCACGCTGACTCCAGACAGGCTGGTGTCCAACTTTGCTCCTTTTCTTCTCTGCTCTCTGTGTCCTCATGCTGCCTTGATGGATCTCAATGTGGTTTCTCAGATGATTGGCCTGTAAGGTTTGTGTTTGCTAGCCCTTTTATTTACTCTCCGTAAAAGTGAGTCACATGAGCTGCTTCTAGTCTGCCATCTTGGTTCAGCTCCCCCAAGAATCTTAATATTATTCAATTTAAATAATAATACCAACCTATTTCTTGAACATATTATTTGATATATTTTACATTTAACTAAAATATTCACATAGGATATTAATTACATGAAATAAAATGTAACTTTGTTATTTTACAAACATCTTTATCAAGAAAACAAATGACTAAGATATCCTCTCAGTTTTGTTTCTTATCATGATTACTTAGTGTTGTCAAAGATAATGCACTATGCAATGAAATAATATTTTGTAATTTGGAAAGTTAATAATGAGAATATATTCTATTCTTTTACTTGGCTCTATGTCAACATTGTTATGACTGGTATGTTTTAGTTCATCGTTAGCTGTATTTAGAAGTAATAAAGATGGAAAGTCAAAATGAAAAAACCTCAATTTTGGGGGGTTTTGTTTGAATAAAGCAGAGTAAATGAATGGTGGCAATGTGTCAGAAAACAGAATAATTTAGAAAAAGTTAACAATAAGATAAAAAGTAATATTTGACATAGTACCCCACCCTATGGGAGACTAAAGCATAATTCTCTTATATTGAAAAGTACATGTTCATAATGTTACATTTTTAAGGAATTATAACAATTTAGAAAATAGTGAACTATTGATTTATTTTATTTATTTTTCAATGTTAGAAATAATCACCTTCATCATTTACTTGTTTTTCTTGTTTGTTTAAAATTTTTTCTTCTGCTGATGAGAATGTAAATTAGTTCAGCCACTGTGGAAAGCAGTTTGGTGATATCTCAAAGAGCATAAAAGAGAATCATTAAGTTGGTGCAAAAGTAATTGCAGTTTTTGCAATTACTTTTAATCATTTGACCTCCCAATCCTATGACTCGATATATATCAAAAAGAAAATACAACATTCTACCAAAAAGACACATGCACTTGTATGTTTATTGGAGCACTATATGTAATAGCAAAGACATGGAATCAACCTAGGTGCCCATCAATGGTGAATTGGAGAAAGAAAATGTGTGTGCTAATTGCACACCATGGAATATGGTACAGCTGTGAGAAAAAGCAAACTCATGTCCTTTGCAGCAGCATGGATACAGCTGAAGGCCATCATCCTAAGAAAATTAATATAGGAACAAAAATACAAATAATGCATGTTCTCACTTATAAGTGAGAGCTAAACATTGGATACTCATGGACACAAATATGGCAACAATAGACACTGAGGACTACTACAGGTTGGAGGGTGGCCAGGGAAATGGTTGAAAAACTAACTATTGGGTAATATCTATCTCATTATCTGAGTGATAGGATCACCTCTAAACTTCGGCATCACACTTATAACAAAGCAACAAACCTGCACATGTACCTCCCAAATGTAAGATAAAAGTTGAAATTATGAAAAAAATTAAATAAGTTTTTCTTTATAGACTATAAGTTCCTTTATGTGGTCTTGCTTATTGTTTTTTAAATTGAAGGTTGAAGTTCACTAATGAGACACAGAGAATTTTTAAAAATTCATAACCACAGAATAAAAAGTATTAGAGTGCCTAGCTTTATTCTACGGATAAGTTTCAGGAAACTATTTGCTTCACTTATCTGTACTGGGCCACTATGAAACTTAAGTTTCTTACTGTAGATTTTCATAAAATATTACTAAAAAGCCACTGGACTGATGAAAGGTAACCGAAGAATACTTTGTCTATACTCTGCTACTGGTGGCAGTAGTTCATTTGCTATATTTTATGTATATTTTGAAGTACACACAATTATAGGAGCAGATAGTGGATAGTCTGTTTTTTTCTCCCATCATAAGGATTATGGCTAGCATCCCTATAACAGACAAGTAAACAAGAGAAAATCAATAACACATTTATTTGATCATGGTTTTATTGACACAGGAGTCTTCAGAATGAAGACCCAAAGATATAGGGAAAAGTATCTGTTTTTATGCCTTGGTCAATGAAGTATGGACAGTCATGTAACGATATGATTGCACAAAAAAAGGTATAATCTAATGCCAATAGTCTGAGTGGGAAAATTCACCAAGACCTGCTTATTCAGATTTTTATTGGCTGCTCTGTGCAGCATTCCTTTCTTTTGGGTATGGGGTAGGATTTCTCTGAAATGAGGGTCTTTATTTATGGACAGTTGTTAACACAAAAAGGTGGAGGGGGCATGGAGAAGGTTAGACTAATATTTTTAGGCTCTATGGCTGGCTTTGAGGAAAGGGGTTTCTAGATTCTATGACCTGCCTTGGAGAAGAGGGATTCTAGTTTTTATGGCTTGCCTCTGGGGAGAACGAGGGGTGAAAGGCAGGATGGCAGAAAGTCAGAGAGAGATTTTGCTTTTGAGGTCGCATTTCAGGCCTTTCCTTCAGGGCGTCATATTTTGAGTCCCTACATTTCTTGGTCTAAAGATTCCCCAAGAAGTTTTACAGTCCAGAAATTAGTTGGGTGGATTCTTCCATAAGCTACTAAATCAGTCTCTTATTCCTGAGAAATGGCCAGTTTAGTTAAACAGTTAACATCTGTGTCTCATTTCAGGTAGTGGTGGTGTAGATGGCCTTCCACCAAATTTAGGTGTGAGCAATCAGATATTTAATAAGATATTAAAAGATTAATGGTTAAAACAAACTGCAAAACTCAGCTTTCTCTTTTGTTTTGTTTAGTAGAACTTCAGTTTATAGAGCTTCAGAAAATAAAATAGTTTTAATTTCAATGATCCCAAGCCAGAATGGCGGGAACAAATTGGAAGTGTTAGAATGTCACACCCAGATATTGGAGAAAACTAAAAATTTAGAATTCAGTCCAGATTTAAAAAAGTAAAAGAAAAGAAACTCAAAACAATCAACAGGGATAGAATTTAATAACAGGTGCACTACAGTTTTTCTCCTGAAACTTAATTTTTCCTCTCCATCCCTCTGTTTTTACCAAAGATAAACACAGAAAGACTAATTTGTTTATAAAGTAAGTTTAGTCTAATTAACTTGGTCTGATTATTTGTATAAAATATAATAAAAATAATTATTTACCATATAAGCTCTTTAGAAGTTGGCTTTGCTGAAACTTTTTTTAAGGAATCTCAGATTAGACTTTTAAAAGCCTCCCAAGGCTTAGGAGCCAAGCCAAGGATATCCTCAAATTCTGTCTGTAATATCTGTATGAATTGGGTGAATTCTTCTCTTCTTGAGGTTTTAAAAATATCTTTAGATTGCTGGGTCTGTCAGAAAGTGACATTCTTGAGCTAGGCAATGACTTGTGCCTGTAATCCCAGCTACTCAGGAAGCTGAGGCAGGAGGATTGCTTGAGATTAGGAATTTGAGACCAACCCAGACAAGAGAGGAAAACCACATCTCTAAAATAAATAAATAAATAAATAAATAAATAAATAAACAAATAAATAAATAAGACATTCTTTACTTACCACAGGGTTACGGAGGGTGTCAGAGAACTGTATGGACAAGATACCAGGCCAGTTTTTCCTAGAGTCTTTTTATTGGCTCCAGAAGAGTCAACCAATTTCCATTCCTCAAAGCAGTCTAATCATATCTGAAAATATGACATTTCAGTAACAGCCATGGTAAAACAACCAGTGTTTTCAATTGTCCTGTTACAAGAAGAGTAGATTCTTATTGAACTTATATAAATAACTATATTGGGATAAAATAAGATACAAATAGTTTCCAAATTTTGGGTGGATTAAGCAGAGAGAAAGCTAAATGTCCTAATTCTGCTTACAAAAGTAGACTTGACCAAATTATTGTAAATCCATAGATAGCTCAAGAGAAAAAAAGTTTTCTTAACTCTGGAAATCCAGACATGAAAAGCATCAGCAATGTTTCAAACAAAAAGCCATTAAAAACATAATCATGTATTAGTTTATTCCCTTGTAATTAATTCTAGTTCTGCTTCATATTAGGTTAGCAATATTATGAGTCTAGCATTTTTCACTAGGGTTTTGAAATTTTTACCCACTCCAATGCTATGATCCTAAAGCAACCAAAAATTATACTGACAAGTACTTGTCAGGGTTCTTTCCATAATGTTTTTGACAAATAAAATAACTTTGGACTGTAGCCAATAGTAAAATGCTTTTCAAAGTATCCAAATAAAGCAATTAACTGTAAACAACAAAACTTAAAATGGCCATGGTTAAAGATGCAACTGACAAAAAAAGGTGTTTATTTTCCTCTATGGCCTACAATAATTTAACATAATAGTCATAATGACTAATAACATATACCTTGGTATATCAGAATTTTATGAATCTCATAACATTATAAAACACATATCAATAACACATCCATACAAATATTACTCAAAGAAAGTTAAACATCACTTCTTATGTGACAACACCTCCCATATAACATCATACCAAATAAGTCTGAATTGGTTTGTTATCTTTCCTTCTGATGCTTTAGATGCCCTCTGAAACATCCTAAAGTTAGTTTGAGGTCAAAAGATTTAACTTAGAATTTGAAATTTGATTTTTAAAATCTGTCACATATGTCAAAGGTTTAAAACACTTGATCATTGGTTCTCTTGTGATTCCGTTCCAAGATGGCCGAATAGGACAGCTCTGGTGTGCAGCTCCCAGTGTGATCATCACAGGACACAGGTGATTTCTACATTTCCAACTGAGGTATTGGGTTGATCTCACTGGAACTGGTTGGACAGTGGGTACAGCCCACAGAGGATGAGCCAAAACATGGCGGGACATCAACTCATCCAGAAAGTGCAAAGGGTTGGGAGATTTCTCTTTCCTAGCCAAGGGAAGCCATGACAGACTGTACCTGGAAAATTGAGACACTCCCACCCAAATACTGCACTTTTCCAACAGTCTGAGCAAACGGCACACCAGGAGATTATATCCCACACATGACTCAGCAGGTCCCATGCCCACGGAGCCTTGCTCATTGCTAGCACAGCAGTCTGAGATCAAACTGCGAGGTGGCAGCCTGGCTGGGGGAGGAGCGTCTGCCATTGCTGAGGCTTGAGTAGGTAAACAAAGCGACCAGAGAAGTTGAACTGGGTGGAGCCCACCGCAGCTCAGCAAGGCCTATTGCCTCTGTAGATTCCACCTCTGGGGGTAGGGCATAGCTGAAGAAAAGGAGCAGAAACTTCTGCAGACTTAAACGTCCCCATCTGACAGCTCTGAAGAGAGCAATCATTCTCCCAGCATGGTGTTTGAGTTCTGAGAATGGACAGACTACCTCTTCAAGTGGGTCCCTGACCCCCGTGTAGCCTAACTGGGAGACACTTCTCAGTAGGGGGTGACTGACACCTCATACAGGCCAGTGCCCCTCTGGGATGAAGCTTCCAGAGGAAGGATCAGGCAGCAATATTTGCTGTTCTGCAGCCCCCACTGGTGATACCCAGGCAAACAGGGTCTGGAGAGGCCCTCCAGCAAACTCCAACAGGCCTGCAGCTGAGGGACTGACTGATAGAAGGAAAACTAACAAACAGAAAGGAATAGCATCAACATCAACAAAAAGGACATCCACACCAAAATGGCATCTGTAGGTCACCAACATCAAAGACCAAAGGTAGATTAAATCACAAAGATGGGGAGAAACCAGAGCAGAAAAGCTGACAATTCAAAAAACCAGAGTGCCCCTTCTCCTCCAAAGGATCATAGCTCCTTACCAGCAATGGAACAAAGCTGGACCAAGAATGATTTTGACGAGCTGACAGAAGTAGGCTTCAGAAGGTCGGTAATAACAAACTTCTCCAAGCTAAAGGAGGATGTTCGAAACCATCGCAAGGAAGCTAAAAACCTTGAAAAAAGGTTAGATGAATGGCTAACTAGAATAAACAGTGTAGACAAGACCTTAAATGACCAGATGGAGCTGAAAACCATGGCACAAGAACTACATGACGCATGCACAAGCTTCAATAGCTGATTCGATCAAATGGAAGAAAGGGTATCAGTGGTTGAAGATCAAATTAATGAAATAAAGCCAGAAGATAAGTTTAGAGAAAAAAGAGTAAAAAGAAATGAACAAAGGCTCCAAGAAATATGGGACAATGTGAAAAGACCAAATCTACATTTGATTGGTGTACTTGAAAGTGACAGGGAGAATGGAATCGAGTTGGAAAACACTCTTCAAGATATTATCCAGGAGAACTTCCTCAACCTAGCAAGGCAGGCCAACATTCAAATTCAGGAAATATGAGAACACCAAAAAGATACTCTTCGAGAAGAGCAACACCAAGACACGTAATTGTCAGATTCACCAAGGATGAAATGAGGAAAAAAATGTTGAGGGCAGCCAGAGAGAAATGTTGGGTTACCCACAAAGGGAAGCCCATCAGACTAATAGCGGATCTCTCAGTAGAAACCCTGCAAGCCAGAAGAGAGTGGGAGCCAATATTCAACATTCTTAAAGAAAAGAATTTTCAACACAGAATTTCATAACCAGAAAAACTAAGCCTCATAAATGAAGGAGAAATAAAATCCTTTACAGACAAGCAAATGCTGACTTTGTCAATACCAGGCCTGCCTTACCAGAGCTCCTGAAGGAAGCACTAAACATGGAAAGGAGCAACCAGTACCAGCCACTGCAAAAACATGCCAAATTGTAGAGACCATTGATGCTAGGAGGAAACTGCATCAACTAATGGGCAAAATAACCAGCCAACATCATAATGACAAAATCAAATTCACACATAACAATATTAATCTTAAATGTAAATGGGCTAAATGCCTCAATTAAAAGACACAGACTGGCAAACTGGCTAGGAGGAAACTGCATCAACTAACAGGCAAAATAACCAACTAACATCATAATGACAAAATCAAATTCCCACATAATAATATTAATCTTAAATGTAAATGGGCTAAAAGCCCCAATTAAAAGACACAGACTGGCAAATTGGATAAAGAGTCAAGACCCATCAGTGTGCTGTATTCAGGAGACCCATCTTGTAGTGCAAAGACACACATAGGATCAAAATAAAAAGATGGAGGAAGATCTACCTAACAAATGGAAAGCAAAAAAACCGCAGGGTTTGCAATCTTAGTCTCTGATAAAACAGACTTTAAACCAACAAAGATCAAAAGAGAAAAAGAAGGCCATTACATAATGGTAAAGGGATCAATTCAACAAGAAGAGTTAAATATCCTAAATATATATGCACCCAATACAGGAGAACCCAGATTCATAAAGCAAGTCCTTAGAGACTTACAAAGAGACTTAGACTCCCACACAATAATAATGGGAGATTTTAACACCCCTCTGTCAATATTAGACAGATCAATGAGACAAAAGGTTAACAAGTATATGCAGGACTTGAACTCAGCTCTGCACCAAGCAGAACTAATAGACATCTACAGAACTCTCCACCCCAAATCAACAGAATATACATTCTTCTCAGCACCACATTGCACTTATTCCAAAGTTTACCACATAGTTGGAAGTAAAGCACTCCTCAGCAAATGTAAAAGAACAGAAATCACAACAAACTGTCTCTCAGACCACAGTGCAATCAAATTAGAACTCAGGATTAAGAAACTCACTCAAAACCGCACGACTACATAGAAACTGGACAACCTGCTCCTGAGTGACTACTGGGTACATAACGAAATGAAGGTAGAAATAAAGATGTTCTTTGAAACCAATGAGAACAAAGACACAACATACCAGAATCTCTGGGACACATTTAAAGCAGTGTGTAGAGGGAAATTTATAGCACTAAATGCCCACAAGAGAAAGCAGGAAAGATCTAAAATTGACAACCTAATATCACAATTAAAGGAATTAGAGAAGCAAGAGCAAACACATTCAAAAGCTAGCAGAAGGCAAGAAATAACTAAGATCAGAACAGAACAAAAGGAAATAGAGTCATAAAAACCCTTCAAAAAATCAATGAATCCAGGAGCTGGTTTTTTGAAAAGATCAACAAAATTGATAGACCGCTAGCAAGACTAATAAAGAAGAAAAGGGAGAAGAATCAAATAGATGCAATAAAAAATGATAAAGGGGATATCACCACTGATCCCACAGAAATGCAAACTACCATCAGAGAATACTATAAACACCTCTACACAAATAAACTAGAAAATATAGAAGAAACGGATAAATTCCTGGACACATACACCCTCCCAAGACAAACCAGGAAGAAATTGAATCTCTGAATAGACCAATAACAGACTCTGAAATTGAGGCAATAATTAATAGCCTACCAACCAAAAAAAGTCCAGGACCAGATGGATTCACAGCCGAATTCTACCAGAGGTACAAAGAGGAGATGGTACCATTCATTTTGATACTATTCCAATCAATAGAAAAAGAGGGAAACCCCCCTAACTCATTTTATGAGGCCAGGATCATCCTGATACCAAAGCCTGGCAGAGACACAATAAAGAGAATTGTAGACCAATATCCCTGATGAACAGCAATGCGAAAATCCTCTATAAAATACTGGCAAACCAAATCCAGCAGCACATCAAAAAGCTTATCCATCATGATCAGGTCGGCTTTATCCCTGGGATGCAAGGCTGGTTCAACACATGCAAATCAATAAATGTAATCCATCACATAAACAGAACCATCGACAAAAACCACATGATTATCTCAATAGATACAGAAAAAGCCTTTGACAAAATTCAACAGCCCTTCATGCTAAAAACTCTCAATAAACTAGGTATTGATGGAACGTATCTCAAAATAATAAGAGCTATTTATGACAAACCCACAGCCAATATCATACTGAATGGGCAAAAACTGGAAGCATTCCCTTTGAAAACTGGCACAAAACAGGGGTGCCCTCTCTCACCACTCCTATTCAACATAGTGTTGGAAGTTCTGGCCAGGGCAATCAGGCAGGAGAAAGAAATAAAGGGTATTCAATCAGGAAAAAAGGAAGTCAAATTGTCCTTGTTTGCAGATGACATGATTGTATATTTAGAGACCTCCATCATCTCAGCCCAAAATCTCCTTGAACTGATAAGCAACTTCAGTAAAGTCTCAGGATACAAAATCAATGTGCAAATATCACAAGCATTCCTATACACCATTAACAGACAGAGAGCCAAATCATGAGTGAACTCCCATTCACAATTGCTACAAAGAGAGTAAAATACCTAGAAATTCAACATACAAGGGATGTGAAGGACCTCTTCAAGGAGAACTACAAACCACTGCTCAATGAAATAAAAGTGGACACAAACAAATGGAAGAACATTCCATGCTCATGGATAGGAAGAATCAGTATCATGAAAATGGCCATACTGCCCAAGGTAATTTATAGATTCAATGCCATCCCCATCAAGCTACCAATGACTTTCTTCATAGAATTGGAAAAAGCTACTTTAAAGTTCATATGGAAGCAAAAACGAGCCCCCATTTCCAAGTCAATCCTAAGCAAAAAAACAAAGCTGGAGGCAAGGCTCTAGAGCTAGAAATACCATTTGACCCAGCGATCCCATTACTGGGTACACACCCAAAGGATTATAAATCATGCTACTATCAAGACACATGCACACGTATGTTTATTGTGGCACTATTCACAATAGCAAAGACTTGGAGTCAACCCAAATGTCCATCAATGATAGACTGGATTAAGAAAATGTGGCACATATACACCATGGAATACTATGCAGCCATAAAAAAGGAAGAGTTCATGTCCTTTGCAGGGACATGAATGGAGCTGGAAACCATCATTCTGAGCAAACTGTCACAAGGACAGAAAATCAAACACTGCATGTTCTCACTCATAGGTGGGAACTGAACAATGGGAACACTTGGACACAGGGTGGGGAACATCACACACCGGGGCCTGTTGGCTGGGTGGGGGGTTGGGGGAGGAATAGTATTGGGAGAAATACTTAACGTAAATGATGGGTTGATGGGTACAGCAGGCCAGCATGGCACATGTATACCCATGGAACGAGCAAGCATGTTGTGCACATGTACCCTAGAACTTAAAGTATAATTAAAAAATAAAAATAAAAATATAAAAAAAAACACTTGATCATTGATAAAAAGGTGACTCAGTTTTCCAAACAATAAAAAGATGATGCAGCATACGGAATATGTTTTCCCTCTCCCCTCTTTTTTTATTTTCGTGGTTGCTTTTGCATTTTACTCAAGGTGAGATAGCACAAACCTGTCTAACCAGCAAACCCAGGCAAAAATGTATGCAGATAATTCTGAAGTCATTTCTATTTTTATTTTACTAACAATTTTAAAACAAATTTTATTTACCAAAGATTATCTCAGATCACATAAACTAAAAGGCATTTGAATTAGTTTTTATGTTATTTTATGTATTTTTTTTCTCAGAAAAAACTTAGGGGTTATTGCCTACTATCAGATATTAAGAACCTCCAGAAATTTTATGGAGGCTGTGGACTAAGTTTTCGGTCTGAATGTTTTCAAAGGCCATCTGGGTAGACAAAATATTCATTTCTGCTAAAACTGGATTTTTTTTTTTAAATTGTTCTTGAGGTTTTTCTCTGGAAAGTGTCTGTAAACTCTAGCTCTGTCCTGACAGGTTTATCAAGTTAGACACTCTCCAGGAGAGCCCTGATTAGGAGACAAATCAGATTTAGGTATGTCAGTTAGATTAGACAGAAAGGAAGATTCAATGACGGATAGCCAGGCAATATAAAATTATAGAAATTTGTTATAAGATTTTACAAGAAAACATACAAGTGAGCCTAGGAAAAAATGTATAAGTCTGTTCAAAATAACCAGCTGAATGACAGAAAGTCATATTTTGGAGACAAATCTAGGTATGGAGGTGACTTTTTAATTTAACTTTTATTTCTTAACTGGATTACTGAATTTATTGGCTCTAATGAAAAGGACCCACAAAGCATTTGTAGTTTCTGGAGGCCTAATACTTATAAATGTGAAGGGCAGGTGCAGCTAGAAGGCAGAGCATCTAGATCTCCAGAAATCAAGGATTCAGTTTTTATGTTGAATCCCAGTTCAGAGCTGAGACAAAAGCCCAGGAGGGAAAGACCAAGTGGCTGTGCTGTGCAGTGGTTTCACAGTGCGTCTCACTCCAGGGATATCCCCTCTGAGGCTGGTGAGCCACCCAACATCATCCAGCTCACTTTGTGACTAGCCCACCCACCCTGGGAGCACTCCAACAGCCTCTAAATGCCTAAAACATGTCCATTGTCAAGTTGTGGCTTTGGCCCTGAGATCCCCTTGATTAACTTAGCCAATTATTTTTCTTGTACCAAATTTCCACTTACTGTCAGTTTCTGTTTGGCTCAGTCATAAATCTGAGGCTTTTCTCAAATTCTTTGTTTCTAATGCAAAGAAACAAAGAAGATAAAAGGCCAGAGTTCACCCCCTGAAGTAATGACCATTCATTGCAACTCATTGCCGCCCTTGCCAGTGACTCATTAATTACCATATACCCAAAGGCCAAGTGTCCTCTCAAAATATAAAGCCTTGGTACCCCTGAAAGCCAAAGTGACCAGGGAGCTCAATGTGAAAGAAAGCAGAGCTTTAGACTTGAGAGAAATCACCCACAACTCTTCCATGAGGAAGACAGGGGACCCCAAAAAGGGGGTCAGTGGCACCTTTTCTGTGTTCCTCAAGGGTCTCAGAGTTGCAAGGAGTTAACTTTAACTCCCTCTATAGGGTAGGCAGAACTCTGATGTTCCCATGGATCCCCAATAAAGGAATCAGAGGCCTTACAAAAATTATAGTCTTACATGGATGAGGTGAAAAGGGAACACTTTTACACTGCTGGTGGGAATGTAAATTAGTACAACCACTATGGAAAACAGTATGGACCTTCCTTAAAGAATAAAAACTAGATCTACCCTTTGATCCAGCAATCCCACTACTGGGTATCTACCCAGAGGAAAAGAAGTCATTATATGAAAAAGACACATTCACATGCATGTTTATAGCAACACAATTCACAATTGCAAAGATATGGAACCAACTTAAGTGCCCATTGACTGAATGGATAAAGAAAATATGGTATATATACACCATGGAATGCTACTCAGCCATAAAAAAGAAAAAAAGTACCTTTTGCAGCAACTTGGACAGAGCTGGAGGCCATTATTCTTAGTGAAGTCACTCAGAAATGGAAAACCAAAACCATATGTTCTCACTTATAAATGGGAGCTAAGCTATGAGGATGCATAGACATAGATTGATATAATGGACTTTGAGGACTCAGCAGAGTGGGGAAGATTGGGAGGGGGCTGAGGGATAAAAAGCTACATATTTGGTATAGTGTACTCTGCTCAGGTGATGGGTGCACTAAAATCTCAGAATTCACCTCTAAAGAACTCATCCATATAACTAAAAAACACCAGAACCCCCAAAACTATTGAAATTATAAACATTATAGCCTTAATTTCAGCTTTTAATTAAGCCAACTTCTGACCATAGAGCTCTTTAAAAAAAATCCCTCTCAAATCTTTTATCAGATTTCATCAGAAACAAACAGTAATATTCTTCTTTTCATTTTATTTTATTTTTCTTTTAAAACAAAAGTATCTATCAAGTGACTCAGAACCAAAGTCAAGAAGCCCTTTATGACTTAAAGACACACAAAGTGCCTCCAAACAGATGCAAATAAGCATTCTCACAAAATCCAGAGCCATCCCCAAAGACAGCTAAAAAAAAAAAGAAAAAAGAAGAGGCTTAAGTACATGGCAATAGTTATCCTTGAGAGCTGGCAACAGTTGGTATGCCAGCCACAAATGGCATTCCACTCACATTTCTGTGTGGCTATATTCTTTTTATGGGGGACCCCAAACTTTCAGTTGGCTGCCTGCACACACAGACCTGACAATCTGTATGTGCCTACAGGCAGCAAGCCAAGCCGCGTTCTCAGAACACAAAATGAGACAAACAGGAAAACAATAGCTGTCTGTGGAAGGAAAAGGATCAACAGCAAATGGATACCCCCAAACCAAATTTATGTAAGACTCACAATCCAAACAGATGATTTTTTTCCTGCTAACCTGAACTTTGAAAGGAAAAGATAAAAAGAAACTTTTACCTTCCATTCCTGAGCAGCTACCATAGGAAGAGATCTGGGAGAATTGACCTTAGTAAAAATTCTTACCTCTTTTTGCTGGCTTTTGTCAGTTGTCCCAGGATCTCATCTGTAGGCTTTGGAATGAGTCAGGTGTCAGCCTTCCCATACTCATCGCCAGAACTGTAGTGGTGATGAGGAGCTGTACAGGAAACAAGGGGAGGAAAGGAGTCCTTTCTTCCTGATTATAAAGGGCACAGCCAACATCCCTATAGGGGATGTCTTATAACAAAGATAAGTTAACAAGAGAAAAGCATAACAAATTTATTTGATCATAGTTTTACATGACATGGGAGCCTTCAACATAAAAACTCAAAGATACAGGGAACACTATGTAGAGTTAACCCTCAAATAATTCAAGAGTTATGGGAGTTAACCCCCCATGAAATTAAAAGCTGCATAAAACTTTTGACTCTCTCAAAACTTAAGTAGCAATAGCCTACTACGTACCAGAAGCCTTACAGATAACATAAACAGTCAATTAATACATCTTTTGATATTATCTTTATTATACAGTGTATTTTTACAATAAAGTGAGCTAGAGAAAAGAAATGTTAAGAAAATCATAAGGAAGAAAAAATATATTTACTATTCATTAAGTGAAAGCAGACATCAGAAAGGTCTTTATACTCATTGTCTTCATGTTGAGTAGGCTGAGGAGGAGGAGGAGGAAGAATAGGGGTTGTTCTTGCTGTCTCAAGGGTAGCAGGAACAGAAGAAAATCTGCATATAAGTAGATCCACAAAGTGTTAATCCTTGTTGTTCAGGAGTCAACTGTATTTTTATGCTTAGGTTCAATGAAGTATGGACAGTTGATATGGATTTGCTGTGTCCCCACCCAAATCTTATCTTGAATTGTAACTCCCATAATTCTCATGTGTTGTGAGAGGGACCTGGTGGGAGATAACTGAATCATGGGGGCAGTTTCCCCCATATTGTTCTCGTCGTAGTTTCATGAGATCTTATGGTTTTAGAAGGGGAAACCCTTTTCACTTGGTTCTCATTCTCTCTTTCCTGCTGCCATATAAGACATGCCTTTTGCCTTCCACCATGATTGTGAGGCCTCCCCAGCCACATAGAGCTATGAGTTTACTAAATCTCTTTTTTATTGTAAATTTTCAGCAGCGTGAAAACGGACTAATACAACAGCTGTGTGGAACTATTACTGGAAAAGAAGAGTATGATCTGCTAAGACACTGAGTGGGAAAATTCAGCAAGATCTGTCTGTTTAGATTTTTATTGGCCTCTCTGTGCAGCATTTTTTCCTCCCAAGTATGGGATAAGTTCTCCCTGGAATGAGGATTTCAATTTATTTATCCCTAGCTATTATACAAAGAAGCAGTGGGGGAGGATAGGGTAATATTTTTTGGCTTTATTGCTGACTTTGGAGAAAATGGTTTCTTCTTTCTTTAACCGGCCTCGGAGATGAGGGATTCTAGTTTGTATGGCTTGTCACTGGGGAGAATGAGAGGCGAGACGGAATGGGAGAAGGTCAATGAGAGACTTTGCTTCTTAGGGCTTTACTTTGGGGTGTCATTTTCTGAGTCTCAATACAATGAATATGATCAAGTGGTCCACTTTCAAAGGCAATCAAGACTTCAATGATGGTTGATGAATCACCTCTTAGAATGAAAAATGAAGTGTTAGACTTAATCATTTTACTGTCAGAGATCTATGTATCAATCGTTGATGAAAAACATCCTCGAGAGAAGAATCTGGCTATTACTTAATTGGCATTGGAATATTACAGGCACATATTTTCATTTCATAACCATATTTCAAATGAATTATGAAACTAAACAGAAGTCAAAGATGTAATACAGGCTGTAGATGCTGCAAAATTAAGATGAGTTTAGCCACATACAACACTCCAGTAAAACAATCACCACACATTCTTATGAATTTGAAAATTAAAAAAAGTCCTTGAGAACAGAGAAACTCAGAGCATGGATTCATTGGTAATGATTTCATATTTGAATTAGTTGCAATATTTGATAATTGGGTGCAATATTTGATAATTATAATGACATTGAACTCAAATTTTTTTTTTGTGAAATGAGGACAAGCTAGTAGTTACAAGCTGGTAGAAACAATCATAACCATTTCAGTCTAAAATTTCAGATATTGGGGTTTTTGTGGCAGAATTGTTTAAAGCCAGGTTGGAAAAGTGGAATTAGAGACGATAACTTGGTTCCCGTTCAGTGTTGTTAAACTCTGGTTACATCTCTTAAGAGTGAAAACAAAAACAAAGGCAAAAAACAAACAAGCAAAGACTAAAAAAACTCATATTGTTTCTACAAGCTGGTATTTGATGTAATTTGAAATTTATTTATCACTTTTTGCTTTTCAAAATTTTAATGTTATATTCTTATTTTGACTTCTAACTTTTAAATATAATTATTAATTTTAGCACAATGATATCAAGTATTTTTAATAACAAAAGAGGTTAGCACAAATTTTGCCCTGGCATACAATCGCTTTCATTTTTTCTTCTGTATCACTCTTAAAAACAGGATAAATGACAACTAGATAGTTATAGGTATAGCTATAAAGCCACAAATATAGGTATATAAGCAGACATTACATTTTAATAATCTAAATAGGGCCTCTGACACCTTCAATTTATTCATTGTCAATCCTGAACTTTTCCTAACACACCTCATGATTTCCTGAACAACCTTTCCTGACCTTCTTTGCTTTTCATCTTGGGATGAATTCTTTCACAGAGAGCCTCCTCTTTGTGTCCTATTCTCAGCCCACTTCTCTGTGAACTTAGCCTCTCTTTTCCCCACCCCTGGCCAACTCTCTGATTCGGACTGTTTTCCAGAATGAAGGGTTATGCTCATCTCAGTGGTTCTTGACTTTGGCTGTATTTTAAATCAACTGGGGTGCTTGCAAATGCGTGTGGACTACATTCCAGATCTCTTAAATCAAAATCAAAGGGGAATAAATCCCAGGAGTAAAGACTGTTTAAAAATTCATTTTATTCTAAAGCACAGCCAGGGTTAAAATCATTGCTCCGGATCAAACTTTCTCAACCTTGGCACTACTGCCAATTTGTGCTGGATAATTTTTTTGTTGTTGTGGGAGGCTTCCTTTCTTCCTGGGCACTGCTGGTTATTTAGCAATATCCCTTGTCACCCCCATTTGAGAACTGCTCGTCTACAACTAGAACAGAGTCAGATAAAAAGAGTTTTAAATAAAATTGTCTTTCTAAATTACAGCAAAAAAGATGACCAAGTGACTTAGGGGCTAATGTGTTTCAGGATGTAATAGTCATGGCTTAAATGGAGTAGACTGTGAACTAGAAACCTCACCCTGGCCACTTGTATGGGCCAACTATTAGGGAAGCTGGCCCAGCTTGTGGTGCTTGAAGGAGAGGCACTAAATGTGTATAAAGTCAGCTAACTGGAAAACATGTGATGATGGGTGCTTCACATGTGGCAATAGATGTTGCATTACAGGGAAATGGTGCACTACAATGGTGGTTCCCAGAACAGGAGATACTTACATGTCTCACTGAATAGGTTCAAGGTTACATTACAACACAGGCAAATGGAAATTACCACAATGAATTGTGTGTCAGTTAGGGACTGCATTATCTATATAACAGAAAACAATGTGGAAGCACAAACCAGTCAGGGGTGATTTTCCTCACATAAGACTCTGCAGTAGGTAGTTCAGAGCTTGTGCGACTGTTCAAGGTTTCCCAAGGACCCAGAATCGTTCTATCTGCCTTCTCTGCTGTTTACACTTGGCTCTAATCTTTATGACTGCAAGCTGTCTCTTATACCTCCAGGCATTACATTAACATTTTGGACAGGAAAAAAGAACACTGGTTAAGAGCTAAGAGCCAAAAGCAAAAAGCCAAAGGACTCTCTCTCAGAAACAAAAAGTAAAAAGCCTTAGGCCTTCCTGAAAGAAATCCAGTTACATTTTACCAACTAGAAGTTTGCTGATAGATATCCTAGCTTCAAGGGAGTCTTGGAGAGAGAATATTTTAGCTGGACTCGGTGCTGCTTTGGGGAAAAACAAAAAACGAAAAACGTTAGTACGAAAGAAGGGAAGAGGGAAAAATGGGTATTGGGCAGGCCAATAGCAGAGTCTGCAACAAAGGAAATCTAAAATCTAATTTTGTAGTCTGGAAAACAGTAATTGAGAAGAATTCAGAGAAATAGCCCAGGCAGTATATGTGAGAAACAAGGAAGGAAATTACCCTGCAACTAAGCCAAATATCTGTCTCACTCAGGACGGTTTTGTATATTTTCTACTGGATAGTGGGCCAATTTCATGGCACAATCAACCCAAAATCTGTGAATTGACACAAGTCACACTACTTTACAGAGCTGGCAATTGGTCAATCTGGCTGGAATGAGGAATGTCAGGACAGAGTCTGAGTTAAATCTGAACTTGTATGCAACATTATGTAATTTGCAATATGCTTTCCATTTTTCTCAAAGCATGAACAAAGAAATCAGCACAAAGTTAAGATTTCATAGAATTTTGAGATTCCAGACCTTCTGGGGTTAATTTCATTTCTTAAACTGCACTCAACTTTGTTTTCTAAAGCCTTAGTTTAAAAGCATTAGCGTTAACAAATACCATTTTAAACGTGTAATTGGCAGTAAGATTTATTTTTTTTCTACTTGAATTTTATCTTTTGCCTGCAAACCATGTCTTTGGTGTATAAACCTTATAAGGTGTGTTCTTTTTATGTCTGCACTCATTAGCTACAATAGCAGAAAGGCTAGATTTTAATTAGTGACTAATGGGATGTCTCTTTTTATGAGGAAGATTTTTATATTTCGTGATTGTCCAATCAATGACACACTTATTTGTTTATATGCATTCCTTTCAGAATTTTACAGTTACAATATTGAGGATATTACGTCTATTGATCTAGGATTCTTTCAATATGTCAAATTATAATTCATGTTCTAAAAGAGAGCACATAAATTATGGTAATAAATTCAGAAGATGATTCAATTTTTTTCATGAAGAGCATGAATTTTATTTGTATAACATGTATTTTGTTGGTGCTCCATGCAAAGACATTAATTTCCAGAACTTCAGCAAATAGGAATTATAACTATTTCAATAAGAAGTTATGGTTATTAGTTTTAATTTGATTGTAAAGATTGATGTGGCAGGGGTAACTAATTTCCACCTTAAAATTGCATTTATAATAGAAAGCATACTGGATTTGAATGTTTCACTGGAAAAGGACAGCATTTTTTTTATTTTAATCAATTGATATTTGTGAAACTTCTAGGGAATGAAATAGCTTCCTGTAAGGCTCAGGGGTCCATTTAATAGTTCTGAAGCTAGGCCTTAAGCAAAATACAGGAGTTCATCTAAGTGCTATATTTAAAGTGTTTATTGCTAATAATTAATTTTAATCTTTACACAAAACCCATATATGGTGAAATAAATGGTTTTTGGACAAAAGTCACAGATCTTTCAAAATGTAATAATGATTTTTGTGCTTGACTTTACACACATTGCAGATACCTAAAAAATATTACTGGACTGAAGAGTTTATGCCAACTTTTTTAGTAATCCCTGTGAAAAATCATTGATGATGTCTTTTGAAATAGATTGGCAGGAAGGGTGCTTATATTCAATTTCTTATACACAGTTTTGAAAATTGTCATTACTTCAAAAATATATTAAATAAGAAGGGACAAGCCAGGTGTGGTGGCTCATACCTGTAATCCCAGCACTTTGGGAAGCTGAGACAGACAAATCACTTGAACTCAGGAGTTTGAGACCAGTCTGAGGATCATGGTGAGACCTCATTGCTACCAACAATACAAACATTAGCAGCGTGTGGTGGTGCACACCTGTCATCCCAGCTACTCAGGAGGCTGATGTAGGAGGATCACCTCAGCCTGGGAAGGTTGAGGCTGTGCTGAGCCATGATTGCACCACTGCACTCCAGCCTAGACAGCAGAGTAAGATCCTGTCTCCAAAAAAAAAAAAAAAAAAAAAAAAAGAAATATAAATAAATAAATAGTGACTAAAATGTCAGTTGATTTCTTCTTCTGACAAATTAATACTAAAAAGATGTATAAATTAGAATACTAGAACCAATGATTGTTAAAAGAAAGACTTGTGGAAAATGTGAATGGCATTTATTGTAGGTTCCAATGTTTATCTACTGGATATCCTCACCAGGGTATACTGTCAACACATGTCCAAAACCATTCAACTCCTTTCAACATATCTCAGTCTTTCATTCCATCCTTTAAAAAATGAAACCTCCATTCTTGGAGTCCCAAATCATGGAATCACCTTGGCTTGCATCAGCCATTTACAATGTCAAACCCACTAATATGCTTGCCATTTTCATGCTGCCATCATTATTTATTCTTCCATTATATCTTCCTAGGTTATTATCATTGCCCTTGGATCTTGTTCCAGACTGTTTCTCCTCATCTAACTTCACCTCTCTCATCTCCCACACAATTGGATGGATCTCCTGAAGCTCATAAGGACCATAACAACACCTTCCTCTGTACTGAGATTCCTTAATGGCTCTCTATTACCTATAGCTGTGTTCTTTTTAAAAAGTTGGTTTTGTTCATATACCAAACAAATTTTTGTCTGGAATTTTGAAAAAAATCCGTATATTTTCAAATGTTTCAAAGTTGCTAAAATTTATTCTTTTCACTTTAAACCTTTAATCATAATAAATATATAATTTTAACATCCAACCATTACATCACTTTGAAGTGTATCTCAAAGTAATCTAACATACTAATTTTACCTGTTTTGTCATTCATTAAAGCAACTTTTCTCTGATGATGAGACATTTTAGTATTATTTCTTCTTCCTCAGAGAATTGCAGAATCTTACTGTTATATATTTTTATGCTTGATCATCCTTTATTGCCACCATTACATATATCTATTCAACAAAAATATATGTAAATTAGAAATATTTTTCTCTTCTGGGCTCACAAAACTCTAAGCATTAAAAAAATTTCTCCAGGATTCAGTTAGTATCATAATTGTTACTAGTATAAAATATACAAAACAACATGAATATATAATGAATTGTGAAGTCTATAAAATATACACATTGTATTGAAGATGTAAATATTAATGATATCAATAGGTCTTTTTCTCCTTAATTAATGACCATTTTTCTGTGGGTGGGAAATACTTCTTAAATGAGTCGAGATTCTGTATAAATTATCTTATTTTTATTTTTAAATAAAATAAATGCTTTTTACTTATAAAAATATTTGATATTTATACTTAAATTTTTATTTACTTAAATAGATGGACATAGAAGCAGTTTAATTATAGAAATATTATGAAATTCTTCAAACTCCTTCAAATCATATGCCAAAATTGTAAATAAAGAGGGAAAGACTTGAAGACCTACCGCAGATTTATGAGTCTTCCCTGAGAATGCTGTGGCAACTTCTTTCAAATTGTCCCTCTGTCCTAATGCCAGTGATGTGGATACCAGGATTTTTTTATATTCTGTTGCCATGTCTAGGCCACAGGTGTCCAACCTTTGTGGCTCAACCAACCCTGAATTGTATTACATTTGGGATTTTAAGCCAGAATAATTTATTACCATAGTAGCTCAAACACATGAACAGGAAACACTATACCTTATAAATATCAACATCTTTAAAGCTTAGTTTCCTCATCAATTCATACGGTGGTTGTGAGGATTATCTTAGTGTATATCTTCAGTACTTAGCACACTGTCTAGTGCTCAGTGCATATTAGCTGCTATTACTATGAAGTCAAATGGTCCTAAGTATCTGCCTGCCCCTACCATAGTAGTGTTAAATAATTAACACAAAGGTATAAAGAAGACCCTAGATAATGAAAGAAGACCTTAGGTAATCTGATTTACTTCTTGAAAATGAGAAAAATAACCTTTACTTGGTCTTCACATTCTTTTTATGTACTTATTTAATTTTTACATTTTAATAAAAATACAATATAAAATGTACTCTGTTAGCAATTTTTAAGTGTACAATTCAACAATGTTAATTGTAGTTACCTGTTGTGACTACAGAACTAGAACATTTTCGTCTTCCAAAACTGAAGCTCTACACCAATCGAACAACTCCCCAATTTCCCCACCCTGGTCCCTGGAAACCACCAATCTACTCTCTGTTTCTATAATTTTGACTAGTCTAGATATTTCATATAAGTAGAATCATGTTATTTTTGCTTTTGTGACTGGCATATTTCACTCAGCTTCCTCAAGTTTCATCTATGTTACAGCATCTGACATAAACTTATAATGTATTTTTTAACCAATAAAAAATGAAATGTCTAGATCTTTATCAAATGACTTATATTTGCAAACACTTGTATGACCATACTTTAAGTCAGCAGTGTCCAATAGAAACATAATGTGAACCACAGGTGTGATTCTAAATTTTCCAGTAGACATATTTAAAAAAGTAAAAAGAAACAGGCAAAATTGATTTTAATAATATACTTGATTTAAACTAATATATCCAAAATATTATAATTTCAACATTTATAAAATTAACTCATGTAAATAAGATGATTTTTATTCATACTAATTCTTTAAAATCCAGTGTGCATGTTACATTTATAGAATATCTGTATTTGGACTTGGCTCACAGTCACATGTGGCTAGTGCCTTACTAGTGCTTTACTAACTATTATAGTTTAGATATCTGACTCTTCAAACTTCGTGTTGAAATTGGATCTCCAGTGTTGGAAGTGGAGCCTAGTGGGAGGTGTCTGGATCATGGGGGCAGATCCTTCATAAATGGCTTGGTGCCCTCCTCATGGTAATGAGTGCGTTCTCAGTCTAGCAGTTCCTGCAAGAGGTGGCTGTTAAAAAGAGCCTGACACCTTCTCCCTCTCTTGCTTTCTCTCTTGCCATGTGATCTGTACACATGGGCTCCCTATCACCTTGCACCATGAATGGAACTAATCAGAGGCCCACGCCAGAAGCTGATGCTGGTACCATGCTTCTTGTACAGTCTGCAGAACTGTGAGCCAAATCCCCTTATCTTTGTAAATTACCAAGCCTCAGGTATTCCTTTACAGCAACACAAATGGACTGGCAATGCTGCACTCTCGATGCTTAAATCCTATCGCTTTCAGGCAGGAGAAAACTACTATATTGTTACATAAAGAGAAAATCAAAATATGAATTGATTCATTTGCTTAATAAAAATAGTCTCCAAATGTAGTGCTATCAATAAAAGAGTCAAATGTCTGCCTCTGATAGATAATTTATCAATTTAGTTGCCTCACATATTTAAGAGTACATGTCCCTCACATAATATAGTAAATAAAGTATTACTTTTCACTAATATTTTATAAAACAATTTTATCAATATTCATGTCTTTGTCATCCCTAGAATCCTCTAATCATTTTCTGGAAGACATCAAATTCTCTATGATCTGAGTTAATAGAGACACACTTTTGAATTTGTATGACATGATCTCACTGTAAATTTTATCTTAGGTCACAAAAATTTATTCACGTAACTTTAGGATGGTAGTTCTCAATAGGGTTTGATTGTGTGATTTTTTTTTTTGCTCCCAGGAGATATTTGGAAAGGTCTAAAGATATTTTTCATCATCACAAATAATAATCTTGATCTAAATGTGAATTAATACTATATATATTATTTCAAACCAGTAGCCCCACTAAAAATTTCTGATCCATGCCTCTATTTCATCTCTGATATCTGTTCAATAGAGCTGGAGAACAGTTTGTTCTTTACTGTTAAAATGCACACATTCGTGGAAATATAACACAGTATGCATAATTACTAATGTATATCTTTGTATCTAGAAATACACAAATAATTTGTGTTTTCAGGTACATTTGTTTCTTTCCCCCCAAGAAGATTTTTGTTTTAAAATACACTTTGAAAGTTCTAACTATTGACATAAGGAGCCAAACTCTATAAAATATTGAAAGAGATTTATTCTGAGCCAAATATGACTGACCATGGCCCATGATATAGCCCTCAGGGGAACCTGAGAATATGTACTCAAGGTGGTCAAGGCACAGCTTGGTTTTATACATTTTAGGGAGATCTGAGACATCAATCAAATACATTTAAGATATACATTGGCTTGGTCCAGAAATGTAGAAAAATTTCATGTTGGGGCTTCCAAGTTATAAGTAGATTTAAACATTTACTCATAGGTAATTGGTTGAAAGTTATTATCAATGGAAAGGAAAGTCTTGGTTTTGATAAGAGGTTGTGGAAACCAAAATTTTATCAAGCAGATGAAACCTTCAAGTAGCAGGCTTCAGAGAGAATAGATTGTACATGTTTCTTATCAGACTTAAGGTCTGTGCTGCTGTTAAATGCTGGTCAGCTTTTCCTGAATTCCAAAAGGAAGAGGGCATAATGAGACATGTCCGACCCCCACTTCCCACCATGGCCTGAACCAGTCTTCTAGGTTACATTTGAAGTGCCCTGGCCAAGAGGAGGGAGTTTATTCAGATGGTTGGAGGGCCTTCAAATTTTATTTTTGGTTTACATAATGAAGTACTCAGGAGGTGAATCCTATTGCTTTAGTAAAGAACGCTAAGTCCTACTGTGAGCCTAGCAAGAACAGAGTCCAAAGTTCCAGAACACAGTAAGACAGAGATGCTTGGTGAAGCTCCTAGAGATGCTTCACTGAGGAGTCATACAAGCATCTGCATTTTAAGATAAATCCAGATCAGTGACACAGTGGATTATTTGAAACTAAGTCACCAAGACTAAGAGGAAGAAATGAATGGCAAACAAGGGGGCAGGCATTTAGTTCAACACTGATATTTGTGATAATGTTAGTTCAACATTAATAGTTATGACAATAATGATTAAAATGTGGGATACCATAAAATAGTTATAATAGTATTGTGTCATACCTCTGCAAGCATAAATTACAAAAAAAAATTTATTTTAAAGTCTCTACCAGGAAAATAAATCTATAAGGGTGTAAAAAATGTGTATAAATATGGAAAGTAAACAAAACAGAAAAAAATCAAAGCAATATTTCAACACACTGTTGATTCTATTCTTTTAAAGAATGTCTCTCAGATTCCACTTGGGAGAAGAGCAGGACTAGCTGACAAGCCACAGTGGACCTGAAGCTGTCACTCGGTGAGACATGCACATCTTGGCTTAAGGTGAAGATGGAACAACAAGACGTAGACAACAGGCATACACATTAGAAAACAAGAGTCACTTCAGCCACAGGTAACACCCCTGCTAATAATGCCGACTTGTGCAATTCCTCATGACTATTTCCACCAAGCCCATGAAAATCAAATGTCACAGATATTATGTGGAAATTATAGTACGCTGTCTCTTGGTTTTTGACTTAGTAGAGCAGGCAACATTTGGCAGCATACTGGAACAATAAATAATATGTACTCCATTTCTCTTTCTTTGTCTCTCTCTGTGTCTCTCTCTGTGTATGTATGTTTGCGTATACGAGAGAATGAAATAAGAGACAAACAAGAGTAAAATTTCATGATTAATGTATCTATTTAAATGCACATAGAACATCTTTTATAATTTCTCTTGAACTGTTTTCTCTATGATTTGTAAGGCTGTAATGCTGATGGACCACCAGTTTTCATCCTTTATTAATCAATAAAGAATTTCAAATTTAAAAAATGGTTAGAGTTTTGCTAGATTATTTCATCTGTGGCTTTCAAGCTGAGTTCCACCTAGCTAGAGCATTCCTAAAACTGAATTATACCTAGCCATAAGGTTCCTAAAATGTTCTTCAGTGTAGTATTATTCTGTCACATGTATCTCATTTGATTTTTACAGAAACCTATAAAGTGCTAGTAGCATCCTCAGTGACAGGACACTAAAGCCAAGAGGCCCACACCTAGTGAGATGTAGAGCCAGAACTCAAGCCCCGATGAAGTATTTGTCTTCTCTGTGTTTGCGCTGATCAGATAAACACTGCTGGAGGGAAAAAAAAATCACAGAATAGGGCAACTGGAAATGTATTGTCAGTCATGTCAACCAAGCCCTTATCAAAGCACACAGTATTACAAGATTGTCTATTCATCTTTCTCTCTATCTCTTCACAAAGCACATTGGGTATTTTCTGCAAAAAAAGCATATTGGATATTTTCTGCAAACTTACCCAACTTATGCCCTGTTACTGTTTCTCAGGGACATTTATTACAACCTAGGCAGTCAGGGTCACCTTGCTGGGATAGCCAGCAGTTCTCAGTGAACGTGAAGTCACTTAGGGAAGGAGTAGGGAGGGCTTACAGACTGGAAACAATTCTAAAAGGAATCTACCTGACAAACAGGCTCCATTCTAGAAAGATTTTTAATTGCAGTAGCTGAACTATCTCCCTTCCTTCCTTCCTTCCTTCCTTCCTTCCTTCCTTCCTTCCTTCCTTCAGGGGTCTCAGTTCGCCTCACTGAAACCTCCTACTCCTAGGCTTCAGCAATCCTCCCACCTCAGCCCCCCAAGTAGCTGGGACCACAGGTGTTTGTCACCATGCCCAGCTAGATTTTGTATTTTTTGTAGAGATGGGGTTTCATCATGTTGCCCAGATTGGTCTCAAATTCCTGCAATCAAGCGATCCACCCACCTAGGCCTCCCAAAGTGCTGGAATTACAGGCATGACCCACTGTGCCCATCCTGAACCATTTAGTTTCTTGCTTAACCCTTTATTGTACTTCACAAGAATTGTAGCTAATTGAAGAAGGTATCATTAATGATATCATACTCATTGTCTGCCTAATTATCTGCCTAATTATTCAATGAAATAACCAACGGGATAGAATAAACCTTTTGTTTATTTGTTAGTTTCTTTTATCAATAATAAATGCATGCATGCATTTCTTCTATGACTATGAATATAAATCCACTGGAATCTTGGACTCTGGAGTCAGAACATTATAGCTTTTTCCTCATCGAAAGCGTCTCAACACCATATGAAAATGATAACATTTTAAAAAGTAGACTTGTTTAAGATAATGATGGTATCTCTAAAAGTGTTATAGTTAAATGGTAATCTCATATAGAAGACAGCACCCTAAATGACATTTCAACATCTAAATATGTGATTTCCTTATCGTTGCTATTGATTCAGAAAGGAGGACATCTACATACTTTTATTAAACATAAAAAGTATTTTTTCAGCAATAGATCACTTAACTAAAAATATTTGCTCTGTGCCAATACATTAATAAGAAATTAAAAAATATAATCATGACTATGTCTTCTCAAGGATAAACTATTTATTTGGATTATAAATATAAATACTTATATTTTGAGAAATATAAGTTTATATTTATATAGATTGAATTTGCATTTATATATTACATATATACACATTTATATGTTTATATACATAAATGTAAACTTACAATATATTTATAATTATTGAAATATTAATTAATACTTATATTTATAATTAATACATTTATAAGTTATATTATCATTTATATTTATAACACATTTATATATAATACATTTATATATAAATACATGTAATGTAACACAAATATTACGTTATATGTGATACAGTTAAAGTATAAAATCATAAAATGAAGTCATATTTTGGTCCAAATTCCACCTCTTCTTCAATCTACTAATAAGTAAGCAGTTTAAATACTTGCTTGAATATAGTAAATGTATACCTTGTTTACACTGAATGTCATATACAAATAAATCTAATTAATTTTTTATATAAATAGTCAATATAATTAATAAATTTTAATAATGTAATTGAGAGCAATCTAGTAGTGTTTCTAGTTTGAAAATTCTGTATAATGAATTGTTTGCTATAGTCTGAGTTGCCTATCACATCAAAGTCTCACAGCATAAAAATATTTTTTTCTTTCTTTTTTTTTTTTTGAGACAGTCTCGCTCTGTCACCCAGGTTGGAGTTCAGTGGCATGATCTCAGCTCACTGCAACCTCTGCCTGCTAGAGTTCAAGCGATCCTTTCACCTCAGCCTCCCGAGTAGCTGGGATTACAGGCACCCGCCACCACGTCTGGTTAATTTTTGCATTTTTTGTGGAGACAGGGTTTCACCATGCTGTCGAGGCTGGACAGGCTTGTCTCCAACTCCTGGCCTCAAGTGATCCACCCGCCAAAGTGTTGCGATTACAGGCGTGAGTCACTGCACCTGGTCTTCTTTTCTTTTTAAGACGTATGATAATTGTACATATTTATAGGGCACGTAGTGATGTTTCAATACACATAATGCATAATCATCAGATCAGTGTAATTAGCTTATTCATCACCTCAAACATTTATCATTTCTTTATCTTGGGAACATTCAATATCCTCCTTCTAGCTATATGAAAGTATATAGTATATTATTGCTAACCTACAAAGTTGTATCCTACAACTTTACTAAATTTGTTTATAAACTCTAGGAATTCTCTCATCTTTAGGTTTTTCTATATATAGGATTATGTCATCTGCAAAGAGAGACAATTTGACTTTCTTTTTTCCAATGTGGGTGCCATTTTTTTCTTTCTCTAGCTTAATCCTGGGAGCCCCGTTAGGACTTCCAGGATTATGTTGAATAAGAGTGGCGAAAGCTGGCTCTCTTGTCTTCTTCCATTTCTCAGAGAAAAAGCTTTCAGTTTTTTTCCCAACCTTGGTAGGTTTTATGTGTCCTGGAATGTATTTGTTTTCTCTAGGTTTTCTAGTTGTTTTCTAATGATCCTTTATATTTCTGTGGTATGATTTATAACATCTGTGTGGTTTTTGTTTCTGATTTTATTTATTTGGGTCTTCTCTCTCTTTTGAAAGTGAGTTGAGCTAGTGGTTTTTAAAATTTTATGTTCTTTTAAAAAACTTTTTGTTTTATTGATTCTTTATAATACCTTAATCTGTGTTTTGTTTAGCTCTACTCTGATTTTTACTAGTTTTTTACTTATATTCATTTGGGGTTTGGTTTGTTCTTGATTTTATGATCCTTGAGATGCATCATTATGTAGTTTATGTTAAATTTTTTTTGATGTAGGATATGTATTGCTATAAACTACCCTATTAGTACTTCTTATGCTATATCCCATAGGTTTTAGTATGTTGTATATCTGTTTTAATTTCTTTCAAGAAATCCTTTGATTTTCTTTTTTAATCAATGCATTGATCATTCAGGAGATTATTGTTTAATTTCCATGTATCTGTATAATTTCCAAAGGTCCTTTTTTCATTATTTTCTAGTTTTATTTCATTGTGGTCAGATAAGATACTTGACATAATTTTAAATTTTTTTTAATGCAGTCTTTCTCTGCTGCCCCAGGCTGGAAGGCAATGGCACCACCATGACTCACTTCAACCCCTACTTCCTGGGTTGAAGCAATCTTCCTACCTCAGCCTCCTGAGTAGCTAGGACTACAGGTGTGCACCACCACACCTAGCTAATTATTTTGATTAAAAAATTGTTGGGACATTTTTGTATCCTAACATATGATCTATCCTGGAGAATGTTCCATATGCTGATGAGAAGAATGTGTATTCTGCAGCTGTTGGGTTAAATGTTCTTTAAATGTCTTCTCTCTATATATACAATTGCTCTAACTTGAAGTTTAAATTCAACATTTCTTTGTTGATTTTCTGTCTAGATGATCTTTCTAATGCTGAGGGTAGAGAGTTGAAAGTCCCCAACTATTATTGAATTGGACTCTCTCTCTCTCTTTAGTTCTAATAATATTTGCCTTATATGTGTAGGTGCTTTTATTTTGGATATATTTATAATTGTTATGGCCTCTTGCTGAACTGATGATTTATCATTATAATAATATTATATATTATCATAAATATGTGACACTTTTTTTATTCCTTCACTTATGTCTATGTGTGTCTTTACAGGTGAAGTTAGTTTATTGAAGACCAAATACAGTTGGGTCTTGTTTTTTTGTTCATTCAATCAGTCTATATTTTTTAATTGGGGAGTTTAAACTATTTAGATTAAAATTCTTATTGACAGAAGAGGACTTACCCTTGTCATTTTGTTCATGGTTTTCTGATTGTTTTGTGTATACTTTTTTCTTTTCTTCCTCTCTTATTGTTTATCTTTACAGTTTAGTGGTTTCTGTGGTGGTAACTTTTTATTCCCTTCTCTTTCTTATTTGTGTATCTGCTCTATCATTAATTTTTATGCTTTCTTGTGATTACAGGATGCTGGATATGGTCTATTCACTTTCAGATTTAGAAATTCCTTAAGCATTTCTTGCAGAACTGGCCTAGTAGTGATGAATTTTCTGTTTTTGCTTTTGAGGAAAGGCTTTATTTATATTTTATTTCTGAAGGGTATCTTCAATGGGTATAGCATTTTTGGTTGCCAGTTATTTTCTTTCAGCATATTATATCATCCCATTCTTTCTGGGCCTGTTAGGTGTCTGCTGAGAAATTTGCTGTTAGTTTGATGAGGATTGCCTTGCATTTGACTTAATTTTGTTGTTGTTGTTGTTGTTTTCATAATTCTCTCTTCGTCTTTTACTTTTGACAGGTTGACTATAATGTGACATGGAGATCTTTTAAATTGTCTGTATGTGGAGATCTCTTGAGTTTCCTGTGTCTGGATGTCTAAATCTCTGGCTACACTTGGGAGGTTTTAATCCGTTATTTCACTAATAAGTTATCTATCCATTTTGTTTTCTCTTCACTTTCTGAAGAATTGAAAATTCAAATATTTGCTTGCTTTAATGTCCCACCATCATGTAGGCTTCGTATATTCTCTTTTATTCTTCTCCCTTTTTTGTTTTCTGACTGAGTTATTTCAACAGACCTATCTTCAAGTTCGAGAATCCTTTCTTCTGCTTGAAATATAATCTATTGATGAAGCACTTGATAGTAGTTTGTATTGTATTGTATTGTAGTTGATTTGTATTTGTATTTATATTCTTTTAATTATTCAGTTCTAGGACATCTCTTTGGTTCTTTTCTAATTATGTCTGTCTCTTTGTTGAAATTCTCATTCAGATCATGAATTGTTGTCTAGTTTCTTTGTATTGTTTATCTGTGTTGTCTTGTATTTCATGAAGTTTCCTTAAGATTATTATTTTGAATTATTCTTCAGGCATATACATTTTTTTTATTTTGGGAGCCTATTACTGGAGAATTATAGTGTTACTTTAGAGGTTTCATGTTTTCTTGCTTGTTCATGTTGTTTGTGTTTCTACATTGATATCTGCCCATATGGTATAAACACTTCCAATTTTATGAAGGAGATTTCATATGAAAAGACTTTTTTCTGTAGATGTATCTATAGTGTCAGTTGTGTATAGTACTTTGGCTTTGGTTCTGAGTCAGTGTGGGAGTACACTCACCATATGATTTCTTCAGCAGTTGTTCGTGAAGGCTGTGGTACAGCTCTTCCAGGGGCTGGTATGCTGGAATGCCTGGTCACTGAGCCCCTGGGGTGCATGCAGAAGCATCAGCGGTGATAGTGGTGGGCCCAGGGTAGGTCAGTCCTCAGGATCCTGGTCAGTGCATGAAGGCTTATGGTAGTTTTGATACTGACAGGCGTGGGTTTATTCAGCAGTAGTGGTGGCAGGTTCTGGGTGGGCCTATCTTCAAGCTCTCAAACAGTGAATGCTCACACCAGGAGTTGTGGTGGTGGGCCATGGATGTGCCAGTCCTTGAGCTTCTGGGATGGCATACTTGAGCCCTGGACAGGCTGACACTTGGACTGGTCTTTGGACCCCTGCGTGGCACATGTGGACCTTGAATGGGCTGGTCCTTGGGCTCCCAAAGAGTGCACATGGGTGCTGGGAGTGGTCCTGAGTGAGCCAATTCTTGGGCCTCTGGGTGGCACATGCAGGGGTTGAGGGGTGTTCTGTGGCATAACGAGCAGGCCAGGCAGACCTGACTTTGAATCCCCAGGCAGCATGCATTTGTGCATGGCAACCTCATTGCTGGAGGGAGTGAGGTTGTTTTAGTTGGCAGTGGGTACAGGCATGTGGCTCTGAGGCTCTGGGGAGCATGTACTTTGGCTCCCTATGTCCTGAGGGCAACCTCCCAGATGTGTGGGACTGCATGTTCTCTGGGGTGCAGGATGCTGTGTGGGCTCAAGTGCCAGAGATGTGGCTGTACTGAAAGGCCCAGCTGGTGGTGTGATGCTACAGCCCTCTGGGTGGTTTGGGGTGAATGTTGATAGCAATCCAAAGATATGGAGATGCAGAGGACATTGGACCCCAGGGCAGAATGTAGTCTGGTCATGTCTCCACTCTTAAAATAGCACGGTGCTGCAGTAGAGTAGCTTGGGTTCTGAGGGGTATTGGAAGCCCAGTATGAATTTTCTCTCTGGACCAATGCAGTTGTGTGGACTCCAGGCAATTCACTATATTAGGCTCAGAGACTGTGAGGGCAGAGGGACTCTCCTATAGTAAGGATTACAAGTGTCTATGATAGGAATATCATTGCTGGGGATCTCCTTTCCTTTTCCCCACAATGTGTAGTCCCTTGTGGCTTTGAGCTGATCCTCCAGGCTGCTTTACTTCCCTCTCTATGCTGCCATCTTGAGTTTCCATGTCTTTGGGTGGATATGGTTGGATGTGGAGATGCAGGAGTTATTGGGCCTGGGTTTTTGTCACTTCCTTGCTGAATTCACATTCTCCCTTAAATGCTCTATTTGATATATCGTTGTCTATTTTCTGTTGGGTTCTTCTTTGTGGAGAAGGTGAGTCCTGGGTGCTCTAGTCAGCCATCTTGATGACATCTCTTAATTATCTTTCTACTGGCATAACTCCTATTCCTATTCATAAAATGGGACATTTTTAAAGAATAATTGGGTTTCTCCCCAATTAATTTAATAAGTGTGAAAATACCATACACCTACCACAGCTTTGGCACTTACTAAGTTTTCTTCCATGACAGAAATTTTTATATCGAAGAAAGGCAGCTTATAAAATTATAATTAATGCCATTCTTTTACCAGTGTTTAAAAATGTGGAGTTAAAATAATACAAAATGTGTAGTCAATATTTAATAAAAAGTCTAACTGTAGTCATTTTTAGTTGTGTGATCTCTCAACTTCAGTTTCTCCATATTTAAAAGAAGAAAAACAAAACCTACCACTAAAATCAGATAATATATGCCTAAGTACTGTGAAACTTTAAGCACTATACAAATGAAAGCTATTATCATTACTTCCATAACTTATAGGCTATTATTCCCCTAAATACTAAAGGATCCTGTGTGAAGGATGCTGCAACCTAAATTCTGAGGGCTACTGCTAACCTACTCCTAAACTTCTACTTTAATGGAAATGAGAATTTATTACATTGAAGGCAAAAATGTTCTATAAGAGCACAGAAAAGAGAATGTAGATTTTAAAAATGTTTTTGCCTCATCATTTTCTTTGGTGATAAATTACAGCCACATGTTAAGTGTTTAGGTGTATATCAAAATAAAATAATTTGGATTTGCCATTTATTTGATTACACCATTATTTCCTAAAAAGTTATGTGTAGCATTTAAAAATAGCTCCATTCTCTACCACACTTAACTGACTTAAATGCTGCATTTTGCAGACTGTTGCATACAAGGAAGGTGAAATGGCAACATTGCAACAGAAAAGAGTCTGCTGAGAAGCAATATGATTAACGCCTCCTGGAGATACTGATGGATAGATGGTAAGGGATGTAAGGATTAGCCATAAGTATTAATCATGTGCGGTAGTGTGACTGATTGTTATTACTTCATACAGTAGGTGGCTAGGAATGCAGCCAGTTCAATAAAATTATTTTAATTTCCTTTTCATGGTGGTCATTTTTCTTGTGTCTCCTTTTTTCCTTTGGTATTCTTTAATTAAGGAAGAAAAGGTCTTCCTTTCATTTCACTGTAAGTGACCCATGATTGGGGTCCACGAAGGAAAAAAAAAATGACTATGCTATTCAAAGTATGTCACTTTGGGTGAGAAGACTCTGCAAGGCTGGATCTGAACCATGAGAAGAGTTGGGCAAGCGGACTCCCCTCCCTTAAGTTTCCACCTTTGTTCCATAATCTTATTGCTAAGGAGGGGTAAAGAAATTCCAATTAATGTTTTCCTTGTACAGTAAATATGTTTAGATATTACTGTATATTTTTGATGTATAGAAATTCCTCCAGAAATAAAAAAGAGAATTTGTAAATGTGGAACAGACTACATGGTTTGCTATTTGAAGTATCCCCATTTGAATTTTGCAGGAAATGTAACACAACTAATAAAATGTGGCCTGAAGTGTTGAATATTCTGGACTAAAGTTATGTTAAAGACAATGTATGGCCTTCAAGAATCTCAGAAATTCTCAACTGCAAGGGATGTTCTATTGTTTCTGCAGAGCTCAGTGTTACTTTCTAGAATTATAAAACCATTCAGGTGAAAGTGACTTTAGTTAAGTGGAGAAATATTAATAAAAGTATTTCATTGATGAATGAAATACCATCTATAGATGACTAGGTGTTTTTGGTTAGTGTAAAGCAAAAGCACATTCATAGTTGGAATTTCATTATACAGTTTGTTTATAGAGTTATAATTGAAATATTAAAAATTTATTCCATATATACACAAATACGAAGCTATTGAAAGTGCTTTTTACAAAAACTGCCTTGAAAAAAAGGAATGTAAATGTAATAGTATAATACATTTGATCATAAATAGTTGTTTTGGTAACTAATATTAGGTTTAAATGATCTTTTTTTCCTATTGACTATTGACTATTGCTGTGAATCTGGAATTTGAAATATTTTAAAGGGGCTGTCAAATAGTGTTGTCCATTTTCACATATAGGTAAAAAATAGTCCTTTTGATAATTAAACTTTCCAGGCACTGACAGTGAGAGATTAACTAAAACAATATTTTGTTCCCTGCTATAATGGTGAGTACAGAGCATTAAATATAATATGAATTCAACATGGTGTCTACATGCTAAGTCATTTGGATCCATCGGTAGGCTCTTTAGAAATGATGGATTACTGCATTATGATTTAATTCAGTTTTGTTTTAAAGGCATAACATTCAACATCATTTTAGTGAATTGTATAACCAAATAAGGAGAGAAATTGCTCCAGGAAAATGAATAATGTAGAAAATAATTCTTGTTGTTAAAATAATTATTAAAAATTGCTTTCTTAAAGAATCTACACACAGTATTGCATATACTCTTACAAGTACCTTCAATGTAACTGAGGAAAAGAACTAGGGGAGAAGAAAAACTCAATTATTTGTGATTTGCGGATTTTACTTTTCCTTTAAAATAACAATGATAACGTGTCAGGTCTGCTTGTGGCTTTAGTTTTCTCTCAGAGCAATTTTCAAATACAAAACCAACTCTGCTCAGAGGGAGAATTACTGAAAATCAATTGCAATTGTATTTGTGATACTTAAAATTACACCCACCCACCATTTCTGCTCAATTATACCACACTCAAATAATTTGTTAAATATCTTTGTGTCATAGAGTCGATATATGGGAATGAATGCTACCTATATATTCATACAATTTTAGAAAACAACAGAAAGTTCTTTCTTTGATGAAGACTTTGAATTTGAAACTCTTGAAATGCATACTAAATTATTCTAATAGGACACAAATGGATCTTGTAAAAAGTAATTTTTTACTTTAGAACATTTTACAGTTACAAAATTACTGTGCAGATAGCAGACAGTTATTGTATATACAAGACCCAGCTTCCTCTGTTACTAACATCTCACATTAGTATGGTATATTTGTCACTATTACTGAAGACATATTGATATATTATTAAATTTCATACTTTATTCGTATTTCCTCAGGTTATCTCTAAAGTTCTTTTTGTATCCCAGGATCCTATTCAGAATACCACATTACATTCAGTAGTCATGCCTTCTTAGGCTCCTACTGGTTGAGACAGTTTCTCAGACTTTCCTTGTTTTTGATACCATTGACAATTTCAAGAATTATTGGTAAGATGTTTTGTAGAATGCCCCTCAGATGAAATTTGTTTGATGTTTTTGTCATGATTTGACTGGGATTATAGCTTCTGGGGAGGAATACTATAAAAGTAACCTACCTGCTGTGGTCTGAATGTCTCCCTCCAAATTCATGTGTTGGAAACTTGATCCCCAAAGTAGCAGTGCTGGGAGACAGGGCCTTTTGGGAGGTGTTAGGTCATGAGGGCTCTGCCGTTTTGAGTGGATTAATGCTGTTTAAAAAGGGATAGCAGTTAGGTTCTCTCTCTTCTCTGTGAGGACATAGTGTTCATTCTCATTAGCCCTACTGCCTTTTACCATGTGAGGGTGTAGCAGACCCTCACCAGATGCCAGATGCTGCCGCCTTAGTCTTGGACTTCCTAGCCTCCAGAACTATAAGAAAATACATTTCTGTTTTGGTTTTATTTAAATAAATTACCAAGTATCAGGTGTTCTGTTATAATAACACAAAATGAACTAAGGCTGTGCCATTCTGATCATATCATATCAAGGGTATATTCTATCAGCATGACTTGTGACTGTTAATGTTAACCTTGATGACCTAGCCAGAGTAGTGTTTGCCAGGTTTTTACATTGTAAAGTTACTCTTTTATTGTCTTTATGTATTCTACTCATTGAAAGAAATTTACTATGTACAGCTTACAGTTAAGGAGTGGGGATTGTTTTCCATCTCCTTTAGGGTGGAATATCTATATAAATTCTTGAAATTCTTCTGAACAAGAGATTTTTCTCTTTTCTTCATGTACTTATTTAGCTAATAACTTGTTTATGTCAGTATGAACTGGTGGTTACTTATTTTATACAACAGGTTATAATACAATACTACTTCTTTATTTATTTTGCTCAAATTGTTCCAACTTTGGCCATTGGGAGCTCTTTCAGTTGGCTCCTGTTATCTCTGTTGCATACCCCATCATTCTGTGTTTTTTCTTGTTTCCTTACGTTTTTGTTTTATACTTTCTTATTTGCTGGAACTATGATGCTCCAGGCTTTTCTTGTGCATTTTCTGTCCTTTCCTTGAATCAGGCATTTTTACAAAGAGATCTGGAAGCAACCTCAAAAATGGGTCAAAATATGGGCATAAACCTTCTTCTATTGAGCTTTAGATAAAGGATTTCTCTAATAAATATCTTATTTCTACATTCAAATATCTGAGATTAAGGAACTGCCATAATACAAACTGAAAAAAAAAATTGACCTAACATTGACTGACATTCATGTTAAAAATGTTTTATTTCCCAAGTTTGAAGTGACAATTACACAGAATAATTTATACAAACATTGTGATCTTTCCCGTATCTAGTAGATTTGTGCGGATCTTGGCTTTATTATTCAAAAGTGTATAATGAGCACCCACTGAACCAGTCTCTATGATCTTCAGCAGCTCTTGTAAACATTAGTTTACATCTGTAATGTAGTTGATAAATAATGAGAATGCAGTGAATGATTATGGAAGATGGGAGTAGGAGGGATCTGTTACATTGGCTTCAGTAGGATTTGGCTGTTATAGAATTAACTAAAGTTACACATATGTTAAGCAAAGCTCTGCAAAATCTAAAAGAGAAAGATATATGAGTATCTAGTTTATATGGTAGCTTTATGATCTTTAAGGAAAGCTGATCTTTAAGGAAAATAAACTAAAATGTTTTCAGTACCATGCTGGGATCAGTGGCCAGGATGATTGACAAAGTATACTGAATAAGCCTATATTATTGCTATATTTATTTTAAGACTAATAGTATTCAATAATTACTAATATTAGCACTACTCGTAATTCAATAAGATTAAATATCACACATTAAACTATAGGTTTGTATATAATCACGATTTAGTACCTAAATAAGACTGTGTGGTTGATATTTGCTTCCAAGGTAAGGAAATGGAGGTTGTGAGAGGATAGCTAACTTAACCAAATATCACACAGAGAGTAAAAATAAAGTTGGCTTTTAAAACAAGGATTTCCGATCTATATTCTTAATTACTAAACTATACCGCCTCGTTGAAAATGATTTGATTTGGGGCGAAAAATGTCAAATCATTCATTTGTAGCCAAGAGCAAAAATCTGTCTGACTACATTATGAAAAGCCTAAGAATTTTATATTAAGATACAGAGTACATTGTTATTACAGAAATATGAGTATATGCCTACGTATATACAAATAAATATATAGCTATGGGGAGTGAGAAATGATAAATTTAAATTTAATTTTCTACTAAATTAGAAATTAGACACATAGCCTATGGAGATTTTACTAATTACGTATATGGATTTCATTGGGTAGATATTCACTATGGTTATTATGATTTTCCCTTATCTCTGTTGAAAACTCAGAGAGATAAAAGAAAAAAAATAAAGGCAGACTAATGTGGATGAGAAATTACTCATGTTGCAGAAACATTGTTCATTTGCTTCTGGCATAAATTGAGGGAAGAGACAATATATTTATGTCACAACATAATGGCACACTGTAGGCTATTTTTATATGCATTCTCATTCCAGACTAATTTGTCAATTGTCGGTAAATTCAGCATCTTCCACATCCGGATAAATATAGATTTCTTTCTCGGTTGACGGTAAATACATTGCAGCTGCTTTATGGCAAGCGGCAGATAGATGGAGGTGTTAAGGTGACTTTCTTGCTGATTGTTGTGTAGTAAAATCAGGCATGCTGTGGAATATGTATTTGGAATGTGTTCGAAAATGAGACAAGAGTTCCGGGTTCACTCACCATCATCATTATGATTCTTCTTTTGGCCACTGTGGTTTCTTGAATTGTGGTAAGTTAATTAGGACCAGGATGACTCAGTCCAGAAAAAGGGGCTGCAGAAATCAAGTCCCAGTTTTGTTAAGTCTGTGGTTTCATTAGCTTTACTTTGATTGACCTGTCTTAAATCCTTTTGGAACAAGATGAGAGACAAAGAGTGGCTAAATAAGTAAGTGCATAATACAAACTTGATCATAGTCATCTTTGACCCATTGTCTAGTGAACACTACTAATCGGTCATCTCAAAAATGTTATAAAGGGCAATAAGCTAAAAATAAGTGCATATTTAAAAAGAAGAAGAAAGAAAAAGAGAAAGAAAGAAAATGCTAAACTTTGACTAACAGAGTCCTAACTGTTATATTCAAATACAAAATATAGCATTCTACAGGATATTAATTGGAGGGGTTCAATAATCTATGCATAAAGTAAGAAATAATGCATATAGCGGTTCACTGGTTCTCAAAGTGTGGCAGGCACAAACACCATCAGCATCAGTAATCCTCAGGAACTTGTTGAAAATGCAACTTTTTGAACCCCAATTCCCAATTACTGAATCTGAAACTCTAAGAATGGAGCCCAGCAATCTGTATTTCAACAAGATCTTCATAAAGTTTTATATGAGAATCACTGGAAAAGTTACATTCCATTAAAGTTATTGAAAATGGAGAAAGATCCTGGATTCATTGAAAAGAAACAACAAAAAGCTTTGGAATGGACTGCTGACTCCAAACTGAGTTCTTTATAGATACATTCAGTGACTTGGATTTTTTTTTTGTTGTTGTTAAATTATTTGTCTAACATATTGGATAAAAGGACTCTCCAGCTCTTCAGAAGTAATTTCAGGACATTTTCCTGATATACCTCATTTATTTCAGATTTACAAAAACTGTTAAGGTGATCCAGATGAACATGAAAAGCACCAAACAACTGACCTTTCTAACTTTACATCGCTGAGGTGAAGGGCTCAGGAGTATAGAACCTCTGAGTTGTGTTTGATGGGCTGATTCTAACAGAATTTAATTCAATAAATATTATTAAAGGGTGACTATGAGAAAATTAATGAAGTTGGTGATGTGGAAAAATACATTTATGAACTATGACTCCTAATTTCAAATTACTTACCATTTTTATTTACCTAAGGAAGATATTGAATAAGATGTATTTTACTAGCAAGTATTTGCATACATATAAATTATCCATTTTGTGCTAACAGTTTCTAAAATTAGAGCTCCAGGTATTTTAGAAACCTACACCAAGTAAAGCCACACAGTGATGATTGGTCCTGATGAGTCTTCTTATGAATACAACTTTGTGACTTTCTCTTGGTAATTTGTCAATTGTTGAGGCACAGAATTTAGTATAAATTATTTATTATGATCATATAGTATTATGATTTATTATAGTAAATAATAACTATAATGGCAAATTTGTCTACAATAAAGCAAAAGGTCGTGAATACTCATACTCATTACCTGAAACATAAGTTTTTGGATATGGCATTTTAAAAGCATCAAATGTAGGAGCAAAAAGAAATGAGTTTAGCATCAAGGAATAAAACATTCCATATCCTTATACTAAAAACAAGACAGTTGGGAGATCTAGAAGAGAAAATAAAGTGTCAGGATTGCTAAAGTAGTAATGAACACCTTTTTGAAAGGAGGAAGTAAAGCAGGTCACTACAGTGCATGGATAACTAAACAGACTTGTAGGGACAATGTAGCTTAAGCAGGAAGTTAGGTATAATGATTTGGGAATAATTAAAATACGAACGTAGTCAAACATATCTGGAAAATGAAAACAGTTTATTTTTATTAAACATAAATGAAAAAGTGATGCTGGAGCTAAAATAGAAAATCTCATAATGAATTCATTAAAACTCTAGTAATAATTAGAAACAATTTATTGGAACTGGACCAGGCTAACTTTGCAATGTTATAATCTAAACTAGGAATAAAAAAATTTTATGACATGTACATTTAAGTGGTGCCTGACTACTTGGGTTATAGTGAATTCTTGGAAAACTTCAAACTCAAGGCAAAATTCACTAACTACTATTTTGGCCTGAGAAAGTATCTTGATGCAGAAAAGAAAGTAGGGCCTCTATTTAAATGTAGCAACAACAAATTTCTACAAATGAAAGATCTGTGGTATTAATTACAGGTCAGTTATTAGTATTAATTATTTACATGTTTCAATTTACAACCTGGGACAATGCAATTCCCAACATAGGAAAATACCGGTAAGGGATCAATGTATGCATTGCCTCTAATCAATACTCTTTAAATTAATCTATATATAAACTACAGAATTATTGACAAATTGAGTGTAAAAGTCATTTGAAAATGTTCACATGTAAGTAAAACCAGAATGCATAACTTGTTATGACACATGGTAAAATAAGAAAACTTCAAAATTCTGTCTGTACAAATGCATAAAAATTCTGAATAAAATATAGTCAAAAATTCATTTTTATACCTGTTAATCTTGGAAAGACAAAAGGAACACAATATCTAGGTTCCAGAAACAGAGAAAAGAACCAGCAAATTGAAAACCAGAGCATAAGTGCAGGAGTTAGTTGATGCTTCCGTAGCTTTGTGGTAGGCAGTGTAAGGAAAGGGAAAGTATTGTTCTGGCAACCAGCTAGATTTGGTTTTAATGTCTAAATTGGGACAAGATACAAGGCTTTGTTGGATTGTAAGAGTGAAGTCAAAGCAAAGATCCCTACATAAGCCAGAATATCTGAAGAACTCCACATTGCATGAAATATGAGTTTGAAAAAATAAAATATCTGCAGGTACAGCAAGTTGACAAACAAATTTTCTACTTCTGTCTGGGTTTTGAGGGAAACAAAAAAGGTTCTCCAAACTGTGATTTTAAAATAAAAAGTGGTGCAAAGTGGTTGACATGTGTGAGTAGATAGAAGAAACACATGAAAAACTGCTTCGGAAGACTATCTCACCCTAGGTTAAACAAGAAACCTCAGTTAAATTCTTACTAAAGTTCAGATAGTTGGGGCTCAGAAAATGATATCCCCAAATCAAGGCCTCAGAAGCAGCCTCAAAACTAGAGTTTTACTCTCACTTTGCCCTGCCCACGTGTTCCTCACCCCTCATTCTCCCCCAGGGCTAGCCATAGAAACTAGAATCCTTCTTCCCTATGGCAGTCATAGATACCAGAAACCTTTTATGTCAAAGCCAGCCATCAAGCCTGAAAATATTACTCAAACCTTTTCCTACTTTTCTGTGTAAGGGCTGGCCATAAAGAAATTACCCAACCTACGTTGTTTGATAGTAGGTCATAAGAACCCCCAATTCAGAAAGAACCCCCAATCCCCAATCAGGTCCTGCCTGATACATGGGAGGAAGAAATATTATGATAGAGAAGGCAAGAAGAATCTGAACAGACAGGACTTGCTAGGTTTCCCCACTGTCTATTGGCATTAGATCTTACCTTCTTTTGTCCAGTCATATTTCTACATGGCTTTCCATGCTTCATTGAATTTAAGCATAAAAATGAATAGTTCACCCCTGGGTCTTAGGGTCTTCATTCTGAAGGCTCTCATGTCACATAAAACTATGATCGAATAAATCTGTTATGCTTTTCTCTTGTTAACCTATCTTTGTTATAGGGATATTAGACATGACCTTTATGAAGATGAGGAGAGGAATAAATCTTTTTCTCCCCCTACAAGGTCATTGTTCAAAATTACAGGGCACCTTGGGGAACAATCTCCTGGGATTGTCACTAGACAAAACCAGCAGGAGCAGTTAAGTGCCAAAAAGGTCACAGACACAACTATAAAATAAGTGTATTTACTTAAGTAAACAAACACCTATTTAAATAAATGTGTAGTAGTCATTAATCTGACATGTAAATATAAGAATTAAAAACACAATACATGACAAGTCTATCTGAAAAACATCAGGTAAGTTTTAAAATAGATGTTATATGCATAACATGCATGAATTATTTCCTTATTGGTCCTATTTATTTAAATAAAAGGGTAGAAGAAAGAGCAAATATCTTGATGAAAAAGAAACCACAAACCAGGGACTAAATAACTGGTGCAACAGCAATGAGTACTGGAAACAGTCCAACTTCTCCTTCTTTTTCTTTCTCTATGATTCACATAAATTTTTTGGTAGAAGAAAATGTTAAAATGTCTAAAACTGTGATTAAATTCTCAGGCTAAACCAGATTCAATTTGAATTACAACGTAGCCATTTTCAAAAGAACCCAAAATCATTTCTAGAAATAATATAATAGTCAATAAAATTAAACAACTTGAAGGAGGTATTTTTTTTAATTTTTAATTTTTATGAGCACACAATGGAGAACAGTATGGAGGTTCCTCAAAAAACTGAGCATAGAGCTACCATATGATCCAACAATCCCACTGCCAGGTATATACCCAAAAGAAAGGAAATCAGTGTATTGAAGAAATATCTTCACTCCCATGTTTATTCATAAGAGTCAAGATTTGGAAGCAACCTAAGCTTCCACCAACAGGTGAATGGATAAAGTAAATGTGGTACATACTCATAATGTAGTACTATTCCATCATAAAAAATGAATGAGATCCTGTCATTTGCAACAATGAATAGAACTGAAGACACTATGTTAAGTGAAAGCCAGGCACAGAAAGACAAACTTTTTTTTCTTTTTTACAAGGGACAAGGTCTTGCTCTGTTACCAGATTGGAGGGCAATGGCATGATCATTGCTCACTGCAGCATCTAATTTGTGGGCTCAAGCAAACCTCCCACCTTGTCTTCCTAAGTAGCTTAGGACTAGAGGTATGTGCCATTATGCCTGACTAATTTTTTAATTTTTTGTAGAGACGGGATCTCGCTATGTTTCACAGGCTGGTCTTGAGCTTCTGGCATCAAGCAATCCAAGGAGATCTTGCAATAGGCAGATTAGATGTGGGTGAAGAGATAATTAATGAACTGAAAGATGGAGCTGAGAGAATTTTCCAGAAGGCAATACAAAGAGATAAACAGATGATTAGTATCAGAGTGGTTAAGATATGTGGAAACTGGAATAAGAAGATCCAAAATATATCAAAAATATGTTACAATAAGAAAGATGGAAAATAAACAAATATATAATATCTATTGCCAAAGTGGAAAAAATGTAGAGTAGTTACGTTACACCATAATTTATGTAAAGTATACAATATGCTTATGTAAATTGTGTATGTGCAGATTACCTTCAAAAGCAATATACTAGATAACTAAGATGCTGGTGAGAGTGGTTGCCTCTGGGAAGGGGTCTGTGAGTCAAGAGTAGAAAACAATTTCACCTTTGTATTTATTATAGTTTTATTTCTATTTACCTATACAAATTGTGTTTTATAAAAAATATTTTTCATTGCTACAAATTCACTGATGAAAATGAGGACTAAAATAAAATGAGGACAAGAAGATAAAATGAAGCCAGCAGTACAGTTGTATGAAATATGCATGTATTGTTTCTCTAGTAATGAAAAACTTGATTTTAAGCCTTTTGTTATTCATAACAAAGATGGACATCTGACCATTTATATGATTCATAATTTTCAAAGACAAAAGCAGACTAGTAGCTCTGAAAAAGATTTAACTAAACTGTGTGTTGAAATAAGAAATTTGCCTCCTGAAGATCCTCAAATTAAGACTGGAAAATGCAATTATTGAATTTACTTGTATCTCCCCATAAAGTGGAAGCCAGGAAATAGTCTTTTTAGTGACAACACTAAGGATCTAAATATACAATCTTCAAGTCTTTGTATTATTCATTAAATTTTTATTAAATATGTACTAGATCCAGACACTGCAAATATATTGGCCAGAGTGATTCATGTTATCATAAGCTAGAGCAAAAAACAGACATAGAAGTCAACAATTACAATACAATATGAAAATTAATATGACAGAGGATATTCACAAAGCACAACAGGCTCACAGAGAATACTGAGAGAAACAGTGTAACTTGAGGGAAATTTTTCAAAAGACGTAAAACTTCACAGAAAGATAGATGTTATCTAGACAGACAAGTAAGACAGTGGATGGAGGAGTTCCAAGTTTAGGAAACACATCTTTCCTGTCTTTGTACTTCCTAATTTACTCACTTGCTTATCAGTTTATTTATTGATTACTTTATTGATACCAATTATAGATATTATTAATTACTTTCTAGGTCTCTGGCTCAGATTTAGGCACTTGAGATGTAATAGTGATGGGATAGTCAGGCATCTTTCTAAAAGACAAATATCATCAGGTCACTTTTATATTTATATAAAGTATTTTTAGATAGCAGCATTTTCTTGTCAATGCAAGTGGTCTGCAAACTAAGATGCCTTAACCTCTTGGCCACGGGAGGACATTCTAGGATATACAGTATGAGGTCATAGATATTTCTAATGAAATACATTTCTAGATCTTCCATTTCTATATATATTTCCCCTAAAATAAATCTTTCTGAGAACAATTTGCTTTCTACAGGTCTCCTTTCCCAAAACTCCTTTCATAATTATCCTTGTCTATTTTGTCATCCACCTGGATGATATTTTCTGCATTTCCCAGGTAAAAACATCTCCAGGGTCATAAACAAAGGGTCATTTCAAGATTTATAGCTTCTAAGAGTGATTTCCCTGAGAGCAAAGTGAAAAGAGCTTCTTCTTTTGTTCAGGAATTTTGAAGGGGCAATTCCTTATTTTAGCCAGGTAATACATTTTTTTCTAATCCATCTATCTGACTGTTTATCTATCCACCTACATACCTACCTGTCTGTCTAAGTACCTACTTACCTTACTCACTCAGAAGTGAATTTATGTGAATTAAAGATTAAGCTAGACTGTATCTGATATAGCCGTATTACAAAGAATAAATAGTTTTTAACAATTCATTTACGTATACATGAAAAAAATGTATGGTTACCAGTGGTATGAAGTTAAGCCTAATCTGTTTGGCATAATAGGCAAGTTTTACAATCTGGCCAAATCCCCCTTTTCAAATATATTACTCTGTCTTCCTTCTCTTCTTCCCCCATACTCGATACTCTTAACCATATAGAATTGTTTGCTCTTGCAGAATAAATCATGTTTATATATTCCTTAATTTCACACATTATTTTTACATTCTTGAAAACATTTCTTTTGTCTCCAAGATATGTCCTAGCATTCCATTGGTTATTTCCTCCCATGTTCTCTTTGTAAGGGTTCCTATCATGTTACATATTACAATGCGGGTTATTTGGTTATAGTTACATTTTTCTTTTTCAGCGCAGGTCCATGTGGTGAGGGATGTGTTTTTTAATACAAAGCTACAACCACCCCCATCATCCCAAATACAAAATTGTAAACAGAATGACAGCCCCTGCAGTTTCATCTTCTTCAAGATAGTAATTATGGACATTTTGATGACTATCTCTGCATAGTCACTCTCTCTCTCAGAGACACACACACACACACCCACATACACACACAATTATCATTGCATCTCTTCCTTTCTAGTATCTATAAACTTGTTGTTTCCTTAAAAAAATAATAACTTCCAGATGGTTGAAACATAGTGCAATGTAGAGGCTTTGTTTCTGGTTTGAGTGGGACATTTTCTAATGACTCATCCTTTTAGAATAATCTCTATCAGTATTTCTAATTTAAACTGTGTGTGTTAAGAATAATTTATTTTATTTCCATTTTGCTAACACAAATACCAGAAATATTTGGGTATTATCCAAAGACTTTTTGTCAAGTACTGCCATGATTAATTTTTCACTTTTAATTAGCAGCATAATGACCTAAAAATTAATTTCTTATTATTAAATTAACTTTGTAATTATGGGCTGAATTTGATTGTTCATATTGCATTATTCTTTTCACATATATGAGATTATTTGCTATCATTTTATCTAATCTATAATTTTTTCTATGTTAATAATTGAGCAACAACAGTATCTTAGTTTTCTTTTATATTTTTAGTGTTTAGCAGGAGAGGTGTTCAATAAATATTTCTTGATTAAATGATTAATAGATGTTAGCATCTGATATTTCTATTTGTACATAACTTTAATATACGATTTACCACATTTATTTAGTATTCTCTCATCTGTGTTCTATTCATTTTTTCATCTTCTCATTCATTTATTTAGCAAATATTTGCTAGCAGGCCATGTTGTGTCATGGATAAGAGCTTGTTACACAGTAATAATATAAAACAAACAAGATCTGGGTCCTTGCAGAGCTTTCAGTCCAGCGTCTACAACACAGTAAAGATCTTAATGACCTAAAGAAGGCTGTAGTTTTTTTTGTTTTATTATTGTAAACTCTTCAGAGACAAGAGCTGTATTTATTTCCATACACAGTAACAAATAAAGCATGATACTCAATATACATATGGAAATGCTTTACTAGAATGCCAAATTAGCATATAGCAATTTCAGTGTTATCCTCTTGCTGTACTCAACATTTTGGTGTTATTAGATAAGGATACTGTCCAATTTGAGGTCCTTAAGGAGCTTAATGAACTTTGTGTAGGATTCACTGGAGAGTCACATAAATGAGAGAGCTGGAAAATTATACTCAGGAGGAGAACTTAAAGGAATTAAAATGATTCTGCTTTTAAAACAGGAGACTGAGAAACATTTCAAAATAATCTTTCAGGCTCATTCAAAAAATTGAACAGCTCTTCTAAATCCACAACAAGGACAGAATTCTAACAAACAGTGTTTTAGTTCATTAAAATATTTTATTCACTGCATTCAGATGATAGAAATGTATTGATGATGAGAATTGTTTAACTTTGAAATATGCTGTCAAAAAATGTAAAAGAAACAAAAGTGGACTAATAATTACACTGTCCTGAATTGTCTAATTGTCTCAATAGAGTGACTCTTAGTATAGATCAACAGTGGCCTCAAGGGTTTTTCTAAGCCAATAATAATATATACAAATATTAATAATATTCTAACACCTATTGAGTACCTATAGTTCTAATTTCTAAGTCTAAGTGTTTTCTGGGTGTTTTCTCATTTAGTAATGTTAGACACTATTACTAGTAGGGTGACCATATATGTCCTGGATTATCTTGAACAGTCCAGCTTTATGCCGGTTTTACTAGAGTACTTGGTATTATTTACCATTCACAAAAGTATCTCTTTGTCAAATAAATGATATAGTTACAACAGTTAATATCTATTTTTCAGCATAGACTTTAAACTGCATGGAGGTTAAACTGCATGGGTCACACAGGTATTCATTGGAAGCTGTGAATTTATGACTGAATAGATGCATATTCATCATCTGTATTGAGGACTGTGAAAACAAGGACAAGGCAATACCTGTCCTTCTGAAATTTTTAAATTAAATCACAGTGTATTATACACGAATGTGACACATACAATTCCAGGCACAAATACTGAGGAAGCCAAACATCTCAGAAATGACATCAAGTTATCTTTAAACTACATTTAAAATTGTGTTTAGCACATTAGCATCTGTATGTGAAGATTTCAGTTCTCTTAGTTCTCAGAGGACATACTCTTTCAGTAAATCTTGGAAGGAAGTATTGGGATGGTGTTTGAAATTGAAGTAAAAAAGACCTTTGACTTTAAAGAGGTGTGTAAGAAGGGTGATTTTGAAACCTGGGAAAACAGAATGTGTAGCGAAAAGGAGAGCATCAGAAGAATAATTCAAGGAAGTAACCAATGAAATCTGGAGGACATTAGCCAGCATGTTACATAAGCAGTAGCTTCAAGCTTCTTCAAATGACAACTTCACCTCCGTTTTTTTTTTTTTAATGGGAGGACAGAAGGTCTGTATCTACAGTACAAAGGGATTTCTATGAAGAATGTGTTTCTTTAACCATCCAAAGGCCACTTACTGTCTAGTTGACCTGTCTCCTTTTCCCCCATCCCTGACCCAAAAGCACTCACAAAATTTCCAATCAATACAAAGACAATTACGTTTCATGAACATACTTATTGGTGCATTCTGTGGTTGGTTCACCATTCAGTGTTCCTGGTTTTTCACTTCTGAAGTTGGTAAACTGTGAAATTGCTATTTGCAGAAACCATGTCTTTTCTGGATGGACCTTCAATTGAAACAGAAAACCTAACATTTTTACTTTATTTTGCCTGTTTGTTCTCTTACTCACTAACACTGACTGAGGAGCTATTTTGCTCCAGGCACCAGACCATATGCTGAGAATACAAAATGAAGATAACATATCTTTTTCTTTAAGGAGTTCTAGCCAAATGAGGGAAACATATGTCAACTTACAAATGAAATAGAATCGATTCTTCTAATTTGCAGTAGTTGTATTTTATATGTAATGTTGTTGTGACCAATGAATTAACAAATACTGAACAATTGCCCCTAGGGAAAACATGAAAACACCCGGAGCAATACCTGGTTCAAAATAAGCTTGCAATAAATTCTTGAGTGAATGGGTAATGTCTATTGAATATACCAAATAGTAAAAAAACAAACAAACAAAACAGAAAATCCCAATACTTTTGTTTTAATTTTGAAAACTATTCAGGCAAATATGTACTTTTAAAATGTACATGTATTAAGTATTAATATTTGTCTTGTGGGTATTTCAAAGGTAATATTAGATTTTTCTATAATATTTGATTGGACAAAAGACTGTACTTGCTAATAAATATCAAACTTTTATTTTCTATTTTATTACATATGCTATATTGCTTATAGTTTAAAATAAGTTTGCAGAAAATCAGAATTTTTATTCACACCTGGCACATATGTAATATGCTATTTGTTAATGTAGAAATAACTCAACTCTCCTTCCCATGGCAGGAGTGACTGATTTAAGTCCACAGATTTGACTTCAAACTTGATCTCATTTCTTACTAAAGTACTGTAATGTTTTATTTCCACTGACTGCCCAATTCCGTTAATATTACATGTACTCCAAAACTGCTGCTTTGAAGAATCCATCTCTTATAAATCTCTCTATGTGGGGTTAAACTCCCACTGCACTATTGAAATTAATTTCTCAAGTATCACCTAGAATGTTCACATTTCATTACTATTTTCTTGTGCTAATCGACCTGTTTATGGCATGCGGTGTCATTAAACCCCCCTTCCTTGAAAGTCTTTTTTCCTTACCTTTCACCACTCTGCATTTTCTAATTCTCCTCCCTTTGGTCACTGTTTCCACTTCTTTCCTTCATTTGTTTTTCTTTCCTCATTTCTTAAATATGGCTGTCACCCAAACCTCCAGCACTGGTTCCTTGATCCTCTTTTTTCTCTCCGTACACATAGTCATTTAATTTCAATGCTATAAATATCACTCAAACTAGGTGAGGACCAAACCTCCAATCCCAGTTGTGATCTTTCTGCTCTGTTCTTATTTGTTTCGACTTTCCACATAATAACCTTAGCTAACTGTTCTGCTATTCCATCCAGCAGATGGGGTCTGTGTTTTCAAGGACCTATTTTCAAGGTAGGAAACAAACATTAATAAATTCCTCAATTTATAAAAGTGTTATCTATATTTTGATAAGTACCACAAAAGAGACATACAGGAGAATTTAGTTTAGGTGAGGCAGTGAAGGTTTCCTTCAGGAAATAACATAATTGAAAAAATAATAAGTTATTCGTAGCAGCATATTTATTTATTTGTTGTTCAACAAAGATTTAGGACTGAAAAACTTGAGGGACAAAGTTACTAAGACATAATTTCTTGCCATAAAATATTATCTAGTATGGGAGACAGGATTTTAAACAAATAAATGCAATACAGAATACCATACTTGTGATCTTTAACAGTTGCAATAGAATGGTTAAGGAAGGAAGTACCAATTCTTCTTGAGGAGTGTTCAGTGGGACTGATCCACATCAATGAGAAACTAAATGACTAATTAATGAGATGCATGAAGCAATTGAGGGTTCGAAGAAAAACGCTTACTAGAATATATGAAAAGTTCTACTTATGAAAAGGTACCATTGCAATGACAAAGACATATAAATGAAAGTTTTGGAAGCCAGAGCTTATAGCAGGGTCAAGGCATGTGAAAATTGTATCAGCATTCCCCACTTCAGAAATTTTGTATCTGAAGTTGAGGTATGACATATTAGGCATGACTGGCCAACTCTTAGCATAAACCTGACAACTGCAGCCAGTCAAAATAGGCAAACTGTTAGACTGTCTAGTCAGCCACTTTTGTAAATGATCTACCACTGCTGCTGAAGAGACTAAATTGTATCAAGCATCCTACTTTTGTGTGCATGTCTGCCTACATCAGCCAACTGTGAGTTTCTCAAAGGACATTTCTGTGTGTTATTCACCTTTGTGGTTCTTTTCAGGAGAACTCTCCATTAGCTTGCCCAGCATTTTTGTTTTACAAAGTTAAAATTATGTGAGAAGTAGTATGAAAGAATCAAAGTGATTTTTCTCTAGTAAAATCATGGTATGACTATACATACTTTTTAAAAAATTCCCAGCTTTACATCTATTTTAATTGCTATACTTTTCATCTTCAATGTGTTTAACATTTTAAGCTATGTGTGGGCAAAACAAATTCTTTCTACATATTGAGATCATGTAAATGGATATTATTATTGTTATAGCTATTTCTTTTAAATCTGATTTAATTCAATACTATATGGGATTTAACACTTGAAAAGGTTTGAAAATTGACCTACACAAATTTGTATGAAACAGTCTGGATATATTTTTCTAAATGAGGCATTATATGTTAGACTGCAATTTTGTAAGACAGATATCTTACATTTTTCAAGCTACTGTGGGCTGCTAATGAGTCAGAAGAAAATTGTGATTTGATGTTTAAAACTTATAGCAAAAAATATGCTTTTGACTAATATCATTGCAGAGAAAATCATCTCACAATAGCACACAACATTATATAGAAATTTAGCATAATTCAATTCATAAGGTCATGAATATTTTTATTAAGGAAAAAATGTGCATTTAGCATTCTATAACCTCTGCTGCTTTTCACTATGATGTTACCACGTCGTTTTGAGAGTTACCCATTTCTCTGTGATATCATTTATATATTTCATACATATTACCATCAGAAAACCTCTAAAATTCTTTACGCTTTAGATTTACATGCTGTCCAAGAGAACTTTCTCCATCACAGAAATGCACTCACAATACAGTAACCACTAGGCACATGTGGCTATTGAATATTTAAAATGTGTCTAGTGTAAATGAGGAACTGAATTTTTAACTCTCTCTAATTTTAATTTATTTAAATTTTACTTTAAATAGCCACCTGTGGTTATTTAAATGTGGCTACTCCATTGAACAACGCAGCGGCACAGGATGAAGCTTCTCTCAAATTATTGAACCCTTTACCCCTGGAAAAAAAGTAAGTCAACTTGAAAAAAAATCGTAAGTAGAAATAAGAAAAAATAAAATACAGCTAAGCATAAAGTCTTTGCCATTCACAACTCATATAATGAGAAAAAAAGTCAATTTTGTAATTTCGAATATACACCTAGAATAAGCAATTAGGGCATTTAAATTGCAGTGACGTATCTCTGAGCAACATGTTGCCTCTCACATTCCTCATGAGTGCTGCTGCACACATGTTTGTATTAGAGAACAATAAAATCATGCTGAAATGCAGGGGATGGGCAGTCAATTCCATTTATGTGCATTATAAGGTCTACAACTTAGAAAAAGCACAAATTACAGTGTGTCATGGCCCTTCAAGTTCTTTATAATTAGTCCAAACAGACAAGGTTCAATTCATCGAGTAAAATTTCCATATTAAAAAAAATGCAGTGTAGATCTTTTTTGAGAACAAAATTAGGAAATAGCACCCTCTGTTCCTGATTATGTTTGCTGAGTTATCTAATTTTAGTTTCTATTCCCCTGATAGCAGCTACCTTTTTCATAGCGTGGCCACAAAAAGCAACGTTGAACATTATAGCCTCAAAATCCCTCCCCAGTCCCTATTAGAATGGCTCCTCGTGGGTGGGTAGTTCATGATGCGTATTGTCATCATCTAGGTTGTTGGGGGCACTTTGGGTATGTAAGAAGAACCATAGCACCCATGTGAAGGCAGTGGGTGAAGCACTGAAGCTTGGCTGGGAACCCTTTGTAGCCATATTCAGGCTACTTGCTGGGATAAGGCATGAGCTGGGGAAATTAATATACTACAGGAAGTTTATGATGGCATACATCCATAGATTCTGGAAGGTAGACAAGGAATAACCTAAAATGCAAACAAGGAGCTGGTTCTTGGTGAGGGTTACTGTGAGGTAATGGAGATGGCATAAGAGATAAGGATTTCAGAGGAATCATGTCTGCACAGATATGATGACAAGTATTTGGCATCTGGGAGGTCTATCATTTAAAAATAGGTGACAGTGCAAGAGGAAGGAAGGACTATACTGCTAAAAGGACAGAAGAACTAAAATGGTCACCTAGAGAAGTTTAGTAGGACAAAGCAGACACTGTCTTACTGGAACTAGGGTACAAGGTCAGGACTGAACTAGCAATACCATTCACATGTGGCTAAAACTGATTGTGGCGATTAGAGTTCTGTACCACCTTCTTGTCTAAAGTAAGATTTGGTTCTAAAGACATGGTCTGTGGGGATCTTGCAGAGGATGAATCGGTCTCAGCTGTGTTCAGGGAGAAGCAGCAAAGACCGGGGAGTAGGCAGGGCATGGGATTCTCCAGGTGAACAAGACAGCTCCTTTTCTCTAAATTCCTATTAAGGTCCTTATGTATGATGTTCCCATGGAGCTCTGGATAAACTTTCTTAAAAATTTACAAAAACTTTAACAAATCATTTTTATTATTTTATTTTCAATTTGCAATTGACTAACAACAAGTTGCAGAAAGAGTACAATGAATTCCTGTGTACCTGTCATATTACGATATATGTATTGGTTTTCATCCACGCTTCCTAGCTAACAACTCCCGTGGGACAATTTAGACCTCAGAAAGCAGAATCTCTCTCTATTCCTCTCCTTCTCTCCTTTCACCTGCTACTTTTTCTTCCCAAGGCAAGACGCCTCCCCTTCTTTTCTGTCTTGGAGCTGGCCATAAGGACATTCTCTGACCTATCTTGTCTGATTGCCCATCATAAGACCTTCATTTCAGAAGGGGCCCTGCTTCATACCTGGAGGAAGAAATGTTGCGCAGAGGCCAAGAAGAATCTGAACAGATAGGCCTTGCTGGGTTTTCCCATTCAGTCTACTAGTATTAGATTATTCCTTGTTTGTCGAATCACATTTCTACACAGTTCACACTTCAATCATGCTAATCCAGTGAAATCTCCATTAGGCCCAAGAGGATTGGTATGGAGAGCTTATGAATAACTGGACACATGGAGGTTCCTGGAAGGTGGTATGAGAGGAGAAAGCATGGAAGCTCTCCCAAACCTTGTGTGTGAAGTCTGTGGTCTTTCTCCCATACTTTGCCCTATGCATCTCTTCACTTGTATCCTTTGTAATATTCTTTATAATAAACCAGTACACATAATTGTTTCCCTGAGTTTTGTGAGCCACTCTAGCAAATGAATCAAACAAAAGAAAGAGTCATGAAATCCCTAATTTATAGCCAGTTAGTCCAAAGCACAGGTAAAACAACCAGGGACTTGCAATTGGCATTGGAAGTGCAGGACTAAGCCCTCCACTGGTGGGATCTGATGCTATACCCAGGTAGATAGTGTCAAAATGGAATTGAATTAGAGGACCTCCACCTGATGTCTGTTGCAAAATTGATTAATTGCTTGTTAGTTGGGAGAAATCCCCACACATTTGGTCATAGAAGTATTTTATTGATTATTGTTCAGTGAGAGAATAGAAAAATAGCACTGTGAGTGTGTTTTTCACTGGCAGTACCCTTTATCCAACACCTCCAGATGTTAACATCTTATGTCACTACACTACAGCTATCCAACCAAGAAATTAATATTGATATGATGCTGTTAACTAATCTACAAACTTTCTTCAAATGTTGCCAATTGTGCAAAAAATGTTCAATTTCTGGTTCAAAGTCTAGTCTAGGTCACATATTGCATTTAACTATCACCTTAGTTCTCTCTCATCTATGACATTTCTTCAATCTATCTTTGAGACCCTTTCATGTTTGAAGAGTACTGAAAAAGATATTTAGTTGAACATCCCTCAATTTTCACTTGTGTGAGGTTTCCTTGTGATGAAAATCATGGTAGGCATTTTTTGGCAATAATATAATGGAAGTGATGTTTAGTCCTTACTGCTTCATATCTCAGTGGTTCTTAATATTAGCACATTCCATTGCTTGTAGTAAAACTTGACTCTTTGGTGAGGGTGGTTTCTGCCAGATTTCTCTACTATAAAGTTGTTTTTCCTGTTGTAACGAATAAGTGATTTGTGAAGAGATACTTTGGGACTATGCAAATACTTGTTCATCATTTTGCTTTCACTCAGTAATTTTAACATCTATTGGTGATTGTAAATATTCTAAACATAAATTCAAAATCATCACTATTTGGTGATATGTGCTTTCCAAATAGTGATTTTCTGTTTACATCATTTTTTTCTACATTTGTTAATCAAAATTCTTCTGTAACGAAGTACCATCCCTTATTTATTTATTTTATTTACTTATTTTGTCTAGATCCAAGGATATTTATATTATTCTAAGGATTGCAATCCATTACAATCAGCATTTTATTTTTGGTTATTATCATGCTCTAATTGTTCCAGATTTGGCTAAGGGGAGCGTCTTCGGTCTGTGTCTTCTAATATACCTCATTATACATATATTTTTGAGTATTTATTTATTTTCTTGCACTACAAGGTGTCAAAAGTAAATTTTAAAATGTGCTTTTTAATTTGGATCATAAAAACACCAAACATTACAAATATAATGTACGTAAGTTATGTCTACTTAAATCAAACATATCTGGCTAAGAAAAAAATTGATCCATTTTATTTTTCTTACACGTGTTTAGATATCATCTATATAGAATGTTTTACATTGTCACTAATTGTTTTTGAGAATTAAAAACAAAATTATATTTTATCTTAAAGTATATTTAATATGTTTTTTTTGTTCACTTTTCAAATTCTCAAATCATTCTTATAAATATTTGTAAATCAAATACCAGTATATGTAGTAACAAAAGAATATTTATAAAAAGAGAGTGTTCAACATGGCCTATAAATTTGTGTCAAAAGTAGTATACAGAGAAGTTGCTTCTTACCAACTGGATTAACTAGATATACATCATTTTTTTTCACTCACTCTATATATATCATTTTTTCAATGAGTTGTTGATGAGCTTATAACTCAGGAGTGGTAGAGCAAAACAAAGTTAGAAAATCATGATGAAAGGTTATCAATAACTTTCTGAATGTATTCACAACCTGCCAGTTGAATATATTGTTTATGCAACATCAGTTTCAATATACATTATGTCGTGATATGGGGATTGGGGGAGATTTATTTCACTTGATTTGGAGAAATCTGTTTCAAACAATTGTTTTTGACCTTCTAGGTGACTGTCAATTGCACTTCAAAATATTATTAATAACTTCACATAGAATAATTCAAATCCCTAATTTTGAACCTTTTTTTCCCCTGTGATACCATTGAGTTCTCTTGAATAGATTTGGATTTTGCTTTGTATATGGTTGTGTTGTGTTTTGTTGCATGTGTATAAAAGTTGGAAATCAGTACAGTGTAATCAGCTTTTATTTTACAGAGCAAAGACTATTATGACAACAACTACAATTTTTATCACTATTATTACACAAAAGAAAATAAGTTTTAACACTAAAATGTAGGAATAACATAATCTCAGAATCCTGCGTTCTCTTTTAAATTCAATACACAGCTTTTTGACAACCTAGTTGCTATTACTTTTCTTCATTTCACCATGGACTGCTGAACAGATGACATGAATGAAGTATTTCTGATAGAAATCACAACATTAGCAATTGAAGAATATATAGTAGCAATGCGGATGCTACTATTAAACATTAACTCTTCAGAAACTAGCTGAGTGGCTCATTTTGCAAGAGCACATTTCATACTCTTCTTTTCTGTGAATACACTCATTAAAAATATATAGAAAAGCTGTGAGTTAAAATAATGATGTAGTTTTAATTCTAACCAAAGAAGAATGATCTAGAGATCAGGGTAGCTGCATAAGCTTACTGGTTGTTTCCAGAGTATGGGTGCAGTCTCAGATTCTCCTTCAAATATTATTTGCATCCATATTTAAGAACCTTATGGATCTGCCTTTCACTAGCCCTCAACAGCTTTCCACATCTTAGCGGTTTGAATTGGTTTTGCTTTTGGATGGTTTTGTTCTTGAACTTGATTTTTACCAAATTCTTTCAGTAATACCTGGCTCCAAGATTTAAAATCTATAAGTTAGTCCCTGCCCCTCTTTCATATTCCATTTCGTTTATCACAACGTACCTATCAGAACGTGCCTGGCAGTCTCTGCCACTGGCTGAAATGTACTGCTATGTTACTGGACTACACACTGACTGTCTCCAATTTTTATCCCTGGCCTCAAAAAGAAAAAAAAAAAAAAAAAAAAGAAAGGAAAGAAAGAAAAGAAAAGAAAAAATATTTCTGAGTGGAACTCTGTATGGGGCAGGAGATAGGGATTTGATTTTCAGTTGATGAATGTATAAACTTGCAGATTTCTGGAAGCTCTCAGGACCAAGTTTTAATTTGGCATGTCTTGCATTACCACTTGACCTAACAATGGATATTAAAAAATGTCCCCTGTTTAGTTTACACATGATCTATGATCATGGGGCGTTCTGTTAAGAGGCAATGTTGACTGTCACTTTCTCTAGATCTTCTCCTGTGAATTTTGTCTCCCCTGGCTGAATGATCTTGAGTTTTCTCTTTTGGAAAGCCTACAACCTTCAGCCAGCTTAGAATTTCTCAAACCACTCTTGTTTGGGACTACCACCAATTCACTCACTGCATGCTAACCTTGCTAAAGATAATAGACAGATTTGTCACCTGTGGAGGAGTGTTATTAACATTGAAGCAAGGGAGCTGTTTCTCATCTAGATCTAATTTGTGGCAGACAGCAAAAATTACATGCAGCCTCCTTCTCTTGAGACTCTATCCACAAGGGAATGATAGATAGCACTTGATTCTGGGAGACCCTTCACTCAGAATATTATGGTCATCCAGCCATATCTGCAGCTGACATAGGTTGTTGGCGTTGGTTAGAAACAGACAACTACATGCCATGTTGTCTTTGAGCAAGAGAGTGTCAGGACACTTTCAGGTGCACTTGATAGAAAATCCAGCTCAGCTTTGACTGAGAAATAAAAGAAAATCTACGGTTCATAAAACTGGATAAGGTTAGAGTAGCTCAAATTTCAGGCACAGTTGGAATCAGGGTTCAAACGATGTGATCAGAACTTCGTTTTTCCTGGTTATGAGTTGTCTAGTGTCAGCAGTATTGGTTGATTGTGGGTTCAGCCTGTGATTATTTCAAACTATTTCCAAAACCATGCTCCAGTGGCTTGGATTTGATTACATGCTTGACCCAAAAATTGAAGACTTTGTAATGCAATGGGCAGGCTGGCCAGGCTTGACTCGTATTCTTTACTTTTTGAGTTAGGAGCAAAGTCGCACCTAAATTCATGGGTTAAAAGTGAGAAGAGTTATTAATTCAAGGAATGGGAATTAATCTAAGTGGGAATTAGTCTAAATCATTAGACTTTAATAAGAGCCTCTTTTTCTGAAGAGAGGTAATTTTCAGGGAACAAACTTGCTGACATTGAACTTCAGTTCTTTATGGGATATACCATTTCATAGCATCTACCAGTGCTTGTGGCATAAACAACAGATTATAACAGAATGAGCAAAAACAAATAGAATAATCAGAGAGTCTGATAAAAGAAAGTCACTTGTCATTAGCTATGAAATGGTGTATGCCATAAATAACTGAAGTTCAGTGTCAGTAAATTTGTTCCCTGAAAATTACCTGACTCTCTCCAGAAAAAAAGACTTACCAAAACATTATTATTTCCCTGACTTTTTGGTTGTTGTTTCTCAATATGTATTACTTCTAGGGAAAAATTAAATTTGATATCCTATGTTCTTGTTAGTTTGCATCAGTGGAAAATGATTCTTATGGAAGCACAAATAGTTTTATGGATGTAATAGATAAGAAGTAACTCTGTCCTTGGCAAATTAAAATAAATAAAATAAACTTATTTTGACATTATTTAAACTCTATTTTCTAAAGTCCATGCTCAGATATCCTCACTCAGTCCTTTCTTAAATCTTCTTCCAAAAAATATATAATCTTACTTGTTACTCATTATATATATTCATTTTAAAGCTATTATTGGTGAAACACAAACCTAGATGCTATCTGAGGTACAGTATATAAAATATGATCCTTGCTCTCCAGATATTTACAATTTAATTAAATTTTCAGTGCTATTGAAGGACCAACCAAGAAGAAAGTCAGCAGATGCTTGGAAGTGTCCTTTGTCACTTAGGGCTTCTTCATATGAGCTAATTTGATGCCTACAAGAGATTGGTATAAAATTAACTGACTTGTGGTTTCTATTTAGAATTTCCAGTCCATGTGAGTAGCCATCCACGCAACCTCAATACCAGAGAAAATTGCACAGTCCATGAAAATATACAAAGAACTTAGGCATGAAATAGAATAAAATTGTAGGGGTATGAATAATTAGCCTTCCAAGTCACAAATGCTTTCAACACAGGATATGCCTTTAGTCTCCATAGTAAAGAGGCTAATGATTAAATTATGTTCTTCCATTTCAAACGTACTTTTTAGATCTTTATTCTCTTTCAAAATTTCCATAATGATCATGTTGTGCCTGTCAGAAGTTGACTTCATCACTAAAACTTTCATGTTCATATCGTTCACTTTTATCCCCAAAGTCTTAAACTTCCTGTCACTCCCTATAATTACTTCTCCCAGTCACACCTGTCATTAATCATCTCAGGAAAGCCCATGCAAAGTCACAACATTTGAAGGGCAGAAAAAAGAATTGAGGCTTCTGATGGCACTGGTTTCCTAACTTACTTGACTTTAAATGGGAAAATATTGAGCATTCCCCAAAAGGACCATTATTGACCCAGCTGGGAACTCAAATAACAAGAAGGCAATAATCTGAGCTAAAAGAATTCTGTTTTCTGTGTGGAATTCTGCTTATATTTTGGTATCCGCTTTTTAAAATTCTTGGATAATGCCCGAGGAAAAGAAATAAACAGGAAAGGAGCCATAAAATTTTAAAATTTCTCAAAATACCGTGTATTATTCTCCAGCCACTGACCACTTTTGATGAGTATAATAGAATTTGGCATATATTTATAAAACAAAAAACCCAACAAACATTTTCATGCAAATGGTTTACAGTAATCAAATAGTAAACTATCAGTTTACTGATCAAATAGTTTACAGTAATTTCCACTTCAATGACATAATTATAATTCCAATTGACTAAGCAACTTATGAAATACAAAAGCCTTCTGGAAATGAAGTTGGCAGTAGTTGTCAGATTGAGTGGTACTTGTAGATTCTCTGCCTTTGTGAAATTATGGGACTTAGAAGGGGAGTAGCTGTGACATGACTATCAACTGATTTTCATATATTTACCAAGTCTACAGACCACTTCCCAGGATAACGCAGTGCTCTCAGTTGGCATCCAGACTTTCAAGCTAGACTGGTCCCCTGATAAGACGTTAATTAGATGGTAAAATTTGTGTTGAAACCTTAGAAATCAGATAAAATGTGGAATTAAGAAATATATATTTGGAGATTGATGAACTCTTTCAAGTCTCTGTAGAACATACTTTTTCAGTACTCTCCTATAATATTATCTTAGTTCTATTTATGTAAGTATTAATTGTTAGGACACAAAAAAATCACTAGTTATATGTGGAAGTTAGGAAATCTAGACCATTTTGGATAATAATGTCCAAAAAGTAAGGGGTGATAGAAATGTTTTAACAAACATTGAGTCAGACAAAAAAAAAAAAAACAAAAAACTGGAGTAGTTAGATTAAGATAACTTTCTCTATGAGGTTTCTGATTAAATCACATAACACTTTATTATAAGGAATTTTAATAATTATGTTCCTATCCCTTGGGAAGTAAAGCAAATGTTTCTAGGAGTTCTTAGATCTATCTCCCGAATGTAGTTAAATATTAGTAAATGTTTTATCTAGAAATAATAAGACCCTATCTCTACTTGTTATTATTTTGGAGATGTGTGGGATTCATTAGATTCTTATTAAACTAAATTTCTTCTGAGTGAAGATGCATCTATTCTTCTCAACTTTTGTGTTTGGCAATAATTTTACACTTCCCCTTACCCTGAGTCATGTGCTACAATTATTTTTACTTTACATAATTGAAATTAAAATTTATTTGGTGTTTTCTTTTGACATGTTTTATCAAATGCCTAATTCATGTGTTTTCTAATATTTTTCAGATCATGTGATAAAATAACGCAATAAATAAAAAAGCAGAAAAGTACACATATGTATTAGTTGCTGTAGTACTAAAAAAAAACTCATATCATGATTCTTCCGAAACTTAGCATAACTCTGGGTGATACAGTCTTCAGCTATCAGTGTCTTGGGCTCATGTGGCTATTCATCGGGCACATATTAGGGATATGTATACTGTTATATGATGGTATATTGGTTTCACAAGTGAACCATTTCTTTCTCAGTCCTCTTCACTGCATTCAATGCAACCCTGTGCACCCAACTGCTTCAGCCTGAAATGTGAGAGTTGACCTTGACGCTTCACTTTTCGTCACTTCTCTACATCTGCCACATCAGCAAGCACCGGCTGTTCATTTATTCAGAGTCACCAGAGAAAACAGAATTCAACACAAATGGTTCAAATAAAAATACTTCAGTGAAAGGACTACTCACAGTGAAGTGAGCAGAATTATGGATAAAATAAGGAGTGGTGAGGCAACCAGAGACTAGCAATAGTAGAAAGCTGAGAATGTCCCAGGGGCTGAAGGGATAATGAGTATCTTAGTCAGTCTTCATTGGGCTGCTATAACAAATTAACATAGACTTGTGGCTTATAAACAACGAAATTTATTTTTCATAGTTCTGGAGGCTGGAGGTCTGAGATCAGGGTGCCAGCATGGTTGGGGTCTGGTGAAGGCCCTCTTCCGAGTTGCTGACTGCCATCTTGTCATATCCTAACAAGGTGGAAAGATGGTAAAGAGCTCTCTAGAGTCCCTTTTATAAGTGCACTAATCCTTTTCATGAGAATACCTCCTGACATAATCACCTCCCAAAGGCCCCACCATCTAATACTATCACCTTGCTCTAAGATTTCACCATAAGAATTTTGTGGGGACATAAACATTCATACCATTGCAAAGGGAAAAAGGAGTGTTGCAAGAGTCAGAAATACCCAAGGAAGTGAAAAAGAGCCCATGCAAGAGGAATTATACTCTTGAAAAGATGCAGAAACTCAGAAGTTCAGGCCTGAAGTAGGAAGTATGTGAAAAAAGAAATACCTTTGAACCTTCCAATTTACTGCTAGCAAGTCCTGTTGGCCAAATCCAACTAGAAGTCACCTGGAAAGGGAGCATGGGTGACACAGTCTGGATGATCAGCCTCCTAACTGCTGAGTGCTGCAGAGAAGGATGAACAAGTTTGGAGGATTAAGAGGACAAACTGAGAATAAACCTAATGTTGTACCTTAAATATTTATCCAAAATTAGTCCTTTTTTTTCATCTCATGGAAACTACCCTACTCTAAGCCTACTCTTTACCCTACTTTTCACTTCACTGCTCATTCTTTAACCAGGCATGGCTACCTTCCAATATCAGGGTGACTTTTAAAACCAACTAAATTATAAACTTCTCCTGCTTATAATTTCAATAGTATTCTACCACACTTGAAATAAAACCAATTTTTTTTACCAAGTGGTGGGCACAAGACATAAGGTTGAAATGGACAAAATGACAGAAGATATGAAATTCTTTGCCCCGAGTTGTCTATGGCACTGATTGTAACTGTACTACATTTTCCCTTCCAGGCCCAACACAGCCACAAGTTCTTGACTAGGCTATCTGTTTATTCACACTGAAATAAAATCAGTGCAGATCAGCTCTTCCCATAACCCAATGTGGGGATGCAAAAGACCTTTGATTATTTAAATGCTTTATTAAACAGGTTAATAATGGCAGTCCACCTTTTCTTTATCTCTCCATCTATATTTCCGTAATTCCCATGAGGAGAAAATATTACGGAGCCCAATGATAAGAGAGTAGGCAACTTTTTCCAGGTTTTTCTTGAAATTTGTGAAATGTGATATTTGAAATACAATTGAGAAAGCCATTGGCTCAACTCTTTATGCACAAGGAAAAAAAAATGAGGCTCAGAAATTTAAATGGATTTGTTCCATGTCAATAGAGTTAAATAATGGTAGATTCTGTTTCAGAATCCAGTTTCTCTTGCTCCCAAGTCAATTTTCCAGTAATCAGTTTGGATTTCTTCACAGTTAGTAACTGATTTCTGTCTCTAATACCATTTAGAACATATAATGTGGTGCCTTTTCAACACTAGATCCTAACTTATTTGTTTGGATCCTTTAGTACTTGCTCAAAAAGCAATACAATAAATAAAATGCTGCTTCTTTTTTGCTGTTATCAAATACATCCCAGATTAAAATAAATTGCTTGTCCATCAGAAATACAATCCTGACAATCACTAGCTACTCTTTACAGAGGTTGAGGAAAATCGGTACATTGCTATTGTTTGTCAGTGTTGTGGCAGCTAATGACACACTTCTAGGTTTCAGAATCATAACAGCCATGTACACTCAAGCTTCCCACAGCGATCAGCTTGTAAGAGTCTACTGCTGCTACAATGAGTTTTTATCAAGGTTAGTGCAAATTTTGTCTTTAACTTTATTGTTGTTTGTCATGGTGGATGCATATGTGTTGATGATGGTGAACAGATTTGGTTTAGAAATGGTAGAAAGTGCTAGGGTTGTCTTAAAGAAAATCAAACACGTAACTGGCATCAATCTATCTAAAAATGATCCCCTAAAAGAACAACTTTATAATTTGGGTTTGCTTTGAGTGAAGATTTCCTCATGCTCTATTTAAGCTCTCTTTAGTACAATCAGAACTATAGAGTTATTTTTAGAATATAATATCGGCTTCTTATTTTATTTTATTTTACTTATTTATTTTCTTTTGGAGAGACAGGGTTTCACCAGGTTGTCCAGGCTGTTCCCAAACTTCTGGACTTGAGCAATTCACCAGCCTCAACCTCCCAAAGTGTGGGTATTACAGGCGTGAGGTACCACCCCCAGCCTAAAATACTGACTTCTAGCAATTAATATCCTAAGGTAAAATTATTTGCCTTTGTCAATGTTTTCCTTTAAGACTTCATTTATTATAAAAGTTTCAAGTTCACAGAAAAATTGTTCAGAAGGTAGAGAGATTTCCCACATAGTCCCTGCCCCACCATGTGCGTAGCCTCTCCATTATATTGTCAGTGTTCCCCAGCAGATTGGTATACTTGTTAACAATTGATGACTGATCTTGCTTTTTTTTTTCCTTCTTTTTTTCACAGGTAACACTTATTTTCCGTTGTATATCATGTCATGCCCCAAGTGACCATACATTGCCATTCAATTCTAATCAAGAAGTTTTCATAGAATGAACATTTCCTAAGAATCTATTACATACCAAGCACTTGCTAAGAAGTGGAAGTATTAAGATAAATAGGTTATACTTCATGCACTCAAGGAACTAAGATAACTTAGGATAAAGATAATATTATAAAAAGTGAGTAGCATTTGTTTACTCCTTTCTTTAACCATTATTAAACACTATCTGCTAAACACTGTCAGCTTCTAGGGATACAAAGCTGAACAGAATATAGTCTCTGGCCTCAATCACCTCAATGCCTGTTGCGGAGACAGACATACACAAAGATCAATATAATATATTATATTTATGTATAAGTATAGAGATATGCAAAGAATATTATGTGAACACAAAGAAAGAGGAGCTAGTTTCAGGCTTGATGGGTCAGGAAAGGTTTTTCTGGAGGAACTGTTAGCTATGCAGTAGAACACAGATTATAAAGATATAAAAGTGAGAAAAAATATATTGCACACGGGGATATACTGGTAGTTGTGGTTGACACAGTGTAAAATTTAGTGCAGAAAGTGGTGAGATACAAGGTCAGAGAATCAAACAGGGTCAGATTTTCAAGGATTTTGACTGTCATATCAGACTGACATTTGCCCTTTGGTCCAAAAAATGGTTTAGAACAGAAGAGCAGCGTAACTGTATTTGTATTTTGATGCACCATTTTATCAGGCTGAATTTGCTTGGTACAAGATATAAAGCAGGGAGCTGAATTACAGGGCTGGTGTATTAGAGCAGCCCTGTAATGATCATAGATGAATGAAGAGAGTGGTAGGCAGTATGAATAAAAGGTTAGGAAATCATTAAGCAATGATGCAGATATGCAAGAATTTGTGATTGATTACATGGGATGAGGTGAATAAGAGAAAGGAAGCAGTTTCATATCTCAATCTTTAGGGAAAAGACAATTTTAAAGCAATGGATTCATAGAAAAAGATGTTGAGTTAAAATGTTGAGTTAAAATTTTGGGTGGAGATGGTAACTTCCAGGAGGGCAGTGCAAAATCTATTTTCTTAATAACCATACGCCTGATGCACAATTCATGTTGCATTGTAGGCAATCATGTACAGTGGAATCAAAGAGGAAGCCAGATTAAATAATAAGTGCCAAACAGTAAATAGAGGGTCAGGAAGTAGAGTCAATGTGTTTATATAGTTCTTTGTAAAGGAAAAATGGAGTGAGCTAGTTGGTAATTTCATGTCAAGGGAAGTAATTTTTTGAAATGATAGTTTTAAGGATGCAAATAGGATGAAAAATTACATGTGGAAAGAGATTAAGAAAGAGGGAAGGAAAAAAGAGGGATAACGCTTTGTAAAAAATAAAATTCTCATAAAAAAATCAAGGCGTTGCAGAAAGCTGAAGACAAGGCAGATTTGTATTAAAATGTTAGAGGTAAATCTCATTCTCAAAAACCAGAAGCGAGGTGAGGAGGGGTGAAAATGTCAATAAATGTGTAAATAATAGAGTGGAGATTGAGTGTGGTGGAATCCTGACATAAGGGGCGCATTTGCCTGCTGAGAGTTCTGAGATCAGGGACTGAAGAAGAGGTTGAGAAGAAGTGTGAACATTTGTTATTGGAGGATATCTGGAAGAGAAATAAGTGAGGATAAATGAAAGGACTGACAGATAGTACTAGGCAAAATAACTGTGGTTGAAGGGTAGACATTTGGAGTGATGTCTCTATGTAAATTTTCTACAGATAGGGCTCAGCCCTCTAGGCTTTGAACCAGTGAAAATGAATAGTAATTTTTGCCAATGTTACCGTTTTACTGGGTGAATACCTTTAAGGATAAAAGGGAAAGAAATTTAGGATGTGGTGAAAAAGTAGTTTAATATTCATAGGATTTAGGCTAACTCAGCAAAGAATAGATGTTTTGAGGAAAGAAAACTGAGAGATTAAGGAATTATGAGTATAAAGTTAAAGAGCAGATGAAGTGTGATTATAAAATAAAGTGCAGAAGGTTTTGATCAGTGCACAGTTCAGTTCAGAATTTCAGAAGTAACACAGTTACAGGCAAAATATTTTTACATATTATGGCCATGGGAGTGGATGGCTCAAATACGGGTGAGAGCATCACTAAACCATGGGGCTAAAGTTTTGGATAAAATTATCTCCATGGATTTTGAAGACATCTAGCTGACGGCTGGACTTAAGGTGGAGAAGAAGACTGGTATAGAGATTAAAGAATTCAGTTAATGTGTTAATGTTAATAGATCTTGAGTAAATGCCAAAGATAAGTACAGATAGAGAAGAAAAGAAGGAATTTTTTTTTTTTTGCATAGTTATGTGGAAGCAGTCCTGGAAAGCTGAAAGCATGTTCATATATCTCCCACTTAAAGGCACACGGTGTGTGAGATAATGAATAGACTACCTTTGGAAGCATGGATAGAAGCTATGTGATGTGGGGAAGAGCTAGAGTTCAGTAAACATCTAGTGTAGAAACCATTTAAAACTAGATTAAGAATAGACATTATTTTGTTTGCTATTTCATGGGAGTAGTGGAAACATTTGAAAGGCAACAGTAAGAGATTTGGTGAAAAGAAAGGAAGTGCAGAAAATAATAAAAATGAGAATATAGTATTGTAAGATGAATAATTGAGGAAGCAAGTAAGGAGGCTAAGAGAGAGAGGAAATGCTTCTCCTACTATTATTTAAAGGAGGAGTAGCAATTATTCAAAAGGCTGCTATAATTCTGCAAGAAGGAGCATGTACAAAGAAGACAGAAGAGACTACAGTAAGAATAGTAAGGTGGCTGTCATGACTTGTGAGGGTGCGGTGTACAGTACAAAGTGGGTGGATATGTGTGTGTGCATGCTTGTGGATGCATGTGCACCAGTTGGCATAGTAATAATGTCAAAGTGATTTGAAATGAAATTGGAAAAGTATAATGAGAAGCGTTGTAAAGCATCTGGGCTGTCATTCCATGACCATTTCTATTTGACCTAAAAGCAAAACAGAGATTTACAGTAATGTATTCAAATCTGTGTTTAAGAAGCAAACCTGAGCTGGGAGTGTGAAATATACAGGAGAGTGAAAAAATGAGGAAGCTTGATCAGGAGTTAATATTATCACACATCATGTCAGGTGAGAGTGGAATGGCTGTGAAAGAAAATATGAGGCTTAAGATATTTAGCTGTGTGATTGATAAAATACTCAGGGAGTTTGAGGATGACTACAATATTTTCCACTTAAGAACATGAGTTAATTGAGATTACATTAAATGAAATTAAGTTTGATAGGTCTAGAGCATGTTATACTAAAAGTATATATTAAGAAGTTGAAAAAAGAAGTCTGAAGCTCAAGAAAGAGATTAATTTGCTGGAATATATGCTTAAAAACATTTGGGTACAAATATTAGAATAAAAATGATAGATAAAAGGAAGATTGTCAAGGTGAGCATATTAAACGAAAGTAAAGCAGGACCGTGGACAGAGCCCTGAGTAGCATCAATTTTTCAGAGATGGCTGAGAAGATGATCAGCTGAAAGAAGGAGGAGGGAGGAGCAGTCAGAGAGATAAATTAAAAACGAGAGTATATTTTCACAAAAATATATTGAGAGAGTGGCAAGAATTGTGAAAGGCCTGACATTTTTACCTTACTTGGAAGGTAACTAGTTGGCCTTTTGCTATTCTCTGGATGCCGACAGATGCCACAAGACTCCTAGGTCAGAGATGAAAGACTTTATTACTCACATCAAAGCAGTAGCCTGATTGTCTGCGTGGTCATGTTGGTTCTCTGATCTTCAGTTCCCATGGGGGTAACGCAAGTGGGCATAGATTGATGTCTGCACACACAGTAGGCTGCATTACAAGAGAAGGACACTGGCCCTCGGAAACTTACTGGTTCATTGCACCCTATAAATAAGCCTGGTTTTTGTCCCAGGGGGAAACATTACCTCATCCCATTGAGGTTGCAAACAGAAACCTGAGGAATGGCACTGGTAGAGTGGTCAGGTCCTTGCATTTCTGGTCAAACTCAACAAAAAGAATAATTAGCCCATGGAAGACTCTTCCAATAGAAACTTTCAGAGAAGGTATGGCCAGAATATCAACTGATGCAAGAAGGTAGGGTGGCTCTGGAAAGCAGCTCATGGACTTGGGCATTAGAGAGAGGCTTCTGGTAATCCTTCAAAGTGGACATGTTTCCTGTTTGGTGTCATTTAACTAAATGTTCCACAAACTGGGGTTCACTGACTTCTCATGTTTTTGGACATATCCTAGGAATGTCACAGGTATCTATAAAATTTTAATATTGTAGTTCAATTTGATGTATTCTAGAAAAGATAAGGTAAGCATATGCTGAATTACTTGCATGACCATCTTATATAGTCATTTGATTTCTATATTTGCATGTTTGATTATCATGGATGTCTCAGATGCTATTACTTTAGTTGCTCCATGCCAAAGAGAAAAAGAACAGAGCCAATGTTGATATGAAAACAAATGTCTACCCCAAATTAAAGACAAATAGTATATTGTAGGTTCTAAGAAAAAATGTTTTGCAGGAGTTTAAATATGGAAAAGTTGTAGATCTATGCCATAACACATAATATTGATTAATAAATGATACCAAATTTGAAAGAAACCGAGCTATGTCTCTCAGTATCATATCCATGTTGCCAGTGTGAACTTGTAATCAGCAAAATGAAATGTTTTAAATATGATTTTATTAGTTTTATGATGCTTTAAAAAATCTAATATGTTGAATTCCTCACATTGCTACATGGTTCAAATATGATTTAAAAAATTAAACTTCTTTTCTTCCCTTTCATTTGCATATTGTCCCCTTCTCTTTACTACTATACACATACACACCTAGGTAGCCAGTATTATTACATTCTCATATATTTTTTCAGAATTTTATTTCTCACAATAAAGCACATAAGAATATATTTGTTGTGGGCTGAATTCTGAAGGTGCCTTACGAAGATCCTTCTTCCCTAATTATTCAATCCAATACTAATCTAGATACTACTGTGGGTACTTTGCACATGTAATTAAAGTAACTAATCAGCTAAACTGAAAATAAGGAGATTATTTTAATTATCCTGGACTCAAGATCAAAAATCCCTTTAAAGACAAAAACGAAAGGCAGAAAAGTCTAATAAGAGAAAAAGAGGCAGGAATACGAGGCAGAAGAGGAAACCAGAGAGATTTGGAAAGTAAGAAGGATGCAATTTGCCATTTCTGGTTTGAAGACAGAGGGTCCCATAGGCTAAAAAAAAAATCTGTGTAGCCTCTAGAGTTCAGAACAACATCCAGCCAAAAGCCAGCAAGAAACGGAGACCTTGGTACTGTAAGCACATGGAACTGAATTCTGCCAACCACCTAAATGAGCTTGGAAGTATATTTTTCCTCTGGAATCTCCAGGTAAGAGGCCAGGCCAGCCAACACTTTGATTTCATTCTTGAGGAACCTTACCAAGAATAACCACCCATGGCAACACAGATTTCTGACCTACAGAAGCCACGAGATAATAAATTTATGTTCTTAAGTGGGCAGTTCACTTGAGGTCAGAAGTTCGAGACCAGCCTGGTCAACATGGTGAAACCTCATCTCTACTAAAAATACAGTAATTAGCTGGGCTTGGTGGCATGCACCTGTAGTCCCAACTACTTGGGAGGCTGAGGCAGGAGAATAGCTTGAACCTGGGAGGCAGAGGTTGCAGTGAGGGAAGATTGCACCACTGCACTCCAGCCTGGGTGACAGAGCAAGATTCTGTCTCAAAAAATAAAAATAAAAATAAATAAATAAATAATTTAATTTATGGTTTTTTTTTACACTGTTGAGTTTGTGGTAACTTGTACGGCAAAAAATAGAAAATAAATGCAATCTTATTTTGCTTCCAGCACAAAGAGAATCATGGTATTACACTGTTTGCATTAACTTGTTTCCACTCAACCTCAGGGCTTGGAGAGGTTTACATAACAGTACACAGAGACTTTTGTATTCTTATTTACAGCTGCATAATACTTCACTGAATGACGTATCTTAATTTATTTGCCCAGGCCCCTATTGACAGATATTTGAGTTGTTTATCATCATTTGGTAATATACTGCAATAAATAACCTCATTCACACATAATTGACACACGTGCTAGTATATCTTAGAGATAGTTATTGCTAGAACAAAATTTATATAAATGTATTTTGATTAACATTGCTGCAGTGGTTGTTTCCCCATTCCCTACCCAGCTTTTAGACTGTGTAATTCCTCTGAACTTCTTACTTTTGACAAGGATTGTATAGTCTCTGTCTTCTTATCACATAATGTCCCTGGAAATCTTATGCTTCTATTGTACTTGCTTGGCTTCTGTTTTTCAAACATGCTGACTCTTTCCTGCCTGAAGGCTTTTGCACCAGATGTTTGCTTTGCCTATTACAGTCTCCACCCCACTTCAAGTCTCAACATAGCTGAATCGCCTTGCTCTTCAGGTCTCAGGTCATGTATTACCTCCTTAGAGAACAGTGTGAAGCATATAGTGGTTGGTTCATGCCTTGTTGACTGGATGAATAAATTATTAAATAATGCAGGAGATCAGAGAGCAGTATGGTCATAAACTCTGCTTGGAGTTGAGTAGTCTTGCACTGGGCAAGGACTTGCCAAGAATGAGGGCAGTGTAGACTCAGATTATGGACAGCCCTGATTACAACATTATGTAACTTGAAATTCACCCTGTAAACAAGGAGAATTACTGACAGTTTTTTAAACATGGCAATAAAGTGAGGAAATAATCTTTAAGATTTCTACCTTTAAAGTGAGGGGGTAGGGGTAAATAAATGATTATAGCATCAGGTATCATATATATCAAGCATGTAATTACCTATTATAAAAAATTAAGAAATTATCTTATTGTTTATCACCAGGTCTTTTGTGTTAGATTGTGGTATCATTATATGAAGACATTGTATCAATTCCTGATGTTTTATGTATTAGTGTATTGATGGTATCTGTCTGTTAATCATTGTAATTTTTATAGTATAAATTTTGTTTTATTGGAAGAATCTGAAAACTTATTCTAAAGGTAATATTCATACTATACTCTAATTATTTCTTTTAATTAACTCATATTAAAAAATAAAGATGAGTCTTAAAAGGAATTTATAAAGCACAAAATAGTTCATTGCCATATTTATTTTTAAGCTGCAGAGAAAAAATTCTTTTGGATTATCTCAACTTAGGATTTAAAAAGACTGATAATACATAGTAGGATGAGATAATATGGCATAAATTTTTTTAAAAGAAAGATGTAATATACTGGATATTAGATGGTTTTTTAAAGGAAGTCTAAATTTTTCTAAAAATTGTATGAGCACTTTCAGTGGTGGCACTTGCTTACTGAGGTCATTTGATGTTTTCAGAAAAACCAATGGACATGGAAGCGTCATCGATGACACGACACGTAACTACTTTCAGCCTCATTTCAGCGTCATCGATGACACGACACATAACTACTTTCAGCCTCATTTCAGCGTCATCGATGACATGACACATAACTACTTTCAGCCTCTAAAGAACTGACAGCAGCTAAGGATAATTTCTAATGCCACAAGCTCAGGATGGATTTGACAAAGGAACTGCTCTGGAGAAATATAATTTTTAAAGTACTGACCTTATACTAAAAAGAAAATATTTGAGAAGCAAGTGGAAGAGAATAAAATATTAGGGTTTGGCACTTCTGTAAGTGAGCCTATGTGTGTGGGAAAAGTGAAGGGATTAAATATAAGACCTGAATTCCCCATATTTCAACTTGGAGTTGTTTAAATTTTTTCAAACATGTTTTTACATTTAAAACAAAAACACCATAATAATTAGAGATAATTAGAGATAGTTTTTCAGTTTGCATGACCCTGCCCAACAAGAGTCGGTCTTCACAATCAATTTGACCAGCAAAGTGCTCTACACCATTTCCAAATGCTTTTCTGTGGGCCAGTGCCAGCCTCAGTTGAGAAATGCTAGACCAGGAGGACCAAATTTATTCCCCTTCTTCAATTCCGAGCAAAAAGCAGAGTAACAGCATGAGAACTTGGCACAGGCAGATAATGATGAAGAGGAGAAAGAATTAATGAGGTTTATTTATGTACATAGAAATAAATACCATTATGCCAAAAGTCATAGTGTATCAGACTTGCAGAATTAAAATTAAATTGACAAACACAAAATATTGTATTTTCAAAAAAATGTTAAATCTTACAGGTCATTTTTTTCTTAAAGCTAAGTAGTGTGTGGCTAATCCGATGAAAGGACTGAAGGATTAATCACATTTTGTGGTGTTATATTTGATTTTGACTCAGTAAAGCTATGTTTTGGGCAAATAGCCAATTGAGAAGCAATTATTAGACATACATTAGAAGCCTAAAATAATGCTGGTATGATAAAGTTAAGCTAATGCCTATGTTGCAAAGAGCTTTAAAGTGGAGTTTAACAGTCCCTAGAATTTGTGGGAATCAAAAATTTCTAGTAATGTAGCATTTAACTATATACAAAGTAAAGTGGGAAATATAGGCTATCATTCATCTAATTTAAACCAGAACATAGGTTGCGTCAATTGCCTGTGTTTTTAGCTGACACACTTTTGACTTGAGTTATTCATATTAATTGCAGCAATTCTCCATGTCTCTTTGCATTTATAGACAGTTTTGGATTCATAGAAATAGTTTTGCTTGCTTCTTGACATTCTGTCAGAGAGCTATGCTCTGAGTACCCTAAAACTTCAAAACTCTTGAGTATAATGCTATTAGCAAGTTGTATATCTACTGCACTCAGCGGGGGAGCAAAAGGATTAGGAGACAGTATGGAAAATTGCTTAACTGGTGCTTTCGATTATTGATGAGAAGGCAGAATAATCCAGAAAGGGACTGTGTACCTCCCACAGCAATGTATTCTCTGATTAACTCCAGGATGCTGATATTAGAATGTACTTCGGTTCAATGGATCTGCGAAGAGATTATTTTATTAGCAGAGGGAGAACACATAAAACAAATTGATATACGTGATAGCTAAGAGTACATGACAAGTCCTCAAATGGTGTAGCCTTAATGAAAATATTCAAATAAAATGTATGTATATCTATGATAAAAGGAGGAATATTGAAGTTGTTAAGACAGGTACTTTAAAAAAATGGGGGTATATGAAGTAGAGAAACATAAGGTGGGAAAAACTGGAAACTGATAGCATGTATTTTGCAACAAGAAATTTGTTGACATATATTTGGAAACAAGTACTATAAAGAGCATAAGTAGATTTTTGGATATCGCTTTAGTGGAGATCACCAGGGCCTTAACAAAGGAGATGGGGAAATGTTTTCATAGATTGGCAAAGGCACGTTCTTTGATCCTGGCGGGATTTTAATTGCTTTGCCGTTGATTGGCATGCAACTATGTTGAAATGAAGGAAGAGAACATATTTCGAGAGCTGTTTCAAGGATTGCTTTCCGATCACTTCAGTGAACAACTTAGGTGGTTAGAGGCTATTTTGGACGATAGCCTAGAAATGGCTCTGAGTAAGATAAATAAGGCTGAAATAGAAGAAAGTTGCTATCTCACACTGTAATCACAATAACCTTCACTTAAAAATACTCTTGAGAGGTCAGGAAAGAAACAAGATCATTACAAAAAGAAATATACAAAATCTTAATTGGAAGAATGTCTGAAATGCTTGGGTAAATTTTGACTGTGCTCTTAATAGAAATGAATAGCAACAGTAGAGGTGTATTCCCCTTTGAGGTTTGAAGTGCCTCCGTGTGTGTGTGTGTGTGTGTGTGTGTGTGTGTGTGTGTGTGTGTGTACATGCTCACACAAAGCTCTGAACAAATGAAATGAACAAAGAGCTTCTGTGGGTTGCTCTGTCATTCTGAACTTGCTTCCTGAAAGATGAGCTAAAATGTGATATGACAAGACATGACAGGAGCAATAACCAGACCATGAAGAGTTCTTGACAAGGCACCTTGTGTACTGTTATTTTCCCTGGGGATTCATGATCTTACACTATGGGTCTGGAAGAGGGGAGTGTTTAGGACCCAAAACCCTCCACAAAAATTCTGTTTTCTTTCTATGATTATCTCCCAGCTGAAGGTACATTGAGAAACCGAATCAGGTGAAGCCTGTTCTGAGTACCCAACTATGGGATTATTTGCGTGTGCATACTGTTTTATTTTTGTTTTTGTTTTTTGTTTTTGAGACAGGGTCTTGCTCTGTAGCCCAGGCTGGAGTGCAGTGGTGTGATCACAGCTCACTGCAACCTTGACCTCCTGGGCCCAAGCAATCCTCCCATCTCAGCCTCCCAATTAGCTAGGACGGTAGACGTGCGTCATCACACTCAGCTAATTTTTTAATCTTTTGTAGAGATAGGATTTCACTATGCTGCCCAGACTGGTCTTTAATCCCTAGGCTCAAGCAGTCCTCCTGCCTTGGCCTCCCAAAGTGCTGGGATTCCAGGCATGAGCCACCATGCCCAGGCTAAAGTGTGGCTCTGTGTAGGCTTTGCTTAATAACATCTGCTTCTATTTTTGTTCAAATTAACCATGGTGTGCCCTGTTTTTTGAAGTACAGGATTGTGGGTTAATTTTTGAAAACTGTCCACTGGAGTAGCACTTTTAATTTCCTTTCAGACTTTACCTTTGCATTTATAGCTTGACTATTTGGTGCAAGATGCCCAGCTTTCAGACTATCTTGGCTTTTGGCATGTCTTTCTCACTAAGATGAATCATTTCTAGCGTTTAAGTGAGAAACCTGGGACTCTTCCATTTACTTGAATACCACAGGCCACCATAGGGTTATTCATTAACCTAATATCTATATAGTAAGAGGGAGAGAGATGGGGTATGACTGGTGAGTGGAGCAGTCAGAACACACACAACATTTATGGATTAAGTCTGACCTTTAATATGGGTGCAGTTAGTGGTGCTCCCAGAAAATTACAATGGTAACATCGAAGACCACAAATCACAGATTATTATAACAGATAAAATAATGATGAAAAGTGTGAAATATTGCAACACTTACCATAATGTGACACAGAGACACAAAGCGAGCACATGATGTTGGAAAAATGGTACCAATAGACTTGCTCAATGCAGACTTGCCACAAATATTCAATTTGTGAAAAACAATAAAGCAATGCACAATAAAAGGATGGATGCCTGTAAACAAATCTAGTATAAGTGTAGTGTAAGTGTCAATAACTAATCAGCCCCCACATTTCTTCTATGCAGCTCTTCACTCTCTCTAGATGGGGCTAACTTTATAATTTCCAGGTTATTACCTAGGGCAATTTTAAATTAGCCACAAATAGAAAAGAAAATCTTTTTCTCCTTTCACACCTATCAGTGGAAGCAGTGTCCCCAAACCTAAAGCAAGCCCTCCACCTGGGCTTTGGGTCCAATCCCCTCCTGCCTACTTTTAGTCCCTTTCTCCATCGAATAGCACCTGTCTTTTCTGGATCTTCATTTTTCTCATTTTTCACAATTCTATTTGAATCACCAAAGCCCTCTTTAATATTAAATCTAAAGAAAATTGGTTTTGATTGCAAATCTTACTTTTCTAATTTGCTTCCTTGCCTTCTATTTTTTCTTGCTACTTCCTCTAAAACTTCTTTCACAAGATCTTTTTCTCCACCCATACTTTATTAGTTAATGTTCCCTTAATGTTGATCTTGTTTTCGTTTTTCCTTCTAAGTGTTCTCTTCTTGCTCATGTCTTTAACTACTGTTTATATTCTTATGGATCTCAGATCTGTGTCTCAAATGCATAGGTTTGCCTAAGGAACATCTAAGTTTTACAAGCACTTCAAACTCAGTATTTCCAAATCTGGACTCATATTTCCCCTCCAACATAGTCCTGTATTCTCTACTTAACTTCCCAGAGGGCCTAACTAGATACATGGCAATCAATCGAGATACCCACTTTCTTTCACTGTCCCCACCAAACCACTCAATCCTCCAGCACTGTAGATTCAGCATCTTAATCCCCTCCCTTAACCAATCTTGTCCTCGATTGCCACCCCCACAGTCTTAGGACTGATTTGAGGATAATGTACTCTTCTTAATGGTCTACCACATCCATGATAGTCCCTGTGCTTAATTCATTTTTCATATTGCAGATAAAATGTCAATTTAATCATACAATTCTCTTTTTTAAAACTGCTAAATTCCTGCTCAAAACTTTCAGGGTAAAGGTAAACATCTTAGCTTAGAGTGTTAAGTCCTTTCTTTTTCTAGTGCCTGTCTACCTGCTTTACTTTCTTCTCCTCCCCTAGTACCTCATAAACTTATAATAATGGTTCCCTTACATTCACCTCTACTCTTTTTCTGGAATGTTCTATGTCATCACTGCCCATGCAATATAGCTACTGCTCCTGCTGCCCCCTGCCCAAGAGTTATCTATTTCCTATTTGCTTTCAAATATCATCTCCAGGAATCCATTTCTGATCTCACAGTCTGAATTAGGAATCATCCACTCTTGTGACTTGTTCATTTGTTAACATGATATTCTATAATTAGTGACCTCCTTGTCTATATCACACATCAGACTATGGATTTCTTAAGGACAGAGACTGTGGCTTGATAAACTTCATATCCTTATTGCCTGGCAGGTGCCTCCTGCATAGCAGGCATCATCTTTTGAATAAAATTTGATGAAATGTGGATTTGTCCCATCACTCCTCATTCCTAGGGTGAAGTATATAACCCCATTGTGGGCCCCTATTCCACATTTAACCAGGTTAATAGAAGAGCACCTTTGCAAAAAAGTAAAAATGAGACTGTTATTATAATAATGAAAGCAGATGCCTTATATGATCTAATAAGGGACTTAAAGTTCAAAGTAAACAATTCTTTGGTATCCTCTCTTGGTGAAGTATTTATATTTGATGGTCTGATGGTAAAATCTCACTATCAGATGGTCAAACATAAACATAAATCATTATATGTGGTAATCTTGTCTTCGTATTGACAAGAGGTTAAAAATGATAATGAAAAAGTTCAACATGATAGTCATGAGAGTTCTGAGAATGTGGTTTAAATGTGACTTTATGTTTTCATAGATCTGATTTGAGAAAGGGATTACAGAGAAAAGGGTTGAGAGTTTGTATTGATGAGATGAAAGTTTGTCAATCTTAGTTGTTGTAAAAGTAAAATGACAAGTGATGCATTTTACCAGTAAAAAGGAGAGATACCAAAAATATTAACTGTGACTATGTCATTTTAACTAGATAAACTATTTGTGAGAAATGTAAGATAAACTTATTTCTAAATTATATATTGGCTGTGTTTTTAAGTAATACACCCAAATTATTTTTCTTTAGTCTTCAGACACTTTTCTGATGAAGCATCTCTAAATTTAAAGTGGTGTGTACAAGTGTTAATCTGAAGAGAGTGCAATAAATACACCCTTTTTTTTTCTATCTAGACACTTTTGACATTCTGTGTTATATTTATTATACTGCTTTCAGATTAACAATTGGTTCCATTGTGGTAAATTTAAAGGTACTTCACCTGAAAACATGTTGAGCATTATTTGAAACTGTAACTTACATATTGTTTTAAGGTAAGTTTATTCTATGTTTCTCAACTTTGTGGATATCCTGCATTATAAACATATTATATATTACACATTCTTAAGGATATAAAAAAGCTCATGGAATATATGTTAAGTAAAAAAGAATCAGGATATAAACATACAATTTTATGTCCCAAATTTATGAATATATTTGGAAGGAAATATGATACGTTAATAGTGGTTATCACTACCAGTGTGATTTCCTGAATTTTATAAAGTTTTTAAAAGAACTATATCTTATTCTTTACAGTTACAAATATATTTGTAAATTATTCACTATTTTCCTGATACTTTCCACAGAAATATTCTTCATAAAATGAATCTTTGAGAACATGTTAGTAAGTTTGAGAGGGTGGTTTGGATGTTTGAGTGTTGGGTAATTTTTAGAACTCCTCTGGTTAGTAGTCTAAATTAGTGATATTTGCTTAATCCTGCCTTTGAATGGTTACTTGTAATCATAGTCAAGAGCATCTATTTCACAGTGGCAATGCCAAACCTGTTTGATAATGTTTACTGACAATTACAGGCTTAGCTAAGAAGCAACAACAGGGAGTAAAGCAGTCTTTGAATAAAGTCAGCTTCAAAATGAACAGCGGTAGGGGACTGATTGGCTCAGTTTTATTTAACATTTTTAAACCTGATCTTTGACATTTTCATTAGTGAGCAGAAATAGCACATTGATGCAATTCTCAGGTGGCTCAAAGAGGAAAGTGCTAAACATACTGGAAACAACTAAATAATTCAGAAGAACCTGCTATGTATAAAAATGGAGATATATATGGAGAAATTTTAGGATGCAGCAATACAGAAAGCTAGGCAATATTTCCTTCACTTTTTTCCTATTCTTTGGGAGACAACAATGTATGTGTGGAAATCAACCATTCTGTTGGCAAAATTTTGGAGATTTATTAGAATTATAGTTGTATTGCACAGACAAAGAACTGTGGAAGTTTAGTAATAGGTTGAGGCAATTTTATTCTTGATTTCTTACAAAGGTTTATGGAGATAATAAGAAATTCTTCTAAGATCTTTCCCATCAACTACACAAAATAAAAGGAGAAACTAGAATTAACTGGATAAATCATGTTCAAACAATTGTATAATGCTAATATATATTACTACATAAAGATTGGAGAGGACTGGCATGGTGGCTCATGCTTGTAATCCCAGCATTTTGGAAGGCTGAGGAGGGCGGATTGCTGGAGATAGTAGTTCACAACCAGCCTGGGCAACAAGGTGAAACCCTGTCCCTACTAAAATACAAAAAATTAGCCGGGTGTGGCTGTGTGCGCCTGTAGTCCCACCTACTTGGGAGGCTGAGGCAGGAGATTTGCTTGAACCTGGGAGGCTGAGGTTGCAGTGGGCCGAGATCGCGCCACTGCACTCCAGCCTGGGCATGACAGAGCAAGATTCTGTCTCAAAAAAAAAAAAAGAAAAGAAAAAAGATTGGAGAAAGAGGGGACTTTACTGAGATTTCATCATGTTACATTCCTGCTTCTTTGGCTGCCCACTGCCTATCCTTTGATTGTCAAATGAAAATAAGCATATCACCAAGATTATGTGAGAGTATGCAGGGAGTATGTAATATAAGGTCACAGAGTGAATACAGAACATGCTAAAATATCAGTTATTAAGTAGAGAACTCTCTCTCAATGTCGTTGAAGTCAATGTTTAAATGACACATTGAGAACTATCTCCCAATGTCACTGAAACCATACTCCAACCCCCTCACCCCCAGATAAAGCCTCTAAATGTAAATTAATATGAAGTTCAAATAACAGTGTTGTTACTGAACAGTAAGAATTGACTCTGTTCCTAAAATGGGAATTGCTTGTGCAGATCTTGTTTCTTTCTTCAACTATTCATTGATTCAGCAAATTTTATTTAGCCAAACTATTTGCAAGTTATTGTAGAAACTAAGAATGGTGACTTACTGGAGGTCTTAAAGACAGGGTGTCACATCATGCTTTTTCTTCAGCTCTGTATTGAGCAGAGAGTGTCCTTGTTAAACAACTAACACATGGTACCATAATGAAAGATGGAATCAAACTTCCTCAATTTAGATCCTGGTCTGAAAACTTATTCTCCCAGGAGACCCTGGCAACTTATTCAACATCTCTGAGTCTTAGCCCCTCCTCTTTACATTAAAGGATTACATTTAGACTTTTAACAGTGTCCTAACATGATAAGGATACCTAAATATTAGCTATTGCTTTCAAGAAGTTTTGTGTCTCTCTTTTTTTTCTTTCATTTAACATTTTTTAGGATAATAAAAACTTACAGTGCAAGTAAACTCAGTCTCTGCCTGTAATTTTTATAAATCTCATATTGTGTGTGTGTGTGTGTGTGTGTGTGTGTGTCTGTGTGCATATATGTGGAGGAAGAAAAATTAAATGTGTTTATGGAAAATGGGACAATCATGTTACAATGACAAGAAAACAGATTTAAAGGTTAGAGGGCAAAAGTCCCTGAAGCCATCAGTCCTCCATATTGCAGGATCGAAAAGACAAACAGGTTAGAGGGCAAAGTCCCTGAAGCCATCAGTCCTCCATATTGCAGGATCGAAAAGACAAACAGGTTAGAGGGCTTCATCAACTGAGAAACTGAAATACAATATAAATCTGGTGAAATGCTCTGTCACTAAATTCCAGAAACACCTCGACTAGAACACTCTATTCAATATCAGAGAAATTTTGCATGGTTGTTCATTGTTATAGATTGGGAATGTATTCTGGTACACATCTAAACAGCAGAAAGAGATAATACTGGTAATGCAGTGTGGAGTAATTATTTAAAACAAATCCAATATTTTCTTGTGTTAATGTTTATAAATTAAGATAATGCTGATGCCTGACTAAAATTTTTTTCAATTTATTTGAAAACTCAGTAATGTGTGCTCAGCATTTCAGACCAAAGGATAATTGGTTTTAGGGTCAATCCTATCAACTTTTAATTAATTCTTTGGAAGTCTTGAAACAGAAGAGAGAGCATAAAGTAATGCTATAAATGGGTTTGATGACCCTCCTTTCACTCAAAGCCATGCTTCAAAAGAAAATCCATACTTGCAATATTTTTAAACTTAAACTAAAAATAATATTAATGACCAAAATTCTGAAAGTTGAGTTTTAAAAATGCTTATTTTTTGCCATTGAACTGAGAAGAAAATGTAAAAAATCAAAATGAATTAATCAAGCCCCCATTATATATACCAAGAGAATTCAGGAAGGAAACAAAATATGATCTCAAATTCTCTTGAGAATGAATAATGAAGAAAGATTTAACTCAAGTTCATAATTGCAGCTAATGCATTCATCTTCTTCACAAACATAAGAGAGACTTTCCCTCATAAAAAAGTGCTCATATATTCACACAACCATGCCCACCTGGGTTAATGCCACTCGTTATACAATAAGAAGTAGTGAAACTAATTTATGACATCTCAATTTGAAATACTGAATTTGGGAGATGATATTGACTTGACCCACATAAGCTGAAAGGACAAATTACATATTCAGCATTTGCTTTAAGTTTAAGAAAGACACACACACACACACACACACACACACACACACACACTTCTCCAACTTACTTCTTTTTCTTATTATATTTTAGCATAGAATCTTGAAACATGAAGAAGCATGCTTTTTTCTTTTTTTTTTTTTTGAGACAGAGTCTCTGTAGCCCAGGCTGGAGTGCAGTGGCACAATCTTGGCTCACTGCAACCTCCTCCTCCCGGGTTCAGGTAATTCTCCTGCCTCAGCCTCCCGAGTAGCTGGAATTACAGGCGCCCACCACCACGTCCAGATAAGTTTTGTATTTTTAGTAGAGACAGGGTTTCACCATGTTGGCCAGGCTGGTCTCGAACTCCTGACCTCAGGTGATCCACCTGCCTCAACCTCCCAAAGTGCTGGGATTACAAGCGTGAGCCACTGCACCCAGCAAAGCATGCTTTTTTAAAAAAAAATTACAAACAAATTTATTGGACTTCTTTCATATGAAAGACTTTACTTATATACACTAACTTCTTTGAAGAAGAAGAACTCTGGTTGTGACTTGGGAGTGTGATGTCTGTTTCAGCTGTATTGTTCATGATATATTCATCAACTTAAATTCTCTTGAGCTCCTTGACATGGGTAGGATTTGAGAGGAAGAAGACTGTCCTTTCCTACTGATGCTGGGTTCAAACATGCTCAACCCAGATTATAGAAAGAATTAAAATATTTTGACATAGGCATGCATGTTACCAGAGAGAAGAGGACAGAAGGATCAGGTGGCTGATCTATATTGTTTATATTTAGTATTGGTTAAAAACAACAACAACAACAACAACAAAACTACACTCTGTTTTGCTCCAAAAGAATATTTAGTAACTTTTGATCTTCATTAAGTAGTGTATTAGTTCATTCTCACACTGCTAATAAAGACATTACTGAGACTAGGTAATTTATAAAGAAAAAAACTTTTATTGTCTGACAGTTCACTGTGGTTAGGAGGGGCCTCAGGAAACATACAATCATGGTGGAAGGAGAAGCAAACATGCCCTTCTTCACATTATGGCAGGAAGGAGATGTGCCAGGCAAAAGGGGAAAAATGCCTTATAAAGCCATCAGATCTCATGAGAACTCACTCACTATCACAAAAACAGCATGGAAGTAACTGCCCTATAATTCAGTTACCTGCTACTGGGTCCCTCCCATGACACATGGAGATTATGGGAACTACAATTCAAGATGAGATTAGGATGGGGACACAGCCAAAGCATATCATGCTGCCCCGGTCCTTCTCAAATCTCATATCCTCACATTTCAAAACACAATCATGCCTTTCCAACAGTTCACCAAAGTCTTAGCTAATTCTATCATTAACCCCAAAGTCCAAGTCCAAAGTCTCATCTGAGACAAGTCAAGTCCCTTCTGCTTATGAGCCTATAAAATTAAAAGCAAGTTAGTTACTTCCTAGATAGAATGGGGGTATGGGGATTGGATAAATACACCCATTCCAAATGGGAGAAATTTGCCAAAATAAAGTGGCTACAGGCCCCATGCAAGCCTGAAATCTAGCAGAGCAGTCAAATCTTAAAGATCTGAAAATATCTCCATTTACTCCACGTTTCACATCCAGGTGATGGTGATGCAAGATGTGAACTCCCACAGCCTTGAGCAGCACTGCTCCTGTGGCTTTGCACGGTACAGCCCCCCTCCCAGCTGCCTTCATGGCCTAGTGTTGAGTGTCTGCAGCTTTCCCAGGTGCACAGTGCAAGCTGTCAGTTTCCATTCTGGGGTCTGGAGGATGGTGGCCCTCTCCTCACAGCCTCACTAGGCAGTCCACCAGAGAAGACTCTGTATGGGGTTGCTGACCCCACATTTCCCTTCTGCATTGCCCTAGCTGAAGTTCTCCATGAGGGCTGCACCCCTGCAGTGAACTTCTGCCTGGACATGCAGGCATTTCCATACATCCTCTGAAATGTAGGCAGAGGTTCCTAAACCTCAGTTATTGATTTCTGTACACCCACAGGCCCAACACCACGTGAAAGCTGCCAAGGCTTGGGGCTTGCAGCCTCTGAAGTAACAGCCTGAGCTGTACATTATCCCTTTTTATCCATGGCTGAAGTTGAGGCAGCTAGGATGCAGGGCACCATGTCCCGAGGCTGCATAGAGTAGGGGAGCCCTAGGCCTGGCCCACAAAGCCATTTTCCCTCCTAGGTCTCTAGGCCTGTGATGAAGGGCTTGCTGTGAAAGTCTCTGACATGCCCTGGAGACATTTTCCCTATTGTCTTGTTGATTAACTTTTGGCTCCTCATTACGTATGCAAATTTCTGCAGCCAGGTTGAATTTCTCCCCAGAAAAGGTGATGAGTTTCTTTTCTATAACATCTTCAGGCTGCAAATTTTCAAAACTTTTATGCTCTGCTTCCTCTTGAACACTTTGCTTCTTAGAAATTTCTTCCACTGGATGTCCTAAATCGTCTCTCTCAAGTTCAAAGTTTCACAAATTTCTAGGGCAAAAGCAAAATGCTGCCAGTCTCTTTGCATAGCAAGAGTGACCTTTATTCCAGTTCCCAATAAGTTCCTCACCTCCATCTGAGAGCCATCTCAGCCTGGACTTTATTGTCCATATCACTATCAGCATTTTGGTCAAAGCCATTCAACAAGCCTCTAGGAAGTTCTAAAGTTTCCCACATCTTCCTGTCTTCTGAGCCTTCCAAGTCTCTAGGAAGTTCTGAAATTTCCCACCTTTTCCTCTCTTCTTCCGAGCCCTCCAACCTGTTCCAGCCTTTGCCTGTTACCCACTTCCAATGTTGCTTCCACATTTTCAGGTATCTTTACAGCAGCACCCCACTACCCAGTACCAATTTACTGTATTAGTTCATTCTCATGCTGCTAATAAAGAGATACCCGAGACTGGGTAATTTATAAAGAAAAGAGGTTTAATTGACTCACAGTTCAGCATGGCTAGGGAGGCCTCAGGAAACTTACAATCATGGCAGAAGGGGAAGCAAACATGTCGTTGTTCACATGAAGGCAGAAATGGGAAGTGCCAAGCAAAAGGGGAAAACCTCCTTATAAAACCATCAGATCTCGTGAGAACTCACTCATTATCACGAGAACAGCATGAGGGTAATCATTCCCGTGATTCAATTACCTCCCACTGTGTCCCTCCCACAGCATGCAGGGATTATAGAAACTACAATTCAAGATGAGATTTGGGTGGGGACACAGCTAAACCATATAAAGTAGCACGGCTTTCTTGGTCAGGTTAACAATTGTTACCTTTAGAAAGTGAGGAAACCTAAAGAACATGGAATGATTTAATTGCACTATGGGAGTGAGGAGACACTTGACTTTTTTTCTTTCTGTATAAAATTCCAAAACATTGATGACATGGTTTGGCTGTATCACCACCCAAATCTCATCTTGAATTCCTATATGTTGTGGGAGGAATCCAGTGGGAGGTAATTCAATCATGGGGGCAGATCTTTCCTGTGCTGTTCTGGTGATAGTGAATAAGTCTCATGAGATCTGGTGGATTTATAAGGTGAAGTTTCCCTGCATAAGCACTCTTTTTGCTTGCCACCATCTACATAAGATGTAACTTGCTCCTCCTTGCCTTCTGCCATGATTGTGAGGCTTTCCCAGCCATGTAGAACTGTGAATTCTCCATTAAACCTCATTCTTTTGTAAATTTTCCAGTCTTGGATATGTCTTTATCAGCAGGGTGAAAATGGACTAACACAGTAAATTGGTACCAGTAGAGTGGGGCTTTGGTGAAAAGATACCTGAAAATGTGGAAGCGATGTTGGAAGAGTTTAGAGGGCTCAGAAGAAGACAGGAAAATGTGGGAAAGTTTGGAACTTCCTGGAGACTTGTTGAATGGCTTTGCCCAAAATGCTGATAGTGATATGGACAATAAGGTCCAGGCTGAGGTGGTATCAGATGGAGATGAGGAACTTGTTGGGAACTAGAGCAAAATTGACACTTGGTATGTTTTGACAAAGAGACTGGCAGCATTTTGCCCCTGCCCTAGAGATTTGTGGAAATTTAAATGTGAGAGAGATGATTTAGGGTATCTGGCAGAACACATTTTTAAGCAGCAAAGCATTCAAGAGGTGACTTGGATGCTGCTAAAAGCATTCAATTTTAAAAGAGAAATAGAGCATAAAAGTTTGACAAACTTGCAGCCTGACAAAGTGATAGAAAAGAAAAACCCATTTTCTGAGGAAAAATTCAAGCCAGATGCAGAAATTTGCATAAGTAATGAGAAGCCAAATATTAATTCTTAGAACAATGGGGAAAAATCTCCAGGGCATGTCAAAGGTCTTCATGGAAGCCCCTCCCATCACAAGCGTGGAGGCCTATGAGGAAAAACTGGTTTTGTGGGCCAGGCCCAGGGTCCCATGCTGTGTACAGCCTAGGGACTCGGTGTTCTGCATCTTAGCCACTCCAGCCATGGCCAAAAACGGCCAACATTGAGCTCAGGCCGTGGCTTCAGATGGTGCAAGCCCCAAACCTTGGCAGTCTCCATGTGGTGTTGAGCTTGCGGGTGCACAGAAGTCAAGAATTGAGGTTTGAGAATATCTGCCTAGATTTCAGAAGATGTATGGAAACACCTAAATGTCCAGGCAGAAGTTTGCTGCAGGGACAGAGCTCTCATGGAGAACCTCTGCTAGGGCAGTGCAGAAGGGAAATGTGGGGTCGGAGCCCCCACACAGAGTCCCTACTGGCGCAGTGCCCAGTGGAGCTGTGAGAAGAGGCCACTGTCCTCCAGACCCAAGAATTGTAGATCCACTGGCAGCTTGCACCATGCACCTGGAAAAGCTGCAGACACTCAACACCAGCCCATGAAAGCAGCTGAGAGGTAGGCTGTACCCTGCAAACCCAGAAGGGTGGAGCTGCCCAATACCATGGGAACACATCACTTGCATCACTGTGACCTGGATGTGAGACAAGGAGTCAAAGCAGATCACTTTGGAGTTTTAAGATTTGACTGCTCCGCTGGATTTCAGACTTGCATGGGGCCTGTAGTCCCTTTGTTTTGGCCAATTCCTCCCATTTGGAATGGTTGTATTTATCCAATGTCTGTACTCCCATTGCATCTAGGAAATAACTAGCTTGCTTTTGATTTTACAGGCTCATAGGTAGAAGGGACTTGCCTTGTCTCAGATGAGACTTTGGATTGTGGACTTTCGAGTTAATGCTGAAATGAGAAAAGACTTTGGGGGACTGTGGAAGGCATGATTGATTTTGAAATATGAGGACGTGGGATTTGTCGGGGCCAGGGGTGGAATTATATGATTCAGCTGTGTCTCCACCCAGATCTCATCTTGACTTCCCATGTGTTATGAGAGTGACCGGTGGGAGGTAATTGAATCATGGGGGCAGGTTTTTTCTGTGCTGTTCTTGTGCTAGTGAATAAATCTCACCAGATCTGCTTTATAAGGTGGAGTTTCCCTGCACAAGTTTTCCTTTGGCCTGCTGCCATCTACATAAGATGTGACTTGCTTCTCCTTGCTTTCCGCCATGATTGTGAAGCTTCCCCACGCACATGGAACTGTGAGTTCTCCATTTAACCTCATTCTTTTGTAAATTGCTTAGTCTTGTGTATGTCTATCAGCAGCGTGAAAACAAACTAATATAATTGATGTACAAAAATTTTCTCCTCCATTTTTCTATTGACGATCATTCACCTTTTTCTTTTTTTGCTTTTGTACTTATCAATAACACTGCATTAAACACTATATATATCCATATAGTGTGCGTATATATACACATATATAATATGTATATGTAAGTGTGTGTGTATATATGTATTTATGTTTTCTTAAATTTTAATGAGCTTGAGAGTCTTTTCTTATTTGTTGATATTTGCATTTGGTCTTCAGTGTACTGCCAAGCTCCTTATATTTTATATGTATTAATCTTATGTCATTGAATTATAAATCTTCCCTCTAATTTTTTTTGTCTATTGACTTTATGATGTTTTTCAAAAAATATTTATGCCATCAATTTTGTCTGTTTTTTTAAAGCTTCTGGTTTGCCAGTATTATTTAAGCAGGCCATCTAGATTATCAGAAATGAAAATAACCAGTGTTGGCTGAAAATATTGACAATGTCTCATAGAGGAGGTGAAACCCAACACTGATCTTTGAAGGATGAAAATAATGTAAATGCGTATAGAAAAGTTACAGCCATTTTCTTTCTAACTTGGAGACATGCCTAAGAACATGTAATGCACGTATATTATGTTGTCTTGCAGTCATCACTAAAATCCTATGTTGTTATTATTTGAATATTCAAATCACTCATTAAGCTACAGAATTACATGATTATTGTGAAGTTACATATAATTAAGGTTTCAACCGTTTTGTAACACATATGAATAATTATGATGATAAGAAAAGTATAGCCATAGCTAAGTGTTGAATATCTCGAGATAGTACATTATTTGAGATGCTACATTATTTTTCTAATTCTGAACAATAAAGATAATTATTCCCATCATCTCAATAAGCTGATTAATATAGAAAGTTCTTCCAGGTATATTAGTGGTTGTGCTTTCTAGTCTAGTTTAAAGTTCTAGTGGTGTATTTTTCAACGTCTTCTCTGGACAGTTTAGGCTAAGCAGGTTAAAAGAATTTTTTGCATCTATCACAAAATAAATCTAAAATCTGAAGTTTTTTTGAAATCGGGAAATAAAGTTTATTTTTAAAACACATTCCTCTTTTTTCCTATTATTCCCTTATAAGTAAAGCCATTTTAAATATGACTCTAAATATTTTTCCATTTATCTTTTTATTTCCAGATTAACTAGTTTTCTTAATGGATAACTAAAAGTGTTAATAATGTTAAAAGTGGTATTATATAATTATCTTCAGATAGAAACAATAACAGATATATTAGATTTCAATGAATTTAATATATTTTATCTGACCATACTGAGCTCATCATGGAATACTGTAATGGAGTTGCTGTGAATTATTTTGAATAAATTTCTACTTTATTTGCTCTGTGTTTCCTTTAAATGCTGGTATATGGTTAAAATATGGCTTTCAATACTATTCATCTAAATGGTGTAGATATACATGCATATGCACACACATGTATTTTAATTTTGTAGGATCAAGTTATTCAACCCTTATTGCATTTTTATAGCTCTGTTATGAGTTCCCAGAAAATGGGAACTTCTTTGAGATAACTGTGTACAAATCTAAATATCACTGAATTTTATTTTCTGCCTTATTGCATGCAATTTGCTTCTTCTCCTGTATATTTTTTCACATCATTACTCCTTTTCAAGTTTAATCCATTAAGTGTTTTGTAGGATTTTCTTCTAATGTAATAGCTTTGTGCATTTAGAATACAAATTGTACACCACATCCATTTTCTTTACCACCTACTGTACATTTAAAAGTTATTTATATGTGCCACTGACTAATGCTTTTTAGATGAATTAGGTATGTAACTGGATTGGCCACCTAAATGATTTCACAGAGTCCCCTAAATATAAGATGCGTATTTTTCTAGCTTATATAGAGCCAGGACAGTTAGTTCCTATACAAGAGAAATTTCAAATTTTCACTATTAGACGAATTGATCCCAGACAATTGCATTATTAGATGTTATTAGAGGATATAGTTTCTTAGATTAGAAGGTACATTTTGTTAAGAGTAACATTCAGGTGACTTCTCCATCCCTCTTAAGTTTCAGCTTATAAATAAATAATTTGTAACCATAGCTTTAAGTAGAGTCCTTCCATAATTCCTAAATTCATTTGAAAAGCTCATTTGCAGTCTCTTTTGGCCTACCTGGAACACTCCCTCTCCTTTATAATTTTAGCATAGTTTCAACCCTGGTAATAGGTCCTCAATGCTTCTTTTTTTTATTAGAAAATTCTAAGACATTATTTTCTAGAATTTTATAATTGCATTGCTACTGTAAGTTGGGTAAATCCAGTGTACAGTGTATTTCACACTTTACTGACCTTGAGAAGATTAGCACAAATTAAATTTCATGTTAACCAACCTAAAGCCATGAACAGGAAAGTAGGCTCAAGGGTATTTGGTTAATTGTGCTAAAAATATATTCATGCTTTTTGTGGAGGGCATAAATGTAGCAAAAGTATTTTTTAAATAAAATATGGGTAGTTTACAGTAGTTTGATTTCTTCTGCTTTCCCTTTCATCTGTAGATGTGAATAATAGTGACTATTTCGATGTTTTGCAAACCTGATAGGTGACTGTTTACCAAACAATAATCCTTTAATTATTTTGTGTTTGAGAGAGATTTATTTAGTAAAATTATCTTTATATATGTTTTTATTCAATATCTTTGTTGCTATTGTTTTATTTTTTTAACCATTCATTATAGGTATAGTTTTAGGAATAAAAGAAAATCAAAATTAAATCAATAATATGTATATAAATTATATGACTATTATTTACTGAAGACTTGAAGTGTAAAGTCGTTTTACTTTTATTTGCTCCACCTCTTTAATATAATGACACAAAGAGAGTGTTAATAAGTTGCTGTATGAATAGATGTACATTTTTCTAAGGAAAAAGCACAAGAATTTCACTAGATTTGACAGGGGATCTATGTCTAAAAATATTATCATATTAAAAGTTAAATGTTTTCAGATACTATAATGGGCTTTGAGAAAACTGCAAAATTATTTTGATACTCAAGGTTTATATGGAATATGTGCCAGCTCTTTATTAATGTTGTAGGTAATTCCCTCAAATGCCCTAAAATATCTATTAGCCAGGTATACTGAATTTTTATTTCATTACTTTCTTGCCTAAATTTTATCAATGACTATATTGAAAATATTTCAACCAGTGGTTAAGGATATGAATATTTTAAACCTTAAAAGTGACATATTTCATCATTTAATATCACTTTGGAATTGTATTTTTATATATACATATATAACTACTCACTTTTGCTAATAAACATTAGCCCTGATAGTTTTCCCTCTTCGTTATTTTATTCCCTTTTGGTTTTTTAAGCAGTCCATGACATGGATGATGCTTCCTTTTTGCACTTTCTCTCTTGGATGTTTAATTTAGGATTTGAATGGTTAATATATCTTGATTATTACAAGCTCTAACTCATCAGATTCCATTTCCAAGCTTGAAAATGTACAACCCACTTACTAAAAGGGAAATCACTGGTCCATTTGAATGCTAATTACTGCACAAGTCCTGTATACTGTATCAAAACTCAGCATAAATATGGTCATCAGGGGAGGTGAAAAAACCATTAAAATGCTCCCCAGGAGACTCAGCTCATTAGAACCTACACTAATATCCAACAAGGAATGGAAAGAGTTGCTTAGCTGGGCTAGTTCCATTTTTGGGCATGCAATTCATAGACTTTCTAAGTGTGATTCAGGTATGTGTTCTCTATTCCAACAGGGAAAGAGATTTTTAAAATGTTGAAGTTTCTCAGAGTACAAAAAGAGAAGCTAGGGCAAAGGGTATCTGACTGAAAAGAAATACAGTGTAGAATGAAGATTGGTTACAATCATATAAATACTTGGTTTTCTTTCATAGAAAAGGAAAACCACAATTTTACATTTTATATCAACAAGTTTTCTAAATAACAGAAGGTGGTAGTTATTTAAAAACTAGCCTTTCAACCTTCTTGCATCTATTATGTACCTAAAACATAAATATCAATCTTATCTCATCTGGGTTGCATCACACAATTTTGACCAAGAGTTGACTTTAACGTTTTGACTGGTATTATCCCTAGAAAGCGATTAAAGTCATAAAAAGTTTTAGCTAGTACATAAAGTAAAATCTTGACATTGAGCAGAAGCAGGTACTAAGGCAACACTATCATCAAGCAAAATTCTTCCTAACTCTCACTTATGCTTTTAATTTTATTTAATGTTAATTTAAATATATGATACTTTTTTCAATATAAATTAATTAGATATGTGCCAGTTTCACCAGCATACGGTCTATGTTGTTCTTATAAATTCCTTCAATCAGTAGCTTTTAAACTATGTGTGCATCAGATTACCCGGAGTATTGGTAAAACCCAGATTCCTGGGCCCCAGAGCCCAAGGGGATCTGCATGTTTAACAAGCACTCCAGGTAATCGTTGTGTAGATAGGACCACATTACCTCAAATAAATGGCATTAATTAAATAGTGTTATATCTGTTCATGCCCAGTGAATTTACTTTATCTGTGATTCATTGTGACATCTGGATGATCTATTGTTGGAACTACATGTCTTTTTTTAAAAAGAAAAAAAAAGAGAGAGGAAGGGAATTTTTTTAATGTTTGTGGCATTTCTGACTCAAATGATGCATTTTCTCACATTAACTAGATCTTACCTGGTTTTAAGATTCTTTTGTAGGTAATCATTATCATATCATATGACTCTCAACTTATTTTCTCTCAAGCCCATCGAAGAAACACAATAAAGTGAAAACCATCACATGCTCCAACCCCATTAGAAAGATGGAGACCTGGTGTCTTAGTCTGTTTGTGCTGTTATAAAAAAAAAGACCCCAGACTACGTAATTAATAAATAATAGAAATTTATTTCTTATAGTTCTGGAGGCTAAGAAAGTCAAGATCAAGGCAATGGAAGGTTCAGTATCTGGTGATGGCCTGGACTCGGCCTTCAATATAATGCCCTGAATGCTGTGTCCTCACGTGGCAGAAGGGACAGAAGGAAAAAGCGGTGAAAACACTCAATCCCACTACTCACCTCATAAAGGCCCTACATCTTAATGCTATCACATTGGCCATTAAGTTTTAACACATGAATTTGGGGGAACATTCAGACCATAGCACATTGCTTCCTTGTCCAAGTGATTCTAGGTTGTCAGAAGTCAAGCTTCAGGAACATAACACTCTGCTATGGTTTGAATGTCCCTCCACAAAACTCATGTTGAAACCTAATTGCCAGTGTGGCAGTGTTGGGAGGTGGGGCCTTTGAGAGGTGACTGGGCCATGAGGGTTCTACCCTCATGAATAGATTAGTGTAATTACTTGGGGAGTGGGTTAGTTATTGTGGGAATTCAGCCCCCATTTTCTTTGTCTTGTGTGCTCTTGCTTCTGTCTTTGGCCCTTCCACCATGAAATGACCCTTTTCAGATGCTGGTGCCATGCTCTTAAACTTCCCCACCTCCAGAACTGTGAGCTACATAAATGGGTTTTCTTTGTAAATTACCCAGCATGTGGTATTTTGTTACAGCAGCAGAAAATGGACTAAGATGCTCTTCCCTTCACAAATACATATTGAGGACCTAAAATAAAATATGCCAGATAATGTGCTAAGCACTGAGCATACAAAGAGCTTGCCCTCAGGAGGATTGGATATCTTGTCTTTTACCTTTTATACCTTTTAACAGGTTAGCTACAGCATGAAAAAAGAAACTATATTTCTAACAATGAACAGGATAATATTTACCTATATTTTCAATTTGTGTATAGTTGAATGATAATTGTGATATACATGGTCCTAGCTCTTTAGGAATAATCCTTCAGAGCTCAGAAAAAAAGAAAACTTAATTCATTAGGAGCATGATTAGTATTTTAGAAAAAGGAAATCAAACAAGAATAAAGGTCTAACAAAAAACCCTGCAAAACTTAACATAAGTATAAAGTGAATATTCACTTATGTTTTCAACAACAATTCACTAACTAACAAATACTTGTTCTATATGACAATGGTAATTGCATGAGCCTAAGTTGTGTTTACTGTCAGATTCATGCATGTTCAGGCATAATTTGTAGAACTGGGGAATAGCTTCCAGCGGTGTGCTTACACGGAGAATCAAAAAACCTCCTAGAAAAATAAAAAATTTATCCTAGGGGAAAAGAAAGTCAAGATGGGTAGGTTTTATTGAAGGATTGTTGGCACATATTGTACACAGAAGGAAGGGATGATTCTGAGCAGGGTTTGTGTTTCTGAGATTGTTACATAGCCCAGATCTCATTATCTCACACACAAATCCTTGGACAAGAGGACTGAAACGCAAACTAAGAAGCTCCAGTTAAGAAGAGCTATTGCTCTGTAATTGGTGTGGGATATGAAGAGTGTGAGGCATTGGCAGCATTGGTGCTGATGGTGTTAGCAGTACTACTGGGGCATGGCATTGGCAGAAATTTCTATGTAAATGTCAGCAACAGTGTTGGCAGCAGCATTGGTGACCATGGCATTGGGAAAGATGTAAACCTTAGCAATGCCAACATGATGGCTGGAGTATCTTCAGGGTTCTGCATATTGGATAACACTCATCTTGAGGGTGAAGGAAGGGTCAAGGAAGATTTCCATTCATTTTTTTCCTTAAGTAATGGAGTTGTGCAATTTTCTGAAGCAGAGATCTTGGATAAGAAGCAATTCAAGGGGGAATAAAATTTTATTTTTGTCCATATTGAACTTGAGCTGTCTGTTTTATATATAAGTTGCAATTGAATATATGTGTGTAAAATTCAGAAGGTGGGGTCATATCTTGACTTTGGGAGTCATCAATAATTGAAGATATGGGAAGTGGCTGAGATAATCCAAGGAGAAAGTGTATTAATGCTAAAGAACAAGGAAAAAAATAAAACAGAATTATAGAGCAATAATATTTGATACCCATCTTCCTGGATTAAGCAAATCTGGACTGGGTTTGAAAGATGAAAGTGCTTAATAGATAGATTGGGGGTAAGTGGTAAAAAAAAACTGCCTAGGTCAAAGGCATAACATGTAAAAAAAGCAGAGGTGAGTGAAGTGCCACAATGCACTTAAAGAACAAAAGGAAGTTTAGTATTGTGGAAGGGTAAAGTTCAGTATTGCTAGGGAAAGTAGTAGGAGATGAGGCTGGAGATTTAGGGACCTGATCATAAAATGTTTTATATAGCACATTCAGAAACATGTGAAAATGGAGACCATTATAAAGGTTTTAAGCAATGAAGAGATATAATCAGATCTGCATGCTTAGAAATGACTTTGTTAGCTAAGTTAAGGACAAATTGAAGGGCTTTTAGACTAGGTGAGGAGAACCGTTAGAAAGCTATTTTAATAGCTGGGAAAATACTGATAATAGCTTTAAAAAGATAAGTATAGGTAAGGAGAGAGAGGAGATAAAGTGGAGCTCAAAAAGAAAAGGATGGCTCCACACAGCACACTAGTAATCTTGTCTTTATCTATAAATGTGGTATTTTATTCATCGTGGATATTTTTGCATTAGTTTTGATTTTAAAGATGGTAATAAATATTATTTATCTCCAGAAAAAAAAAAGAAAAAAAGAAAAAGAGCTATTGAGAAAGTTTCTGATTCTGGCTGAGGAGAATGGGCAAACTGTATTGTCCTAAAATAGTAGTATAGGCAAAGAGAATTTTTGAGGGAGCAGAAGGAATATGATATGAAGCCATTTAGATAGCAGTTGACTTGAAATATGGTTCCTCTTAGACAACTTAAAGTAATAGAGCAAAATGGATTGTTTAGGAGAAAGGTGTGTATACAGAAGGGCATGCAAGAAGCATGTTTCTTGCTTCTGCTACACAAGTGTCCGTTACACAAGACAGAAATCTGATTCAAATTAGACTATGCAAGAAAATGATTTCGGGGGGCAAGCATATGGGGTACTCTTAAGAGATTCAGGAATGTGGGGAATAAGTCTGAACCACAGGAATAATTGGAGACAGTGAGTCAAACAGCATCAGGACCCTCTATCTGTTAGCTATTCCTCTATGCCTATTACCTCCTTTCTCTCTCTTCCCCACTGCCCCACAAACTCCACTGTTTTATTGTTCCATAGGTATGATGATTCTGGGGCACTTTTATTGTTTTGTTCCAGTTCTAAAAATTTAAGAGAAGACTTATATTTTAAGGAAAGGCCTGATCTCATTAAACATTTTTCTCTAAAGTATTTTCGAGCAGCATGACAGAATAACATAGAAAATGTCTAAGTCATACAATGAAGAGGTTCACTGAGATTTTTCCAGCATTAAAGACAGTTTACGTGGTTTCTAACATGTTCTCCCACATGATTGTCCTTAAAGCCAAATACACACTTGTAAGATATCTAGACATATTACAAAATAATTAGTTTGTGGTTATGGAACGATAATTATAGCAAAAAAGCTAACACTGGATCAACATGACTTCAACAATATGCACTGTAAATTAATAACAATACCTTTTATTTTTTAATGGAACATGGAATCCTGATCATGAAGTGTGTGTGGCAGGGCTCGTGGCCTTCTTTCTTTCCATTATACCATTCTCCACATTTATGTACTTCAGAACTTTTGCTAACATTAACAAATGACTTGTTGCTCATCCCACTAGTGATCACCATATACCTTATTGGATGATACTACTCTTAACCTACACCCTCCAAGATTACCAAGCTTTATCAGAAACTTAAAAATATCTGAATTTATTGCCGGGCCCGGTGTTCACGCTTGTAATACCAACATTTTGGGAGGCCAAGGTGAGTGGATCGCTTGAGCCCAGAAGTTTAAGACCAGCCTGAGCAACATGGAGAAAACCTGTCTCTACAAAAAAAAAAGCAAAAATTAGCTGGGCGTGGTGGTGAGTACCTGTGGTTCCAGCTACTTGGGAGGCTGAGGTGAGAGGATTGCTTGAGCCTGGGAAGCAAAGGTTGTAATGAGCTGAGGTCATAACTCTGCACTCCAGCTTGGGCCACAGAGAGAGACCTTGTCTCAAAAAGAAAAAAAAAATCTGCATTTATGAACAACCATTAAGTGCCTAGCGATTTACATATATGCTAACTTATTTCACCTTTACAATAATCTTCTGAGGTAAGTTTTAATGTCCCTATTTAATAGATGAAGAATCTGCAGCCTAGAGTGCTTATGAAATCAGACTAAGATCACACTAAGTGCAAATGCTAGATCTGATTGCAAGTCAACCTGATTTGAACTCAACCTGACTTCAAATGTGTGCCCTTCTTCACCCTGCTATCTTGCTTATGCCAGGCAGCAAGAGAAGTTTGATGGCTTATTAACTCTTTAACCTACATATGCATGTCTATACAATTAACTCCTTTTTGTATTATGTGACATATTGACACAGTTTAACTAAACCGTCCTTAAATCCTCAATATGGATATAAATTACAAAATAACTTAAAATACCAGATTATCCATCTTGAAATTGAAAGATGACATCATTGTTCCATAGATGCATAATATGAAATTATAGCAAAAATAGTTGTGACATATCCACATGAATGCAAAAAATTTGGTTGTCTATAAACGTCAGCCCGTATACCACTTCCAGGTGAATACTCTCAATTATATATTTCAGTGAGGCTTCTAAATGCCTTTTTAGCCTTCTTTCTCCCCTTTATATCACTTCTCATATTTTTAAACTTCAGAACTTTTGCTAACGTTAATATCAAATAACTTATTACCCATCTTACTACTAATAACAACATATTATTATTGAGTGACAACATTCTAACAAACTCTCTTTACTAATATCTAATTGTACGTCTATAGATGCTTCTATGTGTATATTTGAGCCTTGAAATTGTGGGAGTTGGGTCACCAACTTCTTGCACAGCTGAAAATTAGTGTATAACTTTTGACTCCCCCAAAAAACTTAACTACTAATAGCTTACTGTTGACTGGAAGCCCTATGGATAACACAAAGAGTTAAAACATATTTTGTATGTTATATGTGTTTTATACTGTATTCTCACAATAAAGAAAGCTAGAGAAAGGAAAATGTTATTAAAAAAAAACATAAGGAAGAGAAAATATATTTACTACTACTCATTAAGTGTGATGACTAACTCTGATTTTTTCTTATTTTTCCCAAATTCCTATCTAAGGGGACTGGGGAGTCATGCCCCACAAACCAGAAATTCTTATCAGATGGGTTTTATTTAACCCTATATATTATGACTTACTTTTCAACCTGACTCTGTCATAACATTACATGACAGATAAAGATGAAAATCAAAATATTTTACCCCAAAACATGTTTCTTTGCCATATTTTGAAATGGTCCTGCAAAGCCAAAGCCATCCTTTGCGGGGGCAGGGGGAATTTGCATCTGTAAAGAATCTCTGTAAACATAGCTAGATCTTATTGCTTCCAGGCCCTCCCAATCATGAAGAGATTAACTGATAGTCCAGCACATTTTAAAGGTCTGAATAGGAAACATTTGTCATCTATTGTCTCTAAGGGCAGCCACTATGAGACTTAAGAAACTTGGTCCACACAATCTTTTATCTTAACCTAAACATTCCCTTTCTATTGAGCCCAGATCTTTAGATAAACTCAACCAATTGTCAACCAGAAAATTTTTAAATTTACCTATAACCTGGAACACTCCTTCCGCCCAATCCCGCCCCTGCCCACTTTCAGTTGTCACGAACCAATGTGCATCTTAAATGTATTTGATTGATGTCTCATGTCTCCCCAAAATATATAAAACCAGGCTGTGCCCTAACCACTTTGGGAACATGTTCTCAGGATCTCCTGAGGGGTGTGTCACAGGCCATGGTCACTCATGTTTTGCTCAGAATCAATCTCTTCAAATATTTTGCAGTTTGACCCTTGTTGTTGACAAGTGGAAGTGGATCATTATAAAGGTCTTCATCCTCATCATCTTCACATTGAGAAGGCTGAGGAGGAAGAAGAGGGGGAATTGGTCTTGCTATCTCAAGGATGGCAGGGGTGAAAGAAAATCCACGTATAAGTGCACCTGTGCATTTCAAACTTGTGTTGTTCAAGTGTTAACTGAATATCCATAGATGCTTGTATATCTATAGTGGCTTCTATATGATATGTGACTTACGGGACTAAAAGCAACTTTCCACAGGAGGAAAACTTATTTTTTTGAGTAAAAATGTGATAAATGAATATTCCTTTGGAATGTACTGTCAGAGTGTTCACTGATACTAATATCTTGCCTGACATCCTCCCTAGAGGTGAGTGAGTTGGGGAGAAACAAAATTTTATAAGAAGTGTATACCTGAAAGAAATATTGAAATCAGGTCATAAGAGAAAACTGTGAATCAGACACTTTAAAAGTCATCCTGATTGTAAATGAGAATATAGTGTGTGACATGTCTAACTATTGCCCAGACTTTTCAAGAGCTGGCATTCCATCTTCAGGTGTTGTATTACCAAACAAACCTACACTGTTTACGACCTTGGAGCCTCACTAAATTGTAAAGCCTTAAATCAAGATCCTGCCAGGATAAGATGATTCTTGCAAGAATGATAACCTGCAGATAAGGCAAAATAAAATTTAGTTGGATCTTAAAATGACTTGAGTTAACTCTAGCAATGGAAATGTCAATCAAAGGGCCTCGAGTCAAGGCTAAATCGAAACTGGTCTTTGACTCCTAAGACTGGATACCATGGTTATTATTGCTTCTATTATATTTATACATTTTTCAACTCCAAATGTAGAAATAAAAAACCGTAAGCCTGAGTGAACAAATATCAGGGCCAAGTACATTAGTAAGTTAATTTGAAGTAAGGAAAAAGAAGTTGGTTCTAAATCCAGAGCATTTGTACCTTGTAAATCAAGTCTAGACATTAAGGTTTCTAGTGATGCCTCTCTGTTTTTTGTTGTTTTTGTTTTCTTGTGGAGGCGAAGGTGGAGATGATGTGACTCTGGGTGGCTTTGCAAATTCACGGAGGAGAAACAGCAAGCATGTTCTTCATGTAGTTATATTGTAAGATAGAAACATTATTTCTGGCCATTCGATTCTGACATATTTTAATCTGAAAACATATCAACAAATACATTATATCTATTACTAATATAATCAATGAACAGATGTAGCTTTGGCCTTTTCCTTTTCCTATTTCTGTGTAAGAAATAAGGAATTTTCTAGCATTATAATACTACAATAATGTGAAATATTTTTCATATGTGTCATTGCCTAAATGAGAAATCTCACTATTAATATAGCTTTTTAAATAAAACAAAAATCAGGGCCATGTTAATTTTGATTAATTTAATGATTATTTTCTAAACTGAAGACATCAGGTTCTTCTATTTAGCAAAATATTTATCAATCACGTCTGTTGCAGAAACAGCTGCCTTCTATTATTCATTCTCTCCTTCCTTTTAGTAGTAAAATCTCCTGAGCTTTCAGTTGATGCCAAGATTAGTAAAACAAGAGTTTTCTAACGCTCAGAAACTTGTAACACAAGAGTAATCTAAATACATATTACATTTTTTTCTTTGATGTTTATCCCAAAGAAGTTGTAACAAAATCTACAACAATTGATTCATAGGAAGATGAAGTGAGTCTTCTTTTTGAGGAGATCTGAAACAGCAGATCGGGTGTATTTTGTTTTGGGCATTTTAAGTTCATGATTTCTATTATATTTGCAAGTGGAGATAACACTTAAGTGATTGCATGATTATAGTATGAATCTGCAGGTCTGTAGAGAAGTCTGAACTGCTGTCAGAACTAAAGTTATAAATTCAGTCTTCATGTAAAGATGCTATTGAAATTGTTGTATAAGATTACCTGGAATAAGGCAGTATATGTGAAAAGAATCTACAATCCATTAATAGTTCTGTGGCATTCAAATATTTATTTAATGTGAAGGAGGAATTAGAAGTGTCAGGAATGAGTCCCTGAATAAGATGGAGACCAGGAAAATGTGATCTCCTGGAAGCCAAGGAAACAAAATGTTTTAATAAGAAAGCAGTGCTTAAAAATATTGAAGGTGGGGCTGGGCTTAGTGGCTCAGGCCTATAATCCCAGCACTTTGGGAGGCTGAGGTGGGCGGATCACCTGAGGTCAGGAGTTTGAGACCAGCCTGACCAACATGGAGAAACCCCATCTTTACTAAAAATACAAAATTAGCCGGGTGTGGTGGTGCATGCCTGTAATCCCTGTTACTCGGGAGGCTGAGGCAGGAGAATCGCTTGAACCTAGGAGGCGGAGGTTGTGGTGAGCCAAGATCATGCCACTGCACTACAGCCTGGGCGACAGGAGCGAAACTCCATCTCAAAAACAACAAAAATTATATATATATAACATATATATTATAAATATATATATTTATATATTATATATAAATATATATATTTATATATTATATATAAATATATATATTTATATATTATATATAAATATATATATTTATATATTATATATAAATATATATATTTATATATTATATATAAATATATATATATATAGAATGTCACTGAGACATTAAGTAGTATAAAGAACAACAAATAACTTTTGAATTGAAAACACGAATATCACTGATAATCTTTAAAAAAGCAATTTCAATGGCTTGGTAGTCAGTGAAAACAAATTGATCTCAGTTGAAGATAGAAAGGAGGAAAGAAAATGAAGACAACTATTATTGATCACTCTTTCAAGAAGTTTTTCTTTGAGTGGGGACAATCACATCCATAGCTAAAGCTTACAGAGCTCACTCATATGTAGGTACTGTTCTAATTGTGCTTACATATATTAACTCATTTTACTTTACTTCAATCCTACTAGGTAGATATATTTATTGTTCCCATTTTAGAGATAATGAAGCTGAGGCATGGAGTATTCAAATAATTTGTCCAAGATCATGTGCTAAAAAGTGGCAGAGCTAAGATTCAAATCCAGGCCGTTTATAACAGTAGAGACTTTACTCTTTACTCGTACCTAATTTCGTTGATTTTGACAGACTATCGGGACTCTTTCATTCCCACTTGTTTTCCATTGCTTTGTAGTTGACAAGGACCCAGCTCCCAGACATTGGAATGTAGCTAAGAAGTAGAATTTCAAAGCTGATGGTTTGAAAATGAAGTGACATTCAGATCTATATCATCTTCAGAGCTACAGTCCTTGATCTGAAAGACTAATTTTTTGTTGTTGTTGTTTCGGTTTTTTGTTTTTGCTTGGATGAGGTTTGTAGTTTTTATAAAAGCTATCTTTATTTTGGTTTGGTTTTATAATTTTTAGAGAAAAATTGACACTCACAATGACATTGGCCTCTTATTCATTTGTCAGTCTGAGACTGTAATGCAATTTTTCTTCCAATAACTAGCTGGAAAGAAAGGGACAGTGAAGTCAACTGTTGAGGCATCTTTAGGCAGCAAGGAGGTTCAGACACTGGCTTCTGACAAAATAATACTTATAGGCATAAAGGGAAACTGTGGGGAGCCTCAAATTAAGATTAAAACAGGGTAGCCCTAACAGAGTGCTTTTACACCTTATGTTAAAATATTTCTCTCCATTTCTGCCTGGTCGAAAGCAAGACATACACCATGTCAGAATTTATAATAACAAAGAAACCATGTTCACCTATGCTTTTATATGTGAAATACTGTATATTTGAAGCACACTAGTAAAAAAGTCACCATATTCATCTTTACTGAATTAACTGCACCACTTTCTAGCTGTGTGGCCATGGACATGTTCCTTAACTCTCAGTGCCTCAATTTCCTCATCTGTAAAATGAGAATAATAATGAATATCTATTTACTAAACATGAAGCATAGTTAGCATTCCAAATTTGAACCAAATGAACAAAACACTGAAGTTTATATTTCTTTGAACTGCTATGTAACACATGATTATTCCAATGTCCTACAGAAAGGACTTACCTTTTTGCAACATTCCCAGGCAGATACAGCTGATTCCAACTAACTCCAAGTCTCTCCTTCAAATCATCCACTAACTCAGTAGTAGTTTTCCTAAAGCACTTTTAACATCTTGAGTCTTCTTCACTCAAAAGTGATAACAATTCCCTCTTATCATCTACATCATATTCCATGTATAATACCTATATTTTAAGACACCCCCCCCCCAAGTTTGTGGATAATCCTGTTTTATTTTTCTTAACTTCGTTTTATTCAGCTGGTTATTCTCAGTTTTGTATAGACATGCCCTTCTCACTATACCATCAATTTACCCGAACTCTTTTCTCAAATCTATCCTGGAAACTCCTCACATTATCTATTTATCTATGTATGTATGTATGTATGTATGTATGTATGTATGTATGTATTTATTTATTTATTTATTTTTGAGACAGAATCTCTCTCTGTCTCCCAGGCTGGAGTGGAGTGGCGCTACTGCAGCTCACTACAACCTCCACCTCTTAGATTCAAGTGATTCTTATGCCTCAGCCTCCTGAGTAGCTGGGATTATAGGCACGTGCCACCACGCCTGGCTAACTTTGGTATTTTTAGTAGAGACTGGGTTTCGCCATGTTGCCAGGCTGGTCTCAAACTCCTGAGCTCAAAGCGATCAGCCTTCCACGGCACCTTGGCCTTCCATGGTGCTAGGATTACAGGCATGAGCCACAGCGCCTGGCCTCACATTTAAATCTTTGGTGCGTCCTACAAAATAAAGTTCAGACTTCATATTTATCATTGCAGCAGACCATTCCATTCAATTTTGTAAGCCCTTATACCTGTTCATAATTGCTAGAGGTTTTTTGTTGTCTTTTTCTTCTGTTTTGTGGAGCTGTTTTCCCCTTTCCTAGAAGATACAGTCAGTCAATACAGATTCTTGACTGATTCAAATAAATATGCCTCTTCCAACCTCACTTTCCTGCCTTATCTTTTACAGTCGTCATTTCTCTATTTCCTCTTCTGAAATAGTGTATCCTCTAGACTACTGCCATTTCTCAAACATTCCAAGTACTTACATAGTTTTGTATATATCTATTTATTCTATTCCTTATGATTAACATTCACTGTTTCACTTGTCTAGGAAATTCCCACTCTCTTTTCCTGGCTTGTACATAAAGCCTTTCCAGACTTTTGAAGCTAAATTAATTTCTTCCTCCACTGGATTTTAACAGAAACTCCTACACACATCTCTCATAGGCTAGCACTGATCACACTGTGTTCTGATTATTAGTTTAAATAACAGGCTCATCAGATGCTGAGCTCCCAGCAAGTGGGAAGAGAGTCACATCCATCTGTGCGTTATATACTAGGCCTTAGATCTGGAAGGTTTTATCTAATACTGGTTGTTTTAAGAAGCCTATTTTATATCACAGATCCTCTTGGAAGCTTTGTTATTGAATTTAGCCATAATAATGTTGTCATTTTGTAATGACTCAAATTGCAAAGCTGCTGAATTTTTAGTTGAAAAGGAAGTAAGATATCCATTGGCCCAACCCACGTATGTGCTACACATTTCAAAGTCGTATCGTGAGACGATAATAAATAATAGTTTTTTTTGTTTTCAAATTAATTGCCAGAATGCTGTCTCATATCCAGTTTCTTAAAATCTAGCTCATTTTTTCATGGAAATAGTGTTATTACTAGCAAATTATAGCTTATTTTGATCAAGCTGTTTTAAATATTTTATATCCATTAACTTATTAATTCCTGGCAATAACCTTAGAATTCATTGGTAAGCCAATTTGTAGTATCTTCAAACACAGTAACCATCTCATATAGTCTTCTGTTTTTCAGTTAAAAATTTAACACCTGCAATGTGTCAGATAGGCATTATGTACCAGATGACATAATACAAACTAGGATATCTGTCTCTATATAGCTTAATTCTAGATGGGCAGAAAAATATGGACATTTAAGAAAAGTAGTACCAGGTTTGATAAGGGCTATGAAAACAATTATAATAAGATATATTTTAGATGGGACAGTTAAGGATGGCTAATTTTGTCAAAGCTAGGGGAGATGAGATCAAGAGTAGTGACAGAAAACCTTTGAGAGAGGAAAGGTCAATTCCTCTATTGTAATGATAGTGAGAAAGAAGAAACGAAAGTAAACATAGGTATTTTTGTTGTTTGATTGTGGAAGAGTGAAGGATTTCCTATTAATGACTGACATTTCCAATGCAAAATTAAAGGCAGCACAAATATATTAAGTAGGGCTTGAGATTTGTAAAAATATGGCCCCACTTTAGCTTTCGCCAAATAGCTATACACTTTCTCCTGTGAAAAGTGCCTCAGTCACATCCTGTTTATCAGAATCTCATATCTAAATTATCATCCTGTTTAATTCTGAGCACATATTTGGCAAACAATAAAGAAGCGCTATCACAAGAGCTGCTAATCACATTCTTGCTACACAGATTTAACAACCATTAAACTGGTTGGCCTTGTGCTATGATAGAGATGGGTGGTCTTTGATGAATGTTTATACCTCTACAAATAACTCAATTGTGACTGTCCAAAACTGAAAGCTCTTTCAAGGCTTTGTACACTTTTACAAAAGCAGAGCCTTTGTTTGTTATAAGTTAATCGCTTTAGCAAACATGTAGCCAAGACGGCTTTTGAATGGAAGGTGACCCTTCGAGCTAAGTCACCTTGCTTGGCATATCAGAAAAGGAAATAACTAATTATGTGTGGGCACTAAAGAACAACGGTTGTTATTTTGTGCACTAAAGATATAATGTACTAGGAACATAATACTCCTTGATTAAGGTTTTGATAAGGATAACCACTTATCTTTTCCTGGTTAATTCTGAAGACATTCTTATGTTTTTCTACATTATGTTCAGATACTTGCCTAACTCCAGTCGCTAATACATATAGTAAAAGATTAGCTCTCACAATAGTTGCCATAAAATGAAAACAATGACACATTCTAAGAGCAATTAGAGAGTTAAGCAATGCTCTATGAAAATGCAGAGAAGGCGTGACTTTGCCTCTCTGTTGCATCATTCCTGCACTATTCTATATGCGATTAAAATTTGTTTTGTAATCTAGTTTATTATAGTAGCAGTGCTACCATTATTTGCATTTCTGTTAAAAGGGAGAAATACTCCATAAATTACTACATCTTTTTGGGGTTGGGGAAAAGGTAAGAGGTTTTATTGCTTTATCGAAATTGAATTTTCTTTTCCATCTTTTTTCTTTTCTTTTCTTTTTGAGACTGAGTCTTGCTCTGTTGCCCTGGCTGGAGTGAAGTGGCAGATCTCACCTCACTGCAACCTCTGCCTCCCAGGGTCAAGTGATTCTCCTGCCTCAGCCTCCCAAGTAGCTGGGACTACACGTGTGCCACCACACCCAGCTAATTTTTGTTTTAATGGAGCCTAAGTTTGACCTTGTTGGCCAGGCTGGTGCCAGTCTGGTCTTGAACTCACGATCTCAAGTGATCTGCCCGCCTCAGCCTCCCAAAATACTGGGATTACAGGCATGAGCCATCGCTCCCAGCCTGAATTTTCTATAAACATAAAATTTTCAAAATGACTTTTTGCTACATTGCTCTCTGAAATTTTTCTCCATCCTACTGCTTTATTTAGAAAATGAATATTTCCAAATTAAAATTTTACACAGCAATCAGTTTTTATGACCAGTAATGATAATTTTCATTTATATACATTTTTTCAGTTTACAAAGTGCTTTCATTACCCCACATTAAGATGGAAAAAGCCGGGTAATGCAAGAAAATTGACTATGCTCATCCAGCTGAAAAGGGTTTGTAATACAGATTGCCTAAATACTAGTGCTATGTTTGGTCACTGTTGGCTTCCTCCTGGTATAATTTTTATAATTTATGTAAGATAGTTCATCCCATAAGATTCTGTAAACTACTTTTGAAATTTTTAGTGTTAGTGTATATATACAATTAAAAATAAAAGTGAAACTAGTTATTAGAGAATGAGAAGAATTTTATTGCTAGTCAATTTATGCTGTAGCATATTTGTTCCTAGATAACAGAAAAGCAAATATAAATGATAGTAGGATGGGTGTGGTGGCTCACACCTCTAATCTCAGCACTTTGGGAGGCTGAGGCAGGAGGATTGCTTGAGCTGAGGAGTTCAAGACCACCCTGGCCAACACAGAGAGACCCCATCTCTAGAATTATTTTCTTTCTTTTTTTTTTTTTTTTTGAGACGGAGTCTCGCTCTGTCACCCAGGCTGGGGTGCAGTGGAATGATTTCGGCTCACTGTAACCTCCACCTCCCAGGTATAAGCTAAGCTATTCTCCTGTCTCAGCCTCCCGAGTAGCTGGGACTGCAGGCGACTGCCACCTTGCCTGGCTAATTTTTGTATTTTCAGTAGAGACGGGGTTTAACCATATTGGCCAGGCTGGTCTCGATCTCCTGATCTCATGATGCACCCGCCTCAGCCTCCAAAAGTGCTGGGATTACAGGCATGAGCCACCGCGCCCAGGCTTTCTTTCTTTTTTAATTAGCTGGGCATGGTGGCACAGGCCTGTAGTCCCAGCTGCTCAGGAGCTTGCAGTGGGAGCATTGCTTGGGCCCGGGAGGTCAAAGCTTCAGTGAGTCCTGTTCATACCACAGCACTCCAGCCTGGGTGACAGAGTGAGAACCTGTCTCAAAACACAAACAAACAAACAAACATGGTGGTAGCTCTACCCTGTATGCAGTCAGATTATAAAACAAGTCACTCCTTAGAACATGTAAAATAATCATAATACAATTTTGGAGACATAGAATCTATTAACTCTGTCCTTTGCATGTTTATATCTTTTGATTGCTCTACTCTTGTTCTTATATCTTCTATTATATTAATTTATGTGCAAAACTTACCCATAGAATTTTAACAATGAGGGACAAACCAGCCTAAATTCTAACTCAAAAGGCTTTGAGCCTGCCCTTTCTTTTTCTTTTTTTTTTTGAGATGGAGTCTCGCTCTGTCGCGCAGGCTGGAGTGCAATGGCTCAATCTTGGCCTGCCCTTTGTTTTTCTAAATGGCAAAAAAGAATTACAGTTAGATGTGCTGTAACTGGCCTACAAATTTTGCTCTTGGGTAGAAAATAGAAGAACACCTAGAAAATGCATAATTCATCTTTATTCATTCGGTCATTCAACAAATATTTGCAGAGTTCCTTTCTCCTGCCAGCGACAGTGCCAGGTGCCTGATATATGATAATGAACAAAAGAAACAGGACCTCTGTCCCCATGAAGTTCAGAATGATATTCAGCCAATAAACACACACACACACACACACACACCCCTTCAAGTCACGTCTTGCAGAGAGAAGTTCTATAAAATGAATTAATACAACACAGTTTATGTTCAAGTGTTTAGTCTAGGAATGAAGTCTGGAATTTTACCAGGCACATGCCACCCACTGTGTGCTCCTAACAACCTTTAACTCGTATGGCCACATTTGAGTTTCTTTTGTTGTTTAGAATGTGTAAAAAGCTGATATTTGGAAACGTTCATAGAAACTCAAGCAATAAACAAATACATAATATTGTATAGAGATTTTCACCACCTCTAGTCCGAACTTAGATGTTTAAAAATAAGATCAATTAGATATAATTAATATTTCAGCATATTAATATTAAAGCAAAAACTACTAATAGAGATTTCTCAAAACTGAGATTAATTCATCTTGGGTAAATTTTCAAGTAGCTAAATTATTAAGTGGGTTTTTTTTCCAAATGTAAAATAGTATTTTGTTAATTTACTTTATTTAAAGTTAATTTACTTTATTTTTTGTTTTTCCTTTATTATTATTCAGCTCCTCTCTAAAAATGACTATGATGATGAATTGTATGTGTCATCTTGACTGGGCCACCAAACATTTGGCCACAAATGATTCTGGGTTCGTCTGTGAGAATGTTTCTAGATGAGATGAACGTTTGAATTGGTAGACAGTAAAGCAGATTGTCCTCCATAATGCGGATGGGCTTCATCCTATCAGTTGAGGACCCGAATAAAACAACAGGCTGAGCATGAGGGAACGTTTTCTGCCTGACTGTATGACTTGGGACATTGCTCTTTCTGGTCTTTGGACTCAGACTGAAACATTAGTCCTTTTTAACTCTACCACCTCCCAGGTTTTGAACTGAAATTTACATCATCTGCTCTCCTGGTTCTCTGACATTGGGAATCAGTTCTCCTGGATCTCTAGCTTGCCAACTTCACATCTTGACACTTCTCATCCTCGATAATAATGTGTGCTAATTGACGATAGATTTTGGTACCATGAGTGAAGCTAGAGGAACAACATTTTAAAAATAAGTGTTGTGAATTGGTTCTGTGGTTTTTTGAACTGGTTCTCTAATCTGATTAGATTAAAATAATCCATTTCTAGTAGTAAAGCACTGAAAGTCCATGGCATGATCTGGCAAGAGAGACTTGCAAAATGTCACCACTGGATATTCCTAATCAAACACCTATGAGAAGCAAAGACCTGGGTGACTATGTATATGATATCCTCAATACTTTTATCAAACTAATGAGTAGAATGGGTTGGCTGGTTGTTCTAATGTCATTGGACAAAGCGGGGAAAGAAATAGATAAGGTCAGGGATCTGAATTCCCAGCTAGGGAGCCATATAAAAGAACTGAAAGCTTTTTTGTGTGCCCCAAAACTTATTTCTTTATAGCCACAGGACTGCGATTGCTGAAAACGCACCTAAAGTCTTATCCTCTGAGTGGCTGAATTATAGTACAAGTTGAACTCTCAGCCTCACAGGGTGCTCACTGTTCAAATGAGGGCATTGATTGGAAAAAAAATGAGATGTTAAAGTTGAAATGGGGATGTGTGGGAAGTCACTGATGAAGATGGGGATAGTGAAGCCCTAAATTTTGATGAGTTGATTTTGCCAGTGAAAGCAGCCTCTACAGGCTCAGTGGAAATGGTTTTTCCACTCCTGTTTGAGGGAGATTAACCTTACATTGCCTGAAGAAATTGGAATGGCCTCTCCTGAAGCAGTTGCCTTTCAAGACAATGCTGATTCTGCTCAGGACCTACATGACCAGCCCCCTTTGCATCTAGACCTATGATAGATTCAAGACCCAGCAGGATCCTAAAGGTGAGGTACTAAGTGTGAACAAAGAGGAAGTGTGCTACATTACAAAAGAGCTATATGAAATTTTTAATTTATACAGACAAAAATCTGGGGAACATGGTCTGAGAAAGGACATTAGGCATATGGGAAAATGGTGGAAAAAACACAAAGTTGGATCAGGCTGAATTCGTTGATATGGGCTTATTAAGCAGATATTCTTCATTTAATGTTGCAGTGTGAAGAGTTAGAAAGGGCCATAATGGTTTGTTTGGTTGGTTTGCTGAAACTTGGACAAGAAGATAGCGCATAAGAGGAAGTTACAAATGTTGGACCTATCTTTTTTTTAAGGTGGAGAAAGGAATTCAAAGTTTTAGAGAGATTGAAATGTTAGACCCATTTAAAACCTCCTCACTCATCCTGAGAAAGTCCAGAAGACACACTTTTCATGACTGTGAGAAATAAATTTGTGAAGGGAATGCTAGCATCCTAGAGGAGCTCTGCGATTACTCTTCTCTGTGGATCAGGCCTTACACGGAACTGTGGCAATGGAAGTAGGAAACCTAAATGCAATGGATGAGATTGGATCCTGTTATGTCTGAGGCAAAGTGATGTCACTCAACTGCTATAGGTAAGGTAAGCTTGGTAACCATAATTGTCAAACCAGTAATCAGAATCATCTGATTCTCAAAGGTCTGGCACTGGCTAGTGATCACAGTGTTCCTGGCAGTAAAATCAATAGAAAGCCTACTAAATTCTTACTTGGTCTGTAAAAATAGAAAATGTCTAAGTCAGGCCAGGTGCGGTGGAACACACCTATAATCTCAGCACATTGGGAGGCCAAGGCTGTTTGATCATTTGAGGTCAGGAGTTCAAGACCAGCCTGGCCAACATTGCAAAACCTAGTCTCTACTAAAAATATATAACTTAGCCAGGTGTGGTGGCAGGCACCTGTAGTCTCAGCTACTTGGGAGGCTGAGGCAGGAGAATTGCTAAACCTGGGAAGCAGAGGTTGCGGTGAGCTGAGATCATGCCACTGCACCCCAGCTTGGGTGACAGAGTGAGACTTCATCTCAAAAATAAAAAAGAAGAGAAAAGAAAAAAGAAAAGAAAACAAAAAGAAAAAGTCTAGGTCAAGTGAATGAAAGGCTAACTTGAATAATACAAATGGAGAATTACAGCCCTTCAATCAATTCTAACACTTGAACCAGCTTACAGACCCAGAAACCCTTATATGAAAGGGAGGTAGCTGGTCATGATGGCTCACACCTGTAATCCCAGCACGTTGGGAGGCCAATGTGGGCGGATCACGAGGTCAGGAGATCGAGTCCATCTTGGCCAACATGGTGAAACCCTGTCTCTACTAAAAATACAAAAAAAAAAAAAAAAGAAAAAGAAAAAGAAAAAAAAAAGTAGCTGGGCGTGGTGGTGCATGCCTGTAATCCCAGCTACTTGGTAGGCTGAGGGAGGAGAATCACTTGAACCTGGCAGGTGGAGGCTGCAGTGAGCCGAGATGGCACCACTGCACTCCAGCCTGCAAAGGGAGGCTGCATTTCCTTGAAGAGGATCCCAGGACCTACCAAAAATTTATACTGTTACTCTTTGTCCTAGCATCCCCCAAAGCAGCACAGAGCCTTCTACCAGGATAACTTTGCATCAGAGGAAAGGGATAATCAGACTTTTCATTGACTACTGGACACCGGCACTGAACTAACACTAATTGCAAGAGACACAAAATGTCATGGTGATCCATTAGTCAGAGTAGCAGCTGATAGAGGCCAGATGATCAATAGAGTTTTAGTTCAGGTCCATGTCAGTGAGTCCAGTGGGTCCCTGGCCCTATTCTATGGTTATTTTCTAAGTTCTGAAATGCATAATTGGAATAGATATGCTCATCAGCTGGCAGAGTCTCCACATTCCTTTTCCCAGTGATGTCCATTCTGGTGGGAAAGGCCAAGTAGAAGCCAATAGAACTGTTGCTATGTTGAAACATGCTAAACCAAAAATAATACTGTACTCTAGGGAGGATTACAGAGATTAGTGCCACCAACAAAGACTTAAAAGATGCAGGGGTGGTGATTCCCACCACAGTCCATTCAACTCATCTATTTGGACTACATAGAAGACAGAGAGAGATTGGAGAATTACAAAAATATTATTTCAAGCTTTACTAGGTGGTGATCCCAACTGCAGCTGCTGTACCAGATGTGATTTCATTGATTGAGCAAATTTCCACACTCCGTGGTATCTGGTATGCAGCTATTAATCTGGAAAATGCCTTTTTTCCCCCATACCTATCAATAAGGTTCACTAGAAACAGTTTACCCTTAAGCTGGCAAGGCCAGCAATGCACCTTCACTATCCTACCCCAGGGGCATCTCTACTTTCCAGCCCTGTGTCGTGATTTAGTTTTCATGGATCTTGATTGATTGTCTTTCCTTTCCACAAGATATCACGTTATAAAATGTCTGCTACACTGATTATATTATGCTTATCTCCCTAGCGGACACAAAGTAGCAATCACTTTAGATTTACTAGTAGGATATGTGCAATTGTGTATAAAAATATATCCAACAAAAATTCAGGGGCCTTCTACCTCAGTGAAATTTGTAAGGGTCTAGTAATATGGGACATGTAGAGATATTCTTCTTAAGATAAAAAATAACCCGTTCTACAATCAAATGGAACACAATGCCTATTGGGCCTTTTTGCTTTGGAAGGCAACATATTCCTCATTTGGGTGTGTTACTCTCACCCATATGCTGAGTTACCTGAAAAGCTAGTAGCTTTGAGTGGGCCCCAGAACAAAAACCATCTGTTTATCAGGTCCATGCTTCCATGTAAACTGCTCTGCAACTTGGACTAGATGTTCCGTAAGTTCTAAAGTGTCAGTGGAAGACAGAGATGCTATTTGGAGCCCCCATAGATGAATCATAGCCTAGTCTCTTGGGATTTTGGAACAAAACCTTGCCATCTTCTACTGATAACTACTTCCCTTTTAAGAAACAGCTCTTGGCCTGCTGCTGGGCCTTAGTAGAGACTAAACACTTAACCATGGGCCACCAAGTTAACATGTGACCTGAGTTGCTCATCATTAAACGGGTATTGTCTGGCCCACCTAGTCATAAAGTTGGGTATGCACAGCAGCATTTCATCATTAAATGGAAGAGATCTGTGACTGGACTAGAGAGGCCCTAAAAGCACAAGTAAATTCCCTGAAGAAGTGGCCCAAATAGCTATGGTTCCTGCTGCTACTGCGTTGCCTTGTTTCTCTCCGCCTGCAGCTATGGCCTCGTGAGAAATTACCTATAATCAGTTGATAAAGGAAGAGACAACTCAGGCCTGGCTTATAGATGGTTCTGCACAATATGCAGGCACCACCAAAAGTGGACAGCTGCAGCACTATAGCTCCTTTCTGGGATATATCTGAAGGTCAGCAATAAAGGGAAATCCTCCCAGTGGGCAGAACTTCAAGCAATGCACCTGGTTGTTCACGTTGCTTGAAAGGAGAAATGGCTGGACACGTGATTATATACCAATTCATGATCTGTGACCAATGATATGGCTGGATGATCAGGGATTTGGAGGGACCATGATTAGAAAAATTGATGACAAGGTAATTTTGAGAATAGATATGTAAATGGACCTCTCTGAATAAACAGAAAGATACCGATATTTGTATGCCATGTGAATGCTTACCAAAGGATGAATTGTGCAGAGGGGGATTTTAATAATCAACTGGATGGATAATCTCTTCTGTGGATATCAGTCAACGCCTCTCCTCAGCCACTCCTGTCATCTCCCAGTGAGCTCATAAACAAAGTGGTTGTGGTGGCAGGAATGGAAATTATGCTGGGCTCAGCAACACTGACTTGACTACACTCAAGTTCCGCTCACCAACACTGACTTGACTACAACCACTCCTGAGTACCCAATGTGCCAACAACAGAGACAAACACTAAATCTTCAATGTGGTTCTATTCTCCAAGGGTAATGAGCAAGCTACCCTGGTTGCAGGCCAATTACATTGAACTGCTTCCATCTTGGAAAGTCCAATTTTTTTTTTTTTTTTGAGACAGAGTAGTGCTCTGTTGTCCAGATTTGAATGCAGTGGTGCGAACACAGCTCACTGCAGCCTGGACCTCTTGGGCTCAACTGGTCCTCCTGCCTCTCAGCCTCCTGAGTAGTGGGAACTACAGGTGCATGCCACTATGCCCTGCTAATTCTTGTAACTTTCATAGAGACAGGGTTTTGCCATGTTGCTGAGACTGGTCTCAAGTGATCCACCTGCCTCAGCCTCCAAAAATGCTAGGATTACAGGCATGAACCACTGTGCCCAGCCAGGTCCAACATTTTGTTTTTACTGGAATAGCCATTTTATCTGAATATGGATTCGCCTTCCTTGTATACAATGCTTCTATGAGAACCACCATCCTTGGACTTACAGAGTGCCTTATGCACCACCATAGTATTCCGTACATTTGTTTCTGATCTAGGAACTCACAGCACAACAAAACAAGTGAAGCAATGGGCTTAGGCTTATGGAATTCAACTGGTCTTACCATGTTCCCCACCATCCTGAAGCAACCATTCTGATAGAACGATAGAATGGCCTTTTGAAGACTCACAATGTCAGCTGGGGGTAAAACCTTGCAGGGCTAAGGCAAGATTTTTTAAAAAGCTGAATGTGCTCTGAATTAGCACCCAGTATATTGTCCTGTATCCTCCATAACCAGGATTCATGGATCCAGAAATTGAAGAGTGGAAATAAAAGTAGTGCCACTCACTATTACACCTAGTGATCCACTAGAAAAATTATTGCTTCCTATTCCAGTGACCTTATGTTCTGCAGGCTTAGAAATCTTAGTTCCAGAGAGGTGAATGCTTCCAACAGAATATCAAACAATGATTCCATATGACTGGAAGTTAAGACTGTCACCCAGCCATTTTAAGCTCCTCATGCCTCTGAATTATAAGACAGAGAAAGGAATTTTTGTGTTACCTTAGCTAGTTGATTCTAACTACCAAGGAGAAATTGATTACCTCTCCATAGTAGAGATAAGGAAGAGAATGTTTGAAATACAGGAGACCCCATAGGGTGTCCCTTAGTATTACCATGTCCTGTAATTAAGGTCAGTGGACAACTACAATGAACCAACCCACATAGTTCTACTAATAGTTCAGACTCCTCAGGAATGAGTGTTTGAGTCACCCTACCAGGTAAAGAACCACAACCAACTGCAGTGCTTACTGAAGGCAAAGGGAATTAAAAATTGGTAATGGAAGATGGTAGGTTTAAATGTTAGCTACAACCATGTGACAAGTTATAAAAATGAGAACCATAATTGTCAAGAGTATTTTTTTTTTTTTTTTTTTTTCGGAGACGGAGTCTCACTCTGTTGCCCAGGCTGGAGTGCAATGGTGCGATCTCGGCTCACTGCAACCTCCACCTTCCGGGTTCAAGCAATTCTCCAGCCTCAGCCTCCTGAGTAGCTGGGATTACAGGCATGCACCACCATGCCTGGCTAATTTTTGTATTTTTAGTAGAAATGGGGTTTCACCATGTTGGTTAGGCTGGTCTTGAACTCCTGACCTCGTGACCCACCCACCTTGGCCTCCCAAAGTGCTGAGATTACAGGCATGAGCCACCATGCCTGGCCAAGTATTTTCTACTTATTTTGTATTTAATAGGTTTTTGTGTGTGTGTATATGTGTGTATGTATAAGGCAAATACATTTTTTCTTCCCTCTTTTATTCCCTTATCATGTGACATAAGATGTGACTTTATATTCTGGTATTTAAGTACTGTACGTTTTACATGATACTATTGAAGTTATGAGATATTAAAAAGAAGAGTAAAGATCACTGAAGGACTTTACTTTCTCTTCTGGGTAGGGTGTTAGTGAGTTTTCAATTATATACAGCACGGTTGTACCATGTGAAATGGAATAATTACCTTCTAATTTCCTTTATTTGGAGCTTAAGTATGGTTTAAAGAGAGGTATGTGTATGCCAAGTTGACAAGGGGTAGACTTGTGACAATTAATTTATGCATCAACTTGACTGGGCCATGGGGTGACCAGGCATTAGGCCAAACATTATCTTGGGTATGTCTGTGAGGGTGTTTCCAAACGGGATTGATGTTTGAATTGGTAGACTGAGTAGGGCAGATTGCCCTTCCTAATAAAGGCGGGCCTTACCCAATCAGTGGAAGACCTGAATGGAACAAAAAGCCCAAGTAAGGGAACTTCTCCTGCCTGACATGTTGAGCTTTTGGTCTTTTCCGGCCTGTGGTCTCAGACTGAAACATCAGCTCTTTTGGAGGACTGAGCTTTCCTGCTTTTGGACTAGAACTGACAGCATCTGCTCTCTTCATTCTCAGGCCTTTAAACTTGGACTATACACATTGGCTTTCCTGGGTCTGCACATTTTGGGAGTTATCAGTCTCCATAATTGTTTAAGCCTTTTTTAAAAAAGAATAAGTCAATCTCCTAATGGCTGTTTCTCTGATACAATGAGTGTTTTCAGTTTATACTTGATGTTTTCGAGAATAATAAGTTATTGGAAATAAAAGCCTATATTTTTGTTTTGTTAATATGCTGTTGGTTTCTTCGTTGTTTGGTTTTTGCCTATTTTGTCATAAACTAACAAAAGTTTATATATATATATATATATATATATATATATATATATATTTCCATGTCCAATAATTTATGGTATAATTCATTTTAAAAAACTAAATAAATATGCTTTTTCAAGTTTGAATTGTGGTCAAATACTAATCAATATAATATATTAACTTAGCCAATACTTTAGTCAGTTAAAACTGTTGTTGCAAAGTACATTGACCGTGTAGCTTATACACAACAGAAATTTATTTTTTATAGCTCTGGAAGCTGGAAGTCTGAGATCAAGATGAGAGCATGGTCAGGTTCTAGTACAGGCCTTCCTCTGGATTGCAGACAGCTTCTTTTCATTGTATCCTCATGTGGCAGAAAGAAAGTGATAGGACTCTCTGAGGTCCCTTTTATAAAGGCACTAATCCCATGAGGGCTCCATCCTCCTAATTACCTCTCAAAGGCACCACCTCCTAATATCATCACACTGGGGGTTAAGATTTCAATAAATGAGTTTAGAGGGAACACAAACATTTAGTCTATTGCAACCAGAGCTCATCAAATTTTCAATATTAGCTATCTGCTGTAAGCAACAGAAATAATAGTAGAGTGGTGTAAAGAGACACGAGCATAGGCAGCTCACTGTATATCCAAACTAAACTCAAAGAATCAGAGTACTCAATAATAGAGAGAATGTCATGTGCCAAAAAAAAAAATAGAGAGATATGAGAGAATGGAAACTGTGAGAAATCTAGCTATACAGGAAGGCAAACAAAGAATGAAGAGTCTTTGGATTCCATATGGTAAGACAACAGTGTAAAACTGAGTTGATCATGGAAGTATTTTAATATTTTAAAAATCGTAACATGTTGGAAAAAAACAGCGTATGGGACAATATTACAGTAAAAAGCAACAACAGCAAAATGGTCATTGGAACAAATTACTTGCTCTGATAAATAATAAACATGCTTTTATGCACAATGAAACTAATATCAAAATATTTTTGTAATATTAAGATATGTATTATAAGCATATAATCAAATAGGCAATTCTATATAGACAATTAATGAAACATTGAATCTGCCATTAATCACAGATTGGGCATATATATTTACACCTAAAACAATTTCCATGCAATTCCCTAGGGTTCTCCATTTCCTAAAATCATATTTAGCATGATAATAGTAGTTGTCTAACAAATATAATTTCCTGGATATCAGAATAAAATAACATTGTTGATATCAATCTTTGTAAAAAATTAAACACATTAACACCTTAATGTGTTCCACCAAGAAATCTGGGAAATGCTCCTCAAGGCAATGAGAGACTTTAAGCAGGGAAATAATGTTATCCAACTATTATTTTAAAGAGTTCAAAGTAGCGACGGTGTTTAGAAAGAATAACTAGATGGATATCAAGCCTAAGGAAATTAGTGAGAAAATAGTTGGGAAAATCCAAGAAAAGCATTGTGAGCACCTGGATTTTGTGTGTGTGTGCGTGGCAATGAAAATAGGCAAAAATAAATAAATAAATAAATATAATTAGGGAGATTCCAGCAAGTGAGATTGAATTTGATGTAATAATTTAATGGATCTGGAAGTAAGACAAAGAAAGAAACCAAGAAAAATTACTCCTATGTTTATGTCTTAAAAGACAGACTGTGCTATGTTGCTTTATTTAAAAGTTATTTGTTTTGTGTTTGGGGAGGTAAGTAGTAAAAGGGGGAAAAGAGAAGAAAACTAATTAATGTATGAATTCTTAGAGTCTAAGAAGCCTATGGGATATTGAGCAAATAGTAAATGCTAAGTAAATGTTTATTAAATAAATGAATATTTTATCTAATGCCCAGAGAGAGAATTGAGTTAGAGCTGTACATTTTAGAATTACAAATACTCAAAGGGTAGCTGAATTCTTGTGGATGGGATGCTGAGAATTTCAAGAATGATTTACACTGTGTATTTAATGCACAGGATACTTTTTGTGTTTGGCAATTTAAAAGTATAACTTTGAATAGAAAAGTTTCAGTGGAGTAATGAAGCCAGATTGCAGTTAAATGAGGAGTGCATGGATAGAAATGAGGAGATAGTGACAAGAATGTAGAACTTTGTTTCTCAAGCTATTCTGCCAGGTTTTTACCTTGAGAGATTCCGATTTAGTCAGCCTGGTATGGTGGTGAGATGAACAGGAGGCAGGGAAATACTGGGTAGAAGAGGGTGGTCCCTGGTGAGGGCCACACCCTCAAGCTTAGACCAGCGGCCCAAAGTAAGAACTTGCATTCCTGTTTTCGTGTCCAAATGTTGCCTTTTCCAAAACCACCCTGGCCCCATAAAAACCCCAGATCCCACTAGTGGAGCAGCAGAGTGGCAGAAAAGGAGAGAAGAGAATAAACAGCTGGATATTGGAGAGAAGCCCCTTGACTTCAGAGGGACGGCTTGATGTCAGTGCTTCAGAGGAGAGTTTGGCCGGGGATGGCTGAACTCCCGGGGAAGACCACCTTTCCATTCCATCCCCTTTTCAGCTCTTCACCCCACTGAGAGCCACTCCCACCACTCAATAAAATCCTCCATATTCAACACCCTTCAATTCATTCACGCAACCTGATTTTTCCTGGATGCGGGACAAGGGCCCCAGTGCAGATGCAAGAGGCTGTCACACTGACCCTCCACTGAGCTGTTTAATACTTAAGCCATCCACGGATGGCAAAGCCAAAAGAGCACACTGTAACACACACCCTCTGGGGCTCCAGGGGTCACAGGCAACCCCTAGATGCTGCTGCAGGGCCGCGCAAAGTTCTGCTCCTGCCAGTTGCCCAGAAGCAGCTTGTCTTGGCCTCTGCACCCACTCATCTGCATGCTCCCCCTCCCACAAGGGGTTGAGAGCTGCAAGCTGAGTAAATAAGACAACCCCTTTGCTAGTTCTGCGAACTGTCCTGTTTCATCGGCTTTAGTATTGGTATTTTCTGAAAGTTACCAGGTAATTTTAATATGCAGCCAGGTTTGTGAATAACTGGTAGACTTTTTTTTTTTTTTTTGAGATGGAGTCTTACTCTGTCGCCTAGGCTGGAGTGCAGGGGCGCGATCTCGGCTCACTGAAAGCTCCGCCTCCCGGGTTCATACCATTCTCCTGCCTCAGCCTCCTGAGTAGCTGGGACTACAGGCACCGCCACCACACCCAGCTAATTTTTTGTATTTTTTAGTAGAGACGGGGTTTCACCGTGTTAGCCAGGGTGGTCTCGATCTCCTGACTTCGTGATCCGCCCGCCTCGGCCTCCCAAAGTGCTGGGATTACAGGTGTGAGCCACCATGCCCGGCCAACTGGTAGACTTTTTTTAAATAGAGCTAAGACAACATACAGAGTGGGATATGGGATTTAAGAAAGTTTATTATTGTTATTATTAATATTTAAGATATTATTATTATTTAAGATAAAAATGTTTAAGCTCGTGTGTATCAATAATCACATAAAATATAAGCAGTGTGTAGGGGCCAAAGGTTCCTTGGCCCTCTAAAGTTTCACTGAAAAATCAATTCACGGCTGGTCGCCGTGGCTCGCGCCTGTAATCCCAGCACTTTGGGAGGCCGAGGCGGGCGGATCATGAGGTCAGGAGATCGAGACCACCCTGGCTAACACGGTGAAACCCCGTCTCTACTAAAAATACAAAAAAAAATTAGCTGGGCGTGGTGGCGGGCGTCTGTAGTCCCAGCTACTCGGGAGGCTGAGGCAGGAGAATGGCGTGAACCCGGGAGGTGGAGCTTGCAGTGAGCCGAGTTGGCGCCACTGCACTCCAGCCTGGGCAACAGAGCCAGACTCTGTCTCAAAAAGAAAAGAAAAAGAAAAATCAGTTCACAAAAGGCAGACCAATTGGAGAAAAATCATACAAATTTATTTAATACATATACATGAGAGCCTTCAGAATGAAGACCTGAGGATAAAGGGTCCATTTTTATGCTTAGGTTCAACAAAGTATGAACAGCTGTGTAGAAATATAAATGGACAAACAGGCATAGTGTAATACTAGTAGATTTGGTGGGGAAACGTAGTAAGGCCTATCTGCGCAGAGTCTCCTTGCCCTCTCTAAGTATGGATTTCTTCCATCTGGCTGTGGGGCAGGACCCTCTCTAGAATGGAGATCTTATGACCTACAGTCCAACAAGCTAGGATGGATAATTTCTTTATGACTAGATTTTATATAAAAAGGTGGAAGGACAGTTAGAGTTATATTTTTAGATGACAATAAAAAAGTCAAACTCTGTAAAATATTTAAAGAGATTTATTCTGAGCCAAATATGAGTGACCATGGCCCGTGACACAGCCCTCGGGAGATCCAGAGAACATGAGCCCAAGGTGGTCGGGACACAGCTTGGTTTCATACATTTTAGCGAGGCCTGAGACATCAATCAAATACATTTAAGAAATACATTGGTTTGATTCAGAAAGGCGGGACAACTCAAAGTAGGCAGTGCTTCCAGGCTATAGGTAAATTTAAACATTTTCTGATTGACAATTGGTTAAGTTTGTCTAAAGACCTGGGATCAATAGAAAGGAAATGTTTACGTTAAGATAAAAGATTGTAGAGACCAAGATTCTTTTGAAGTCTTATAGTGGCTGCCCTTAGAGACAATAGATGACAATGTTCCCTATTGAGACCTTTAAAAAGGTGCTAGACTCTTACTTAATCTCTTTAGGATTGGGAGGATCTGGAAGTAAAAGATCTAGTTATTTTAATAGAGAATCTTTACAAATGCAAATTTTCCCCCACCAAGAACAGATTTGCAGGGCCATTTCAAGATACGGCAGAGAAATACATTTTGGGGTAAAATATTTTTATTTTCTTCCTTGTTTCCTAATGTTATGCAAGAGTAAATGACGATATATAGGGCTAAATAAAACCCATCTGATGAGAATTTATGGTTTGTAGGGCATGACTCCCCAGACCCCTTAGATAGGAATCTGGGCAAGATTAAAAAGGAAAATCAGAGCTTATTCCTCATAGGTTTTATGCCTGGCTTTGGGGAAAAGGAGTTCTGGTTTCCATGACCTTGGGAAAGAGGGATTCTACTTTTTACGGCTAGCCTCGAGGGGGAATGGGACTGAGAGAAGGAGTACGGGAGAAGATCAAAGAAAAACTTAACTTCTGAGGCTATTTCTGAGGTCTTCATTTTGAGGTATTGTTTCTAAGCCCCAAGAAGTTGTAGACAATAAAATAAATAGATAGGGTACTTATTGAATTGGTAGGGCAGAACAATGGAACTCAATCAGTGTCATTGATGCTATATGTTATTATCATTAGTGGTATGAGTAATCTTAACTAACATTCTAAAGTTTACAAGTGAATTACTTCTCTTTTGTCTATTGAAAATATTTTTAAAATTATTTTGGTGATATCTTTTTCACACTTTTCCATTCAGATATGCTTTTGTGAATCATAGGGAGAGTCCACACTATAGGAATCATGTATGTGTTTGTGTTGTGCCTGCAAAAATCAGCTGCTATGTAGGTCCCAGTCAATGAACTATAGAGACTAAGAGAAAACTTCCCTTTTGCATTCTGAAAATCTGCATCTGACAAAAGGCAGACTAATAAAAGGAAAAGCATACAAAATTTTATTTTAATGAGCATAGCATGGGAAAAATCGCTGGAAAAATGATTAACCAATAACCAAATGGGGTATAAAAGCTTAAATACTCTTTTTCATGGGAGCAGGGAAAGGTGGGGAAATAGATAATGATTTCAAGTGGCAGCAAATGATTATTCAGGAGAATGGATGAAAAGAGATTAACTTATAAGTAATTCTCCTTGTAATTTGAATGAATCCCAGATGCAAGCATTGTAATTTTGTTTAAAAAAAAAAAAAAGTCCCTCTAGGTATGGTTAGTATGGCTGGATTCCTCAGTCTTTTCTTCTGAGAAAGAAAATAAAATTTCAGGGAGGGAAGGAAGGAAATTGTGTTTATTTTGAAAAGAAGCTTTCTTGGTCAAAGAAGGAAATTCCAGAGAAAGAGAGAGTCTCTTTTTACAGTTGGGGGTGGGGAGAAACAAAATAAGGTTAGATGGACCTTGACTCTGAGAAGTGTCTAAGGACTCTCAGCCAAAGTGTCAGTCTCTGAGGTATCACTTTCTGAGCCCTAACAAAACTATAGGTTAAGAACAAGATGGAGGAACATTGACAAAGAAGGAGATAAGAATGGAAATTCTGACTGGTAAGTAAAACCCTCGAAAACAGTAATTTAATACACAAATCATTTGATACATACAATATATTTTATGTTCTACGTGAATAAACTCAGAAACCTGTGAAGAGTGCTGTAAATAATATATGTATTGAGCAGTTTATTTAATAAATGTAAATAATTCATATTTTTCCATTTAAAGGAAAAAAATATTCCCAGTGAAAAGTTTTAGTATTTTTACATTTTGACTTAGTGCTAAAAATGCGAAATGTGGTTTTTAAATATCATGTCTAGTTATGATCTGCTTCCAAGATTCTATGCCAGAATTTCAAACTGTGAGAAGATTTCGCAATGGAAACCTTTTCAAACAATTGAAATAAAGCTTTGCTCTTACTAGGAAACTGAGAGACTTGAGAACATCCCACCTATGAAGAGATGAGAGATAGAATAGGAAGAGTAACTGCAAAATGCTGGTACAGTCAGAGACCTCCTTAATAACAGTCTCCCGATTTCATTAGGTAGGGCACAAGAAACCTGTAAAGAGGAGTGAGATGGAGGAAAAATTTATAGAAACTTTTCTCTATGATTGGCTTGGCATAGTATAGAAAAAAATTTGAGAGGAAGTAATTCAAAGAAAGAAGGAAGTGGGGAGGAAGGAAGGAAGGGGAAAAGGAGCAAAAGAAAGGAAGGAAGGAAGGAAAGAAGGAAGGAAGGAAGGAAAGAAAAGAAAAAATATTAAAAAAATTAAAGAGCTTGCAACCTGTCAAGATGTGTCTAATGCATCGCTGTTTTCTAGTAAGTGTGTTATTAGTATTATATTCTTATTCATTTTCATTTGTGAATTCTGTATATATTTGTTTTTGAAAATTGGTTTATTAAGCTCTTACAAGCCCTTTAAAAGTGAAATAATTATTTTCTAGTGCTATTAGGGAATTTGTTGAGCCTCTGTTTAAAATATTTTAAATACATTTTGCTTTAAACATAGAAAATAAGGCTTACAAATACAATGTTGTTGGGGTCCAGAACCACGCTACCCTGAAATATGGCATTGAGAAAAACAGTAGAAGCCGGAAGGTCACTCTGATATTCCCAGACCCTTTTCCCCTGAAATAGGCCATAAAAGAATTCCCTGTTCTTCCTTTAAAGTAGGTTATAAGGCCTTCATTTGGGAAATGCTCACCCTACGCCTGGAAGAAAAATATATCCTTATCTCTGAAGGCAAAGAAAGATAGAAACGAGTCTGAGCAAACAGGCCTCACCAAGTTCGTTCCCTCTGTTTATTATTAATAGATTATACCCCCTTTTTCCAGTCATACTTGTCCACAGCTATCTACTTCTTTATCTAACTTAGCAAAAAAAAACAAAAAAAAACAAAACAAAACAGGTTTCCCTATTTCTTTGGGTCTTTATTTATGAAGACTGTGTGTCACATAAAACTTAATTTGTTAGCAAAAAACTTATATTGAGGAAGTTTCTAGGCTTTTCTCTTGTTAGTCTGTCTTTTGTTATAGGTATCTTAGCCATGAACCTAGTGATGGGTGAGAAAAAAAAATTTTTTTCTCCCCTACAATGTCAAACAGAAGATCAATTAAAATTGTAATGACTTCACTCTTCGGCATTGGTGACATTGTTTAATGGTATTTTTAGTTTTTTTTTTCCAATAGGATTTGCCTAATAGAGTCTTAATGTGTTTCCAGATTTGTTTATCTGCAGCAAATCCAAGTTGAACCAAATGCTTCCTTTGTTTCTTTTCAGATACCCTGACATATACTTATAATTTTATAAGTCTTAGGCTGGCAAAACTCTGTGAGTACCAGGTATTAGCCTTGGGGGAAGGAAAAAAAAAGCCCGATTAGTACAACATGATTTTACTCTCTGGTCTCCTACACTTTCATTTTGAGATGAGAAAAGGAGGGTGAAACCATGTTGATGCTGTTTTGATTAAGTTAAAGTCAAATAACCCCAAATATACCTCTTGAGGAAAAATGTATTAAGTTGACAAGTTCCAGCTGTTATGTATTCTAATCAAATAGTACCAGAAACAATCACAGCATAAAGTTGAGGTAAACAGACAAGGCACAGTGAGGTTTCATAAAAGAGCCAAGTCAGCAAAGAGTGGTTCAGAATTTGATGATTGCAAAGAAAGAATTAGAAAATAATTGAATCTCTAAAGCATCTGTATTGCTTTAGTTGAGTTACTGAAGAGAGAGAGAGAAAGAGTGTGTGTGTGTGTGTGTTGTATGTGTATGTGTATAAGTTTGCACGCGTGGTTTTAATTTTGGATGACCATGTACTATAAAAAAAAGATAACTAACAATTGTATATCATTCGGTTCTTCAGAGTTTATAGTTTAATGTGTTTAAAACAGTTCAAGTGTATAAATTCAGTCATGTTTAGCATTAGTAATTATAAATGGGGATGGGGATACACAATAGCAAACAAAATTAAGCAAATATTTTTTTCCCCTTTGGAGACTGAAATAGTTGTGAGACCTGTGGGAAAATCAGCAAAAGATTAGAACCATTACTCTCTGTCATTGAGAGGCCTATGTACACCTGTGGTTGGAAAAGGTCAGTTTCCCCAGAGGGAAGTCATTTGTCCACTTCTACACTAACTGGTCTTCTAGCAAGTGATGGAAGTCCTTTGAAATTAAGTACAATTTCAAAGAATTGGCAAAACCTGAAATCAATGCCTGAACATGAGCAATCAACAGTTCAAAAGCCTGGAGCTAGATTGAAGCTATTCAGAAACCAAACCACTCAAGTGAAGAAGAGAAAGAAAAATAAACTTTCTGTGGATCATAAATGCCCAGCTGAGAGTTTTTTAGTTTTAAGGATTCTTCTTTGTAAAGAGAAATGACCTCAAAATATTAAACGATTTGGAGTAGTTTGGGCAGGGACATTTATTCTTTCCATAGCATGCTTGTGCCAACTCACATGCCCAAGTGGCCAGATGTGACTGGAAGTGGTTCCATGTGTCTAAATGGCAGCACTTGCAGGCACAAGTCAATGATTGGATTAATGGCTCTTGGCATCACGTCATCTAATCCAATTGAATGGGTGTCCTTGTCCTGTTGTGAAAAGAAGTAAGACCTGTCTTATTATTTCACTCGTTGGGGTGTCTTTCCATGAATCTAAAACACAAATTGTCTGTTCTCATCAACTGCCATTTTCTAAAAAAAATTTAGCTAATATTTAATTCAAGGTAAGTTGACCTACATATATATTTATTTTTTCAGATTTAGGAACTATTTTATGATACATTAGTTAATTTTTAACATTTATTAAGAGTGTTCAACATCCTAAAAATTTTGCTGATCTTAGATACTAAGTTGTCTCTTATAACAAAATTATTTTAGAGGAAACAAATCAAATATTACATTGTTACTCTTAGAAATAACTAACAAATTACTAATTTTCACACCAATTTTCTGGGGGGGGAAGGAGTTTAATTTGGAAAAACAGTGCAATTTTTCAGGCTTGTTAGCGACAATAAATTTTTCATATAAAATACTTTGTATAGTATAATTAGGAAATCAGACAAAAATATTTGGGCCACTTTTATCTTTTTTCTCTTTTAGCATATATCTATAACTACACTAAATATATATATTTATGTAGATAAATAGTCTTTAAGAATGTTACTGATTGAAAAATAATTCTCATTACAAATGTTGTGCCTATATACGCTCATTTGATAATTAAAGAAAATATGACACAAGTTGTTCCTTGCCTGAATTTCCTAATAATGTCATTGACTGAATAATAATGAATATTGGACTCTCTGTCTTTTCATTTATGAGCATATTGTCTGTGGGAGATCATGCTCTAGTGACAGACTGTTAATTTGTTTTTTCAGCTTGGTGTTCAGTGACACATTCTAAAGAGTCAAAGTACTTTTATAATCAGAGTACCTCATTACTAAGAAGGTTGTTTTAACTAATTTCATCCACTTATTCTATTTTTGTGAATCTTCATACTTGGGCTTCCTCACAATTATAGACATTTCTAGTTATTATAACGTTTCTTCTGGATTTTGCTAGCACCAGGAAATCACCTATATTCTATGAAAACAGCTGGACACTTTTGACATGCTTTTGAACATTTCTTGTCTTTCCTCATTTTTAGCGGAATGTTTATCCTTTCCTGAAAATGATTAGGAGTTGATTGTGCACAGCATCCTCACCGCCAAATGTGTCCTTCGCATTTTGTGCAATTACAAGTACATGAATGTATACAAAAAAATTAGTGCTTATAAGCATTACGACAGCAAGTGTGCAGCTCATACTTTGTAAAGTCTTTCTGTATCTGATTAAAATACATCAACGCTATTCTAATCAGCTTTGGAAAGTTTCAAAGATACTTCATAAGGTCAAAATTTTGTGGTTGCTTTCTCAAAAAAGGATAAAAAGTCTCCCTTTTGCTCACCCTGTGTATGAAGGAAATGTCATTATAAAAACTTCATTAATATGTAAATTGCAACATTTTGATTAGCACTTGCAGACCCCTTTTGTTAAGAAACAAGACGGAAGGAGCTAACCAGATTGCAATAATTTACATAATAAAAACTCAGTGGTGGCAATGCCACCAAGTAGAGAACCTAAAGAAACCTAGGATGTCTTTTTTAAACAGATTAATAAAGTATTGGAATCACAAAGTACAAAAGGAAAGAAAATATTTCTCTTTTAACTGACAAACTCTATTTTAGGGGAAATTACAGGTATTGCAGATTATATTAAGATGATAGGATAGAACATGTAGTCAACAGTATCAGCACATACACATTTTTTTCAATTTAGAAATTTATGTTTCCATCACTCGTGTTCAGGGATTTAAATAAAAAACACAGGCATCTATTAATGAACTTGGTTTTGGTAGAAGATAGCATAAAAGGAGACTTAGGTTTGTTATGAAAATAACTAACTCATAGTCATTTAACTAATTGAAAGTCATATTTCAATTTAATGTGAGAAATTTGTAAACACTAAGAAAAAAAGAAACAGAAAATTTAAGATTTTATTGATTATTCGGTTTTTAGTATGTGTTTTTGGTGCCTTGTAGTTGAGGACTAAGCTCTGATTTTTTCTCATCTTGTCCAAATTCCGATCTAAGGGTTCTGGGGAGTTATGCCCTACAAACCACAAATTCTCATCAGATAGGTTTTATTGAACTCTATATATTGTTGTTAAAGGTGGAGGGTGTCCAGGTTTATGGTGTCTTGAACAAAGAACTGGACAAAACGCACAAAGCAAGGATGGAATAAAGGGTCTTATTGAAAATGAAAGTACACCCCACAGTGTGGTTGCAGGCCTGAGCACAGGGGCTCAAAGGCCCCGTTACAGAATTTTGGGGAGTTTACATCCTAGAGGATTCCATTGGTTACTTTGGGTACACCTTATGTAAATGGAGAGGATGAAGTAAAGTTACATTTATGAGGTATGCCCTGTGGAGAGGATATTTCCTGTTATAGCTGAAGTGTGAATTGGCCTTATGTTCCCTGCCTCCAGACCCTATTTTCTTGCCTCATTGTGACTTACTTTCCAATTTGACTTTGGCATAACATTACATGACTAAGAAGAAAATCAAAATATTTTACCCTAAAACATGTTTCTTTGCCTTATTTTGAAATGGCCCTGCAAAGCCATCCTTTGTGGGAGAAAATTTGCATCTGCAAAAAATCTCTATTAACATAGCTAGATCTTTTTCTTCCAGGCCCTCCCAATCCTGAAGGGATTAACTGAGAGTCCAGCACCTTTTAAAGGTCTGAATAGGAAACAGTTGTCATCTCTCCTCTTTAAGGGCAGCCACTGTGAGACTTCAAAATAACCTTGGTCTCCACAATCTTTTATCTTAACCTGAACATTTCCTTTCTGTTGATCCCAGGTCTTTAGAAAAACACAACCAATTGTCAACCAGAAAATGTTTACATTTACCTATAGCCTGGAAGCCCCCTCCACACTTTTTAAATTGTCCTGCCTTTCTGGACCAAACCAATGTATTTCTCAAATGTATTTGATTGATGTCTCATGCCTCCCTAAAAGTGTATAAAACCAAGCTGCACCCTGACAGCCCTGGGCACATGTTCTCTGGCCCTCCTGAGGGCTGTGTCACAGACCGTGGTCACTCATATTTGACTCAGAATAAATTTCTTCAAATATTTCAAAGAGTTTGACTCCTTTTGTCGACATAGCCCACAGGACATTTTATGAATAGGTCATCTAAACAGAGAAAAGCAAATGAAAAAGCTAAAACAATACTGTGGGTACTTTGATAGAAAAGTACATTCCTTGGAAATATACACATGGCACAAATGGAACTAACGCATAGAGTCTTCAGATTATTGCCTTTTCTGCACTTCACTTCTTGTTTGTTAAATACATCTACACATTCATTTGATTTTAGGTTAGTGATATTACATTAAGTAAAACTCAGTCTATGGCACATATGGAAATATGATGCTATGTGAAAGTGAAATGTAAGAATACTAATTAGAATTTTTTTAATGAATTTTTTTTTTTCCGGAGGAGAAATTTTATAACATAAGCTTTGGATAAGACAGAAAATAGTGACCTGGTCATGAGGGTTTGTTAATAACATCTTCCATTTGAATCCAGAAAGGCGAAAACCATAGTTGGTGACAGTAATTTGTTCGTTGCTCAAAGAAGCTGGCGAATTGCCTTGAACTGCTGATTGTTGCCTAGGAGGGAGGTAATTCTCACCTCAATGCTTTATCTTTTGTAATGTTCTTGTCTTTAGTGTCATAGCAATTAGGTTAGCACCAGAGAAACCTATTAATCATTTTGGTAACTACTAAATTGCGTAAGAGTGTCGATTTGGAATCTTAGGGAGAAAATAGTAGATTAATGAGCTGACTTCAGTTTGATATGATAATCCAAAACTGAATATCTGGTGCCTTACTTGTTTTACAGAGTTGCGAGTGTATATTTTACCCTCTAACCTCTACCTTAACATTAGCAGGAAGTGGGATAGGATATTTGTTCAGAAGTAGAAAAAGAAAGAAAGATAAAGGCAACAATAACCAAGCAACACCCATTAAGGAAAGGGTTATGTATTTTGTATAGGCTAAAACTAATGTGATTCAATGTGTTATGAAGTTGCAACGATTCTTCCCTTCCATATTCACTTAGGCAAATTTGATGAGTGTTCCAAAGAAGACTATTCTCTGTGTCTGTGACTTAAGTGCTTTTGAGAGACAGGACTAGCTGGATTTCCTAGGCCGATTAAGAATCCCTAAGCCTAGCTGGGAAGGTGACCGCATCCGCCTTTAAACACGGGGTTTGCAACTTAGCTCACACCCAACCAATCAGGGAGTAAAGAGAGCTCACTAAAATGCTAATTAGGCAAAAACAGGAGGTAAAGAAATAGTTGATCATCTATTGTCTGAGAGCACAGCAGGAGGGACAATGATAGGGATATAAACCCAGGCATTCGAGCCAGCAACGCAGCCCCTTTTGGGTCCCCTCCCTTTGTATGGGAGCTCTGTTTTCACTCTGTTAAATCTTGCAACTGCACTCTCTGGTCTGTGTTTGTTACAGCTCAAGCTGAGCTTTCGCTCGCCATCCACCACTGGGGTTTGCCGCTGTCGCAGACACAGACCCGCCACTGACTTCCATCCCTCTAGATCCAGCAGGGTGTCCACTGTGCTCCTGATCCAGCAAGGCGCCCATTGCCGCTCCTGATTCTGCTAGAGGCTTGCCATTGTTCCTGCACAGCTGAGTGCCCAGGTTCGTCCTAATCGAGCTGAACACTAGTCACTGGGTTCCACGTTCTCTTCCGTGACCCACGGCTTCTAATAGAGCTATAACACTCACCTCATGGCCCAAGATTCCATTCCTTGGAATCTGTGAGGCCAAGAACCCCACGTCAGAGAACACGAGGCTTGCCACCATCTTGAAAGCTGCCTGCCGCCATTTTGGAAGCAGCCCACCACCCTCTTGGGAGCTCTGGGAGCAAGGACCCCCAGTAACACTTCCACATGGCACCTATGGGTCACCTGAATCCTGAGTTTTTATTAGAGCTAGTCAGGTACAATCTAAAGAGTTCAAAATCAGCTTTGGCTTTTTCACATTTCGGGAAAGGTTTTATATTTCTTGCACACTCTGCATCTTCTAGTGCTAATGACTTTGTCTGGGGTTGGTATCACTTAGTTAGGCAACTGTTCAAAACAAAAGGAGAAAGCAAAAAGAAAAAAACAAATAGACAATAGTTTAATTAATTATAGTTGAAAATAATTCTTGAAATGATTCTAGTCACATCTCTCCTCAAATGTATAGTTATCTTTAAAAGCATATAGTTTTGGAGGGATTTTTTTGTTGTTGTAATTTTGAAGGGATTTTCCTTTAACTGGCTTCTATAAAAGGAATTCTATTATGACTAAAGCAAATATTGGTTTAATGGCTAAGAATAACAGCAACATATTTTTATTTCCTTCAACCAAAGGGCTATTCCATTTCATGGGAAAAAAAATAGTTCCTAAGGTGTAGTATACCCATGGGGAAATTAATACGTATTTTTTTTAAAAAAAGGAAAAAAGAAACCTGCAGAAAGGTTTGTGGTTTAGTGAAACCCTCAGACCATTTACCAGCAGTTTTAACAACTTAGCCATAATAGACCTTTGAAAAACCTTTTGTTAGAAGAAATTACTTATGGTACTCATAGCATGGTGAAAAAACAGGAACAGTCCTACCACCTCCAACATCCTAAGATCTTGTACATAGTTCAAATGTGATTCTGTAATCAAGTGTTAGAAAGGTATTACTGTCATGGTTTACTTTAAAAATCTTTAGGGATAAGTAAAGTTGGATGTTTTCTTTGCACATTTCTGTGTACTCATAGGAGGGAAGTCATATTAATTAAATATAACTAACACTGACTCAAACAACAAAAACAACTAACAAATCCCTTTTTCTGGATTTTGAAAGAGTTCCTGATATTTATAGTTGTAACAAAATTAATTGGATATGTATTTCTGTTCTAAACTTCAGCTTGCAGGTATAAGCACAAGTCATGACATTTATGATGATTAAACACAGCGTGAATATGTAAGAAACAGTGCTATCATTTTGCTCTGCATCTTTGCTCAAAAGTTTATTCCCAAAGGGGCATGAGTTTTTTATATATTTGAAGAATTATGGGACCAAGTTATGATTTTACATAAATTTTTTGCAAAGTTTAAGCTAAAAATTATTACATGCATCAAATAACAGCTTGTGTGTGTGTGTGTGTGTGTGTGTGTCTGTGTGTTTTATCATAATATAGCAAATAAGTGAGAGCTGAAATTTGAACATAGGTGTTTCTCATTCCAGAGGTTCTCATCTTCTGTATTTTTACTGCCCCACCATTGTGGCTCAGTGGTGGTCCATCAGAAAAGCAAAGTACCCTTTTCCTTTGTAAGGAAGGAAACCGTTTATTTTTCCTGTGTCTAGTTTAGGTTCATTGGCTGAAGCCCTGTAAATTAGACACAAAAGACAGATCAAAAAGAGAAAAACTGTAAGAAGTTTGTTAACATGTGCATCACGCACACACGATGGATGCTCAGTGCTGAGTAGTAACTCAATGGGTTGGTTAGAACTTGAGCTTATATGACATCTTAGCAAAGAAAAATAATGTAGAAAAGTGACAAGATGGCCAGGTGTGGTTGCTCACACCTGTAATCCCAGCACTTTGGGAGGCCAAGGCTGGTGGATCCTTTGAGGTCAGGAGTTCGAGACTAGCCTGTCCAACACGGTGAAACCCCATCTCTACTAAAAATACAAAATTCGCTGGGCATGGTGGCACATGCCTGTAGTCCCAGCTATTTGGGAGGCTGAGGCAGGATAATCTTTTGAACCTGGGAGGCAGAGGTTGCAGTGAGCCGAGATTGCACCATTGCACTCCAGCCTGGGTGACAGAGTGAGACTCCAGGACTTGAATTTCTAGGGCAGCAAATTGTGGGTGGGCTCAAATAGAAGATAAGGGCTAGTTAGTAAGTTTTGTTATGCAGATGCTTCTGGTGCCATCTCTGGGCTAATTAAGGTCTAGAGTTGTCTCCTCTGATTAGGCATTCTCCTGTCTTTCCTAGTAGAGAGGGAAACAGGGAGGGCAGAGAGTTTCTCGAGTCTGTTTCTTTTTTAATTGCTTTCAGCTCAAAGTAAACCTTAGGTCGAACTTGCATATTTGAGGATGGCATACTCTGAATTCCTTCATCTGTGATCAGATCTTGTTTCTTTTCATTTGCAAGATCTTACATTTGCAGACCTGATGGGAATGGAGAATTTTGCAAGATATTTAAAATTAGTTTCTAATTTGCAGATATTTGTTTCTAGGTTAATTAAATCATTTGATAATTGTGTGTTATTGAATTGCTATCAAATCACAATATATCAGATTGCTAGCAAGTGATTTGGTGGAGACACTTCTCTGTTCTATAAAGTACATCATACCTGAAATACTGAAATAAAAAGCTATGATCGCCTATTTGTTAAAATTTACATTCTGCCTGTTGTAGATTATAAGAAGGTATATACATTTTGTGGTAAAAAATTTTAAAAGTAGATACGGTAGGCCGGGCGCGGTGGCTCACGCCTGTAATCCCAGCACTTTGGGAGGCCGAGGCAGGCAGATCATGAGTTCAGGAAATCGAGACCATCCTGGCTAACACGGTGAAACTCCGTTTCTACTAAAAATACAAAAAATTAGCCGGGCATGGTAGCGGATACCTGTAGTCCCAGCTACTCGGAAGGCTGAGGCAGGAGAATGGCGTGAACCTGGGAGGCTGAGCTTGCAGTGAGCCGAGATCGCGCCACTGCACTCCAGCCTGGGTGACAGAGCGAGACTCCATCTCAAAAAAAAAAAAAAAAAGGTAGATACAGTAGATAAATGCATAAATAGAAATATAAGTACGTGAGATGAACTGACAATTTGCAATACTTCCTAAGGGGATAAAACAGGGCTAGCATTTTGATGAAAACGAGTACTTTCTGGAGACGGTTGTCTCTGAGCTGGCCCTGAAGGATGGAGATGGTAGTGGTAGTGCTGCAATGCACCATCAGAGGGATAAGGGCAGTCATAGTGGATCTGGCACGTGGGTGTTTAGGTAACAATCACTTTTTGGAATTGACTGACTGGACGACAGAGCTTGTGAAGAGTAGTTTGAGAAAACGGAATTCTTGAAAATTATACTATAAATAATGGAGGAACCATGAGAGCCATATGTAAGAATATTCTGCCCAGGTGTGGTGGTTCACACCTGTCATCCCAGTGCTTTTGGAGTCTGAAGCAGGAGGATCACTTACAGCCAGGAGTTCTAGACCAGACTAGGCAAGACCTCCTCTCTACAAAAAAATTTTAAAAATAATAAAATTCAGCTGGGCATTGTGGCACGTGCCTGTAGTCCCAGCGACTCAGGGGGTGAGGCAGGAGGATACCCTGAGCCCGGAGGTGGAGGATACAGTGAGTTATGATCCTGCCATTGCACTCCAGCCTGGGCAATAGAGCGAGATTCTGTCTCAAAAACAAAACAAAAAAAGAATATTCTGGTAACTTTGTGTAGGGTGTATCATATACCAGATAGGAAAAGACAAGTGACAGGGAAACTAGCATACTAATTTAGAACTCAAAATCTGTATCCAGAATGTTCTCCTAAACCAATTTTTCATCTAGATGCAAATAATACATGCTACCTTATCTCTTAAATAATTATCATAAAAACCATCAAAACACCACAAATATTCATAGTGCATGCCTTAACTTTTTGTGATTCCTCTATTCTTAGAAGCAGACTATATATTTGGGATCTTAGCAAAATGCCAAAGGAGGAGGACGAAGCTGTGTTCATTATGGATTTGTTATAACACTGTTCCATCATAAAATTCAAGAGATATTTTGCAATGATTTTTTAAAAATATATTAGTTTTTATATAGTTAGACTGGGATAGTTAGACTTGGGTAGTATCTTAGTCTATTTGGGCTAGTATCATAAAATACAATAGACTGGATGGCTTATGAACAATAGAAATTTATTTCATACAGTTCTCAGTGTTGGAAAGCCAAGATTAGGCTGCCAGCACAGTCGAGTTCTGGGGAGGGCCTTCTTTCTGATGGTTTTTTCACCATAATCTCTCATGGTAGAAGAGAGCACTTTTCTTTTTTAAGGCACTAAACCTATTAGAGAGTGCCTTGTTCTCCTAAGCTAATCATCTCCCAAGGACCCGCCTCCTAATACCATCACATTGGGAGGTTAGGATTTCAATATATGAGTTTGGGGGAGGCACAAATATTCAAACCATAGCAGACAGTGAATAGAAAAAACAAAAACAATACTACAATATTATGTAAAAGCAAAAATCTTATTTTCTTCATCTCAAAGAATATTGAAATCAAAACAAAACAAGAAAACAACAACAAAAAACATTAGAGTATTAGCCTTAGATACTAGAATTGCACATTTCTTCATTCACTGTAGCGTTGAACTTCTCTGACCTAGGTAAGAAAAATAATAAGCAAGAGTAACAATATGTTCAGAAAAATTGGAGTCAGATAATCAATTTTCAGTAACGGTGTGATTTATATGTCTAATAACATGACTGGCAATTTATAGTCTTTACCAGTAAATCTCAAAACACAATTTGCTGCAGCGATAAGCAATTTATTTAGTATAAATGGCCTTTAATTCTATTAATGATTGATTAGTCTATAAATCACCAAAAGAGCCACATGAGCCTGCAAAAAATGATGCCTTAGCTCTCTTATTTATTTTTTATTGAAAAATTCTGTATTATTACTAATACAAAATGATAGGTCAGACCTTTCAAGATAAGAATGTTAATTAGTATAATATAAAAACTCTACTTTTTATTACTACTAAATCATTTTGAAATAAACTCAGCAAAACATATGTGAATTTTGGTACATTTAGAAATACTTTGAAATAAATTAATATACTAGAAAATACAACAGAAATGTGTTTCATTAGCTATGCCATTAAAAACTTGTTTCTTTCCTAGGATTTAAAAATTTCTTTGTCATTTTGGTAATGGGTAATCAATTTAAGATAAAAAATTTTTTTGAAGAAAACAACATGTAAAATGAGATATTCATTTAGAAATGTGTAAGGTGGCCATTTATACATTCGGTGACAACACTTAATGACTTAACTCTGGGTTTATTATATTTAGAAAGCAAAGGTAACTGCAAGCACAGTCTGACTAAAAAGCAAAAGGAACACATTTGAATGCATCTCAATGACTTTCTGTTTCCTTTAACAAAGATGTTAAGCACATAGTTTCAGTTACAAGGGGCCTCATGGTTTCGATGAAGGAGGTTGTATGGACTGTTATATAGAGGACTGATCATAGTAAAAGATATTTAACTTTCTACACCCATTCCATAATCTTGTTACTGTCTTACACAATTAACCTTTTCCTTTGATACTCCAATGTAAAACTGGATCAAGGACATTTCCAACTTTCTGTCACTGAAGAAAAAACATAGTTGTGTGAAACTTGACTTGCTCGATTTTTGTCAATCTAGGTGTCCAACACCAAATTTTTGCCTTCATCTTTGTTTTTCCTGCCTCAAGGTGGCCTCAAGTTAACATTGGACTTTGAGTAATACCTAAAGCCTGGTGAGAGCTTGGTTATCATAATTCTTCCTTTATGCAGAACGCAAGTTGAAAAGAAATTTGATTCTGTTGCTTCCTGTTAGAACATTTCAACATACTCAGATGTCAAATGGAAGAAATTGATTTTGATAGAGTTCTGGGCTCAGCTTGTGAAGGCATACTTTTACAGGATTTTTTTCACTCCCATTCTAATTTTTCCGGTGAGCTGACTGCTAAGGCATTATTCATGCATGTCATAGGAAGTTGGTAGTCCCATTTAGTGATTTACTGGCTTGGGTGCTTTTTGTTGAAGCCTGAATAAAGTGACAGGAATCCTTTTTACTTGGGATTGCTCTTGGCATAGCAAATGCAAGATATTCAGCTAAAATAAATACCCATGAGAGTCATAAATGCCATTAAGGACTTGGATTCAAAAGGAATGCTAAAGTTTGGCTTGAATTTAAAAACAGTCACGATTTCATTGTTACAGTGGCTGAAGTTGGCAGATATAATTGTTTTCTCAGATGCATTCTTTTTACTATCTGTAGGTTGTCAGTTCAAGAGGCAAAGGTTTTGTCTCTCTCTCACCCCCGAATCCCCATCCCCTACAAAGAGAAAAATGTCGAAAACCTAAGTATCAGTGAAAGGCCATGAACTCTATGGGGGGTTTGGGGGACTATACAGAGTTTCAGAGATTTTCATCCCTACCCTTTTCTCTACTTCTCTTCTCTCTTCTGCCTTTTCCCACCCTCTTGTTTTTAGTTGGCAAAGTACATTTTACTGTGTAATTATTCACTGGTTTCTTGTCTCTTCATGTGCTTTTTAAAAAGAGAAACAAAGTATTATTTTCTAGCAGGTGGTGACAGATTTTCAACAAGGCAATGATCAAAATGACAAGATAGAAAAGTTTTTCTTTCTTTATTTCTTTTTATTGGCCTGCAGAACCAAGACTTTGGGCCTTTTGCGAATGTATTAGGTTGGCTGGCAGAACATTATATCCAGGACGCCAAACCAGTGTAAAGACCTAGTCCATAACCTCTAATCTTACAGACATGAACTCTATTATTTTCCATTAAAATTAGAGGTTACCAAATTGCAACAGATGTCCTTAATAGATGTCTTTATTACCGGGGAACATTAGGTAAATGAACATTGAACCCAGTATTTTAAGTCTCAGTTCATGGAAATACAAAGCTCTATGGTTGGAGCTAGCATTTTAAGCTCAAATTATAGAAGCCTTTAGACAATTGGCATTAATTGATGCATTGGCAATTTTTCTAAATTGCTGCAAGTATGAAATAGTGGGAATTTTTAAAAAAGGAAGAATCCTAGCTACTCTAAGAAAACTACAATAGTTGACATCCCCTAATTTATAGGAACTATATAGTACATTTCAGTAGCAAGAATATTTTAATTAACTGCTAAGAGAGTAAGACTGAGGGTGGAAATCTTCCAATAGACCTATAATGAAAACAAGCTGAAGGATGAATAACTCAATATAAAAGAGCTTTATGACTATGTGTTATTGCAGGTGTCCGAATATTTTAAAATAGAGAAGATGATGTCTATGTGTAGAGCAGTTTAGCTATAAGCCTGCAAAAAATGGACAAAAACATGAGACAAAGCTGGGCCACTGAAGGCAATGAAATTAGATATCTTATCACCATGAAATTACTCCCATTGACTTGCTTAATAAAATTTAAATACATTAATATTCTATAATATCTGGATAAAATTCTATGTGCCTCCAGTGTCACATTAGAAGTTTTAATTCACAGCTCAGTGTTTCTCTGCTTAACAAACTGCTTTCCAAATAGTTAAGAGTAGAATTCACTTTACCATGGGGCCCGTAGAGAGGTAAAATGTTTAAAGAGATGGACAGTATTTAGTACCTGTGAACAAGAAGAGACAGCTTTTAAATACATTGCTCTTTTCCCTCACATTGATAACTCTCTGTGAACAAAATGAATCCCATATTTGTAGCGTTTTTCTCTTAGTCATAGTATTCCCATGACAATTACTATAACCAGAAAGCATATTTAGATAATTTTTTTGGTCAAATTCTGGAAGTGGCAATGGCAATTCTAGGTTAATTTGGAGAAAATGTGTGGGCTACACACAAGTGGGAATGTATGACGTCAAATCTGTAGGTAAAATCACAGTAAAAACAGTAGAAGGATTTTCTGTCTGGCATCTGAGGAGTTTGGAAGTTTTCACTCTGTCCTTACAGTAAGTAAAAAGCTGAGAAACTGAAAAGTCAGCAACCCTTCATAGATTTGTTAGAGAATGGGATTACAGGACAAACCACTACCCCCAAAATTGGAATGACCGACAGGGAGAAACCCAGGAGCAAACTTCTCCAGAACTAGTATTTACTAGGGAAACCTTAAAACCGTAATTGACAAATCCTGGAGGCTCAGTATGGACAAGGATGAGAGTTGAAAACTCCAGGGCATTGTGGGAGGGGCACATTTTGGTGAGTTTTACCTCCAGGAGCTCAACCAGGTTCTCATAGTGAATATTGGAGAAAAATTCCTTTGTGCTTCTGGCAAGGGATGGGGAAAAGGAATCATTTTGACATATGCCAGGGCATTCTGTTTTTCTTAATAAGACTTATCCTTGGGAGAATATATTTTACAGAGCCTAACCTGCTGGGTTTTACCAAACTCTAACCTACCTGGTTGAAGGAACATACTCAGCCTCAGTGTCCTTTAGTCATCCTATCCCCGCTAAAGTGAGAGAAATACTTGTGCAGTTCACAGTTCAGTGGCACAGGCTCACTAAAAGACTGAGACCTAATCATAGGACGAAAAAATTCTTCCACTTCCCCCACCTTACCACTACATGGCCAAAGACCAATTTACAACAGATCCTCTTACCCAGTATGCCATGTCTGGCTATTAAAAAAAGATTAAAGAGCAAAAAAGAAAAAAAAACAGTTTGAAGAACAGAGCAAGCATTAGAACCAGGCGTGGATGTAGCAGGGATGTTGGCATTATCAGATGGAGAATATAAAACAACTATGAGTATTATGCTAAGAGCATTAATGGATAAAATACACAACCTGCAAAGACAGATGGGTAATGGAAATTCTAAGAAAAAAAATAGAAATGCTAGAGATCAAAACACTGTAACAGATGTGAAGAATGCTTTTGATGGACTCATTAGTAGACTAGACATGGCTGAGGAAAAGAATCTCTGGGCTTGAGGATATGTCAATAGAAGCTTCCAAAATGGAAGGTCAAAGGGAAAAAAGCCAAGAAAACAAGACAAAACAGAACAAAAAAGCCAGAACAGACTATCCAAGACCTGTGGGGCAACTATAAAAGGTATAACTTATGCCTTATGGGAATACCAGAATAAGAAGAAAGAGAAAAAGGAACAGAAGAAATATTTGAAGCAATAATAACTGAGAATTTACTCCAAATTAAGTCAGATACCAAACTGCACATCCAGGAAGCTCAGAGAACTCTAAGCAGGATAAATAGAACAGAACAGAGAGCCCAGAAATAGACCCACATAAATATAGTCAACTGATCTTTGAAAAAGGAGCAAAGGCAATTCAATGGAGCAAAGATTGTCCTTTTAATAAATTCTGCTGAAACAGCTGAACATTCACATGCAAAGAAATGAATCTACACACCGACTTTACAACCTTCACACAAATTAACTCAATATGGATCATAGACCTAAATATGAAATATAAAGCTATAAAACTTATAGGAGAAAATCTAGATGTCCTTGTGTATGATGATAATTTTTAGATAAAGCACCAAAGGCATGTTCCATGAAAGAAATAACTGATCAGCTTGATGATGTTAAAATTAATGACTTCTGTTCTGCAAAAGATATGGTCAAGAATAAAAGAAGAAAAGGTAATGACTGGGAGAAAATCTTTATGAAATATTCATCTGAAAAAGGACTGTTATTCAAAATATACGAAGAACTCTTAAATCTTAATGAAAGAAAATCAACAATGTGATTAAAGGAACTGACAAAATACATGAACAGAAAATAGGTAGATGGAAAATAAGCATATAAAAATATGCGCCACATCATGTGTCCCTAGGAAATTACAAATTAAAACAACAATGAGATATCATTACATACCTATTTGAATGATCAGATTCCAAAACACTTACAACATTAACTGCTGGAGATGGTGTGGAGCAACAGGAACTCTCATTCATTGCTAGTAGGGATGTACAATGGTGCAGCCACTTTGGGAGATGGTTTTGCAGTTTCTAATAAAACTAAACATACTTTTACCATATGACAAGGTAATCACACTTCTTAATATTTACCCAAAGGAATTGAAAATCTGTGGCCACACAAAAACCTGGACACAAATGTTTACAGCAATTTTATTTATAATTGTCAAAACTTGGAAACAACCAAGATGACCATCAGTAGACAAATCAATAAACAAACTGTGGTACATTCAGACAATGGAGTATTATTCCGTGCTAAAAAGAAATGAGCTGTGAAGCCATAACAAGACATGGAGAAAACTTAAATGCATGTTACTAGTGAAATAAGCTTATACGAAAATATTACATACTGTATGATTCCAAATATAAGACATTTTGGAGAAGGCGAACCTATGGAAACAGTAAAAACATCAGTGGTTGCCAGGGGTTGGAGGGAGAGAAGGATGAATAGAGCACAGAGGATTTTTAGGAAAGTAAAACCACTTTACATGATACTACAATAGTGGATATATGTTATTATACATTTGCCAGAACTTATAGAATGTACAACATAAAGAGTGAGCCTAATTTAAACTATGTACTTTGGGTGATAACAATGTGTTAATGAGTTTCATTGATTATAATGAGAAGAACATTTAATTATTACCTGAATTTTGGTGATGGTAACACACAGGTGGGTCAAACTCACCAAATTGTATGCATTAATTATGTGTAGTCTTTTTATATACCAATAAATAAATACAACTGGAAAAATAAGTTGGCAAACAATGTTTTAAAAAGTCTATAAACATATACACACAGTGGTATAGATAGGAGGGGACTGTCTAATATGTATTGTAAAATTGTCATAGAATAAATAACTTCTCCTTGAAAGGGCAGTATTCAGAAGCAGCACTTGTTTGAAAATAAATGTTCAAGATGGGAAATGGGCAAAAAATATTATTAGGTGTCCTTTTGATAAAATGCTGAGTCTTGTCATGCAAACTTTCAGAGATGATCTGATTCCATAGGGCCATGTACCTTTAACTGGCTTTTTATGGGTTAGCACTTACAGGAATACAAGTTAAATTATAGAAAACTGACAGTAATAAAAGTGATTCTTGTCTGTATCAATGTAAGTAAATTTTGTCTGGATGATATACAATTAATTTTTGCTCTGTAGAAAAGATAACAGCAATTATTACATTATATGGTCCTATAGGATATTAACCAGTTTTGCATCTCTTAGAAAATGCATTTCAACATTCTTGGCTTTAGCTTTGCTCTATAAACTCTATATTGAACTTGTTTTAACATCCTACTGGTTCCTTCATTAATGAGTTTAATGAAATTTTTGACATATATTCATTTTATCTTTGTGTGAGAGTTACATTTATAACTGTCTGAAAATTATTCTAAAGCACATTCAGTTTGAAAATTTACTTTTTGCCAAAAGCCAGGGTAGTTGATAAAGCTCCATTTGTTATATTACAGGGAAGAAAGACTTGCCCTGTTACATAGAGGAAACCACAGCATCCATCTTCTTGACTTCATATTATAGGAAGTAAACCAAAGTTTTAAGAACAATAATATAACAGCTGACATCCCCTGAGAATTTACTATGAAAAAGTACACATTTTACATATTTTATCTCATTTACTTTTTAAAATCTGATGACGTGGTGCTAATTTCAGTCCCAGTTCATAGATAATTAAAAATATTAGTGTGATGGCTTGGTAGCAACTAACATGCTGAGATCATACTCTGTGTCTAGCATTATTTGAAGTGCTTTACACATATTACCTCACGTAATCCCACATCAATCTCATCCAGTTGATATAATTCTTATTCCAGTTTAACAGATGAGAAAACTGAAGCCCAGAGAGAATGAATAACTTGTCTATGGTCTGCGGTCTATCCCTAGATGAATCCAAAGTCTAAGTTCTTTCTGTACATGAGGCTTCTTACCTAGAACAGATACCTAAAGGAAATGCAATTGTCCTAAGACTCCCTCTGATATAGTTGGGATACATATTCCTGCTAAATCTCATGCTGAGATGTAATTCCCAGTGTGGGAGGTGGGGCCTACTGGGAGGTGTTTGAGTCGGGAGGTGGATCTCAGATGGCTTGGTGGTAGCCTTGTGGTAGTGGGCTGTGAGTGAGTTCTCTCCAATTCTGGATGTTTAAAGTATGTGGCTCCTCTGCCACACTCTCTGTCGTTCCTGCTCTGGTTATGTAATGTGTCTGCTCCCACTTTGCCTTCGGTCATGAGTAAAAGCTCCCTGACGCCTCCCCAGAAGCCGCGGCTTGTAAGCCTGCAGAACCATAAGCCAATTACCTTTTTCCTTTATAAATCACAAAGTCTCAGGTGTATTATTTTCTTTTTTTTCTTTCTTTGAGACAGAGTTTCACTCTCATCACCCAGGCTGGAGTGCAGTGTCGTGACCTCGGCTCACTGCAACCTCCACCTCCCAGGTTCAAGTGACTCTCCTGCTTCCGCCTCCAGAGTAGCTGGTATTACAGGCACCCACCACCAAGCCTGGCTAATTTTTTATATTTTTAGTAGATACAGGGTTTCACCATGTTGGCCAGGCTGGTCTCAAACTCCTGACCTCAGGTATCCACCCACCTAGGCCTCCCAAAGTGCTGGGATTATAGGCGTGAGCCGCTGTGCCCAGCCTCATGTATTTTTTTATAGAAATAAAAGAGGAACATCATCAATTAACCAGGAAAGATTAACCACCACAGAAGAGATGAGACTAGAAGTCATCACCACACCCAAACAGACTTTGTATTTATTCTTGTGAGGAAGCTCCCAGAGATTACCTGGAGGACTTTTTCTCCATAATAAGACAATTTTTGTTCCTGTGCAGTTCTGCCTCTCACCTTCCCATAACCTTCCCATCTAACTTCCATAGAGAATCATTTTCAAAATAATGTCTGCTTTCTGGGTCCATACATTTCTCCCCTATGAAAAGAATATTTAAGCCTCAATCATTTGACACCTCATTGAGTCTCTCACTTTGTGTATAGCTCTCATATCCATATGCATATTAAAATAAATTTCCTATGCCTTTTTCTCCTATAATCCACTTTTTGTTAGTTCATTTTCAGTGAACTTCTAGAGGATGGAGATAAACTTTTCCTTGGCTCGTACGTGGGCCTGTTAGGACATTCCTGCATTGCTGTAAATAAATACCTGAGACTGAGTAATTTATAAGAGGTTTAATTGGCTCACAATTCCACAAGTTGTACAGGAAGCATAGTGCTGGCATCGGCTTCTGGGGAGGCCTCAAGAGGATTTCAATAATGACGTAAGACAAAGGGGGAGCAGGTATCTCAGATGGAGGGAGCAGGAGCAAGAGAGAGTGGTGGTTGGGCGGGGGGAGGTGCCACACTTTGCATTAACCAGATCTCACAAGAAATCACTATTGCAAGGATAGCACCACACCAAGAGGGATCCCTACCCATGATCCCTACCTCCCCCCAGGCCCCACTTCCAACATTGGGGATTACAATTCAGCATGATATTTAGTGGAGACATATATTCAAACCATATCAATGGGCAATAATCAGTGATGATTATGCTATGCTTGGGGCAGCCGTGTACAATAAACACTTGTCCCATCCAAAATACCAATATCACTACTTTAAAAAACAGTATTGAATGAGCTCTAAGTAGAAAGAAGGAATGATGATTTGATACAGCAACAGAAATGGATTAGAGGAATATGATAGAAAAGTTAATGGTTATTTTTTGTTAAACTCTACATGTTTCTCAGGAAAAAAAAATATTGAAAAAATGTAAGAGTAAAGTCTTGTCTATATTCACTCATATTAATCTTAGAGTAATTTTATTTGTGAAATGTACTTTTCTCTGATTATATTTCAAATGTATTCCAAGCAGATGCTGTACTGTTTTTATATGCATTATCTCATTTGATCTTCATAACAATAACTTTAATATACAGATCAATAAACCAAAACTAAAGAGACAATTATTATTATTTTTACATTTTTAGGAGGTGAAACAATTTGGCTAAGTTCACATAGCTTGAACATAGTGAAACTGGAACTGAATGCCCAAATCTGTCTAATTCAGCAGCCAGTATTTGTTGGGTTCTGGGTAGCAAACAACGAAATTCCCAATTCTGGTGAAATAAGCAGATAATTTAACTGGAAGGATAAGGTAATTGCAGTATCATGGGAAGGCTCCAGAATCAGACTCAGAATTTGGACTTGAACCAACAGAGACTAGACTGATGAAAACAGAGGCAAGATCATGTCTTTGACACTAGAACCACCAACAGTGGACTCTCATTTGCCACCACAGCTGCTGCCACTACTGTAGGGCAGATGCTTACTAGCCCACAACATTTTCAACCCTGCCACGACTGCTGTGAATTTTCTGTTTGTCTCTCTGCCTTTGCTTTACTGTCTTAGGATTCAAAAGTACAGGTAGGAATACTTAGTTTCCTAAACCAATGTCCCCCAGCTCCCAGAGCAAGAGGGGAAGAGAATGAGTACCCCCATACCTCAACCCTTAACTTCTTTAAGTGTCTGACAGGGACTGATATGCCACTAATATGGTATTTCCCTTGGGAAAAAAAAGTGTCAGAATACCAGTACTCTTCACATCCTTAATAATATGGTAGCTTTGGGTTGATTATGTAGACATGAATTTCATTTACACTCCTCTGCCATAATTTAATGTTGTTTCATTATTTCTTAAATGCATGTAAATAGGCCATCAGACCCCTGTTTTTTTTTTTTTTTTTTCTTTTTGAGACAGAGTCTTGCTCTTGTCATTCAGGCTGGAGTGCATTGGTGTAATCTCGGCTCACTGCCACCTCCGCTTCCCAGGTTAAAGCAATTCTTCTGCCTCAGCCTCCTGAGTAGCTGAGATTACAGGCACCCACCACCACGCCCAGCTAATTTTTGTATTTTTAGCAGAGATGGGGTTTCGCCATGTTGGCCAGGCCAGGTGATCCACCTGCCTTAGCCTCCCAAAGTGCTGGGATTACAGGTGTGAGCTGCTGTGCCAAGCCAGACCCGTCTTCTTAATCCTATGTAAGAACAGGTTTTATTACAAACATGTGTAGTGAAATAGGTTGGAACACAAAGTAGGGAACAGCTAATTATACAAGTCTATTTACCAATGACTTAATTCTAGTTCAGTTTTTATTTTAACAGTTTTTATGAATATGATACTTCACATTTAAAAAGCCCTTTGTGGCCAAGTGCAGTGGCTCATGCCTGTAATCTCAGCACTTTGGGAGGCCAAGGTGGGAGGATCACAAGGTCAGGAGTTCGAGTGCAGCCTGACCAACATGGTGAAACACCGTCTCTACTAAAAAAAATACAAAAATTAGCCAGGCGTGGTGGTGCGTGCCTGTAATCCCAGCTACTCATGAGGCTGAGGGAGGAGAATCGCTTGAAACCTGGGAGGCGGAGCTTGCACAGTGAGCCGAGATCGTGCCACTGCACTTCAGCCTGGGCGACAGAGCAAGACTGTCTCAAAAAAAAAAAAAAAAAAAAAAAAGCCCCATTTTATATAATATTTTAGCTAGGCAGTTTTCAAACTTCTTTGCCTCCTGATCTCTTTACACTCTTAAAAAAAATATTTAGCAGACTATAGGAGAACAGAATATGCTACCTCAAAATATGACTGTAGGAGACCAGAGTACGCCACATTAAAATATGCCTCTTTTGGCTTAAGAATTAAAGTTGATTATTTTGAGAAACTTCAGACAAAGGAAAAGCTCTGAAAACGGAGTAGAATTTTTTTTATAAGGAAATCTAAATCTATGAAGGAAGTATCCATTTGTAAGAGTATCTCCTAAAGAGAAAGATGGTTGTAAATCACAAGAAAATTTTGTTAATGGCTAAGGCGCTGACTTAAATCTGCATAACAAACTTCACTTTTTTTAAACTGTGCTTTTCTAGGTCATCTCCCCATTACTGGTTTCCTCTTTCTGTTCCAGCTGAAGATAGTATTTAAGCCTGAAGTCTAAACCACCTTTTGGAGATTTACTCATTTCTTTGGGTATCTCCTATGTATATACAGGAGGTATGCATGTTAATACATTTCTGTTTGTTTTTCTTTTGTTCATCTGTCTTTTGTTACAGGCAGTTCAGATAAGAACTCAGAGAGGGAAGAGAGAAAACTTTCTCCGCTACAGCTCTGGTGACTGTGACAGAAAGTCAGAACTGTATATTTCCTCCTCTACAACCCTATAGAGCTTACATATATATAGATTATATTAATCAATATTCACTCTCTTAAAAATTAAAATTGGAAACCGCCATCAATAAATCAAGTGTGATCAGGGTGAGGAACAGGAAAGAAGGAGATTTGGGGAAATGAGATGAATGTCAGGTGGATCAGAGAGATACAGTCATGGGGGTCAGGTGTGGTATCAGGAATAATGTGGGAGGCCGGATTGAAGTCCGGGCCAGGAACAATGGTAATTGTGGGAGACTCAGCAAAGAGTGAGTACAGCTGAAGGAGCCGGGGAGCAGAAAGTGTATGCGTCAGGTATGAGGAAGAAAATAGATTTTGGAAGTTATGAGAACTGTAGAGAGTGAGTTTGTGATTTTGAGGGCCTCTAAAAGTATTAAAGCAGTGGCAGCCACTGCACGCAGACGTGAGGGCTAGGCTAAAACAGTAAGGTCAAGTTGTTTGCACAGAAAGACTACAGGGTGCAGTCCTGGCTCTTGTGTAAGAATTCTGACCACACTAACTATGCCTAGGAAGGAAAGTTGTTGTTTTGTAAGGGATTGAGGTTTGGGAGATTAATCGGACATGATCAGCAGGGAAAGCAAGTATGTTTTTATGAGAATTATGCCGAGATAGGTAACAGATGAGGATGAAATTTGGGCTTGACTGAAGTAATGGGGGCTGTCTATGAAGCCTTGCGGCAGTACAGCCTAGGTAATTTGCTGAGCCTAATGGGTGTCAGGGTCAGTCTAAGTGAAAGCAAAGAGAGGCTGGGACGAGGGGTGCAGGGGAATAGTGAAGAAAGCATCTTTAAGATCGAGAACGGAATAGTGAGTTGTGGAGAAAGGTATTGAGGACAAAAGAGTGTACGGGTTGGGCACCACAGGGTGGATAGGCAAAACGATTTGGTTGATAAGGTGCAGATCCTGAACTAACTTGTAAGGCTTGTCTGGTTTTAGGACAGGTAAATGGGGGAATTGTAAGGAGAGTTTATAGGCTTTAAAAGGCCATGCTGTAGCAGGTGAGTGATAACAGGCTTTAATCTTTTTAAAGCATGCTGCAGGATGGGATATTGGCATTGAGTGGGGTAAGGGTGATTAGGTTTTAATGAGATGGTAAGGGGTGTGTGATTGGTCGCCAAGGAGGGAGTAGAGGTATCTTATACTTGTGAGTTAAGGTGGGGAGATACAAGAGGAGGACGCAAAGGAGGCTTTGGATTGGGAAGAAAGGTGGCAATGAGATATAGCTGTAGTCCAGGAATACTCAGGGAAGCAGATAATTTAGTTAAAGTGTCTCAGCCTAATAAGGGAACTGGGCAGGTGGGGATAACTAAAAGGAGTGCTTAAAGAAGTATTGTCTAAGTTGGCACCAGAGTTGGGGAGTTTTAAGAGGTTTAGAAGCCTGGCCGTCAATACCCACAACAGTTATGGAGGCAAGGGAAATAGGCCCTTGAAAAGAAGGTAATGTGGAGTGGGTAGCCTCCGTATTGATTAAGAAGGGGACGGGCTTACCTTCCACTGTGAGAGTTACCTGAAGCTCAGCATCTGTGATGGTCTAGGGGGCTTCCGAGGCGATCGGGCAGTGTCAGTCTTCAGCCGCTAAGCCGAGAAGATCTGGGAAGGAGTCAGTCAGAGAGCCTTGGGCCAGAGTTCCAGGGGCTCTGGGAGTGGCTGCCAGGTGAGTTGAACAGTCCGATTTCAGTGGGGTCCCACACAGATGGGACGCAGCTTAGGAGGAATCCCGGGCTGCAGGGCATTCCTTGGCCCAGTGGCCAGATTTCCGGCACGTGTAGCAAGCTCCTGGGGGAGGAAGTTCTGGAGGAATGCCTGGCCGCTGCGGTTCAGGCGTTTGGAAGTTCTTGTGTGCTGGAGATGTGGCTGGGGTTTGTCTCGCAGTGGAGGCAAGGAATTGCAACTTTTTTCTGTTATTGTACACCTTGAAGGTGAGGTTAATTAAGTCCTGTTGTGGGGTTTGAGGGCCAGATTCCAATTTTGGGTCTAGGGCTGTAAAGTGTCTCAGGGTTGCTGCCAAACAAGTCATGAACTGGGCTGGATTTTTATATTTGATGAAAAAGAGCCTAAACGCTGTCTGATTTGGGATAAAGAAAAAGGAGCATTAACCTTGACTATGCCTTTAGCTCCAGCCACCTTTTTAAGAGTAAATTGCTGGGCAGGAGGGGGAGGGCTAGTCATGGAACAAAACTGTAAGCCGGACCAGGTGTGAGGAGGGGAGGTGATAAAAAGATTATAGGGTGGAGGAGCAGAGGCTGAGGAAGAATTGGGACCTAGCTTGGCCTGGCGAGGAGCAGCCTGGGGAGTAAGGGAGAGGTCAGATGGGTCTGCAGAAAAGGAAGATTAGAAAGACTCAGCGATGCTTGGGGTTGGTACTGAGGAGACAGGCGGGAGGGAAAGAAGGAAGATTTGGGACGAGTTGCACTGGGCACAGAGACTAGGAAGGGACTGATGTGTAAAAGAATGCCTGGACATCAGGCACCTCAGACCATTTGCCTATTTTATGACAAGAATTATTTAGATCTTGCAGGATGGAAAAATTCAAAGTGCCATTTTCTGGCTATTTGGAACTACTGTCAAGTTTGTATTGGGGTCAAGCAGCATTGCAGAAGAAAATAAGGCAGTTAGGTTTTAGGTCAGGTGTGAGTTGAAGAGGCTTTAAGTTTTTGAGAACACAGGCCAAGGGAGTAGAAGGAGGAATGGAGGGTGCAAGTTTGCCTATAGTGAAGGAAGCAAGCCTAGAGAAAAGAGAGAGTAGAGAAAGGAGGGAAGGGGTTTGGGGGTTCTTACCTTCCAGAAAAGTGGGAAAAGGGTTTGGGGCACAAAGAGGTCAGGGCACGGAAATAAGGGATGGGGCACAGAAATAAGAGGTCGGGGTGTGGAAATAAGGGATTGGGGCACAGAGATATAAGAGGTTGGGGCATGGAAATACGGGATTGGTCACAGAAATAAGAGGTCAGGGCATGGAAATAAGGGATGGGGAACAGAAATAAGGGGTCGGGGTGCAGAAATAAGGGGTTGCGTCATGGAAATAAGGGGTAGGAGCACAGAAATAAGGGGTCAGGGCATGGAAATAAGGGATTGGGGCACAGAGATATGAGGTTGGGGTGTGGAAATAAGGGATTGGGGTGCAGAGATACAAGGTAGGGGTACTTGCCCCTCCTCTAGAAAAGCAGGACTTGCAGCTAAGAGTGAAGGAGAAGGGGTTGAGGGGTACTTGCCCCTCCCCCAGAAAAGCAGAGAAGGGGTAGAGACAAGGAGAGAAGGGGTTGGGGTACTTGCCCCTTTCCCAGAAAAGCGGGACTTGCCGCTAAGGGTGAAGGACCAAGGCAGGCATCCCTGCGTGGTCTGACACCTTTGAACCATGGGTGAATAATCAGAGAGGCGTCCCTGCAATGATTAAACACCAAGGGAAGGCTGCCTTCCCAGTCCGTGACTGGCACCAGAGTTTTGGGTCCACGGATAAAACGTGTCTCCTTTGTCTCTCCCAGAAAATGAAAGGATTTGAAATTAAGAGAAGGGAGAGATTGAAGAGTGGAAAGGAGAAAGTGGTTGAGGGACAGTGAGAGAGGTTGGAGAAGAGAGTAAGAAGAGGCCGCTTACCTGATTTAAAATTGGTGAGATGTTCCTAGGGCTGGTCGGTCTGAGGACCTGAGGTCGTAGGTGGATCTTTCTCATGGAGCATAGAACAGGAGGACAGGGGATTGATCTCCCAAGGGAGGTCCCCCGATCCGAGTCACGGCACCAAATTTCATGCACGTCCGTGTGACGAGACCACCAAACAGGCTTTGTGTGAGCAACATGGCTGTTTATTTCACCTGGGTGCAGGCGGGCTGAGTCCGAAAAGAGAGTCAGCGAAGGGAGATAAGGGTGGGGCCGTTTTATAGGATTTGGGTAGGTAAAGGAAAATTACAGTCAAAGGGGGTTTGTTCTCTGGCGGGCAGGAGTGGGGGTCGCAAGGTGCTCAGTGGGGGAGCTTTTTGAGCCAGGATGAGCCAGGAAAAGGACTTTCACAAGGTCATGTCATCAGTTAAGGCAAGGACTGGCCTTTTTCACTTCTTTTGTGGTGGAATGTCATCAGTTAAGGTGGGGCAGGGCATATTCACTTCTTTTGTAATTCTTCAGTTACTTCATGCCATCTGGGCGTATACGTGCAAGTCACAGGGGATGTGATGGCTTGGCTTGGGCTCAGAGGCCTGACAGTGATGGTGGCTTCTTCAAAGGGGAATGGGAATCTTGGAATTAAAAATGTAGATGGAGAAAGCTGGTGTTTTATGGGTGTGGGGCTGTGCTTATGAAGACTGTTAATTCTTTAGCCTAAGTAAATGTACAGCACCTTGACTTTTCAGGTTCAGAATTAGGAAACAAAGCAGCCTATGCTCTAGAAGTCTCTAGACTTAGAGTTTTCTGATGTATCCTACAATCGGTTTCTCTGAATTAGTTATTTGTAAATTGCAAAGTGAGAGTATCTCTCAGAAAGAAATATTCATAGGGCAGTGACCTATTATTAACCACTGGTAGCCAAACTCTAAAGTTAAAACCAGCAAATCAATAAATCTTTGTTTCATAAATGAATGAATATTAAACATAATGGTCTATCCATGTTCTCCTGTGAAGGAGAGTAACTGTGATTTAACCTCTCCAGCCAACCCAACTGCTGAGTATAAAATTTGTCAATTAGAGGGTTGTTTGAACCTGCTGTGTGCTAAACCACACCTCCCCTTTACTCTGAAAGGCTTCACAAAAGTTGGTGACCCCAGGATAATTAACAATTCTGTTGACACCTAATTGGTTTCAAGTGGTTTGCATACACCTAGAGAGCGTGAATAGGCTACCCCTTTCTTTCCTTTTAAAATACAGGTTTCACTCACATTATACAGTTACATAATAAAAGCGAAAATGAATAAAGAGAGAATGACACCCTCTCCCCTCCCTGGCTGAAAATGTCAATGGTGGCAACTGTTAGACTTTAGCATCTGAAACTCTGGATTGAGTCATTTATGAGGAGGATGTATGTATGTGTGTCTGTGTGTGGAATATGCATGTGTTAGTGTTGTCTTTGAGATGATAAGCCACACTGCTAGGGACTGTATTTTTTCTCAATCTTGTAAATATTGCCAGGGGCTAACAAACAATGAACAAACAAAAAATACAACACAATGTTTTAAATCTATAACAAAAAAACATCATATTGACATAAAGAAAAAGATCTGTAGGAAGAGAAATCATTTACCAATAAAAATTCTATTAGAAGGATAAGAATATCCCTTAGGAGAAGAGTTTGATTTCTGCTTTGAAAGTAAAACAAAAGTTATCCTATGAAAATTATTATTAAGAATTAAGTATTCTATCCCTATTTGTTACATCTGAAAAACAGAATTTGTTTTTTGTGAAGCGTCATGTTTGTGAGCTAAAATAATTCCCATACTTGTAGGCAGTCAATTTTGTTGTCATCTTTTTCATACCCAACATAAGCACAAAGAATGCTGGTGTTGGAAGGGAGTCCTTGAGCCCACCTAGACTGATTCTTTCATTTTTACACATAGTGTATTGGTTGTATTGAGACTCAGGACACACCAACTAAAAATATACCTCTTTTGCATATTATTTTGAGTTGGTTATTTTGAGAAACTGTAGATACAGAAGTATCTGTGAGACGTTGCCCATCTGTAAGAGAAATTTATATCTATAAAGGAAATATCCTTTTGTAAGGGTGTCTGCCTCTGCTTCAGGAATAAATGACTAAATCACTAGAGACTTAATGAATGGACCCTCAATCACGGACTTAAAACTTGCATAACAGGCCAGGCATGGTGGCTCATGCCTGTAATCCCAGCACTTTGGGAGGCCAAGGCGGGCAGATCACAAGGTCGGGAGATCGAGACCATCCTGGCTAACACGGTGAAACCCCGTCTCTACTAAAAAAACAAAAAAAATTACCTGGGGGTGGTGGCAGGCATCTGTAGTCCCAGCTACTCGGGAGGCTGAGGCAGGAGAATGGCGTGAACCTGGGAGGCGAAGCTTGCAGTGAGCTGAGATCGCGCCACTGCACTCCAGCCTGGGCGACAGAGCGAGACTCCATCTCAAAAAAAAAAAACAAAAAAAAACAAAAAAACTTGCATAACAAACTTTATGTTTATTTTATGGTGCTTTTACTCACCATCTTTCTTAACTGGGCCTTCCTCCTTACTCGCTCTTACCCTCAAACCCCTATTACTTTCAATAGCTCAGGATAATATATAAGCCTGAATCATCCAGCTTCTTTGAGTTCCATATTTTTGTGGGACTTGTATGCATACATACATAATTAAAATTATTTTTCTCCTGTTAATGTGTCTTATGTCAATTTAATTTTTAGGCCAGCCAAAGAACCCAGCAGCACAGAAGGAAGTAATATTTCCTCCCCTACAGTTGAGGATGAAACTCTACTGCTGGAATCTCTTGGTTGTAATCCAGATTCTAGTGCAAACTAGCTTTGAAACAAAATGTTTGAAAAAAATTCCCACTACCAATGGCCCCTCATCTGTATCCATCTCATTGTTTACAGGATTAAATGATTACATAGATATAAAGAGATTGACATGGTAATTGCTCAGTACTTGCTAGACATTATTATTATTCTCACAGAAGGGGCTCACAGAAATGAAGAGATACAGCAAAGTCAGGTTTAGACTCTGTTTTTCCAACACTTTGCCAGAGATTTTCCATTACTTTGGGATCACAACCATCCAGAACCAAACAACTTTTACTGATTGCAACAAGTTAAGAGACAAGAATTTTCCTAAGGTCAAACTGTGGCTTTTTTCTATCCAACTCTGAAGGAGGAAAAACAATCTTTTTTCTTTATCCATCTTAGGTTCTCTGGCTGGGACTCTGAAAATTAGACTGACCAAAGACAAACTAACAAGAGAAAAACAAACAAAGTTTAGTAAGATGTGCCTTGTACATACACATGAGAGCACTCAATGAGGAGAAACCCCAAGGGGTGGTTAGAACTTGGGCTTATATACCACCTTAGGCTAGACAAAGGAAAAGGAGTTTTGGTCTTCATATGGAAGAGGCGAGTTATGGAAAGGTGACTAAAAAAGTATGTTAAATAAGGGCCATTTAATAATATTTTTATGCAGATTTTCATTGGTGCTTTCTCCTTTGATAAGAATTGTTAAGAGTCTTCCTGTTTCTGGTACAGGAGAGAGAGCTACCTTTTCCAAATAAGACTTTTCTTTATAGAAAGAAAACTTGTGCCCTGTTTTTGGAGCTTTTCCTAGGTTTGCTGCTTTTCAATAGCCTTTAGCTCAAAATATTCCAGATGCCAAAGAGGCATATTTTGGGATAGCATATTTTGGTATCTTCACAATTCTTTTTCCTTATCTGCTCTTTCTCTTATATGTGTTTTCCTCTTGAGTTAGACTAATTTGGTCACACACACACACACACACACACACACACACACACAGAAAAAGAGAGAGAGGGAGAAAGATCTTGAAGGAAGAATCATACATCCATTCAATAAATATTTATCATTTACAAAATCCAAAGATAGTAAACTTGGTCTTTCTGGTTTTGACATATTAGACAAAAAAGCAAGAACTATTTTTTTCTTGAGCAGAAGGACCTCTTGCTGGTGACGATTTTGCTTATTTATTGCCATATAACCCACAAAACCCAGACTGGATTCATAAGCAGTTTAGTCAATAATAACTATGTTTTCATTAGGCTACGTCTATAATTTCCTGTTAATTATCTGTGGGTTTCAACATCACAGAAAACCAGAATTATTTGGCCCAAGAGGTATGCACTATGTCTTTCTCTAGTACGTGGTAAAGGTTAAAACTAATATATTTGATGTGCTAAGAAATTGATGTTAACTCATTTAATCTTCAGAAAAATTCTATGAAGTACCAATAATAACAGATATTGCTTTGTGTCTGTATACTATGTGCCTGGCACTGTGCTAGGTACTTGATGCTCATAAAAATAATCTTTATAGCAACAAATGAAAAAGATCCTGCTGCCATTTCCATTTTATAGAGGAGAAACCAAGACTGCAAGAAGTACATAATCAGCCTATGGTCATATAGTGAGTGGCCAAAGAGCAGATCTGGATTTAAATTCAAATTTGTCTCATGATAAAGTGTATACTATTTTGCATACATTCCGCCTCTTCAGCTTTATATTAGTCTGTTCTCACACTGCTATGAAGAAATACTGAGAATGCATAATTCATAACGAAAAGAGTTTTAATTGACTCACAGTTCCACATGACTGGGGAGACCTCAGGAAACTTCCAATCATGGTGGAAGAAAAAGCAAACACATCCTTCTTCACAAGTTGGCAGGAGTGAGAAGTGCAGAGTGAAGTGGAGAAAAACCCCTTATGAAACAATCAGATCTCATGAGAACTCACCCACTATTATGAGAACAGCATGGGGGAACTGCCTCCATGATCTAATTACCTCCCAAGACATCCCTTTCCCTACACATGGGGATTACAATTCAGATTACAATTCAAGATGAGATTTGAGTGGGGACACAGAGCCAGACCATATCAAGATTTTAGCACGTAGCGTAGTACCTGGCACCTAACACAATGTCTGATTCGCACTAGAGAAGCCATAAATATTTGTGGAATAAGTAATTGTGAGAAGCAGCATAATGTGAAAAGAACTTGGGATTTGGAGTCAGAGAGTGTTGGTTACAATCCCTGCTTTAATGCCTTCTATTTAACTGGGATAAAGTGTTGTTTTATCACTTCCACAACTTGCTCTGTACGTCTCTACAATTGGTTTAATACGAAATGTTCTGTATTGTGTGGATTAAAGTATATTTAAAGTGCTTAGCCTACTGTGTCTTCTGTAGTAGATACTTAATTGTAGTTATCATTATGATGAATTTAATAGACATTGATGCTGTTCAGGACATGCTATCTCAAAATGTGGCACCTTGGCATATTGAATATTTAAAATGAAGAAATCTGAAAATCATCCTGTGCAGGAAAATCTCTGACCTTCTCCAACCCTTTTCCACTGAACCAGGTCATAGAACCTAGGAAGAAATTTCTGAGCTTCTCCTGAACCAGGTCATCACACCCTAATGTGATAAGTGCTTTCCCTCTACCTGGGAGAACAGAGCATCCTTATCTTTAAAGACTCAGGACACAACAGGAATCTAAACAAGCAGGCCTTGCTATGTCTATCATTTCATCATTGTATACTGAAATGTTCTCTCTTTTCATTCAATTAAAAATATCCTCTGTTAATTTTGAACTTTCTTCCCTAAATTATAAGAAAAGCAGGTGGGTCTCAGCTACTTCTACATAAAGCATTACCAAATATGTCAAGTACATAAGATATATTTTAATAATTTTTAATGAGAAGAGGATGTGAATTCTCATTACAGTATTTTGGAGAAAAATATATTTATATCATGTATTCATTTATAAGTTAGAAGTAAGATTTGCATAGGCTGTGGATTGATGATTAAAGTATTGTCTAAAACTAAGCTGCCCATTTTGTAATAAATGAGTTCAATAATCAGTTCACTTGGTTGATCCTTATTTATGATATTTAGATTACTACTAGCTTGCAAATTCCTACAGTATTTCATACAATCCCTGTTTTTCCTTCCCTCATTTGAACTAATAGTTCTCTTTATTGTATTGATTTAGCCAGCTAAGAGTGATTATTTCAGACCTTAGATATTTATTGGCACAATGTTCATCTCCTGTTGAGGTTGTTTAGAAGTAAAAGATTCTGTTGAAACATCTGGATGCGAGGTAGTAATACCAGAGTATGTGAGTATTTTAAGTTAATTCTGACAGAAATCTCCTAGACAAGTATCTTCTTTTTTTTGTACTGAATGGCTCTTGTTACCAAGTCCTCTGAGAATTTTTTGACATTCAAAATGATGTTCTACTACAACACTGAAAGATTTTTCTTCCTGTCAAATTCCCAATGTATAAATTATACAGTTAAAAATGAGATCACCAACATGTTAGGGCTCCATTCTCTACAGACATTTTATAATATTTTTATATAAGAAAAGCTTTTAGATACAATATAAAATGTCTGATACATATCTTTTAGAAAATAGGCTTAGGGGAAAATAATTTTATTCAGCTCTGATATGACATTTGATATTTCAAAAAGCATTTTAAAATAATTAAACACTTTTCTTGTTCTAAGTATAAACTTCATTCAGTTGTTTATACCTTTCATTCATTCATGCACCCAAGGTTGCATTTGATGGCATTTAAAGAAAGAAAATCTCTACACTATAACCTTATTTTTCTTATCTAGGGAGACATCAGAAAATTCCATGCTCTTATTAACATAACATTTGAAATCCCTTGGCACGTGTTTCTATATTTGATCTTAATTAATGAGAAAATTATCCTGAAATTCCTAGAAAGGTTTATCAGATTTCATTAGACTCTTGTTAAGTAAATCCTTTGTATTCCTGCACCGTTTTTCATTTTACTTGTGCGGGGGTTCTCAGGCCAAAGAAATTGCTTGCTTTTAAGCTTGAAATTAACAGAAAATTAGGTGGAAAAACCTGCCAATAACAAGCAAACAGCAGAATAGACAGACTGTTTCTGTGAATACATTTAGTAATATCAGGATTAAAGTCAAAGATACATAGTTCTATTTTGTTGTTTTTGATTTTGTTGCTGTTGTGACAAATTTAAATCTGTAAAACTGATGCAATGGGTAAATTTTCAGATGTGGCAATAGTTGATGTAGGTTTCCAAAAGTATAGTTCATCCATTTTCATTCAATGTGACTTTGCAATGTCTTGGGACTAGGTAATTGGGACTGCATGCAATGATCTTTCTTAAACTTTTGCTATTTTTGCTCATTTGCTTGTCCACTATTTTCCTTTTAGGAACAGGGTAGATGATCTGGACATACTTGTTTCATTATTAAGATACTTTGGAACTACTTTAAAAGGATGAGGCAGGTAGGTAAGTATAAACTGTAATTTATTTGAGTTCCTCACTAGTGAAACTTTAGGGCTACAAGGTTATTCTTAATATTCTTAAATTTAAAAAAATTAAAACCTATTTTAGGTGCATGAAAAAGAGTAATATCTATCTGGGTTGGCTGTGTCCCCACCCAAATCTCATCTTGAATTGTAGCTCCCATAATCCCCACATGTCATGGGAAGGACCCAGTGGAAGGTAATTTAATCACAGAGGTGGATTTTTCCCATGCTGGTCTCAGGATAGTGAATAAGTCTCATGAGATCTGATGGTTTTATAAAGGGTAGTTCCTCTGCACATGCTCTCTTACCTGCCACCATGTAAGATGTGCCTTTGCTCCTGCTTTGCTTGCTGTCATGATTGTGAGGTCCCCTCAGCCATGTAGAACTGTGAATCCATTAAACTTCTTTTTCTTTATGAATCACCCAGTCTTGGGTATTTCTTCATAGCAGTATGAAAATTGACTAATACCCTATCAGAGAGTTTATTAATATGCTATAAATGAATTACTTTTTAAGTAAATGTTAACCATTAAATCTTTAGTGCATCTTTTAAAATGGTGAATTAAAGTTTACCACTACAGAAGTTATAGATTCTGTGATGCTGATCATAGTAAGAGAGTTCACACAATGTTGTTATCAGGAGGAGTTTATTCTGTAGAATAAAGTATATGTCAGTCCAGAGAGAAACAAGGTATTTCAGTTCTGTGATGCTGATCATAGTAAGAGAGTTCATACCATGTTATCATCAGGAGGAGTTTGTTCTGTAGAATAAAGTATATGTCAGTCCAGAGAGAAACAAGGTATTTCAGTGCTCCAAATTCATCTGAAACCCACAAAAAAAGAAACAAAACTTTCAGTGGATTCGAGGTAGGAAGAATGATCATTGTAATGTGTAGGCCAATTCTGTCATGTTGTCAGTGATTTTTGATAATCTCTTTACTTTTCTGGTAATACTGACCACCTTTGATTTCCAAGATTATCTTCTTCCCTTCTAAATGTTTGGAAATTTAGATTTTTGGCTCTTCTGTTTTTTTAAAACCAGACCTCGGATATGTATATTGTGTTCTCAAGGTGACTTTTAGGTGATAGTGGGATAACGAATTAAAAAACAATAATTTTACTTAGCTGAAAAACTGCCAATCTTTGAACCAAATGTTATATTGTATGTAGAAACAAAATAAATAGGTTCAATTTCTTCATATATTTTTAAGTAAAAAACAAAGAGCTCTAGTTTCTTATTATATGAACTTAAACATATATATAAAATTATTTTGACTCATATGAAAAGCGCGTATACTCAGAACAAAGTCATTCACCATATGAACTTCATAGTCATCCCTTCCAGGTCTCCTTTCATTTCCATGTTGTATCCTTTTTGGCATAATGGTGCTACCAGAGAATTAGTTTCCATTTCTTCATTCTTGAGAAGGAATCATTACATCTACAATACAAAGATACTCTGAGGATTAAATTAGAAAAAATACATAAAATACTTAGTGCAAAGTCTGGTATATCCTAGCACCAATAAATGATAGAGTTTATCCTCTGTTCTCCTAGTTCATTTTAAGGCATAATCCTACCATTTTTTTTAATTAAGAATATGTAAAGAAGAGATTTTCTTTTTGCAATGTAAGAATTCCATTTTTTTTTAAAGGATGGCATCTTACTATGTTGCCCAGGCTGGTCTCAAACTCCTGTCCTCAAGCAATCCTCCCATCTCAGCCTCCCAATGTACTGGGATTATAGGTGTGAGCCATTATGCCCGTCCCACTTCCTTACCTATAAGAATAAATAAAATATGATGCTGTGGAGTTGTATAATAGCTTTTAAATAGAAGAGAGGATTTCAGTGGGCTTTAGGGAGGCAGGACATTGACTTCTGGAGAAGTGATCAGTTGTTTACATTAGAAAAAGCAACAGCATAAATAGCAATTGTCATTCAGAATTAGATTAACATGCTTTTTTGTGTTGTTAAGTCAGACATGTGTGTTATAGTAGCACAGCTTGTGTTATTTTTGCATTTTCTAAAAAAAGGCTTTTCAAGAGTAGCATTTCCACAATATTTTAAAAATATATTCCTATTTCTTATGAAACTGGATATTGCATTCCTACAGAGATGGTAATACTGAGAAAGCTAACATTAAATCCAAATTCTGGGAAATTTGCTCTATCAATGCCAGTAGTAAATTATCTCGATTTAACTTCAGATCAAATATCTTATAAGACAATTCAGAGATTGTATTTTTATCTATAATGGTATCAAGGTGGCTAATCATCATTATTACATTGAGGGAAGATGAGTCATGTGTGTGAAATGATCGTGTGGACTCATTCCAATTCCTCTGAGAAAGACCCTGTAATTGGCATCAATTAGTTCTCTTGTTGGCAGTTGTAGTAAACCATCTGAAATTTAATAAACAGAGGCTGAAATGCATTCTCAATGAAAGACAGTCATCTTGGACATTGATGAGAGCTGATTAGCAAATTGGCAGTTGGTATTCACCCTCCCTCTTCAAATATTGACTTAATGCTTTTCCCCCTTTATCAGCATAAGACTTCATTTTCACTTCAAAAAATGAATTAAGTTCTCCTGAATAAATAGTTATGTGATGATTTTACTTTGTCCTTTTTGTACATATTTTGATATGAATGCATGTGTTACAGACAAATGGGGAAACCCCAGGGTACCACTTGCCACATTGAAGTTATATACGTTAAATACAATTGTGATCTTAAAACATTGGTGCACTTCAAATACTTAATTTAGGCATGGAGAGTAGAACTATTCACTGAGAGATTCCAGGCAGTGTTTTCATATGAAATTCACAACTTGGTAAAAGAGGAGACTTTAGTTATTACCTAATTTAACTGTGAAGTAAAATGAAGTTCCAACCCTCAGAGAAATTAGATCAAGAAAACACAAGTTATTGTTTTATTTTAAAAGCTAATTCTTTTTTAACCTCACAACTACCAAGCCTGTGATATCAGACTTAATTCACATTTTTACATTTAACACTAAGGATAAATACGTATGCATTTTATCAGCTTAAAAAAATCATATTGTGGTGTTAGTGCATGGTAAAATAGTATTTAGGAAAGTAATAAGACAGTTTGTCTGTGACGTTTTGTTATCTCAAAATGTTGACTAGACAAATAAAATTTTTTGACCATTAAACAAGTCCAGTTTTCAACTTTCAGTTCACTCCTTTTGACTTTTATCTCATCCTCCATGATGTTCTCATGTCTTTGCTCTGCATGAATGCAGTGTGATACATCAGCTTTGCTTTGCTTTCTGCCCAAGTACTTGGCCTCATCCTTAAATCTCTTATGCTTTCTTTCTGGGATCTACCCCAATTTAATTATGCAAAACACTTTTGTTCTCCACCCACTATGAAGAGTCATTGTTGTGTTCTACTGAACTAATAGGTCTCCTCCAAGGTCAAAGTTTTTCATAGAAAAAAAGTAATATTCGTCTTTTTTCTTTCTCATGTTTTCACTGCTGACTGTAAATGGTACAGGAGAGAATTATAAGACAGAATGACCTTCATCAACCTTAACTTTAAATGGTATTTTTCCCCAAGATATCATATTGATCCCCTTCAGTAGTTTCATTGCTGTGCCACCAAGGTCAAATTTCATAATAAATGGCAAGTTATCATTTCTGTTGAGAGCACGGCACCTTTTCATTCAGCAAAATCAATGCTTCTTGCATTGTAACTTCAGTAAGGAAAACACACACACATACACACAGACACACACACACACACATGCAAATAGATGGCATTTAGCAGCTTTTATGTGATGGAAGAAACCCAAGGATAAATATAACCGTGACTTCAATAGAGTTGGATTGTAAAGGGAACTCTGGGGAAAAGTAATTTTGATCTTTTGTGCAAAGAAACATTTCCAGGGTGGTAACTATTTATCAAGAAGTTCTTGAGATGAATAGTCAGATTTTTACAGCAGTAAAAATTTAAAAATCAATGTAGGTTTAATTTGCTCATTTTCAGGGTCTACAACTCCAAGTACTGTTTCAAAGTTTCTGTGGTCTCTGTCCCTAGGAAGTAACCGTCCATTTAAAAAATAGGTTTACATTACTCTGTGGCTTTGTCCTCAGCTAATAATGCTCAGAGTGTTGGAGGATTTTAGAAGAAAATTATTAGAATTGAAAAGCTCTTTTTTTTTTTTTTTAGACAGAGTCTTACTCCCTCCCCCAGGCTGGAATGCAGTGGTACAATCTTGGCTCACTGCAACCTCCGCCTCCCAGGTATAAGTGATTCTCGTGCCTCAGCCTTCCATGTAGCTGGGTTTACAGGTGTACACCATGACCCCTGGCTAATTTTTGTATTTTTAATAGAGACAGGCTTTTGCCATGCTGACTAGGCTGGTCGTGAACTCCCGGCTTCAAGTGATCCTCAGGCCTCAGCCTTCCAGAGTGTTGGGATTACAGGAATGAGCCACCATGCCAGCCTTGAAAAGTTTTCATAGTCAAATGAGTGAATTTTTCGTAGAGGAATTTCAGATAGCCAGAAAAGCATTTTAGTTAAAGGGTCCTATTGACATATCACTTCAAAGAGGTAAACTACTAGTCTATGTGTATTAAATCAAAGTCAGTGTCTTTCTAAATATTCTATTAAGTATTACCAAATATACTACCTACTACCTAATATCTAATAACACAGGGTCCATATATATGTCAATTATGGACTTATTTTATCCAACAATATTCACTAAAACTTTATACTACTCGTCATTGTTTTACTTGTCTTTTGCCATCTTCTATCTTGTTTCTGTCAGCAATTATTCCCAACATTTTCTGGCTTTCTTGACTCTCATCCACCCCTTCCTTAGCAGATGGTCTTGCCTTTCAACCTGAAGAGAAAACTGAGGACTTTGGCATGCCCTTTATTACATCTATGCCCATCATTCCCCACTCAGATTTTAGAAGAGTTATTTTTTTTTTTTTTTTGAAACAGAGTCTCACTTTGTCATCCAGGCTGGAGTGCAGTGGTGTGATCTCGGCTCACTATAGCCTTGACTTCCTGGGCTCAAGCAATGGGTGAGTTTATAATTTCTCTAAACTTTTCATTCAGAATAGACTGTCTCTTCACTTGGTTGTTTTTCCACATGGGCAGGGTTTTCCATCGTCACTCCCGATTAATCTGAGCTCCAACAGAGGAGCCAGTTGCAAGGACTCCGTTTCCTGGGCAGTGTGCCTCATATGGAAGTATAGACACTGATATCCCCATTTCTTGGGTCAAAGTTTTCCTACCTGTAGCTTCCATGCTCCTGGTTCTTTCATAATCTGCTGAAGTCACTTCTTTGTCTACAGCATTCCTGCTCTTGTCCTGGGAAATGCTTCTTTCATCCTGTGGGACTTTCTCTTCTTCAGGAACATTAGCTTCTTTCTATTGCTGAATGCATTTCATCTCCTCCCACCACCTTCATTCTCTCTTCTGCTCACCCTTACAGTTGCTCTTCCTTCTGACTTGTCCAGCTCCTAACCATCAGCAGTTTTCCTCACTGTGAGTCCTCTCTTCAGCCACCTTTTGAGCCAATTTTTCTCTTTTGTCTGTTGAATTTGTCCCTCTTTCTCCTCTCGCTTTTCTCCTTCTTGGCTGCTATGTTCTTGCTAACAGCCTGTGTCCTTTTAGCGGGCTCCTGCATAGGGCATAGTGGAAGCAGGGGCAGTCATGCTGGATGACCCAGCTGGGGCCAATGCTGGAGCAGCAGGAGGGGCCTCTGGCTTGACAGGTGACTCATCTTCAACTGCGGCTTCTTTTACCAAAGCTGGTCTGTCCTTTAGAAAGGCTCACTAGCAACTTTCTTAATTTCTTTCTTTGGGTTGTCTCTCTCAGGCAACGTTCTGACTTCTTTTCTTTTCCTTTCTTTTCCTTCCTTCTTTCCTTTTTCCTTCCCTCCCTCCCTTCCTTCTTTCCTCCCTTCCTCCCTCCCTTCCTTCCCTCCCTCTTTTCCTTCCCATCATTTTCCTTCCCTTCCTTCCCTTCCTTTTCATTCTCTTCCCTTCCGTCCCTCTTTCTCTTCCTTTCCTCTTCTTTCTTTCTTTCTTTCTTTCTTTCTTTCTTTCTTTCTTTCTTTCTTTCTTCTTTCTTTCTTTCTTTCTTTCTTTCTTTCTTTCTTTCTTTTTTCTTTCTTCTCTTTCTCTCTCTCTCTGCCCCCCACCACCCTCTCTTTCTTTTTCTTTCCTTCTTTCCTTCCTCACCCTGTTGCCCAGGCTGGAGTGCAGTGGCATGATCTTAGCTCACTGTGGGCTTGACCCACTGGGCTCAAGCAATTCTTCTGCCTCAGCCTCCTGAGTAGCTCCATCTACAGGCTGGTGCAACCAGCCCAGCTGATTTTTTCTATCTTTTGTAGAGACAGGGTCTTACTATGTTGCCTAGGCTGGTCATAAACTTCTGGCCTCAAGTGTTTATTCTGCCTTGGCCTCCCAAAGTACTGGGATAACATTCATGAGCCAGCGCATCTGGCCCTGACTTCTTTCTTAGCAGGGAAAATAGTGGTCAGATCATAGTGGGAACAGCTTTGGCTGAGGCCAGAGACAGGAAGAAGTTGGTCTGGGATTTACCGGGTAAAGGAGGAAAGGATTTAGATGTGATACAGGTTGAAAGGGAGCTGGACATCTAGCATTGAGATTAGATGAGGATATAGTCCATGTGGTGCCACATTATTGTAAAGTGGAAGAGTTCTCTCTCTTTCTTTTTCTACCTGTATACACAACCCTCAGGTCCTATTGTAGAGTTTACTTGCTTTGTAAGACATAGTGTTGATACCTCTGTGAGATGCTGCATCTCCAGACAAGGCAGCTATGCTTATACTTGTGGTCAGGAAAGAACAAATGTGTGGGCATCAGGAGTATGTTAACAATACCCAAGGAGGAATGTATGGAGTCAGGGAGTCAGAGGTGTTCCATGGAAGGATACCCAACTCTGAATAGGAGCCAGTGATTTTTTTCTAATTCCTCCTTTTTGGAAGTTAGCTTGTAGTATTAAATGTTCTCATAAGGTTTTTATAGGATTAAAGCTAATATATGTTTCTTAGAACAGCATCTAGCATGTAGTAAATGCTAAAAAATGTTAACTATTAAATTACTGTGGGCAAACAAAATCATGAGTAGCATGAAAACAGAAAAGTTTAATAATTTCTTACAGAAGAGGTTTCAGGGAGTGTATTCTCTATTTGTACTAAGATAATAATTGGAAGCTTATGGGTTTCTGGTCTAGGTTTTTAATACTGAAAATGAGAGTTCTGAATCCACAGCTACCACCTTTATGACATATTTTACTGGGATCAGAATAAGAGGGTGTGGCTTTGTTTCAAGAAGGCAATTTGGATTTCTGAAGCCCTGCAGCTAAGCAATCACCTATTCATTAAGCCTTGGATCAGCTCAGGAATAATTTACACTAAGCACTATTTTAAATTAACTAAGTGCTGTGTTTAATACAAAAAACAAAGCAAGGCAAAACACAAAAAAAGATTTTTAAATGATTCACTGTTTACTCTTTCATATTTTTCTCTTCCTTTTTTTTTTCCCTTGGAGAGTTTATACTACTGTAATAGATGTCCTTTGTATAAATCAAAAGAAGAATTTACTAGAGGAAGTTTGCCTGAGATTAAATGTTCTTTCCTTCTGAGACAATAAATTAACATCATTCAAAAAAGTCTCTCTATATGTGAGGTTTTCAGCCAATTCAATTCAATTCAATTCAGAAGACGTATTTGGATACTATGAATTGTCAAGCACTGAACCACATGCTATTCAGCCTTTTTATTAAATATTACATTGAATAATTGGTTTGGGTGAAAACAGTGTGCTTACAACTTGGCAAACTGCTTTCCTGTCTTGAATGTAGCTTGAAACATATCGTATTGTTACTGGTGACATGTCATACAAATTGAGTCCATACAATTTATTCAGAATGAAAATAAATGCACCCATTTCCCTTTATCTAGAGACTTGGAGTATATTGTTATAAAATAAATAAATAATCCCATATTAAATGTTAAATCATTATTTTTACTTTTCTAATATATCAGGGTGTGTACATTCCAAATAGCAAAACATCAACATTAGTAACCCTTACTATTAAGATAATAGATAGGGTAAGAATTATGGTGAAAGGAATTGGCATATTCTATATTTTTATTAAAAATAAATGTTTTTTATTACTCCAGTCCTTCAGGCTCTCTTTTGAGTTGGTGCTATAAATTGAATAAATAAAACTCCAGGTATTCTTGACTCTCAAAGATTTTGCAGCACATTTTTCATCTTGTTTAGCGTTGCAGAACAGATCAGATTTGAAGCCTAGAAAAGTCCACCCTACAGACACCAGCTTCTGGGGGCTCCGGGAGAGCAACAAAACAAGCAACTTTCCTAAATGAGTTTCACTTAAAATCTTACATTCATCTTGAATCATAGGTTATAGATAGAAAAGTGAGTATGTTTAAAAACTGTATATTGTTAGAGGAGAGCTTAATGGTCTTTTTTTTTTTATAAATACTTACAACAAGGCATTTTTAATTTTAAACCTCTGTATAGTTACACATATATCATATACCTGCTATTACTAAGCTATGAATTCCAGGCAAACAGAAGAACTCATTATCAAGTCATTGGGTGCTGATTGTAATATTATTTTAAACTCATTATTTCAGCTAAAGAAAAGCCTAGTAACTTAATAGAAACTCTTAACTTCCACCCTAACTGGGAATAGAATGCTGACTGAGACCTAGCCGCTAATTTGCCTGGTTTTGAAATTCAAGTGCTTGAACTCTTATTATGGGAAATAATAAATGATCAAGTGGATGTTTTGTTGTTCCACTAAACATGACCCTAATTAGCAAATTGGCTAATAGCAGTTTTCATTTTACAAAAGATTAGTCTATAAAGGGAAAACAACCCCAAACAACAATATTTACAAAGTTTCTTGATCAGGTAGTTTAGGATAATTGTAAACAAAAGATCTGAGTAAACTCCCATCTATTTTCAGATTTCAAATTAATTAATAGTATTTTTGGCAAAGTCCATGCATGAATGGTTCAAAACTCCAAGAGAAGACTGTAGTCAGAAATGTTTTTCAATAAAGTCTGTTTGTTTACTACTTAAGTCTTAACTAATAATGCCTAGTCTATTCTTACATTGCTATAAAGAACTACCTGAGACTGGGTAATTTACAAAGAAAAGAGGTTTATTTGGCTGATGATTCCATAAGCTGTACAGGAAGCATGGCTGAGGAGGCTTCAGGATACTTACAATCATAGTGGAAGGTGAAGAGGAAGGAGTCACGTCTTACATGGCCAGAGCAGGAGGAAGAGAGAGAGAAGAGGGAAGTGCTACACGCTTGTATAAACAACCAGATCTTATAAGAACTCACTTACTATTATAAGAACAGCAAGAAGGAAATCCGCCCCCATGATCCAATCACCTCCCACCATGCCCCTCTTCCAACATTAGGGATTACAATTCAACATAAGATTTGGGTGAGGACACAGACCCAAATCATACAGTTTTGCCACTATCTCCTCCCAAATCTCATGTTCTTCTCATATTTCAAAATACAATCATGCATTCTCAACAGTCTCCCAAAATCATAATCCATCCCAGCATTAACTCAAAAATCCAAAGTCCAAAGTCTCATCTAAGACAAAGCTAGTTCCTTCTGTTTATGAGCCTATACCATCAAAAACAAGTTAGTTACTTTTAAGATATAATGGGTATATGGGAGTGGGGTAAATGCACTCATTACAAAAGGGAGAAATCCGTCAAAACAAAGGGGCTACAGGCCCCATGCAAGTCCATAACCCAGCAAGGCAATCATTAAATCTTAAAGCTCCAAAATAATACCCTTTGACTCCATCTCTCACATTTAAACTGATGCAATGGGTGGGCTCCCAAGGCCTTGGACAGCTCTTCTCCTGTGGCTTTGCAGGTCACAGCCCTCTCAGCTGTTTTCATTGGCTGACAGTCAGTCCTTGAAGCTTTTCCAGGCACACAGTGCAAGCCATCAGAGGATCTGGTATTCTGGGGTCTGGAGGGCAGTAGATATCTTCTCACAGCTCCACTTGGCAGTGCCCCAGTGGGGACTCTGTATGAAGGTTCTAATCCCATATTTCCCTTCCACACTGCTGTCATAGAGGTTTTCCATCAGGCCTCCACACATAGAGCAGGCTTCTGCCAGGACATGCAGGAGTTTGCATGCATTCTTTGAAATCTAGGTGGAGGCTCCTAAGCCTCAACACCTGCCCTCTGCACACCTGCAAGCTTAACATCACATGAATGCTGACAAGGCTTATGGCTTGCACCCTCTAGAGCAGTGGCCTGAGACATATCTTAGGTCCTTTGAGCCATGGCTGAAGCTGGAGTGGCTGGGATACAGGGAGCAGTGTCCTGGGATAGCACAAGGCATCAGGGCCCTGGGCCTGGCCCAAGGAACCATTCTTCCCTCCTAGGCCTCCAGACCTGTGATGGGAGGGGTACTGCAAAGGTCTCCAAAATGCCTTTGAGGCATTTTCCCCATTGTCTTGGCTATTAATATTTGGCTCCTCTTTGTGTATGCAAATTTCTGCAGCCAGCTTGAATTCCTGCCCTGAAAATCGGTTTTTCTTTTATACCACATGGCCAGGATGCAAATTTTCCAAACTTTTACATTTTGCTTCCCTTTTAAGTATAAGTTCCAGTTTCAGATCACCCCTTTGCTTAGGCATAGAGGTAATCTTTGCTTAAGCATAGAGGTGATCTGGTTGAAGCAGCCAGGCCACATCTTGAATGTTTTGCTGGTAAGAAATTTCTTCCGCTAAGTACCTTAAATCATCATTCCCAAGTTTAAAGTTCCACAGATCTCTAGGGCAGAGGCACAACTTAACTTCTTTGCTATCACATAGCAAAAGTGACCTTTGTTCTAGTTCCCAATAAATTCCTTATCTCCATCTGAGACATTCTCAGCCTGGACTTCACTGTTCATATCACTGTCAGCATTTTGCTCACAACCATTCAACAAGTCTTTAGGAAGTTCCAAACATTTCCTCAAATTTCTGTCTTCTTCTCAGCCCTCCAAACTGTTCCAACCTCTGCCCAGTTCCAAAGCCACTTTCACATTTTCAGGTATCTTTATAGTAATGCCCTACTCTTAGGTACCAATTTTCTTTATTAGTCTGTTCTTGCATTGCTATAAAGAACCACATTAGTCCTGGTAATTTATAAAGAAAAGAGGTTTAATTGGCTGATGGTTCCACAGGCTGTAAAGGAAGCATGGCCCGGGAGGCCTCAGGAAACTTACAATCACAGTGAAAGGCAAAGAGGAAGGAGTCATGTCTTACATGGCTGGAGTAGGAGGAAGAGAAAGAGAAGAGGGAAGTGCTACACACTTTTATAAACAACCAGATCTCATGAGAATTCACTCACTATCACAAGAACAGCAAGGGGGAAATCTGCCCCCATGATCCAATCAACTCCCACCAGGCTTCTCTTCCACCACTGGGGATTACAATTTGACATGAGTTTGGGTAAGGTCAGAGACCCAAACTATATCAAATAACAACATTCTTTGACTAATCCACTTATTAATTCATGTGTGTATCTTAGGGGTCTACAACATAGTGGTTAAGCCACAGTCTGGGTTCACATTTCAGCACTATCATTTCCTGGTTGTGTGACTTTGGACAAATTACTTAAACTTGCTGTGCTTCAGAGTTTTCATATCTGAAATGGAGAAGCTAGGATTATCTATTTAATAGGAAATCCAGTAAAGGAATGAATATGTGGTAAGAACTCTTTAGTGTTAGTTTTTATTAGTAATATGTGTCAAGCATTATTTAGATCCAGGGCAAAATGGTTGACCTCACAGAGCTTACATGCTGAGATATAATAAGTAGATGAACAAATACAGTCATGCATTGCTTTGTGACAGGAATACATTTTGAGAAATGTGTCACTGGGCAATTTTGTCATTGTGTGAACATCACACTGTTCATTTACACAAACGTAGATGGAATAGCTCACCTACCCACCTAGGCTATATGGCGTGGCCTATTTCTCCTAGACCACAAACCTGTACAACATGGTACTGTAGTGAATACTGTAGGCAACTGTAACACAATGATCAGTATTTGTTTATCTAAACAGAAAAGGTAATGTGTTGTGCTACAATATTAGGATGGCTACCATGTCACTAGGTGATAGGAATTTTTCAGTTCAGTGTTCTTATGGGAACACTGTATGTAGTCCATTGTTGACAAAGATCTATTATTCTCACTCATAAAATGAAGGGGAAACAGGAGCTAGAAACACTTTCATTTCATGCATCATTCAAGCTTAAGATAAATTATCATAATGCCTTCAGGTGGGGAAAATGCATAGTTTTTCATGAAATGTAAAGTATGATTATATCATCTCTTTTGTGCTCCTGTCTTGGCCCTAAAAAATTACAAATCAAAGGAGGAGAATGTCCCTGAATCATTCTTTTTCCTCTCTGGACCATTTTTTTTTTACTCCTCTGTCCTAGATAAAGCTGTAACCATGACAGGATATATTAGCGACTGAAATCTGAACAGAAGGGCAATTCCTAATCAAATTGGCACTAATTTCTTTCAGTACAAATTATCATCACTCACAGCAAATTTGCTTTCAGTGAGCTGTGCCAACCTGAGGTACAGTTCTCAGCACTTTTATCTCGGCCCATCAATACAATTGATCAAATCATTCTGTAATAGCAACATCTTTTTTCTCTTCATTTTTTATGATGACCAATAAGGTAGAATGTCAATTTTCTCCATTTATTTCAACCTTGTTCCACTTAAAAGAAAACTACTATAAATAGAGCTCTATTTCTCTATAATTTTTTTATTGAAATGGATTGGTTTAAAATATGGAAATTTAAAAACATACATGTTGAGGATTTTAAAGTAATATTAAGAAATGAATTTGATTAGTTATCTACTAGATACTTATATTACTATCGAGCCTAACACTTTATATCCAAGAATATATACATATATGCATGTGTGTGTGTATGTATGTCAGACCACAGATTCGTATGTTACCAACTGTTATGCTAGTTTATATAAATTGTACAGACTTCCAGGTGTCATCATAATATTTATATATAGTTATCTGACTCTTCCTCATCCACACTGTTGTAGTTAGCTGCTCCATCTGCTCAAAATATACATTTTTCTAGGTTTATAATAATGCCATCATCTACATAGCTTGCCAAATTACAAATATTGTTAAAATATACCAGAAAGATAGAAACACTAGGCAGTGCTCTATGATTCTGCAATCTTATACCTGTCTACATTTAATTACCTTTTGTTGTTGTTCAGATGTAGAGCAGTCTCATGTGCAAACTTGTGGCTAGGAAATTTTCATAATTATGGTTTTATTATTTCAGTTTTGTAGTTATAACCACAACAAGATGAAAGACTTCATCTGAAAACAACTGTCTTTAGCAGTAAAAGTGTTAATTACAACATAAATGATGTCAGTGAAAATATTGGAAAATTTGAGGTTTAATTAGGTCTACCACAGAAATAGAACTGTCACAAGGCTTAGCATTTTGGCAGTTTTAATTCCTGTATGGGGTTTCTTCTTTATGAGGATCACATATAGAGAGTGAGAAAACGAACATGTCATTTGTTTAAAACATATTGTTCAAGTATGTACCAAGCTGAAGTGTAATATTCATTCACAATATGTTACAGTGACAAAATATTTCCAACCAAGGTTTCTGCAAAGATACATATTCATTCTTTATGCATTGCTTCTTTCGTTTTCCTTTTCCTAAGATATGAGGAGAGTCTGAGCCTACCAGGTTAAAAGCAGTTCCTCAGACTTATTTTCAAGAATTATGCCTTCCGTGTATTACTTATCTATGTTCAATAATCTTGAGACTCATAACCGAAGGAGTAGGATATATTCTAAGCCCAGTGGAATGGCAGAAGCAAAGTCTCATCACTGCAGAGCAGTAGCCTGGCTGCCAATAAGAAGATCTTAATTGCTATAATTAAAAATAAGAGTCACTTTTATTAAAAACTGAGCCCCCTGTTGTGCAAATCATTCTAGTAATGCTTTGCATAACACTCAGGAATTTATAATGCCTAAGGATAAGAGAAAAATGTAACTTTCCCTAACTACTTGCAACTGAAAATAAATGGTTTGCCAGTAATGTTTTCAAATTATCAAATTGAGATATTAACTAATAAGTTAAATAATAAAAGCTCCTAATACAGATGGTGAAAAAGAAGAAATTGGAGTACTATTGCATATGTATACATATATATATGTTTTATAATTTATTAGATACATTTTTGAGTGCATTACTAACACCAAAGCAATTCTCACAGGAAAACCTTGTATAACTCACCATCACAACTCTAGAATTCAGCAGGATCAATGCCAACAACTAAATGAATAACCAGCAGGATTCTCCAAACAAAGCCAATGAAGTGATGGAGAAAGTCTCATCTGTGATATGGAATCCATATCTTCAGGATGCAAAAGGGAATAAAATGTTACATATGGATCTTGGTGATATTTCTTAACTCCTAAAATGACTTTGTTAGCTGTATTGTATACATAATAATGCAACCCTGGAAAAAAATAGTCATTGCCAGCCAAATCTAGGTACAGATTATTAAGGTTGTATCCTTGCTCCTCCATCTTTGATAGTTTTTTGTTATCCTACTTATGATGTGAGACTTTGCTTTAGCTCGAAACATTCAACCTGCTCCTTTCTGTTCTTTTCCACTTCCAAAATCACAGCTGTTTCTTTATCTTTGCTCTGCACACTAGATTATTTCATTCCTATGTAAGGAAGTAGCCCAATCAGCTCCAAAATTACTAGGAGAAATCCTTCATATTTTCATCAGAAAGTGGTAGAACTGTATCTGCTGTTTTTGTCATATAACCCTCCTACTTCTTACAAGAGGCCATCTGGGGATGGGTATAAGGAGAGAAGAATCAGAGTTTGGGATCATGTGTTTTGAGGGGGGTGAACTGTTTATGGTAAATATACCTAACTTCACCAACTCCTATACTTTTACTAGTCAGAGGAAGTTATGCTTGGAGAGAATCACTAGAGAGATTAGAGAGTCCTACAAGGAGAGACTGGACTCTTGGCCTAAGGCTCGTTGCTTTCTGGGTTACAGTCTTCAAGCTGGCTTGGGTTCTGTCAGTGAAAAACAGGATGAAGTTCTTGAGCAAGCTGAACATCTTTCCTTGGAGTTTAGGAATGTTTATGAAATTAGGGTATGGTTCACACTTTTCAAATGGAGATTTCAAAGGTGACAATGTTTCAGAAAAATTTTTCCCCAGTTGTTTGTAACTGTAGGGTGCCTAGGAAGAAAAAGGTGCCTTTCCCATACCAGATTTCTTAGAAAGATTTAGCAGACAATACCTTTCTACAGGAAGGAGCACTGTAGATAAAAGAGGAGGCAAGAGCTTTTGGACTAGTTGAGTGGCAGCTTAACAAAGCAACGCAATATCCATAGGGATTGGGGTTTGGACACATTGTCAGACCATACGGAAATGTAGCTGTTGTTCTCTGAGGGAGTTCTCAGTTTTGAATGGTAGTGGAGTGAAGATGAATTCATTACTAGAAAACCACGTGCAGTCCACATAAGACCACCATACTGGTAGAATCCACTAGATGTAAATAATAGTACCATGCGAGACAACTCTAATCCAGACAGGTGTCCAGGAATGTAAGCAGACAACTACCTCCATGCTTTGCTCTTCCTAAGCACCATCTGTCTTAGTCTCTTCAAGCTGTTATAACAAAATACCACAGACAGGATGGCTTATCAACAAAAGAAATTTGTTGCTCACACTTCTGGAGGCACAGAAGTACAAGATCAAGGATCTATCTGATTTCAGTCTGTTGAGGACCCTCTTCATATGTGGCCATCTTTTTCTTTGTTGTCACATGGTGGAAAGGGTGAGGAATCTCTTTGGAGCCTCTTTTATAAGGGCACTAATCTTACTTATGATGACTTGGCCCTCATGACCTCATCACCTTCCAAAAGTTTCACCTCCATTAGGTTTTGACATATGCATTTTATGTTCAACATATGAATTCGGTTTCAATATATGAATTTTAGGTTCAACTTATGAATTCAATTTTAATATATGAATTTTAGGACATTCAGACCATAGTACCATCTAACAACAGAGGATAGAAGCCACAGAAAGAGATTGCCTTTATCTCAAAATCAGACCAGGATAGACTCTCTACTTTAAAGTAACAGAGCAGGAGGAAGAATAAAAGCAGATCAATCCCTCTGTCCACTTCAAGTCCTCTTCAACCATCAGATTAGCTGTGGTCAGAAGAATTTAAAATAATGTATGATACTAGAATTTCAAAATGGACCTAAAGTAACTAGAGAGTTACAAAATTTGTCTAAGACACTGTTAAAAGGCAGAAAAGGAAGAATTGGCAATACAATTTGAACGTGGTTATTGGGAAAAAAAACAACTGGTTCATTTTTATATCTAGTGTAAGATTCTCAATGAACTGTTGAATTGAGTATATTAAGATGTGCATGTTTTTATTAGGTGCCCAGTAGCATACAAAGTCATTTACATTCACATCATCGTTGTCATAATTGAATGAGATAGTTACTATTTTTGCATCTGTTGAGTAGCTGAGGGCATTGAGTGGACAGTAAAGCTGTATGTGAACCCAGGTCTGTTTGATTTGCTCATCCCTAAGGACATTTCTGTGATTTCCTGTTGTGTTTAGGAATAGATCCCAAGTCCCTGTGAGGGCTCACAGGGGCCTTGACCATCAGTACTTTGCTTTCCTCTAAGAATCAACAAAGGCCCCTTTCTTATTTTGCTAATTTTTTAAATTCTAAAAACTTGGTGCAAACATATAAAGTAAACCCAAGTATAGTTTTGTTGACATATGTAAAAGAGGAATACAAAATTCATAACAAAGTGTAGAAAGAATGATTTCTTTTCAATTCTGTAATCATGCAGGAAACTTTAGAGGTCAAAGCATGAGCAGAAACATTTGTATGCTTAAAATCATCTGCACGTTTGAGAAACGGACAAAGACAAGTGTCATCGGAAACCATTAAGGATTATTAATTCTTTTTTGGATGAGATAATGAGATCCTCTTTGAAATTTAAATGAATATGCATGAAACATTTTAGGTTATGAAGAGTACATCATCTGTTTTCAAAAAGTTCTTACCCCAAATACAACCAAGATTGGTATATATTTGTTTAATAATAAGAGGTTTCTAATTTTAAATTTTAATTTTTAAGATTTAGTTTCATTCTTTAACATCAGGTAAATAGCATATTTCAGTTTTTTTTTCAGTTTTATTAGGTTTATGTCTACATTTCTTCAACTGTTTCATTAAAAAAAGATGTCTGAATTTTAGTGTGTTTTTTAAATAATAGAAACCATATCTCCTCATTTCAAATGAGTTTATAAACAATTTTTTAAAAAACAGGTGCATATATATATCTACTGTCTTTTGATATATACTGTCTTTTGATTTTTTCCATTTATTTTACCATGTTCATTTAGAATTTTTTCTTAAAAAATTATTAAACCTGGTGAAAATTGTCAAAACATAGAAAATTCACAAGTTAGTGAATATGTTTTGAGGCCTAACCTGTGCCAGGAACTTTGGCATAAGGCTGTCAATCCAGTGCAGCAGACAGACAGGGATCACAGAGTACAAAGCGGTTAGTGTGGTGATGGGTGATGTACAGAGAACTATGGGTACACAAACAAATTTCAGCTGAATGAAAAGGGTTGCCAACATATTTAACACAATCTCTGCTCTTTCTATGAATATAATAGTAAATCATTCAGTAGATTTGGTGATTAGCCAAATCAGTTTGTTTAACTGAATTGAGAATTAAAAACAAAACACAAGACTCAATTTGTTGAATGAATGTGCAAGGAACTTGAAAATGAGCAATTAATTCAAGGTGTTTCCTTAAATAACTTAGTGCTTTGGTTAGGGTGAATAACTTCAAGGCTAATACTTAGAAAAAAAGACGTTGAAACTTTTATTGCTTCACTTTAAATAATGATGCTTTATTCAGTAGATCCAAAAATAGATTGTGTGTACATGTGGGTGCAAGTGCATGTATGTGTAAAGATATATTTAACCTAAAAGTTCATTTTTATAGGAATGCTATGTTATTACAGCCATATCTGAGAAATGTTTAAGAGATTGTTAGTTTTGACTTTCTGATTGTCTGCAAATAGTTTAATTTTTAGAAGGATTTGTCTTGTGATACATCCTCGTAGGTTTTTTCTTAAGTCCCATAGTCTGTCACCATTATCTTCATTAGTAATTAATTATTATTTATGTGGGGAAATCAGCATTTTTTTTTGTGCTTCCATATGTGTTGAATTGTAATCTTGTGAAAGGATTGGGAACATCTGAATGAGCCCTGAGAGAATCAGAGGAGGCTGATGAATGAACTGGAAAGCCCTTTACCAGTCTAGACTAGCTGGTTTCTGCCTTGTAAGTGATTAACGTGAGAATTGGAATCAGCCCTTCCATGGTAAACAGCCATTCTACAGGAGATCCAAGTGGAATAAAATGTGAAGACATGGCATTCGGGCTACCCTGCAGGAAAGAGAAGATACAACTATGTTAGCTTCTGTTATCAAAACCCCATGACTGCTAGGAAGGACTCTGATATTAACTTAAATCAATAGACAAAGAAGATCAACATTAAGCACAAAACTACTAGTGGTTATGTTACAATAAAGGAGTTAACAAAAATCAGTAAAAGGAAAAAGTTAACACTGCAAAGGAACCAGCACTGTATAGTTTTCTAGGAATGATGGAGTTGGCTCTAATAATGCCAATATAATAATAATAATAATAATAATAGTAATATTATCATTTGATTATCCATTATGTGCCAGACCAAGGAACTGTGCTAAGAACTTTACATATATTACACCATTTAATTTTCACAATAATATTTTATTGTAGATGTTGTTATAATTATTATTTTCAGTTAAAGGTAATGATGGGGTTCAGGTTATACCACCCAAAATACTGCACCTTGGCATATTAAACATTTTAAGGTGAAGGAATAATTTGAGATCACAGAAGCAGGAAGTTCACTCTGACCTTCTCCTTTACCTTCTCCACTGAAACAGGTCATAAAACCTAGGAAGAAACTTTTGACCTTTCCCTGAAGCAGGTCAGAAGGTCCTCAGGTGAGCCATACCTTCTCTATAGCAGGAAGAAAGGAACATCCTTATTTCTGAAGACACAGGGACACAGAGAACAATTTGAACAAACAGGCTTTGCTAAGGTTTTCCTAGTTTATTACCATCAAATCATACTCTTTTTGCCCTATTATATTTCTCCACAACTTTCCACTGTTCATCAAATCTACTACAAAAAAAAAATGCCCATTCATGTTAAAATGCTTCTTCAGATCTTCATTTTCTTATGAAGGTTTTCATTTCCTGTGTGATGTGAAACTTATATTAAATGAATTTGTATACTTTTCTCTTATTAATCTGTCTTTTGTAATAGAGGCCATGAACTTAGGAGAGTAGAAGGAAAAGATAATTTTTTCCCCCTATTCTGGGAAAACTAGATTGTAAGATTTTCTTGCTCACACTAATACTACTAATAAAGGTAAAAGCTTAGTTTCAAATCCAAGATGGATTCTAGCCCCTGTGATTTTACTCAATATTAGACAATTAAAGTAGTTGGACTTAGAGTTCAGGGTAGAAATAAGTACCTTCATCAAACAGGAAAGTCAAGAGTAAGGATTAAATTTTCAAAAAGCAAACCATTAATTTTCAATTACGATGATTTTACCCCTCTTCCCAGGGATATTGGAATGTCTGGAGACATTTTCAATTGTCACAGTTTGGAGAGTGCTATTGGTATCCAGAGGACAGAGGCCAGGGATGCTTTTATATACCCTGCAATTCAGAGGACAGTAACTCAAACAAAGAATTATCTGGACAAAATGTCAAAAGTGCTGAGGTTGATAAATCTCAAATGAAACTGACAGGGCCAACTACAACTACATAATTCCTGGGGCCAGTACAAAATAAATATTTAGGGCCCTGTGTTCAAAAAGCAGGAAAAAAATTTTTTTTTTCTCTTTGTCTGCCTTTCATGGTGTCTTTTTTTTTTTTTAGATGGAGTCTTGTTCTGCCGCCAGGCTGGAGTGCAATGGCGTGATCTTGGCACAATCTTGATAGCTGGGATTAGAGATATGTGCCACCACACCCAGCTAATTTGTTGGTCGGGCTGGTCTCGAACTCCTGACCTCATGTGATCTGCCTGCCTTGGCCTCCCAAAGTGCTGAGATTACAGGCATGAGCCACCACACCCGGCCGGTGTCTTTTATTTGTTAATTGATGTCATGTTTCCTTGCAATCCTGTGCCCAAGAAAATATGTCATTAGGTTGAGCAACTTCAGAGTTTCACAGTCACCCTGGGTTCTGCCTGTCAATTCAGCACCATCCTTGACTCTCCCTTTCCCTACATTTAGGATCTGCCAAGAAAGAAGGATGGTAGCAAAATGGCAGTGCGCTGAGGCTCCAAGTCTCTGGTACATGCTTCAGTTGTGCTGTCAGACTTTACTATCCAAACATAAATTCAAAGATAGAATTACTAAGAATTTCAAGATGGCAGTGACATAGCATTCAGCCCCAAGAATGGGGCCCTCTTCTGAGCACAGAACCTTGTGTGGCTGCATTGGTCAATTACCTACGAGTTGGTCCTGTCAAAAGATCGTGATAACTGGAAGGAATTAAAAAGGCAAAGGCATAGCTAGAGCAAGAATCTCAAGAGATTCTTGAGAGGTCCAAGAGAAGATATGTCTTTTATATTCAAGGGTTTTGAAACCACAGCAGGAAGCCAAAAGTCTAGTGTCACAACTTGTCCTCATTACGAATGTACAGTGTAAAGCCAGAGAGCAGTAGTCACTTAGAATGACCAAAGATAGAAGGAGAGGAGAATAATGGTGGAAAAATAAGGTGGGATGTTGAGAAGCTAATATACAAAGTGGAAATCTTTGAAATACACTTAACAGCAAACTGAGTTCAGGCAGGGACAGTAGATAGAAGAGTTACAGGCAGGAATGTAGGTTTCTGAAAGATCTAATCTGAGGGACAGTGTAAGAATGGCTTCAGAAGAGTGTGTTCTGTATGGTGATAGTTTGAGACTGAGCAGGATCGTTCTATGATGCCATTTGAAACAAGAAAAGTGGGAAAAAGGACAAAAGTACTTGATTACCTTTGCTTAATTTGATGCTACCAGGCATAAGATGCTTGTGTTAGTCAGTAATATGTTGTTGAGACAGGAGAGTTCCTTTGACCCTTTTGCAGATGGGAACTAGAGTGCACTGGCTCTGGGTTCAGCCTGCCACTTTGCTGCCAACAGGGATGAACTTCACTCACTCAAACCCACTGGGCTCAACCCCTCACGGGAGGGAGCACACAGGCAAGTGGGTGTTGGAGCTGGGGCAAATGCTTTTGGGCTCCAGCCCCCTGGCAGCGTCTAGGGGTGTGATAAAATTAATGCTCTTTTAGGAGTTGCTGTCCATGGCAGCTAAGTGTTAACCAGCTTAGTGGAGAGTCAGGGTGACAGCCTAATACTCTGCCCTCTTGGTTCCCAGGTTCTTGTTCGGCATCCAGGAAGAATCAGGTCGCACGAATGGTTTGAAAGGTGATGATGCAGAGGATTTTATTAGGCAGTGGAAGTAGCTCTCAGCAGAAGGGGAGCTGAAAGGGGGGTGCAAGAAGAAGGTGATCTTTCCTTGAAGCCTGGTCGTCTCCATCTGGGCTCCTCTCCAAAGTTGTGCCGTCTGAAGTTAAGTCGCATCTATCCATAGTCTCAGATGCCCAGTTGCTTCTTCACCTCTTGATATTCAGCTGCTTGTGTTGCTCTGCCAGCTGAAGTCTGTTGTGGGCACAGAATAGGGGCAGACTGGGCCAAAAAGGCAACATTTGGGCAGAAAAATGGGGTCAGATGTTTTCACTTATGGTCACCATCCGAGGCTTAAAGGTGGGGTTTAGCCAGGAGCCTAGCTCTTCCGTATCATTATGGAATGCAGAAAATCATTGCCTGCCAAGATTCCCACACGCGAATCCCCAGAACCTATGAATAGATTACCTTATGATGTGATTCAGGTTACAGAACTTGAGGTCAGAGGATTCTCCTGAATGATGTAGAGGCTCCCAATCAAATCACAGGAGTCCTTAGAATGGAGAATCTTTTTGGCTACAGTTGTTCAAAGAGATGCAAAGAAAGAAGGACTTGACATCCTGTTTTGGACTTTGAAAATGGAGGAAAAGGGCATGACCCAAGGGATGCAGGTGCTCTCAAAAGCTGGAAAACGCAAGGTAACCAATTCTTCCCTGAAGGCTCCAGAAAGAACCATAGGCTTGTCAGCACTCTAATTTTAGCACAAGGGCACCGTGCCAGATGTCTGATCTACAGAAATATAAAATAACAAATTTGCCTTGCTTTAAACCATTAAGCTGGTGGCAATTTGTTACAGCAGCAATAGGGAACTAATATACATGTACTGGGCTTGCAAGGTAGACAGCACTGTGAGAAAAGGAATCATAGAAAATTAGTGCTGAGATGAACTACTGAGATAATAGAATCTAACATCCTCATTTTAGAGAAAAGAAACCTGTTGTTTATAAGGAGTTGACTGATGTGCCTAGGGTCACACAGCTAGAGCCCTTTAAGCCAAATTGTTGCTCTATTATCCTACACATTTCCTCATAAATAAGTTCATGGGCAGGAGGTGAGAGATGAAGAAAATAGATACACCAGTCACAATGTTAAGAGAAAAGCTCTAAGAGCCAGGAAGAGAATAAACAAAAATGAGGGGAATAAAAGAATCAAGAAAGAAGTAAATCTTTCTTTGTTCAAAGACAAGTTCCAGACAGAACTGGGAACATTTAAAGCAGAGAAGGCAGAAAAAAAAAAAAAAAGATAGATTGGCCCCTAGAAGCACAGGTAAAGCATGAAAAATGATCAAATGAGACAGGAGGGAGAAACCCTCGCCTGCTTTTCTGTGCCACCTAAATCAGAGTAGCTTCATTTTTGTAGTTGCTCCCAGCATCAACTTCTCCTTGATAAACTAGGTGGTGAGTCCATGAGGTGACTGGCATTGAAGACCTGTGTATCTCATAGTCCCTGAAAGACAAAAAGGGGGAAGATCTACTTCACCTCAGAGGAACGAGACTGCCCTTGGAGAGTAATTCCACCTGAGCAGCTGATCTGAAAACAGGTCTTTTTTTTTGCCTAATACCAAGTCTCAGAGGAGAGCTGCCTTTCTCATGACATTCTTTATGGGCCTTCTCTGGGTTAGAAATTAAAAAGAAATATGTCAAATACAAAGTCTAGGAACAAAATATAAAACATGACTCTCACAGGGTACTAATAATGATGGTGCCATTGGAAATACCCAGAAGAGAGCAAATTGTCACGATTTAAAAGGTCATTGAGATCATCAATCATGTTAGTATTGCTCTTGTTTGCTAATTAATTTCCTTTATGGTGAAGAATACACCTGAAAAATCCAGTGGTAGAAATGTTCTCAGCGCAGGTTCAGTTTGTATAGTGTGACATTTATATCCATTTGTTTCCAAATCTTATGATTAAACATCCATGGTATTAGTATAAGTGACTGTATAGTGCAAGTGGAGAAGAAATAAGGATTCTTATGTCAGGCAATTTTAGTTATATGATAATTGTAGCTAAAGAGATCAATTATGCAAATTTTTAAAATAGTCTTTGGTATGTGTCTATCTTATTTGGTCTTCATTGAACTACCTCATTTGTCACATGCCCCATGCCTTTTAAAGATTCTCTCCATAGCTCCTCTATAGAATCCTCCTCTAGATTCTCCTCCGCAGCCCACCCGACTGTGGGAGCAGAGGCCGTATAGTCTAAAACTCTTTCTTTAATTTGCGATACAACATCTAGAAAACTCAGTATCATCTGCTTACAGAACAAAAGCTTTCCTCTGAAGTGATTTCTCTCCCATTCTGCAAACCCCAAATACCCAAAATGTGTCAGATTTTATATATGAGTAAAAATCTTCCCATTCATTTTCTTGCGTGGCTTCTCCCCAGGTTTCCAATGAATCCTATATTATGCTGCTCCATGATATGGGTGGAGATAACATGAGGCTGTATTCAAAATTGCCTCTTTGTGCTCCTTTTGGTAGTTGATTCTAGGCTTCCTTTATATAGCACACCCTGAAATAACACCCTTTCATTCAGTGTTGTTTCATTATAACCTTGATGAGAAAAAAACATTGATTCCCTGCCTGGGGCCAATATATATGTGACATTTGCACATCTGGATCATGTCTTCATGGATTTTCTTTCTCTGGGTACACTGTTTTTTCCTACATTCCCAAAGCATCCTATATCCCCAAAATGTCCACGCCAAATGAATTGTGTGGACATATGGCTGAGTGGTCCCAGCCTGAGTGAGCATGGATGTGTGTGAGTGTGCCATGCAATTGGATGATGTTCTGTCCAGAGTGGGTTCCTGCCTTGCTCCTTGGGCTGTGGGGATGGGGTGCAGCATCTGAGACCTGAAATGGAATAATTGGGTAAATAATTATTGATATGATATGACTGTGTTCTCACTGAAATCTCATCTTGAATTGTAGCTCCCATAAATCCTACATGTTGTGGGAGGGACCTGGTGGGAGTTATTGAATTATGAGCGCAGTTTCCCCTATACTGTTCTCATGGTAGTGAATGAGTCTCACAAGATCTGATGGTTTTATAAGGGTAAACCCCTTTTGTCTGGTTCTCATTCTCTTTCTTGTCTGCTGCCATGTAAGACATGCCTTTGGTCTTCCACCATGACTGTGAGGCCTCCCCAGCCACGTGGAACTGTGAGTCTATTAAACCTCCTTTTCTTTATAAACTACCCAGTCTTGGGTATGTCTTTACTAGCAGCGTGAAAATGGACTAATATGATTATATTGCTTATTTTCATTAATCTTTCTCAAATATATGTATAGTTCTCATTTATTTCTATGTTTAATATTGGAAGTGTTTTGACCTTTATTTAGAAATTTGGTGATGTTTTGTGACTAGAAATACAGGAACTTAACTCTCATTTATACCAATTAACCTATGGGAAAATTGGTTTCTTTATACATAGTTTCACTTAAAGTTGTAGTTTCCAAAAACCTATCAGTGACATTAGGTGAGGACTTAGTATACTGTTAAACTAGATGGAGACATATTTTATTATTATCACTCTTAATAAAAACAGTGGTTTTGGAAACAATTGTGTTTTTTTAAAACATATTAACTTACCTTTGAGATCGTTTTACAATAATATATTTAAAAGTTTAAAAATTGTGTTTTCAAGCATTAATTTTGTTCTCTAAATTCACTTATCATATTATCCAGAAAGTGACCTCATTTAGTTATGGTGTTACCTGACATTATAACCTTTGTCTTGGTATAAGGTAGCAATCAATCAGACTCTAAGATATGAAATCTTAAAGGGAGAAAAGGCAAGTTACTAAGTCTCCCACCCTTTCTCCCCATCTTCTGAACCCTTTATTTCAGGACCACATCCCACCCATTCTACCACCTCAGAATGATTGGTCTGTAGCTACCCTTTAAAATATCATTGCACACAGTGCGTCACACAATACTAACAGATTAGTATTATTTTTATTCCTATTTTAACTTTAGAAACCTGAGCATAGAGAGGTTAAGAAAATTGCCTTTACAGTACTAGAATCACCTTTCAAATCCATGTCCATTTAACTGGAAAGCCCTAGTATTTAACCACTACTTTATAAAGCTCACATTCATCTTTTGAAATACTTTTTTGTTATACATTTAGAGATAAAACATAAACTTTGTGGCAAGTACCCACACAATATAGAGCAAAGAATAAAGAAACAAAAAAAAAGGTAAAAAAAGACAAAGAAAATGTAAATCTTGATAGTTGAAAGACAAATTCAGCTCAAATTCTCCTCTGTGGTTTTTCTCTTCCACTTGTCCATATTCACGGACAAAGAGGCTACTGGGAGAAGTTCATGCTGCCGCTGGCAGAATAAGCAGAATAGAAAGGTTATTATTCATGTGAACCTGCATTTTCTCAGGCCATCATAGGAATATTCTACAACTAGCAGGTGCCTAGGTCAATTCAGGAACAACGTCTAGACTCTTCCTCTGACTACATAAATAAATCCTCTTGGTAGATAGTGTCAAGGACATTTCTCTCTACTTGTGAATTTGGAGGTTGGTAAATTCACTCACTATACTTCTCACAATAGAGTAAGCAAATGTATTAATAAAGAACAGGAAAGAGGGGAGAGACTATGGAATAAATTATAGTTATGCCTCACTTAAAGGTGGGAATTTTGTCGTTAGGCAATTTCCGAGAGTGAACATCATAGAGTGCACTTACATAAACCTGGATGGTGCAGCCTACTGCACACCTAGGCTCTATGGTATACCTTATCGCTGTTAGGATACAAACCTGTATAGCATGCTACTGTAGTGAATACTGTAGGCAATTATAATGGTAACTATTTGTGTATCTAAACACACCTAAATACAGAAAAGGTACAGTAAAATACGACGTTTTATCTCATGGGAACACTTTCATTATATGTCACCCATTATTGAACTAAACATTGTTGTTCAGTGTATGGCTGTATTTAAGCCCCACAAATGTAGAGACTCTGTCTTATTTCTCTTTATTTTTCCATTTCCTAGATAGAATGTAGCATGTAAGGAGGGCTAATTAACTATTTATTAAACTGTAGATATCAATCTACAATAATGAGGGTAGCGGAAAAAATTAATAAAACAGATAATAGCTCAAAAACTCTTAATTATATTAAAGCTAAACACTTACTATGTTTTTCTCGGGTTAATAAGAAAAACTATTTTTGCAACTCTTGAAAAGCATTGGATTTGAAAGGATAGAGAGAGAAAGTCTGATAAAATTAGGTGGCAAGAAACCAATTTTTCAATAATATTTCTACACAGGTAAATAGAGTTATCTGTATATTAATGTTTTCTCAACTATGACATTTGTCCTGAAATAAAAATCTTATTATTAGATACTAATCCAAATGAATTAAGCTCACATTTGGGAACAGGAAATTATTTTACCTCAAGTTATTTGATGAAAGGAAATTCTTCTGTTATGTAGTCACATTTATTTAAATGTATGTAAAATTTACTCTTCTAGTCAAGGTTCTCTACAGAAAAAGAACCAACAGGATGACTGTTTGTTTATTTATGTTAGAGAATCAGCTAATGTGATTATGGAGGCTAAGTTCTAAAATCAAATGGCAAGATGAAGATGCAACCTGGGAGAGCTGATGATACAGCTTCAGCCTGAAAGCCAGCACACATGAGATCCAAATGCCAATGTTTCAATTCAAGTCTAAAAGTAGAAAAAGATTCATGTCTCAGCTCAACAGTCAGGCAGGTGGAGTTCCTTCTTATTCACGAAAGTGTCATCCTTCTTGTATTATGTAGGCCTTCAAAAGATTGTATGAGGTCCACCCACATCAAGGAGGGCAATCTGCTTTGCTCGGTTTATTGATTCAAATGTCAATCTCATCCAAAAACCCTTACACACACATCTAGATATGTTTGACCAAATACCTGGGCACCTTGTGGTCCAGGCCACTTGACATATAAAATTAAGCATCACACTTACTAATAGGAATGAAGGGTGAGAAAGAATCTTAGTGATAAATTGATCAACACAACAGGCAAAAAACTGCTATTCACAAAATAGTCATGATTTGTGGAAGAGTGAACAATATTTTTCAGATGAAAATGTCCCTAAATAATAATGGTTTTTTTTCTGACTTCACTTATGTATTATTTGCTTTAGGCTTCCCATCTTTCTGGAAATCAGGAAACCTGAACTATCTTGATGTATTGATATAGCTCTCATCACTGTAACTATATTTAACATTTTTCTCCATAAGGAAAAGACTGTTTCTATTTCTGCAGCATTTTGTGAACATACATTTTGTGAAAAACCTGGCTAAACAACTGCTTCCTGTTTAGAGATAGAAACTGCATTTTATCATGGATTCAAAATACCAGGGAGAACTGCTCTCAGTAATAATTTCTCAACTAATTTATTTATTTCACATATTTAAATTAGTTATTATCTCCTTGCACTTAAAGAAGCAAGCATACCCCTTGTAAGTTCCTTTGTCCAAAAAATTAATGTAACCAGATCATAATCCTACAGAGAATAATTTTCTTCTTTTTATATGAAAAAATAAGAAATATATTTATCAACCTATTCTCCAATTATTACATGTGCAAGTATAACAAGGATTCTGTCTGTCTCAATTTGGTCCCACGTTAGCCTTGTTAGCACTGAGATCCTTTTAGAAACAGAAGATTTTTTAACCATATCATTTTTATCCATATCAGGTACTGAGCTGAGGCCAGGAAAGAAAATCTAAGTTCTCCAAGATCACACAGTTACATGGTGGAAAGGCAGTAATTACAGCTGAAGCATTAGGTAGCTCTTCCAAGCTTGCCTCATAGTCTAACTGATTACTCCAATATTAATTTGGAGTTTTAAGAGACTTTATGACTAGTGTCCTGCCTGACTAGGGTTGCAGTTCAAGAGTCCCATTGGGAGATAGTTTGCCTTTTCTCACAATTCAATATTCCAGAATATTTGCTGTGCAAAAGCAAGAGAGTCCAGAAAGGTAGAATACTGACCGATGAATAGGGGGCTGAATTACTTGAACATATAGGATGGTCTTGTTCTGAAAACAGTGATTAGCTAAATTTTATTCAGATGAGGGAGCATCACAGAGGAGTCACAAGCATGAACTCTGAAGTCCACTTTGAATGCTGGTTCTGCTATCTTCTAGTTCCTGCTCAATCTCCCTTTGAACAAAACCTTGTGAGGTATTACTTAGAAAATATAGTTATTTATGCAAAATATGCACAACATTGCTAACTACTTACTCTCTTGAGTACCTGCAAGCTCAACCCACTTATGTGTGATGTTTGGGCAAATTGGACCATAGCATAGGCCAAAAAATTATATCTACTACATTTTTTATCATATTCTTAAATTAACTGGATTTTTATGTTCACACTTTCTCAAATTTGAAGTGTTTGTGTGTTGTGTAAGTATAACTTTAACAACTGTGATCACAAATTCTACACTGTATATAGTATATTAAAGACCATCTATATCTAATCTATTAGTCTTATACTTCTTCTTAAACAAAATTGTCTCCCTTGGGTCTCTGAATTTATCTTACAATGAGGTACAATCGATGTATTGAAAATTGTTGAACTGGTTATTGTCTATTCAGACATTTCTTAATTCTAACAATGGCAAGGTCAAATAAAATCAGTAGATAATGTCACAAGGAATGTCAGACTGTGTGATTTGAAAATCAAATTTACTTACACTTTTAGCAAATAATCCCATTGCCAGTCTCATTAAATAATCTTCATTGTGTGTCACTGTGTTATGCTTATTGGAGAAACACTGAAGGAAAGACTTGGGCATATGTTGATATTTTCATCACAGTCATCCATCACTGTAATGAGTAACCAAAGCCCCTTTGAAAATAATATATCTGGCATTGCATAGATTCCAAAGCATTGACTTCTTCTGTAACACTCTTTCAGAGGCATTAATATGAATGTTATGCTAATTTGTCTGTTTTGACCTAGAGTTTATTTAAAATCCTAGAGGATTTTCAAGAGGCTATTTCTTCATTAAACTAACTTGTAAAGCAAACATAACTTCAGCCTTTTATTTTATTAAAATGAATTAATCTAAAGAATTATTTGAAGAGTGAATCAACACAAGTTCTTCAAGAAGTGCAGTTCAATTTAAGCATTTAATTGGAGGTCTGGAGTAGTGGCTTAAAGCTGGAGTAAAACAATTCTGAATTTAATTCCCAACTTTACTACTTACCAGCTATATGTCCTTAGGTATATATGTTATTTATGCTTTTTTAGATCTTTGTATACTGAACATTAAATTTCAGTAAATAATACTACCTATCTTCTGATTGTTATAAGGATTAAATACACTGATTATATAAAGGTTTAGCACAGTCTCTGGCACCCAATAGGCACTAAATATATTTCTTAATCATTAGTTTCAGTACCTGGGCTTATAACAGGAAATGTATAAACTAGTATTTAATTCAGAATTTTTCTCTGAGGGAAATCATAATGGTGTAGAATTTGGGGATATGATTTCTTTGTGAAATTCTTTAAAATATTCAAAACATGAACATTTAAAAATATTTATGGTAGACTTTCACAGAGTGAGTTCCAGGATAAGTGCTGACCATAAGGGGGAGGCTCCTAACTTCAGGCACTTATAATCCTGTTTTTCAGATAAGGAATGCATAGAATATGACAACAAGCATTCTCAAACCATGGTAGTGGCTTTAAGCCACTACTCCAGACCCCCAATTAATGCTTAAATTGAACTACACTTCTTGAAGTGCTTGTGTTGATCCACTCTTCAAATAATTTTTTAGATTAATTCATTTTAATAAAATAAAAGGCTGAAGTTAGCTTTGCTTTACAAGTTTGAGGATGCTTGATAAATGACAAATGGCTTGAGAGGAAATAACCAATTATGGCCTCATAGAGATAGTAAACCTCAAACAGCTTTTAAGGGAAGGCAGAATTTAAATTCAGGGAATTTCATAGAAATGTATAAAATTTAAATTCACAAGTGTGTGGTCAAATATAAGTAAGAAGTTCTAAGATGAGATTTTACCATGTATTAGGGAAACAAATATTGAACTTTTCATTTGGAACAGAGTTCTTATAGAAGAAAAGAGGTCAAAGCTCTTCAGGAGTTCTTGGATGCTAGGAAAGGAGTATAACTTAGCATATTCGACAATAGAGTGTCAATTAGGTATGATATATAAGTGAAAATATAACCTTTAATAAAATAATGACATAAGTAAATGCAAAAATATATATTTACAATACCATCCCTTCCTTCCTCTCTTCCTATTTATTTTCTTTCTTTTTTCTTTTTCTTTCTTTTTGTTTCTTTCTTCTTTTCTTTTTATTCTTTCCCTCTCTTTCTGTCCTTCCCTATCTCTCTCTCCCAACCCCCTCACTGGCCGCCAGCTTTCCACCCCCCACCACATACACACCAACACACACACAGAGCTTAGCCTCGTTAGTTCCTCTTCTTTGCTTCTAGCCTTTTCCACTCTACCTCTCCAAAAACATCCACGTCCTTCTCCTTTTCAGGGAGAGCAGATGCCTTCTTCTTCAGAGCTTCTGGTTGCCAGTCTGACACTCAGTCCTAGTCACTACCCTCCACCTTACAGCCGGGTTGTCATAGCGTTTTCTTAACAAAGGCTGCCTTCTCCCTCTTCCAAGGAATTCTTGCACTGCTTACAAAAAAGACAATTTTTTTTTCAATTAGGTTTTCTATGGTTTGAATGTGCTCCCTCTAAAATTCAGATGTTGGTGAGCCTTTAAGAGATGATCAAGCCATGAGGGCTCCTCCCTCATTAATGAGATTAAGTTCTTCATAAAAAGGCTTCAGGCAACACTGGGCTCTGTTACTTTTCTGCCTTCTGCTATGTGAGGACACAGCATTGGTTTCCCCTGCAGGATGCAACAAAAAGTGTGATCTGGGAAGCAAAGAGCAACTCTCATCAGACAACTGAAACTGCTAGTACCTTGAGCTTAAGCCTTCCGGCCTCTGGTACTACGAGAAAAAAAAAATTCTCTTCTTAATAAATTGCCTAGTCTCAGGTATTCTGTTGTAGCACCACAAATGGACTAAAACAAGGTTGCAAATACAAGTAAGTATTCTTGTTATTTTACAAGGGTGGTATAGATGACAAAGAAAATTTTCTATGACAAATAAAAAGCTACAGAAATAAACATATGTATATGTTTATTCATTCATTTTTGTAGAAAAATATACTCAGAAAATATGTGACAGCATTTACAGCAAATAGTTAATAGTGGCTATCATTTTGAGGATGATACAAAGACTCTTTCCCTTATTACTTATACTTCTGAGTTGTGGAAAATTTTTATAATATGCATATTCATATGATAATAGGAAAGAACAGTTAATGTTTACATTTGAAAAATAAATCAGATTATATACAGTTGATTTTTTTCAAAATGATTTTGACATTATATTGTATGAACTTATATTTTGAGCAAATCATAAAGATACTCATTTTATTGTGTATATAATAAATACCAGCCTCTGTAGTAGATACTTAAAATACACAATTATATTTTATTCTGTAGGCCACCTTATAAATAGCTATTTGATTCTCATTTTATTGATAAAGAAATAGAGCATTTAAGTAATTTGTCCTAGGTCACTCAGCTAGTAAATAGTGAAATAAGGATTCAAATAAAGTTTTTGTGGCTGTTGTTGTTCACCATTATATCCACTCCTTGAAAAACATTCACTCAACTAGAAATGAAAGATATATTTTATAGATTTGGTCGCTAACATGTATTTATTATTAACATTATAGAAAAGTCACATGGCTGAGAAAGATAGTAATCAATTTAAGGACATTTAAGGTCTAGGGTAAAGTATATGGCATCTGATTTATTCCATTCATTGCAATTCTTCACTGTGCCACATGGGAATCTCATCTTGTGATATATGCCATGAAACCACTGAATTAACCCCTCAGGGAATTAACACAATTAAACATTAGAGAAATTTTCTAATTCACCAATTCCACATAAACCCAATGGACTATGTTAAGAATTTATGAAAAATTCCTTGTCATTATCAGAATCCGCTTCACTGCATATTGTGCCTGGATAGTATCCTTAAGAACAATGAAGCTGTTGCCAAAGTTGAAGTGATAAATGTATTGAGAAAGTGAACCTTCCCCTCATATTGTTTGAAAAAAGATTGTCTCAATGGCATTTAGGTTTACAGTTTGTTTATTTTTAATTTTCAGAGGAAACATGATTTCATAGCTGAATGCTGACAGTGGGGTGTTAAAGTCTCCCACTTCTATTGTGTGGGAGTCTAAGTCTCTTCGTAGGTCTCTAAAAACTTGTTTTATGAATTTGGGTGCCCCTGTTTTGCGTGCATGTGTATTTAGAATAGTTACCTCTTCTTGTTGAATCGTTCCCTTTACCATTATGTAATGCACTTCTTTGTCTTTTTTGATCTTTGTTGGTTTAAAGTCTGTTTTATCAGAGGCTAGGACTGCAACCCCTGCTTTTTTTTGCTTTCCATTTGCTTGGTAAATTTTCCTCCATCCCCTTATTTTGAGCCGTGTGTGTCTTTGCACATGAAACGTGTCTTCTGAATACAGCGCACTAATGCTTCTTGACTCCTTATCCAATTTGCCAGTCTGTGTCATTTAATTGGGGCCTTTAGCCCATTTACATTTAAGGTTAGTATTACTATGTGTGAATTTGATCCTGCCATCATGATGCTATGTGGTTATTTTGCATTAGTTGATGTGGTTTCTTCATAGTATCTTTGGTGTTTATATTTTGTTGTGTTTTTGCAGTGGCTGGTACCAGTTTTTCCTCCCTACATTTAGTACCTCTTTCAGGAGCTCTTGCAGGGAAAGCCACGTGGTAACAAAATCCCTCAGCATTTGCTTGTCGGAAAAGGATTTTATTTATCCTTTACTTATAAAGCTAAGTTTGGGTGGATATGAAATTCCAGGTTGAATATTCTTTTCTTTAAGAATGTTGAATATTGACCCCCCAAAAATCTCTTCTGGCTTGTAGAGTCTCTGCTGAGAAGTCCGCTGTTAGTCTGATGGGCTTCCCTTTGTAGGTGAACTGGTCTTTCTCTCTGGCTGCCCTTAACAGTTTTTCATTCATTTCAACCTTGGAGAATCTGGGGTAGATCTCGTGGAGTATCTTAATGGTGTTCTCTGTATTTTCTGAATTTGCATATTGACCTGTCTTTCTTAGGTTGGGGAAGTTCTCCTGGATAATATCCTAAAGTGTGTTTTCCAGCTTGTTTCCATTCTCCCTGTCTCCTTCTGATACTCCAATCAATCATAGGTTCAGTCTTTTTAGGAAGTCCCATATTTCTTGGAGGCTTTGTTCATTCCTTTTCATTCTTTTTTCTCTATTCTTGTCTGCATGTCTTATTTCAGCAAGGTGGTCTTCAAACCCTGTTATCGTTTCTTCCACTTGGTCGATTTGGCTGTTGATACTTGTGTATGCTTCACGAAGTTCTTGTGGTGTGTTTTTCAGTTCCATCAGGTCATTTATGTTCCTCTCTAAACTGGTTATTCAAGTTAGCATTTCCTCTAACCTTTTATCAACATTCTTAGCTTCTTTGCATTGGGTTAGAACATGATCCTTTAGCTCACTGTAGTTTTTAATTACCCATCTTCTGAAGCCTACTTCTGTGAATTCATCAATCTGATTCTCCTCCCAGTCTGCGCCCTTGATGGAGAGGCATTGCAATCATTTGGAGGAGAAGAGGCACTCTGCCCTTTTGGATTTTCAGCATTTTTTCATGGATTCTTTCTTATCTTCATGAGTTTGTCTAGTTTCGGTCTTTGAGGCTGCTGTCCCTTGGATGGGGTTTTTGTGGGGGCCTTTTATGTTGCTGTTGTTGTTGTTGATGCTGTTGTTGTTACTTTCTGCTTGTTTGTTTTTATTTCAAATAGATCCCTCCATATTCTGTAGGGCTGCTGCCATTTGCTGAGAGTTCACTTTAGGCCTTATTCATCTGATTCACTCCTGTGCCTGGGGATGTTACTCAAAGAGCCTGGAGAGCAGCAAAGATGGGTGCCTGCTCCTTCTTCTGGGACCTCTGACCTTGAGGGGCACCAACCTGATGCCAGTAGGATGGATCACTCCTGTACAGGGTGTCTGACAACCCCTGTCGGAGGATCTCACCCAGTTGGGTGGCACAGGGAGCAGGACCCGTTTAATTAAGCACTTTGTCCCTTGTTGGAGAGGGTGTGTTTTGCTGGGGGAAAGCCCACTCGTCTGGGCTTCCCGGATTCCTCAGAAGTACCAGGAGGAGAGGCTAAGTCTGCTGGTCTGCAGAGACGGCAGCCACCCCACTCCCTGTGGGCTCAGGCCCAAGGAGATCCGAATTCTGTCTCTGAGCCTTTGGCTGGAGTTACTGGAGATCCTGCAGGGAAGCCCTACCCACTGAGGAAGGATGGGTCAGGGTTAGACTTGAAGAGGCATTCTGGCCACAGACTGCCACAGCCGGTGTGTTGGACTGTGGGGACAAGTCTTTGGACCAAGCTGCCCAGCCTCCCTGGCTCCAGCAGGGGAAAAGCACAGCCTGGAGCTGTATAAATGAGTGCCGCCCCTCTCCCGCCCGGGGAGCTTAGCCTGTTAGGCAATTTCCAGTCCCAGTGCTGGTTGCTGCCCCTCCCCCAAGGAGCTCAAATGGCTTAGACAGCAGGCAGGGGCAGCTGGTTCAGGTCATCTCCCCCTGGGAGTTCAGTAGGCTTAAGCAGATTCGAGCTGAGAAGCTGTAAGGCTCTGCCCGTTCTGGAGTTGGGATGCTAGGCCCTGGTTGCATGGGTTCAAGAGTGGCATCTTCCGATACATGGGATGCACAGTTCCCTGGAAAAGACACAGTTTCCCTGGCTGGGTAGTGGCGCTCATTCACTGCCTCCCTTGGCTGGGGGTAGAGGGTTCCCCTTCCCCCTGTGGCTGTCAGGTGGGCCACCACACCACACTGCTCTTCCTTTTCTCTGTGGGTCACCCCAGCCTTCTAGTCAATTTTGATGAGAGAACCTGGATACGTTGGTTGCTGGTGAAGGATTCACATGCTTATTATGTTTTTTTTCTGATGGGAGCCTCTGAACCTTGCTGCTTCTAGTCGGCCATCTTGGCCCCGCCCCTGATCAATATTTGAGATGTGTGTTTAAGTGTATTTTGTTCATTTTTAGGCAGTTCGACTTAACACAGCTTTCTGTGTTCTGGTATTTCTCATGAATGAAATCATGTATCCGCAAGCATGACATTTGTGTTATGCTTAAAAGGTTCCTGGATATATGAGTTGCATTAGAACAAATTCACAGTTTGAAATCAGAAATAATTGTACTACAATTTATGGCAGCATGTGGATAAAAAAAATAACAGAAGTTCTTGCTATCGTCAATGTTCATTGCAAAGAAGTCAAGCTCATCTTCTGAAAATGAAAGTGATGGGCAGGAACATCTGAGACTATATAGATATCTACATCAAACACAGTATGTACTTAGTATGGATTCATTAAGTCAGTGAATAAGGGAATTTTTATGATAAATGATAATTTTGCATCATGCAGCAGAATTTTAGATTGGCATTTGTTGCTTACCTGAGTTAAAAGGAAGATGGCGGCATTGATTCAAGGTAGGGAATCATGAATATCCTGGAAAGAGAAAGAATTATGTACTGCATGGCCCAATTACTAAATAAAAGCAAATTTACCTGTCTTATACATTTTGTGGTGTTATTAAATAGTTGAATCACAATATATTGAATAGTTTACAAATTTTTATTTTTCCTAACGTGGCCGTATACATATACATACACCACAGTTTGACCACTAAGGGATATCTCTTAGATGTAAAATCGAAGTAGAATATTTTAAAATTTCTTCAGGTAGACTGAGGGGCTGCATTGAATATCTGAAAGAGCGTCTAGAATCATCAGTGTTTTAGCCAGTTCCACTCTACTCCTTCCTGGCTTAGTTAATTAACATCAAGGATTTCTACTTATTTGAATGCTAGATACACCCTAGGAAGTAATTCAGTTGCACTTCGCTAATACTGCCCACAAACGATCACATTTTCAAACTTTGGCATGCATAACAATCATTTGGGATACTTGTTTAGAATGCAGAGTCCTGGACCCTAGCCCAGGAAATTCTTATTTGTATATTTGGGGTGAGAAGCAGAATTCATAGCTTTTTAATTTTAATTTTTTTGTGTGGTTATATAGTAGGTGTATATATTCATGGAGTACATGAGAGGTTTTGATACATGCATGCAATTTGAAATGGTCTGTAAATGGTCTGTGGGCCACAGTTCGAGAAACACCACCCTGAAATGATCAATGTTAGTAGTTGATCAATTTGGTCATATGTCAGTTTGACTGATTAATTTTTCATTCAATCAACACATTTGAACTAAAAAGATCAGTTAGGCCAAATGACACCCTGGTTACAAGTATACGCAAAGCCTCATTGTATGGCTTTGGATCAATAATTTAACTTTCCAACTGCTCAATTGCTTGATCTATAAAATAGTAACTGTATTTCCTCACAGTGTTGTTTAAAGGAAGAACTATTAAAATATTACAAAACAAGTTTTAGATATGAATACTTAATAGCAGAATACAGTCAGTGTATTATGGAAATTAAATAATTAGTATGAGGGGAATTGATTTCACTGTTGTATAAAAGTACGTATTTCTGCTCCACAAGGAGTAACTTGAGTTCTGATATGATTTGATCTACTATTTTTATACTGAATATGCATTACCGGAAATAGGTCACAGCAGGAAGACAGATTAAGGCAGTTTAAAGGAAAATAGAAACTATAAAAAATAAATTTGCAATTACAATAAGAGAGCAGAGCTGTCTCCTTTTCTTTGTTTACTCAGTGGCCAACATAATCATCCTCTATTTCACATACAGGGTTAACCCTTGCATAACCTGAAGTCTTCTTCCACATTCTCAAAAGGACGTGGGCATTTTCCTTCTGGTTTCAATATTAGAACAAAGTGTATTTAGCACTCTGAGTTAATGTGTCACTGAGTTCTCCAGAAATATTAAACTTCGTAAAGCATAATTTGCTATTGATGTAATTTAGAAGACAGATAACAAGTAAGACCAAAAAAGAGGGGGAGGGGATGAACAGGGCAAAACACATAAATGTAAGAGGTTATATGTAAGAAACTATGAGAAAGTATAGTATTCAAATTTTTTTTTTTTTGTCTGAAGTGGTGGCTCACACCTGTAATCCCAGCTACTTGGGAGGCTAAGGCAGGAGAATCACTTGAGTCTGGGAGGCGGAGGTTTTAGTGAGCTGAGATCGTGCCCCTGCACTCCAGCCTGGGTGACAGAGCAAGACTTGATCTCTTCGATACATGAATCAATACTGATGAAGTATAATAATAAATTATTTGGTTATAATATTCCAGTAGGTCTTCCTTTAAATATTATATTGGAAACAATTTCCTACCACATGTTTCTTCCTTCACACTATTTCAGTCACATTGGCTTCTCTGTTGTTCTTCTCTTGTACTCCTCAGATTCTTGTTTCAGGATCCTTTAACTGGCTGTTTCACTTTCTGGACCACTCTTCCACCAAATACCCACACAGTTCATGTTCACAATTTAAACAAATCCTTCTAAAATATCACCTCTTCAGTGAGGCCTTCTTCGAACTATCTATCTAAAATAATGTCTTAGGGTCCTAGGCAGAGGCTCCTGTCCTCTAAGAAAGCTTTGGCCTTTTTAGGGAGAGTTCCTTAAGACAGATAAATTAGGCTCCACCCAAAATTGACAGACTGATAGTATTCGGAGGATACTGCAGAGAATTTATAATGCTAATAAAGGTCACCCACTAAAGAATGAGAAATGACTGAAATAAATATAAAGAATTTCTTGTGGTCAACCCTGCTGCCCTGGAAAACTCTCCTAGCTGTTACATTAAAAACAGGTGAGATTTCAGAGAAGTTATCTTGACAATGTGGCAGGAAATGCCCTCACTGTGGTGGGTTCCTTAGCAAAAAGTGTTGGCAAGCTTGAGTCAGCAAAAAAGGGGCAAAAACTACAGCTCCAGCAGAAAGCAATGTGTCTGCAGCTGTTGAGTCAAGAGGTCCCCAAAGTTGACATAGATGGTAGCAATAATGATGACCTTGCTGCTTCATGTAGGACTTTAGGCAGGCAGACAGTATTTAAAGTGTTTTTTATTCAGCCATGACCAGTCCCAGCACAGCTTGAAACCACATGTAAATGTACCTTTTGTGTGTGTGTGTGGCACAGAGCCACTTTCTCCCTCACTTGCTCTCTAATACTTTAGCTGCTTTAAGCAGAATGATGATTAGGGTGAGGCCAAGGTCTCCCTGTCCCCAAAGGAGGGAATAAAGGCCTCATGCATCCATGTGAACACACTGCAAAGGAGAGGAGGGAATCCAACATTAATGGTTCTTTTGGCTATAGATGCCAAAGTCACCATGGGAACAGGACCTATAAGGGGGGTACCTGCTTTCAACTGATGGGGAAAGAGACCTGTGTAGGGTCATTTGGGCCTGTTTGTTAACTAACATTGTAGCTTCCACTGCTGAATGTATAGTGATTCTCTGAATCTTGAAAAGCCACATGTAGAAAGTGATAGTTAGACCTATAAATCTGTCATCAAACCCCCTCTTGGTCTTTTCTTGAGTAGTCCAACCAAAACTATATAGAATCACAAGAAAAGAAAGAAAAATGAGAGCTTGGATTAAGGAAATGAAAGTAGCTTTTACTTTTACTTTTACTGGTCATGCAGGGCTTTTGTTTCAATATACGACATCTCTTACTAGTAGTAAGGGGTAGTAAGAGATGTCGTATATTGAAACAAAAGCCCTGCATGACCAGTAAAAGTGAGCTGGCAGATGATGATCAATTGAATTCAGTTATTTCTCCTATAAACTGGCTGTTCTAATGTTCTAGACATAGTGATTATAACTGAATCTATCATAGACTATTGATACTTGGTATACTGCCTTCAACCCTGCCAACACCTTCTTTTCTATTCCACTGGCACTAAGGGATCAAAATACATTATTTTTAATATATTTTTATAATGTAGAGATGGGGGTCTCACTATGTTGCCCAGGCTGGTGTTGAACTCCTGGCCTCAAGTGATCCTCTTACCTTTGTCTCCCAAAGTGTTGGTGTTACAGGCATGAGCCATGGTGCCTGGCCTAAGATCAGTTCTTGACAGTCATTAGCATGGCTTTAGTGGGAGATCAGAATATGGAAGTATTCCAAAATATGGAAGATTGTTGAGCTGAAGACAGTTAAGAAGGAGCAAATGCAGGAAAGCTGTCTGCCCTCCTTCTCTTTGCCTAAAAGCAGGTCATAGATTTACAAAGACAGAAGATATCCTGTCTCACCCCTCTACAAGGGGAGCAAAGCTTAACCACTGAAGACAACTTTAGACTCTTACTGCCCTTGTGAAAAACCTTATTAATTAGTGTTTTTCTGCCAGTTATTTGCCTTTTTAAAATTACCACTGCTAGAGAGTGAAAATCCTTTTTCTTTGTCATTACTTCTCTAAAAATTTATTGTTCTTTGTTGAAGATGTTATGTAAGCTGAATTTCAAAGCTACCTCTTTGAGAATTATTCATTCCCTGGCTATCTCTCTCCATATATATATATTTCTTTTTGTTTTTCTCTTGTTGATTTATCTTTTCTACAGGGTTCCATTTCAACTGGAACCTGTGAGAGTTGAAGAAAGAATTATTTTTCTTCGCCTATACGTTCATGCCAAGAACAGCCATTAAAAAGTCACTGAAAGGTCTCAAGTAGGAGAGAAATAAGAACAGATAACTGAGGGAAAATATGTTCAGTAAGTGTGGAAAATTTGATGGAGGTAGGGAGATCGTTGCAAGGGTTCTGAATGTCTACCCTATCCAGACCACTGTAATAAATGTGGCTCAATCATGCTTGTGCACATGGACCACAAAACAAACACCACAGGTATTGCCACACTGTCTCAGAATTGATCCAGGCCACTTCACATACGCCTTCTTCATGGGATGGCCAATATATGTTTCCTTCTTCCCACTTTCAATCTCACCTCTTTATAACTCTCCTCCACATTTAGCCCTGAACCAAAAGCATAGTCTCACCCCCCACACCTTTTTTTTTTTCTGGTTTTTCCAATTTGACCTGGGTATTTTATTTCAGGACAGATATTTTTGTTTTTGTGATTTTTGTTGTTGTTGTTGTTATTTACTCTCTGGCCTAGCTCACAAATAACCATCTTTGTTTTTGCAAGTCTCTTTCTCTGTCAGTAGAGTTAGACAAAGAAGAGAGGTGACAATGTCAGAGTTGAGGCCATAGAAGTAGGAATTGAAAGAAGAGGATGGTGAAAAAGATGCTGCTTTCTGTTTTCAGGATGATGTGTTGAAGTGAGAAAAGCACAATTAGCAAGCAGAAATGGAGATGAAAAGAAATGGAAGGCTAGAACGTAGCTTTCAGGATTCCAGCTCTAGTGCTTCATATACCATGGTGCTGTTTTCTGAGATTGGGAATATAGAAAAAGAAAGATTTGGGATAGGAAGTGAAAGACGGTTAGTTTAGGTTTGACTTAGAACAGACAGACTTACATCATCTTCACAATTAGCTGTGACTATTCCTGTCTCTATATGCACTAAGCACTACATATTTTCTACAGGGATGCTATTGTTTTCAAGCTATATAAAGAAAACCGCAAACAAAACCCACTTGGGTGAACTCTCTCTGACCAGTGTATATCCAGTTTTTTCCTTCACATAATCTAGTTATGTGTATTTTATAAAGGTATCAATTCCTTGAATTTAGAAACATAGCAAGGTCATCTGATGTTCCTTGTGTCTTTTCTTTTCCTAAAGGAACTTTATTTATGGCAAAAAATAGTCTCTTCTGAAATGGTGACTCATGGTGAGATATTTACTTGATTTTAGTGTCTTTGTTGCATATCTTCTTAGCATCTACAACATTGACAAGCTCACTTAAAATTATGAATAAACTTTGTGTAATGAGAGGTTTCTTTCTCTATATTCCATTCTCTTAGAAAAAGCAATTTAATGATTTTTGAAAGAAAAGCAGATAATTTGCTCTTAAGTTTCTAGGTTTTACTTAATATATTATATAAATATTATTTTATGATAATTTAATTAACATATTAATTATAATTGCATTTATATTATTACATTATTTATAATTTTAATTGATATCATTTATATAATTATATATTATATCAATTATAATTATATTAATTTATTATTCATTATATTTATTATTATATAAATATTTATTATTTTACTGATTAATATATTATATAAATATTTATTATATAGCATGTTTCTTCATGTCTAAGCTCTAACTCTTATACATCAATCTATAGTTTCTATATTCTAAGTAACAATTCTTCTGGGCTGTTCATTTTACGTGTTGTGCTGTATGCAGCACTGTAGCACACTCTACAGGTGTTTCTTCTCCACTGGCAATGATCTAAAACTTCCCTGAGGACAGGGGCTCTAGCTCCCTCATTTTGGCATCCATATGTATTAAGTAGAACTCTTTCAGTCTTAAATGAAAAGAGCGATACAACTCAAATTATTTTAATCAAGAATAAGAAAAATAAGACAAACAAGTTTTGTTTCACTTAAAGTGAATATCAAGGCACATAAACTAGCGTCTGGCCTGGATGAATTTAGGAGTTTGAAAGAGATCTGGTTCTGTATCTCGATCTTGTGTCCCTGTCTCTGCCTTGCTTTACTGTCTTAAAGGTTACCTCCGAGTGCTAACCATATACCTGGCAGTAGCAGTGGGAAAAGAAGGCGGTCTTCTGATAGCTTGGAAAGAAGTCTCATGCCATTGACAGTGTCCTAAGTCATCACTTGCCTATCTTTCGAGCTAGGCTTGAATCACATGTAGTGAGCAGATGGACTCTGGAAAATGAAACAGGAGATATGTGGTTCCCCAATGACAGGAACATTGGGCAGACATAAATTAAATACATAAAATCCACCCCCAATATTTTTAACACTTACAACACTGACTTAAATGTAGCAGATATTCAATAAATGTTACTAATTCATTAAAAATAAATAGTCTTTTAAAAATCACATATCCTAGGACTTTGGGACATGCCAAAAAATTAAAACATAGAATCTCTAGAACAGACAGTAACCAAATTAAGGAGGAGTATAAACGTATGCATATAGTTGGTACTATGAGTGTGTATGGAGGGAAGAAAAAAGACAGAGAGAGAGAGGGAGAGAGAGAGAGAGAGAAAGACTCTGTTATTATGTATAAGATGCCAAAAGGAAATAGATAAAATAGATCTATGCAGCCCAGAATGGATTATATATATTGTGGGCTAGTGAGTTTAGAGAAGGGCTAGGGGTCAAGGTATACTTCAAATTACGCTCTAAAAACCGCTCTCAGTAAAGTATCAGTAATAAAACTCAATCATCGTAAGGTACTTTGCAGGCTTATATAGCAGAGAAGAACCAAGGAGGAGTGCTTTCAGACCCAGCTGACTTTACCATCCTACAATATCATCAGGGCTTGCTCTCATGATTTCTCAGCTCTGCTTCCTTCTGCTTTTGGGTTTCATATTTCCTACAAACAGATTTCCTCTACGTGACTGGTGGAAATGGCTATCATCAGCCACACATTGAGATTTCTCCAACTTAGCAGTACATGTGGAAAAGAATGCCTCGCTGATTTCTCAAGTCAAGGAAAAAAATCAGATGGGCTCTGCTTTAGTGAAAATCCATCTCTGAATCAAGCACTGTGTCCAGGACAGTGGAGCACCATGACTGGCCAGGCCTGAATCACATTTAATCTTGGGAATAAAAGATTTACGATGGGGAATAAAATGTGTCAGGCAGCCCAAAACAGTAAGTAACACAACCTACCAAAATAGGTAAGATATACACACAGAGAGAAGAGTTGAATAAACTGTCCAGATAGAGTACTGGCATGTACAGAAGTACTAAATGTTTCAATAAATAATATTTTAGCTAAGTGCTGAAGCTACAAAGATGAATAAAACCCAGTACTTACCTTCAAATGAAAAATTTTCTACTCGGTGCTATAGACATAAATAGATATTTATACAAATGCAGCTATACCCAGGACCTTGTGGATATTGTGTTTGTCTGCATGCATTACTATAAAGGAATACCTGAAACTAGATAATTTATAAAGAAAAATAAATATTTATCTTGGCTCATGGTTCTACAGGCTATACAGGATGCATAACACCAGCATCTGCTTCTGGTGAAGCCTCAGGAAGCTTACAATCATGGTGGAAGGTGAATGGAGAGCAGGCATGTCACATGGCAAGAAAGGGAGCAAGAGAGAGATGCCAAGATCTTTTAACAACCAGATTTCATGTAAATTCAGAGTGACTACTCACTCGTTACCATGGGGAAGACACCAGGCCATTCTTGAGGGATCCGACTCCATCACCTAAACATCTCCCACCAGGTACACCTCCAACATTGGAGGTCACATTTCAACATAAGATTTGGAGAGGACAAAACATCCAAACCTTATCAGGTACCAAATTTGGCACCTATTTTATGTGGCTGAGACAAGGACATAGATAAGTCCAGTAAGACTTCCTGAATAAGGTGATTTCTGATGTTAATTAGAAAGGCTGATTCAGAATTTGCTAGAAGGAGGGGAGATAGAAAGGGTATGCAGTTGCACATATTTATACTTCTGGTATATCTCTGTTAAGTGCACAAGACAAGAGTAAGAGAGGAAGAAGTCTTGAGGATTAGAAAGGAAATTATGATGTTAGATCCCATACTCCATAGGGAGTGTATTAGGAGGAAAAGTCAATAGATTAGAATCTCCTTTACATAGGTCATTTTGAAAATTCTGAACAAAGAGAAGACAAGAGAAGTAATAATTAGATAGCAGTTACAGAAGCCAAGCCAGAGGAAAAAAAGGCCCAAGTCAATACAAAGACAATAGAAATGAAGAAAACTAAGATTAGATTATTATTATTATTAATTATTATTATTATTATTATTTCAAGATGGAGTCTCACTCTGTCACCAGGCTGGAGTGCAGTGGCGCCATCTCGGCTCACTGCAACCTCCGCCTCCCAGGTTCGAGCGATTCTCTTGCCTCAGCCTCCCAAGTAGCTGGGACTACAGGCGCCTACCACCATGCCTGGCTAATTTTTGTATTTTTAGTGGAGACGGGGTTTCACCATGTTGGCCAGGATGGTCTCAATCTCTTGACCTCATGATCCACCCACCTTGGCCTCCCAAAGTGCTAAGATTATAGGCATGAGCCACCGAGCCTAGCCTAGAGAATTATTTAATGGCACATTTCAACAGAAATTAGTGATTTCTTGTATATGGGAAATGAGGGAGAAAATTAGCCAAAAAATGTTACTAGTTAGAAGTATTGGGTGAGTGTTGGTGGAGGAACCAGGTTACCAGCTAGAAGCATTAGGTGAGTATTGGTGGAGGAACCAGGAAAAGAGTGATAAATTTTAGACACTTTAGATCCACTAGGTAGAAATAAATATTCTGCATGCTCCTGAATGTATGAGTCATAAACTTAAGGGAAAAGCTGAGTGGGAAATATAGATCTATGACTTACCAATATATAAAAAAAGAATGAGATTACTCAGGGAAACCCTATATAATGAGTAGAGCAGTGGACTGAGGGAGCAAGAAATATTATCATTAAAGATACGAATAGTATAGTAGAAGTCTACCAAGGAAAGAAAGAAGAGTTGGAAGGTACAAAGAAAATTCAACAAGTGTAATATCAAAAGACCTTAGAAGAGAATATTTGAAAAAAAAAAAGAGAGTAATTAGTAGTTAAAAAAGCAGGAAGATTCATTAAGGTAAGATTTATATAATATTTCTAGGATTAGAAATGAGAAGACCCTGTTGGGACCCTATTCAGGTTGGAGGCCATGAATATATAGAATGAATGTATAGAAGTCCATGAACGTATAGCAGTCCCTGTCTAGCTGTGTGATTTCTCTAGCAGCTCTTAGCCACCTTTGTTGCAGTTTTGCTAGGAGGATGAATAAGGAGGAGGTGAACAGGAGGAGGAGGAGGACGAGGAGGAGGAGGAAAAGGAGAAGGAGGAGGAGAAGGGAGATAGAGTAGCCATAAAAAATAAGTAAAATAAAAAAGAACAAATAAATAAAAAACTATGTAGGTGTGCTTATAGGCTTATAGATTGGTTTATAGTTCATGTAATCAACTTTGAGGCCAAGGCTGAATATGGAAAGAATAGAGGCTAAAATAAAATAGAAGGATTATAAGGATTACAGAGGGATCACAGAGGAGGATAAAATGGAGAGGTCAGAGCACTGAAGGTCCCCATGAGGTCAAAGTTTTGGTAAAGAAAATTGGATGAAGTTTGGGAAAGAAGGAAAGGCAAATGAATAGTAGTCAAGGGGTTTCAAATTTTGAGTTAGAACAGCTCCCTAGATGATGATGGCCACTGTTTGGAAGATTGATGCAGAGGGCAGGTATGGCCACTAAGTTTAAATAGGTCCGGAAATACATGTTTTAGTTCATTTGGGCTGTTATAACCATAAACTGGGTGGCTTATAATGAAAAGTCAAGATCAAGGTACTCTCAGATTTAAAATCTGGCAAGGGTCTAGCTTCAAAGGAAGTCATCTTCTCCCATAATCTCACATACAGGAGGGGTGAGGAGACTCCCTAGGGTCACTTTTATAAGAACACTAATCCCATTCATGAGGGATCTACTCTTATGACCTAACCACCCCTGAAGTCCCCACCTCCAAATACCTTCACATTAGGGGTTAGGATTTCAATATATGAATTTTGGGGGGACAGAAAAATTCAGTCTATAGCAGTGAGATTATCAAATTACACCTACATGAAAACATAAATTTGTAGGAGATAGAATAGAAATGAGCTATTAGGTTGTGAGCTGGCCCCAAAGTCTCCAATGAGTAAAAATAAGATAATAGAAATTTATTGGTTATCAGCAGTGAGAAAGGGAATGTGTGGATAGTCTAAACCTCAAAGAAATATGTCTTATATACTATGTGTTGAAAAAGTTGTAAGAAAAATGTTTTATGCACAAGTCATTAGAAAAAAAGATGGAATAAGATAGATTTCCCTAGTGTCAGACTAAATTCATATGAGATATTATGAACCTGATTCTGCAAGTGATATGACTACATTTTAAAAATCACTTCTTGCTGGGAGAAGAAAAAAATCCCTTTCTGCTACTTGTTAACTATCTAGGTCAAAGATTTCACAGACTAAGAAGATAAAACAAATTAACAAAATTGTTTTTCAGATCATCCAATAACCATTCCTTTAACCAAATATTCATTAAGCAGCTACTATGTGTAAGGAAAGTGTGTGCTTGATGCTGTGCAATTTGTAATTTGACATTGAGAAAGTCAAGATTGATTTTATTCACCGTTTTTCTCATCTAAATTACTCAATGACCTTGGACCTTTCTCAGATGTGAAATGCAAGACACATTAAATATAGTTTCTTAGTCTAGGAGCCAGGAGAACTTCCTGAATGTGGAAAAAGTTTAAGTGAGAGACACCAGGGCTCCACATTCTTGCCACAGACTTTTACAGTCCTAGCTCCAGGGGAGCCTCTCCACCCTTGCAGGTGACTAACAAAAAGGCAGCTGCCCTCAGATTGCACAGAGACATTGCTCTAGAGAGGGAACTCACACAGAGACCCACAGGATTCAGAGCCCTGCGCACTCCCTGCATGGTGCCATTCTGAGACCTCAGGATCCAAAGGACTGCATCCTGCCCCGGGGCTGAAGCTGCTGCTGCTACCCCCAGGCCAAGGTGGGAGAGGGGAGGCCAGGCACTTTCATGCGCTCCAAGGACAAATCTCACCACTGCTGCTGTGGGCTGCTGTGAAACTAAGGCACAAGCAAACTGTACTCCCCACAGCTGCCTGACTATGCTACTCCCACGGAGAGTAGTTCCACCCCTGCCTCAAATCCCAGAGGGCAAGCCTGAAGGTAGAGCTGGCGCTTCTCTAAGAATTGAGCCCCCACAGGTCTGCATCCTGCTTGAGGGCTGCCACTGTCACTGCCACCACCAGACCAAAGAGGGAGAGAGGAAGCTGAGCACTTTCATGCACACTGAAGACAAATTTCATCACCTCTCCTACAGGCTGCTGTGGGACTGAGGGGCCAGGAAATCACACTCTTGGTGGCTGCCTGCCTATGCTGCTCTGACTGAGAGTGGCCCCACCCACCTGGGTGACAGACCTGCAGCTAGCAGCATTCTGAGAGCCCAGCCCTCAAAGAAATGTGTCCTGCCCTGGGGCTGATGATGCCACTGCAGCTACTGGGCCAATAAGGGAGAGGGAATGTTGGGCAAATCCATATACCCTGAGGACAAATGCCAGCACTACTTCTGTGGGCTGCTGTGGGACTGAGCCACAAGCAAACCATGCCTCCTAGAGCTGCCTACCTATGGTGCTGCCGATGAGATTGTCCCTCTGCCCTCCGTGATGTAGCACAGCTGCTTCACTGCTCATCTGAGCATTATGCTAGTGGCCCAGGGACCACCCTGCCTCTGCTTATTACAGCCAGAGCCTGAATGTACTACCAAAGAGCTTGAGGACAAGTTCACCAGCCCAGTTCATCCTACCAGTACTTGATCATGCCATCCAGGGGCCTGAGGATCACTCAGCTTAGTCCACCACTGTTGGCATTTGAACATCTCTCTTGGAGTCTGAGGTCAGTCTGAACCAACTTGCCAATGCCACCATAGCTGGCACTCACTCACATGCATCCCTGTGGGTCAGGGGACTGGCCTGTCCAACCCTGTTGCAGCCACCGCCACCACCAGCATAAGCCACTTGGGTTCCAGTAGGTTGTCCTACCACTGCTACTACCATCACCCACATCACGCCCAACACCAAAGGATGTGAGAACTTGCCCATACACTCATTCCACTACTGCCACTACCATCATCCAAGGAAGTCACTTAGAGGCCCAAGAATTGGCCCACCTATACCTGCTAACATGGAAGCCAGTACATACTGCTCTGGGGCTCAAGGACAGGCATGCTCAGCCCAATGCTGCTACTACTGGGGCCTGAAGATCGGCCCATCTGGCATCTTAGTCCCCAGCAAAACTTCACCACAGCCTTCTCTAATAACCATACCCTAAGCCACTGAGGAAATCACAGATACCACTGATACTGTTTACAGCCAAATAAATCATACAGAGTCTACTCTACTGCATGCACCCACAATAAAAGCCAAAGTGTCCAAGCCACCCAACAATATCTGTACATCTTTAGGGAAAAATCCTCCCCAGTGCAACAAAATTTTAAAAATTGAAAGAAGTGACTGGTACACCAAATGCATAGATATAAATGTAAGGACACAGAATACACAAAAAAGCAAAGAAATATGATACCTCCAAAGAAACACTAGATAATTCTGTAGCAATGTATCTTCAATCAAAAAGAAATCACAAAATTCACAGAACTTAAAATATTGATTTTTAAAAAGCTAGACAAGATACAAGAGAATTCTAAAAACCAACACAGAGAAAACAGAAAAACAATTCAAGTTATAAATGAGAAATTTACAAAAAATATAAATATTTTTAAAAAGAACCAAACAAATTCTGGAACTGAACACTTTATTTAACAAAATGCAAAACACATTAGAAAACTTCAACAACTGCTAGGTCTAGCAAAAGAAAGGATTTCAGAACTTGGAGACTGGTCTTTTGGAGTAAAACAGTTGGGCAAAATTTTTTAAAAATAATAAAATGAATAAGCAAAGCTTTTGTGACATTTGGGAAAACAAAAAGCAACTGAACAGCTGAATTATTGGTGCCCCTATGTGCAAAGAGAGAGCAAAAGGGCTAGAAAACCTATTGAAAAAAGTAATGGATGAATACTTTCTTAGTCTAATAGGAGACTTTGACATTAAAATACAGAATGCTCAATGATCTCCAAACAGATACATGCAAAAAGGTCCTCACCACAGCACATTATAGTCAAACGGTCTAAAGTCAAAGATAAAGAAAGGATTCTAAAGCTAGCAATAGAAAAGCATCTAATCACCTATAAAGGAACCACCATTGTAGCAGGACGAGCTGCAGACAAAACCCCTCAGACACCGAGTTGTAGAAGGAAGGGCTTTATTCAGCTGGGAGCATCAGCAAGCTACTGTCTTAAAATCTGAGCTCCCCGAGTGCAAAATTTCTGTCCCTTTTAAGGGCTCACAACACTAAAGATTTCACATGAAAGGGTTGTGATTGATTGAGCAATCTAGGGGGTATGTGACAGGGGCTTCATGCACTGGTGGTCAGAGTGAAACAGAACAGAGCTGGGAGTTTCACAATGTTCTTACATACAATGTCTGGAATCTATGGATAACATCAGTTGCTAAGTCATGAGTTGAATTTTAACTAGTAGGTTTAGGCCAGGCAGGCCCAGGCCTGGTTTCGGGCCTGGCGCCAGGCTGCCTGCCTTTGGTTTCACTTCCTTGTTTTTTTCCTTAAAACAGGTACTGAGTATAAAACAATATAAAACAATATAAGAGGGTCTCTCTCTTCCCTCACCATCAGACTAAGAGTGGATTTCTCAGCATAAACCTTACAGGCCAGGAAGAAATGGGATGACATATGCAAAATGATGAAAGAAAAAAAAAAGGAAAAGGAAAACCTGCCATACGAGGATACCATATACTGCAAATTATTCTTCATAAATGAAGGAGAAAGAAAGCCTTCCCAGAGAAGCAAAGTGAGGGAATTAATCTCTACTAGTCTGATCTTACAAGAAATCCACAAGGGAGTCCTTAACCTGTTAAAAGAGGCCACTTACCATCATGAAAACACACAAAAGTAAAAAACTTATTGGTTAACCAAACACATAAATTAGGAAGATAAAAAATCTCAGATGATAACATTGTAGAAAACCACCAAACCACAATGACAATCAGAAGGAGGAGAAAAAGGAACAAAGAATATATAAAATAACCAGAAAACAATTAACAATATCACACAAACAAGACTTCACATATCAAAAATAACCTTGACTATAAATGGATTAAATTCTCCACTTACAATACACAGACTGGCTGAATGGATAAGAAACATGATCCAACTACATGCTGCCTACAAGAATCACACTTTATTTGTAAAGATACATATAGACTCAAAGAAAAGGGATGGAAAAAGGTATTCCATACAAACAGAAACCAAAATGAGCACACATAGCTATGCTTATATCAGATAAAAGAAACTAAGTGAAAAAAATTAAAACAAAACAAAAACAAAGAAGATCCTTACATAATGATAAAAGGACATAGCAGGAAAAGGAAGAGGAAAAAGACACAGCAATTCTAAATATATATGCACTGAAATTGGAGTACTCATATTCATAAAACAATTATTACTGAATCCAAAGAGACAGACTCCAGTACAATAATAGTGGGGGACTTCAACATCTCATTCTCTGCATTAGACAGATCATCTAGACAGAAAACCAACAAAGAATCATTGGATTTAAATTGTACTTCAGACAAAATGGACTTAACAGACATTTACAGAACATCATACTGCAACACAGAAGAATATACATTCTTGTCATTAGTACATGAAACATCCTCCAAGATAAACCATATGGTAGGTTACAAAAGAAGTCTCAAAAAAATTTTTTTAAATTGAAATCATATAGCATATCTCTCATAATCACGATAGAATAAAACTAGACATCAACACTAAAAGGAACCTTGAGAATTATAGAAATACATAGAAATTAAGCAACATGCTCCTAAATGATAACTGGGTCAATGAAGAAATTAAGATGCAGATCAAAAATTTCTCTAAACAAATGAAAATGGAAACACAATATACCAAAACCTGTGAGATACAGAAAAAGCAATGCTAAGAGGAAATTTCATACCAATAAATGCCTACATCAGAAAAGTAGAAATATTTCAAATAAACAACTTAACAATGGACCTCAAGGAACTAGCAAAGCAAGAACAAATGAAATGCAAAATTAGCAGAAGGAAAGAAATAAGATCAGAGAGAAACCAAGTAATATAAAGACAGAAAAACAATAAAAAACAATGAAATGAGCATTTTATCTTTTGAAAAGATAAACAAAATGGATAAACCATTAGATAGACTAACCAAGAAAAGAAGAGCCAAATAAAAAAATTCAGAAATGGAAAAGGAGACATTACAACTGGCACCAGAGAAACAGAAAAGATTATCAGTGACTACTATAAACAACTATATACTAACACACTGGAAAACCTAGAGAAAATGGATAAATTCCAGGAAACATACAACCTGCTGAAATTAAATGAGAAGAAATAGAAAACCCGAACAGACCAATTTTGTGTAGTGAGATTGAATAGTAATAAAAAGTCTACCAACAAAGAAAAGCCCAGGACCAGATGAATTCACAGCTGAATTCTACCAATATAAAAGGAAGAACTAATACCAATACTCCTGAAACTGTTAAAGACAGGAAACTCTTCTTAAAAAATTGTATGAGGTCAGCATTACCCTCACACCAATAGTAGACAAGAATACAACAACAACAAAAATGAAACTACAGAACAATATACTTGATGAACATAGATGCAAAAGTCCTCAAGAAAATACTAGCAAATCAAATTCAAGAACAAATTAAAAAGCTAATACACCATGACCAGGTGGGATTTATACCAGGCATGCAAGGATGATTCCACATACACAATAAATGTGATTTCCATATGAAGGACCAAAATGATACGATCATCTCAATAGATGCAAAGAAAGCATTTTATAAAATTATTCCCTCCATAAGAGAAACTGTCAACAAATTAGGCATAGAGGAAACATACCTCAACAAAATAAAGGTCATACATGACAAACTCAGGGCTAACATCGTACAGAATGGGAAAAACCTGAAAGCCTTTCCTCTAAGATCTGGAACAAGACAAGAATGCCTGTTTTCACCACTTCTTTTCAACATACTGCTGGAGCAATTGGGGAAGAAAAAAAAAATGAAAGGCTTTCAAATTGGAAAATAAGTAAATTTTTTTTTTTTGCTGATCATATAATCTTATATCGAGAAAAACCCGAAGACTTCACCAACAACTCTTAGATTTGATCAATAAATTCAGTAAAGTTGCAGGATATAAAATCAACATACAAAATTGAGTAGTGTTTCTGTATACCAATTATGAACTAGTTGAGAAAGTAATCAAGAATTCAATCCCACTTAAAATATCTATAAAAATTACATAGGAATAAATGTAACCAAGGAGGTAAAAGATCTCTACAAGGAAAACTACAAAACACAAATAAAATAAATTGAGGACAAAAAGAAATGAAAAGACATCCTGTGCTCAGTGATTGGAAGAATTAATATTGTTAAAATGACTATACGTTCCAAAGCAGTCTAGCAATTCAACGCAATCCCAATAAAAATACCGACATTATTACTCACAGAATTAGCAAAAACAAACTGAAAATTTGTATAGACCCCAAAAGAGCGTGAATAGTCAAAGGAATCCTGAGGAAAAGAGAGAGAACAAAGCTGGAAGCATCACACTACCTGACACCAAAATATATTGCAAGGCTGTAGTAACCCAAACATCATGACACTGGCATAAAAACAGATGCATAGACCAATGTAACAGAATAGAGAGTCTAGAAATATTCAAGTACTTACAGCCAACTGATTTTTGACAAAGGTGCCAAAAACATGCAGTAGGGAGAAACTACTCTCTTCAATCAAAGTTACTGGGAAAACTGTATATATCCATATGCAGAAGAATGAAATTGGACCCTTATCTCTCCCCATATACAAAATCAACTCAAAATAGATAAGAGACTTAAATGTAAGACTCAATGCTATAAAACTACTAGAAAAAAATAGGAAAAATACTTTTAAGATATTCGCTTAGTTAAAGATTTTATGGCTAAGACCTCAAAAACACAAATAACCATAACAAAAATAGATAACTGGGACTGTACTAAACTAAAAAGCTTCTATGCAGCAAAGGAAACAATCTACAGATGAAGGGACAACCTATGGAATGGGAGAAAGTATTTGCTAAGTCTTCATCCAACATGAGACTAATATCCAAAATATACAAGGAACTCAAACTTCTCAACAATAAAAAACAAATAATCCTGTTAGAAGTGGGCTATGGATATGAATAGATGTTGCTCAAAAGAAGACATACGAATAGCCAACAGTTATATGAAAAAATGCTCAGCATCACTAATCATCATGAAAATGTAAATAAAAACCACAATGAGATATTCTGACTAGCCTGTTAGAATGGCTATAATCAAAAAGACAAAGAAAGAAAGAAGGAAAGAAGGAAAGAGAGAAAGAGAAAGAAAGAAAGAAAGAAAGAAAGAAAGAAAGAAAGAAAGAAAGAAAGAAAGAAAGAAAGAAAAAAGAAAAGAAAAGAAAAGAAAGAAAGAGATGCTGGTGAAGATGTGGAGAAAGGAAACTCTTTTACACTGTTGACTGGAATATACATTAGTACAGCCACCATGGAAAATAGTATGGTGATTTATCAAAAAACTAAAAATGGAGCTACAATTCAATCCAGAAAACCCATTGCTGGGTATTTATCCAAAGGAAAAAACATCTGTATATCAGAGATACCTGAACTCACATGTTCAACACAGTACTATTCACAGTAGCCAAGATTTGGAATCAACCTAAGTGTCCATTGATGGATGAATGGATAAAGAAAATGTGATATACACATAATAGAATAGTATTTGGCCATAAAAATAACAAAATCCTATCATTTTAAGCAACATGGATGGAACTGGAAGTCATTATGGTGAGTGAAATAGTCCAGGTACAGAATGACAAATACATTTTCTCGGTCATATGCAGGAGCTAAAACCGTTGATCTCATGCAGATGGAGAATAGTATGACAGAAACCTGAGGCTGAGAAGGGTGCTAGGTGGGGAGTGGGGTGGGTGGGCAGGCAAAGTGATGTTGGTTATTGGGTACAAACTTACAGTTAGATAGAAAAAAAAGCTCCAATATCCCATATCAGAGAACGGCAGCTATAGTTAGCAACAATATATTATATGATTTGAAGCAGCTAGGAGAGAAGATTTGTAATGTTACCAACACAGAGAAATGATAACTACTAAAGGATGACCCTAATTTGATCACTGTACATGCTATGTGTGTAATAAATACTCACGTGTACCCTGTAAATAAATGAAATATTTTGTATCAATAAAAAATAAAAAAATTAATTTTTGCTTAGGCATAGAGATCAACAAATTAACCCCAACAGAATTCTAGTATTATGGTACTTTAAAATGTTGTTATATAAAATCTTATATTAAAAATATTTTCATCATTATTTCTTTAACATATGTAATTTGTAGTTTCAGGGAAATTATATAAGATATAGTTTCTAGTTACCTGTTCTACCCCTGACTTTTTTCTTTTGATGAGGTATCTGAATAGCTTTTGTTGAAGATACATATTCATCTTTATTTTCCATTAAAAGATTAATATGGCATGCTAATATATGCCCTATTTTTATGGATTAAATGAAACAAAAAATTGCCAGTATATTTTCATCTCTTGAAATACTTTGTGAATACTAATGAAACAATAGAATTACTAGTTTTTAAATATATATCTTTAGCAAATAAATTAACATGCACAGCAGTTTATCTATTATTTGGCAATTCTATTTCTATTCTTAGCCAACAGTGCTACCAATACTATGTCAGTTTTAATGCCAATACCATGTCATTTCCTAAAATCCAAATTTGTTAATAAAAATAATAAGAGAATAATTAAGAAATCAATAATTACTAGCTACTTTACTAGTAATTTACTAGTTACTTTCACTTATGGCACTTGTAAATTAATACAGAATGCATTTACAATAGAGGAATTTTAGTTGTAAAATATTTGAGTGTCTGTCATATGCTAGGCACTATTATTAGGCATTATAGATACAAAAGTCATCAGATAATGACTTGTAAGGCTTACATTTACTTGAAGGAAGAAAAATAATAAACATATAGATACATAGCTGTGTACCATGTAGAAGATAATAAAGAATAATATTATAAAACATGACAGGAGAAGCTGTTGGAAAAGTCTTTTCTAAGAAGGTGACAGTTGAATGAAAACCTTAGTGTTGGCATGGAATGAGCAATGTGAAATTTTGAAGAGAAAGCAATATACCAAGAAGTACAACTGTCCTGAGGTGACAATGAATTCTATATGCTGGAAAAACAAAAGAAGGACAAGTGCAATGACTCATGCCTTTAATGCCAACAATTTGGGAGGCTGAGATGGGAGGATCACTTGAGCCCAGGAGGTTGAGCCTGCAGTGAGCTGTGATTACACCATTATACTCTAAGCTGGGAAACAAAGTGAAACACTGTCTCAAAACAAAACAAAACAAAACAAAACAAAAAACAACAAAAAAACAAGAAACAGGAAAAGAAAGAAAAACAAAAGAAAAAAGTCAGTTTGTCTAGCCTAGAAAGAATCTAAGAGAAAGGAAAAAATTGAAGTTGGAGAGAGAGAGAAGGGCAAGATAATGATGTCAGACCTTAGGTCATATGAAGAGTTTCAATTTCATTATATGTGTAATGGAAAGCCTCTGAGGGAATTTTTATCAGGGATGGAAATTTTATGTGAATCTATTAGTCATGTACTAGCCATACATTTCAGAGTATTTTTCAAGGTGAAATATTGTTTTTAGGAGTTCGTTTTTGAAGGTTTTTTTTTTTTTTTTTTTTTTTTTTTTTTTACAATCAAGAGCCATTTTATCACTAACCCATTCCACTTTACGTAGCTTTAATTGGGCTCATCCAATAATGGAAAGAGGAAAGATTACATCAACTGATCCAGCTTTAATCCTTGTCCAATTTTGCAAGATTTAAATAAATAAGTCAAAATAGGAGCTTTAAAGTGATGGTTTCCATGATTTTTGTCGAAGTATGCTGACACATGTGAAAACCTGGCATTGAATCATTTTAGATTAGTGGAAAGAACATTGGCTATACAGGGATGAGACACAGCTAGAATGGACTTCAGCCTCTCCCTATTACTGAATTTGTGGTTTTAGGAAATCGCTTACTGGTCTGAGTATTTGCTTTTTCATGCAGTAATAATCTTTATATCCTATTGTAAAGATTTTTAAAAATTGTATATGAAGCACCAAATGTATTTGTATAATACCAGGCCCATGTTATCCTAAATAACAAACAGAGAAATGCTCTCTAGAAAATAATACTTATTAGAGAATAAGGTATGGAGATAGGAATATGCATGTCATAGTAAAGTATGTGTGTATTCAGGGAGGTAAAGGAAGACAAAGGATTTTAAAAGAGAAATGAGGAGGATTACATAATTGCTTTGAAATGATTACCCTTGACAGCAAACATCAAAAACAAGAGTAATGTCAGTCTGAGGCTGGACAGGCAGTTGCTCCGCAGATCTCTTGGCAGAATTATTTTTTGTGTAAAGTTGCGATGGCCTTTGTGCTAGGTTTGTGGTTTTTGCAGTCTTTTGTGATAGTTTTTGTTATCAGGAATACAAGCATAAGAAGCCTCACTTCTTAGACTTCCCTGGTCCTATGTGTCAGGGTTTTTGTTTTGTTTTGTTTTTAACATAAGTGACTCCATTTTTATGTTGACAATTTCCGCACTCATAATAGGTACTCAAAGTCTTTGAAACTAGGCTCTGAAATTTCAGAAACTTTTATGGCTAGAAGCATAGATCAACATTGAAGCTTGCAGTTTTTCTCCATTTCCCTCTATTGATTGATGCATAATGATTCTTTGAAAGACAGATTATACATAGTTTTGGGGGAAAAATACTTAATTGTTTCCTTGGTCTGGTAGAGGAACAGCAAAATTCCAAATTTAATATGAGAGTTTCAAGACAATCTATATCAGCTTTACTGTGGTAGCAAACAATCCAAAAATCTCAGTGGTTTTTAAGAGCCAATTCTGCTTTGCACTCATGTTATGTAAAGGCTAAGCCTCTGCTCCAGGCTACAGAAGGCCTAAAATTCCATCACACATATTTTCTCCTTCTAAAACCTGACCTCATTCTTTAAATTTTTATGTGGCAAACATCACATCTGCTCACATTTCATTGGCTGAAGCTCATGGCATGTCCAAATTCTAGTCAGTAGGGTCAGGATATTATCCTCCCACAGGGAAGAAGGGACTGGATATTTGAAATCTACTGTAATCAGCCTGTTTAGTCACAACTATTTACTTTCCTCCTTTCTGCATTTAAAATACACCCACACCCTCCCCAAAGAGGAATTTCCAAAGCCACATTCAGTCACATCAAGCTCTCCTTCTGGGATTTTATGAAAGACACCCTCTATATCAGGTATCAGAATCTAGGAGTCCATGACCCAAAAGGACCCATTCCAGCCCTCACATTTAACGATAGAACAGAGAGAGGGTAACAGCATAAAGTCCTCCCTTTTATAGAGAAAGAATGGAAAGTACGTAGCAGTCACTGATTCATAGCCATTCAGAATATCCCTCTGGGAAAACTTGTATGTGTCCCTTACCTTGGGAGTATACGATATTTCTAAAGAAACTCTGGTTTTCTTGACTGTGGATCTCCATATTCCTTGGTTTTACCCTATAGGAGTTTTTAATATTATTTTCCTTGGCTGCATCATAAGGTCTTTATAGATTTAGCAGTTGTCTAATGCTACCTCTTGTCTGAAGAAATCTGAATACTAAAGGTCATTTTATATCTCAAACAGTCTTTCATTGTTGTGGTTTATTTTACTATTTGATTCCAGTCAGATTGGCATCCCAATAGCCAATTTATAGCTTCTTTGGGACTACCTCTTTCTAAAGGTAATTATGGGTATTATAGGTATTTTGAATATTTCATGCTTCTGGGTGACCACATTCTTTGTCTTTTTTTGCTCAACTATTCCAACTAAAAGGATTTCCTGGGGACCGCCTTAATTCAATCAGAGGCTTTAACAAAGGCTGTGCAGATTTCACCCTTGATTTGGTCTTTGCTCAAAGACTGAACATAAACCAGCCTTAATTGCTCAGAGAGGAATATTTGCATCTTTCAACAATGCAAATCTTGAAATACCTCGATTCGTTTCTCTTCCTTTTACTCCTTCAGGAAAAATGATGGATTCTTTCTGAAAACACCTCTGTCTTGCCATGCTTTGTGTAATGCAGCAAATGGCAACCAAGGCACATTAACAACATTGAATTTTGCAAATCCCTTCCCTAAAGCCGCACATTTATTACATACATCATTTACCACTCAAGTTGTTTCTCTATTTCATATTATGACTTGCCATTGCCTGTTACGAGTTATCATTTTTCCAGACTGCCATCTCAGTTTTCCCAGTACGGGCCCTGGGCCCAAAGCCCAGGTCACATATTTTAGAGTTTTTGTTATGGTAGTGCCCTATTTTTAGGTATCGATTTTTGTATTTGTCAATTTTCCAGAGGTAATAAAAAATCCCAAAATCTCACTGGCTTATCACTCAAACATTTTTTTTTTTTCATTCACATTAATTATCCTGACTGCTTTACTTTGGTTGTTGTTATCTCTGTTCAGCTCAGATCCAGGACCTGGGATGTAGAGTCCCCTGTATGCAGAGCATACCAGCTCTCTTTTTGGAAGCAAAGTAGTAACTTTGATATTTAAGCTTCTGCTGGAAAGCAGCTTAAATTATCTCTGCTCACATACATTGGCCTAAGAATATAAAGTGGTAAATCCAAATTCAAGGGCCTGAGGAGGTATTCTCCTACAGAAAGAATAGAAATGAATTTTTACATGCAATATACAATCTGACATGAAAACTAGGTTGATCTCCATTTTATATCACCTCTAAAAAATAAAAATTGTTTTTATTATGGGCAGAGATGCCTTTCCAGAGATTAATTAAAATGTCACATTCAGTTGAAACAAGTTAAAATCGTAAGAGCTAACATTTACTGTCTTTTCTAAATTCTAGGACTATTTTAGAAATTTATAGGTATTATTTCACTGATGAGTTAGGCATTATTATATCTATTATACAAAAGCAGAGAAACAAGCTCTGAGTGATTTAGTGACTTACCCTCTGTGGTACGGTTAATTAGAAGAAGACAGAATCTAGACCTAGGTGTGTCTGACAACACAAACCATAATTTTCACCACTATGCAACTATGCCTGTCAAAGTCACACCCATCCAAAATGGGTTTCAATTGGAAAACCACTGTAAAAATAACTACAGTATGAATAATTTTCATAAAATAGGCCATAAAAACTAATATTGTAATCTTAAGATATGTCTATAAATCATGAATTGAAAAAGAAAAAATGGTTAGAGTGTTTTGGTCTGGATTAACAGGCTTACACATCTGCAAATCTCCTACCAGTTGGAAAATGGCACATGTATAGTAAATAGCTATAGCTATAAATCCAAACCATCTGCAGTTTGCAAAATGGTATTTAGACCAAGAAAGAAAAAATAAGAAAAGAAAGACACTGTATCACAGCAATATTTTTCAATAAAGTTGCCAGATTAGTATTTCCTTTTGGTCACTATTGCCTGAAACATTTGTTTTTACATTTAACATCTGTATTTTTTTTATAGAAAGTAATCGTTTAATTAATCAAATAGGTCTTTTAAAGAGACAGCATAATCTGTTTTGATTCTTTTATTCTTGGGTAAAATCTTGGATACATGTCATTTTCACTGCTCTCAATTTCTATTTGTATATTTCAGTCTATTCTAAGTGAAAGCAAGCACTTAAATGCACTATCAAATTGAAGATAGATCCTCAGGAAAAGTGGTCTCATTTACATGCAGCTTATAGTGCTTTTTGTAAGAACATGTTTGACTTTGCACTTTTCCTTGGTAGCAAATGGAAACAGAATAAATGTAGTGTGCAGAATTCAGTTGACAGCTTAAAAACCTTAATAGCATTTGGGTCTTTTTATGCTATATATTCCTAACAATGCAAATTTTCAGGGGAGTAAAATCTCTGGTATTTTAACGAAAGGCATTTGCATGATTTCAGATTTCAAAAAAAAGTTCCTGTGACATATCCAGAATATAGAAAAGATATTTTAAAATAAAAGATTACATATTTAGTTCTTATTCAATTAAATTCAGGTAAAAATTGATTATTTGGAAATGTACATGTGAAAGGTGAAAGGAATAGTTTTTTTTTTTTTTAATAAAGAATCTCTGACCTATTGGATGGAAAATTACTTAGGGATTTCATAAGAAAATAATACATAATGACATTTTCTTTGTTAAAGATAGACATATAAAACATTTTATCTATAAATAATTAAAGCTAAAAAAGAATGTCTTTTAAAATACAGAAAACAATTACAAATGAACTTTAGCTTTCCGTTGTGAAATAGTTACAAGAATAAGTTCAAGCTCACTGTAAATTCCAGTTCTTATCTACAGGATATGATGTAAAGACATTGACATGAAATCATGTAAACAATTATATGTAAATGTCTCATCATGAGCTTAATTGAAACCAGACATCATTTTACAGCAGACATTTTGACTTGCCTGTGACTGCACATGAAATCTTGGCTTGGAGTACCTTAAAATCACCACTTGATGATGAAACCAGACTCAGTGCCCTTATCAATCTCAGGTTTTATATGAGAATCTGTTTGAGCAATGGTTTTCAGATCTGTAAAAGTTGACTGCAATCACATAAATATTCTTGACTTCCTCTGGAAGATGTCTATTAATTTTAAAGAAAAATGACCAATATTTTTTAAGTGAACACTAGTAATCACAAAAGCAACTTTGGTTTTGGAGCCACCTTAATTCCTTTGTGGATTGGAAGTGGAGAAGGAGAGATATCAGTGTTTTGTTTGTAAATAATAAAATAGTCTTTACTTTTGGAGAGCTGATAGTAATTTCATCAGTTCTAATATCTTTCGTCAACTCCCTTTTACTCTCAAAAGTTGCTGGTTACACACCTGATTTTGAACACTTTATTACAGAGAGTGGCATAGATTATTTTCTCAACCATACTATTCTGCCTCAAGTTTATTTCATTCTTATCAGCACTGTCAAATTGTGGTTCTCTTTGATTATGTGCATTCATAATGATTCCACTATTATTATATATGATCCTGTAAATGTGAGTGAGGTATGGAAGTATTTCAAACCATTTCAAATAATTGCCATAATATGTCCCCAGAGTTGGCAATTTTTGGGTTATAAAAAACAAATAATTATGGCATTAAATGTGCTTTTTAAAACCTTCTGGATATTATTGTAAATTCACATGCAGTTATAATTATACAGACAGACAGATTCTGTGCACCTCTTACTCAGTTTCCCTCACTAATAGCAGCTTGCAAAATTATAGTACAATATTACAACCAGAATATCAACATTTGTATAATCTACCATTTTTTCTTTGATTTCTCCAATTTTACTTGTATTTGTTTAGCTTTTTCATTCTGTGAGCAATTTTATCACGTGTGAGTCCATGCATCCACGACCACATCAAAATACAGAATTGTTCCACTGCCACAAGGATTCCTCCTGTTACTCTTTCAAAACCAAACATCCTGCCCCCATCCACCCCCTCCCTTAACCCTTGGCAACCACTGTCAATTCTCCATTGCTGTAATTTTGTAATTTCAAAACTGTGATATAAATGGAATCAGCAAATAGGAACAGTTTTATTTCTTTCTAATCTGAATGCCTTTATTTGTCATTGCCTTGTTTCAGTGGCTAGGACTTCAATACTATTTTTAATAAAAGGATTGAAAGAAGACATTCTTGCCTTGTTCTGATCATAAAGAAAATGCATTCAATGTTTTAAATCTTATACTATATTAGTAGGGGTTCTAAAGAGAAACAGAACCAATGGAATATATATACATATATATCCTCTGGGTATAAATATATATTACCATATATTTATATATTATATTTATCATATTGAATATTTATATATTATTTTATATCAGGCAAATAATTTATATTTCTATATTTAATAATTTATATATTATTTATATTTCAATATTTAATAATTTATATATTATATATTATGTATTTTTATAATACATAATATATAATGAGATTTATTATAAGGAATTGGCTCATGTAATTATGGAGGCGAGAAGTCCTATAATTTGTTGTCTGCAGATCGGAGACCCACAAGAGCCTGTGTTGTAGCTTGAAGGCCTGAGAGCCGGAGAACTAACAGTATAGATTCCAGCCTGAGTCTAAAAATCTGAGAAGCAGGAGCACCAAAGGCAGGAGAAGATCAGTGTCCCAGCTCAAACAGGCAGAGGGAGAGTGAACCCAATCTTTCTCTACCTTTCTGTTCTATTTGGATCCTCAGTAAGTTGGATGATCTACATCCACACTGAGGAGGTCTATCTGCTTTGCTCAGTTTACAAATTCAAATGCTAATATCTTCCATAATCACTCTCACAGACATACCCAGAATTAATGTTTAACCAAATACCTGGCATCCTGTGGCCTAGTCAAATTGACACAAAATTAATCAACATATTTACCATTAAGTCTCATGTTCGCTGTGGGTTTGTCATATATGCCCTTTATCAGGCTAAGCAAGTTTTCTTCTAATGCTAGTTTTTGGAGTAATTTTATCAAGAAAACAATGTTGAGTGTGTCAAATGACTTTTCTGCATCTTTTGGGATGATCATGTGGTTTTTTTGCCTTTTGTAGTATTGATGTGGTACATTAATTGGCTTTTAAATGTTCCACAAACCTTGTATTTTGGGGATAATTCTCACTTGGTCATGAGATATAATCTTTTTTATATGCTAAAATTGTTTTGCTAGCATTTTGTTGAAACTTGTGGATCTAATTTACTGAAAGTTATTGGTCTGCAGATTTCTTTCTCTGTATTATCTTTGTTTTGATATCAAGGTAACAATAGTCTCATAAAATGAATTAGAAAGTGTTCACTCCTGTTTTCTGTAGCATATTTTATAAAATTGGTGTTAATTCCTCTTCAGAGCTTCGTAAACTTCTCCAGGGAAGCCATCTAGGCCTCAAGATTTATTTGGAGGGAACTTTTACATTATAAAATTAAATGCATGGTTATAAGATGATTCAGGTCAGTAATTTTACCCTCAGAAAGTACAGTCTGTGGTTTTTCAGGCAATCGGTCTATTTCTTTTATTTCTTTTAACTTTGGAATGTAAAGTTGTTTGCTGTTTTCCACTATTATCCTTTTATGGGTACAGGATCTATAGTAATAGATCCTGTTTCATTCATTATGCATGATTTGTGTGTGCTCTCTTTTTGTCTTGTCAGTCATGATAGAGGTTTATCAATTTTTCTAATTTTTAAAATAACTAGCTTTTAATTTCATTGATTTTTTATAAATATTTCTGCTTGTTTTTGATTAATGTTAACATAATATAGCATTTTGCATCCTTCTCATTTTATACTACCTATGTCCTTATGTTCAAAGTGAGTTTCTTGTAGGCAGTATAAAGTTGGATCATTTTTTTTTTAATCCCTTGTGCCAATCTTTTTTAACTGGTGTATAAGTAATTCATATTTAAAGTAATGATTGAAATGTTAGGGTTTAAGGCTGCTGTTTTATTTATTTTCACTTATTTTCTCTGTTTCCTGTTTCTGTTTCTCTTTTTTTATATACATGTGGGTTATTCATTTCTTTTGGTAGGATTTCATTTTTTTACCTTGTTTTTAGTATATCATTTTGCAAATTTTTCATAGTGGTTGCCCTATGTAGTATAAAATGTATAACTTAATACAGCCTACTTGCATTAATGTTTTATTGAGTCACTATTAAAATTTTACTTCCACTTAGGTTCCTTTAGCCTCCACCACCAAAATATATTTTTTTCCAATATTTCTGTTAACAGGCTTGCATACCACATATTTATACAGTATAACATATTGTATTTTAATTTTTGCTTGAACCATCAATTATTATTTTAGAAACTCATGAGAGAAAGGAGAGTATAATATATTTATCCCTATTGTTACTTATTCTGTTATTCTTCTTTTCATTCTGTAGTTCCAAGCATTCTTCTGTTATCACTTCTTTTCTGTTTAAAGAGCTTCCTATAGCCATTCTTTAAAGGTAGGTCTGCTAGTGACAAATTCTCTCGGCTCTTATTTGTCTGAGAATGTCTTTATTTCCTTTATATGGCTAAAGGAAAGATTTTTTAGATATAGAATTTGTGGTTGACATTTTTTTCCTTTCACCCCTTGAAAAACATTATGCCAATTTCTCTGGCCTCCAAGGTTTCAGATGAGAAATACACTGTCATTGGAGTCAGTGTTCTTCTAAAGGTTATACATTATTTCTATCTGGTAGCTTTTAAGACTTTTCCTTTTATTTTACTTTTCAAAAGTTTAATTATAATATGTCTTGGAAGGGATTTATTTGTGTTTATCCTACTCAGATTTCACTCAGCTTCTTGAATTTGCAGGATTGCCTTTCACGCAATTTATAGAGATTGCAGCTAATATTTTTTGTGTAGTCTATTAGTCCCACATTTTCTCTTCTACTTCTGAGACTCAAATGATATAAATACTAGATTTTTGCCTTTGTTTTTGTCTCACAGGTCCTGATATTCTGTTCATTTTCTTTTTACCTTATTTTCTTTTTGTTTGTTCAAATTGAGTAAATTTTTTTTCTCAAGTACATTGATTCTATCTTTTGTCTTCTCTACAATTGAGTGTATATAGCAACTTTAAAAAAATTGTTATTGTATTTTTCAGTCACATATTTCTTGCCCGGTTCTTTTCTTTAATTTACGTTTTTTGATGGGTTTTCTATTTTTCATTTGTTGCAAGGGAATTGATGATAATGTTAAAGTTGCTTTGACATCTTTATCAGACAGTTCTAGTATCTAATCCATTTCAGTAGTGGTGTCAGTTGATTCTTTTATCATTCAAGCTGTGATCTCACTGATGGAATGACCTGTGATTTTTCAGTTGTATCCTTGAGATTTTGCATATTATGTTAGGAGATGCTTGATCCTGTTCTAATCTTCTATGTTAGCAGGCAGTCACCCTCTTTAAGTTCAATGCGTAGTAAGTAGCCTACTTTTGTGGGCTGTATCCCAATGACAATTTAGGTTTCTGAGTCCTTGTAAGTCTATTCTGGTCTAAATCATCCTTCTGGTTTATGTGAACTCTTGCTGGATCACTGGTGGTGCTGTTTCTGGGAGCAGAATGTGCTTCTCTAGGGTGCCCAGTGATAGACAGGATAAGGGGTATCCAGACACACAGGACGGAGAATGTTTCTTCTGGCCTGTTCTCTGGTCACTAAGTGCTATTGGATTTTTCACTCCATCTGCTAGTTTTATCCAGGGACGCAAGCATCTACCTGAGCCATCTTCTGTCACTGGATGGAGGACAAGCAGGGGTAGGGTATGCATATTGCACTGTCACTGGTTAGAGAGCTGGAGGACTCCAGGCCTAGATTACCTTCTGTGGCTGGGTGGAAGCCTGGGAGATAATAGGCCTGTTGGTACAACCAGTGTGGATGGAGCGATCTGCCTGTTGCTTCTGGCTGTGGAGTATTGGGTGGTCAGCCAGGTTGCAATCCACTCTTGGTACTACATCAGACAAATTGGGCTACTGCCACCACTGGGCACGATCCTCTGCTGAGTCTGCCAGATTTGCCCTTTCCCAAAATGAGGGTTTTCTTCTCCCCCACCACCATTCCTTTTGATAGTTCTACATTGTAGCTCTCTCTGGCACCTTTTCTGAGATTTATGGCAGGTAAAAGGAAAGCCCAGAGAACCCACCACTGTGTCTTTCTTCAAGTCCTTATGACACTTCCACTTTCTACCTTTCAGTGTCCTTTTATGATTATTATTGAATTATTTCCATAGTTTTGTTAAACAAAAACTATGGGAGACTATTGTTTTGGACTGAGTTCCTGCTCTAGACCCTAAAAGACCAGACTAAACAAAAATGAGGTCACTCGTGCTAAATGCCACTTAATCAAACAGAAACTTTTAAGGAAATGGATACATCCAAAACAGACTTTTTTTTCTTAAAACAGAAAAGTCCAGTCTACCTGAGTCCGTGTAATAAGAAAGTCCTCTCTGCTTTAACCCTTACAAAAAAGTAGCCTGAAGTAATTATTAGCCAATCAGTTTCACTTTTCTATTGTTCCAGGTTTTTATTTTATTGTAGTTCCTACCTTACAAAACCCACTGTTTTCTATTGCCCAGTGGGAGCTCTTGTTCTTTTTTGTAGAATGGAGTCTGTCTGGTTTGTGAATTGCAAACAAAAGCCAATTCGATCTATAACTAAATTTGTTGTAACTTTGACTTTTGACAGTGTTGAATTGTATTTAGAAAGAGAAAAATAGAAAAATGAGTCCATATCATTCCATTGCAGGACTTTTTCCTTAGTTCAGCTAAAGGCAGGTCCTTATCATGCGGGCATGAAAATTTAGGCTCACAGACAGTTTGAAGGGTGAGTAAGGCAGGGTTTCATTGGGTGAAAAGGGAAAAGAATAGGAACAGGAAAATTCTGCAAAGCCAGGGTCCCTGCTGGTAAGCTTTCCACCTTGCCGTTTGAATCTCAGATTCCACTCAGGAAGAGGAGAGGCCAGGCTCCTCCTTGCTGCAAATGCACAAATTTCTGTGGCTCCACCCCAGTGTGCATTCTTCCCACAGCACAGGCCGGCTGGAGTTTTTCCAGGGAGCCCTTCCCACCTGTGTGTCTCACTCCCCTCTTTAAAGAAGTACAATGAACTGCCGTTAGACTAAGGATAAGGATAAAGACAGATCTTAACTGCTTCCTGCTGACAGGGGATGCTGTTTTGGAAAAATGGCAGTCAGAGCTCCCTCAGAGGCCTATCTAAGGGTTCCCAGCAGAAAGAGCCATCCCCTGAGGCTCCGGTTGCGTGACCATTTGGAGTTTGATGGCCTGAAGGCAGGAAGAGACAAACCGGGATATTAGAAAACACATATCAGAATGAAACAAGGGGAGGGGTAAAGAGAGCTCAAAAATCCCGAGGCCTTTTACCAGTTTGCACAGGGAGACGGATGCCAAAAGCCTAACTGGTAAAAAGAAACTTTACTCTTTTGCCGGCATGGTGGGTTTCTGGGTTCCCTTCTCCTGAGCCCAGTCCTAAGCCAACCAGTTTAATGTTTGGGAAATTAACTCTTTCCAGTTTGGAGGATGCATCTGAGGGGAGCATCCCATAGTACAGAGACACAATTACCTATCAGTGAAAAGACAACAGAGGAGGAGAAAAAAGAAAGAAGACATTTTTCAAGGGAGTATCAGGGGTTCAGGATGCATTTGAAAGGGGTACTGACTGAAGATGAATGGTTACCCATGTAGAAAGAGGGGAGCAGTAATTCCTGGTTCCCATCTCTTCCTAGCAAATACCTGGAGGTAGAATGGTCACCTATCTAGAAAAAGGGAGGCAGGTATTCCTGGTTCCCTTCTCTTCTTAGAAAATACCTGCTTTTCATGAGCATTTCAGCTCTTCATGAGTCCTGTATATTTTTCTTTATTCCAATATTACAGTCTCCATAGTTATCAGAAGCCCGTATTTGAGAGCACCTGTCACAGTTCTATAGCTTATTATAAACCATCTTTTGAAAAAGACTAAAACAAGACAACAATTGTCTGTAAATAACAAAATGTCTAGGGTAGTTAACACTTAGAAACACAATTATCAAAGAAGTTTGATTATCTCCCTGGTTTACAATAACTCAACATAGCAACCTTAATTTTGATTCATAGCATATACTTAGACATTAGAATTTTAGAAATCCCATACAATTTTAGAATATATGTTAGTATTATTTACCAAAATATAACTTAAAGAAGATTGAACATCATTTTGGCATTTCCATGTACCTAAACATGTCAAATAATCCTGTTTACCTCTTTTCTGGATGTTTCAGGGGCCCTCTGAAGTATCCAAAAAAAACAAGCATTAGGAAAAACAATTTTGAAAGTGAAGTATGATTTTGAGGAGCCTGTTAAATATGTTCAAAGTTTTAAACACTTGATATTATGGAATAGAATTCCAGATTATCATAAGTTATTTGTTTTGCCAAAGTGATGACTCAGAAATTTAAAGAAGCAAAAACGTTTTATAACCCTTTACAAATTTTGCCAAAGAGCAGATTAGTGCATTAAGAAAACCTTTCTGTGCTTTTATTTAAATGCTCAATTCACAGAATGATCATATAATACCTTTTTGTGAATTTAGTCATTATGTTCACACAGAGAATCTCTTCTGCAAGATTAATTTCCACAATCTTTCCACCACTTGTTTGAACCTTCAGCTTTATCTTATTTAATTTAAAACAATCCTTTAACCCTAGGCAAAAATTTACATTTCCATGCCTCCTTATAACCTTTTACAAAAAACAAACAAACAAAAAAAAACAAAACACATTTTATTGTTCTTACACAACTTGTATGTAAATTTAGTTCTGGTAGTCTCAATTACAGGTTATAATGGTAACTCCCAGAAATTTTTAACTTTAATGTAAAACTTGGTAAGTTGTTTTAATTGTGTGCTATCTGCAGCCAAGATTTGCCTTCTTCCAGCATAATTAAGGGCATGGTTAGCTCCAAATGTCCTCCGGCCTTACCAATTGTGAAACTGGCAAATTGAAAAGTTCTCAAAATCCAAAAAGCAGTTTATAACCTTAAACACTTAGCAAACCTTGCATGTGACCTGCATAATTTAGTTCACCTATTTACACTTTAATGACACCTGCATTTTACCAGTAGTCTTTAAGACTGTTTTTATTTCTCAAAGATTAAAGTCACGTGAACTGGAAGGTATCACAGCTTTTATCTTCTGTTTAAAAATATTTGATCCAAGTGCTTGTCTTTCTTTAGGTCAAATTAATTAGAGCTCTTTTTACAGACACCATACACACACATATAACTACATAGACAGAAGAAAACCCAGTCCCCATAAGACCCTTTATCACAACCAAAACATTACAGAGAATATAAACAGTGATCTTTATCATTCCTAGGCTAGTAAGATGTCTTCCAAAAGGAAGAAAAGACAAAACTTTAAAAGTTACCTGCTGATGGGGTAGAGAAGGGGAAGAAAAGAAGCAGTTTTAAAATGCTTGGGGAAGAATCTCTTATTCTTGTGCAACTGATTCCTCCACCAGGACAAAAGCTTAATTACTGTCTGATGGAGTAAAACCCCTTGGCTGGGGAAGGGCTAAGCTCCTGTGGCACATAGCAGGGACCAGCGATGTGGGGCCCTTGGGTTATGGATCACAACCCTGGCAGGGAGGGGAGGAGAGAGGGAGCCACTGCTCACTGGTCTGTCCTGAAAAAGGAAAGAAAAGGCCATGGAGATCAAGGCTGATCAACTTTCCTGAACCCTGGGAACAATGCAGGAGGAGGTGCGGTTTCCAGTAAGCTCAGAAGTCTGAGGATAAAAAGGCTTAGAAACCACAGTGAGAGTCCCCATTTCACTCAACACTTCTTGAGCCCCACGTTGGGTGCCAAAATTGTTGCAGCACTTTTTCATTAATTCAGCTAAAGATGGGGGTCCTTATCACACGGCCATGAAAATTTAGGCTCACAGACAATTTGAAGGGTAAATAAGGCAGGGTTTTATCGGGTGAAAAGGGAAAAGAAGAAAAATGGGGACTCTCTGCAAAGCCAGGATCTCTGCTGGTTCACTTCCTACCTCGCAGTTTGAATCTCAGTTTCCACCCAGGAAGAGGAGAGTCAAGGCTCCTCCCTAGCTGCAAATGCACAGACTTCTGTAGTTCCACTCCAGTGTGCATTCCTTCCAGTGCACACGTGAGCTGGAGTTTTGCCAGGGAGCCCTTCCCACCTGCCTGCCACAATTTTGTCCTAGATTTGTTTTTTACTGAACTTGATACTCAGGAATATTTCAGTAGGCTTGGAGATGATTGACAGTCAGAATGGTAGAGGCTACCTTTTTTCCTTCCACTAATGTGTTATTAAGATCTCTGCTTAGCTTTTACCCAGTTGGGAGACCAGTCGGATGGTATAGATCTGGTAATAAGACAGTAAAAGCAACGGAAACCAGTGAGAACACACCCTTAGATAATGTAGTCCAACACTCTTATTTTATATTTGAGGAAAATGAGATGCCTCTAAGAAGAGGTTCACTGACTTACTTCAAATCACAACACTAAAACTGTAATTCAAGCTTTATTGAATTTATTACTAGTAATAAATGTATTACTTTATTTTCTTTTTTTCAATCAAACAGTAAAATCTCTTTGGGTACTTTCCAAGATGATTACATCTGACTAATATTAACATATTTATCAATAACCATTTATTCAGTTATGCAACAGGTATTTTTAAATGTCTACTGTATTTCATGGGCATTTCTTGGTACTGAAAATACAACAATGAGCAAAAACCATGAAAATTCTTCTGTTTGTATAACTTACATTCAAGTGAGAGGAGACAGAAACTAAAATGTAAATGGTGAAATAAAACATATGTAGTTTGATAAGTAGTTTGAAAAAATAAAGCAGGGAAGAGGAAGTGTCAAAGAGTTCCTGAGGGTATTGCAATTTTGTATTGGAGAATCAAAAAGAAAACCTTACTGAGGAGACATTTCAACAGAGACCTGAAACGAGTAAGAAATATATCTTTAGAAGCTATTTGGGAGGATTTTCAACTGGTTTTTGAACACAGGGCTATTTTAAGGACTGTTACAAATTAACCATGATCAAAATACCTCAGCTCAGTTACTAAGAACACTTTTCCATCAGGAAGGATAGTTCTCAAAAATACAACCCATCATGGCTAGAGGCAAAGCCAGAGTCTAAATGACATCTATTAAATCATTTTATGACTGTTAACCATTTTAATATTAGGTGCTGCCCTTTTGGGCTTTATCTTAATGCCATTGAGATTTCAGTGTTAAAATGAAAGCAAGCAGCAACTACAATAAACCTAAGTAAAAAAAATCATTCCTAAGAGCAGGATCTGAAAACTATAGCTTCACAACTGGGCCAAATCTGGCCACCTTCATTCTTTAAGTGCTGTCTGTTGCTACTTTCATGTTGTAACAGCAGAGCTGAGTGGTTGGCAGAGAAAGCTTATGGTCCACAAAGCCAAAAATATTAACTATCCAGACCTTTACAGAAAACATCTTCTAGCCCCTGCCTTAGAGATGAGAAAACTTTAATTCATTTAATTTCATACTCATTAGGTCAATAAACATTTTCAATTTTATAATGAATCTGTTTAATAATAATTCATATGGCAGATAATTTTATGTATCTTTGTATAAGTAACAAAGATTATCAATGGCTTACATATAATCATCCATAATAATACAATTTAATTTTAAAAATTCTATTTTGGAAGGCATAATTCAACAAGTAATATAATTCTAAACAAAATGTGCTCACAGAATCAAATATGCTTAAGCAGGAATCTTTATTTTGGTTTTAGCTGAGCATGGTGTTGTAAAAGATGAAATGCATAATGCACATGGCAACAGACACGTCAAGGGAAGGAGAAAGGGGACAGGAATTTTTGCTGGGCAGGGTGGGCAAATGTACATATTCAGTAAGCTACAGGAACAGTAATTAATATTTATGAAAGAAGAAATAAGTGCATGCACAATTAAGCTTCATGCCCCTTCATGTGTCCCATTTAAAAAATGGCAGCATTAACATAATCTGAGGGTGAAATTTTCGGCTCTCTGATGTCAAAAGGTACACACACAGAGAACACAAAAGCCCTTACAGTGCATCCTTTGTAGACTGGCCAGAATCACTCCATGGTTGGTGGTCTCTTATCAGGAAGAAATACTGGTTTGTTGTTTTGTTGAAACCACAAATTGGAAGGGCAGCAGTCAGGCGGCTGGTTGATATCAGCTGTGGAGTCTTTTGAAAGGGTTGGATTCTGTTTAGCTTTTAAGAAAGAAAGTTTAAAGGCACTTAGTGAGAGAAGGGGTGTAACAGGCATGTCTGACCTCCCCTGCTGTCATGGACAATAACTTAGTTTTCAAGGTTACTCTAGGGTCCCCTTGGCCAAGAGGGGATCCATTAAGTCAGTTGTGGGGTTTAGGATTTCATTTTTATTTCTCACTAACAAACTATACAATTATCCATTTATTCCAAACTTATCAGTTCTCATTCTTACTATCAGACAGAATAAGCTGACTTCTAGGGACAGTCTAGTTATATTGTTTCCTATTTCATGACTTCATCTGGATCACCCACTCCTTCACTTCCATGTCTTTATTGGCAAGAGCCAAAGCTCAGGAGTTTTATCTTCTACCCAGTTTTCACATTCTCCTCAGCAGAAGTAAAGAAATATCCCAGAACAGTACACAGTATTGGAAAAATCACTCCTCTCCCACCTCAAATATCATAGTCTCACTAGCTTTTGGAGACCCACATGAAAAATACCATTATGCCCTATAATTTTACTTGTATCCCTCACTATAAGAACCACAGTATGCTAAGGTTATTCCCCAGTTTCAAATCTCTTTTTGCTCAAGACAACCCCTTTGTTACTAAATTTATCCTACATCTCTTTTCAACCCTGTACGCTCTTCAACTCTAATCTCTAGAACTCATGATTTGTCATTCCCCAGATTTTCTACATCATGAAATTTCTCTCTGAAGATACTCTTGACCTTCTTGCTCACTCCTGGTAGTACTGAATCAGAAGTAAAGGAATTTGTTCTCTTGATTCTTATGGCTGCTATACGAGAGGAAGAATAATTTTCCCACTACCCTTTCTAAGTTTTAAGTTGGGACAGACACCTGTAACAAGGCACAGATCAATAAGAGAGAGAAAAAAGTAACAATAGAAGTTTATAAACATGTATACCTCATGTATACATAGAAAATATGCAGAAAAATTAGTAAATCTCACACAGGTGGCTAAGAGTGTGGGCTTAAATACCATCTTCAACTGAAACAAAGGAAAAAGGGTGTTAAGAGGCCAGTAATAGAGAGGTGACCAGGAAAAGCACAGTAAACAACAGTAAGGTTTGTTTTGCAGATTTAAGTTGGTGCCTTCTCCATTGATAAGAGCTATCTAGTGGCTTAGAATCATCCTTTTATTCCTGATACGGAGAGGGAGACACCCTTACAAATAGAGATTTTCTTTATAGATGCAAATTTTTCTTATAAAAGGGTAACTTCTGTTTTCAGAACTTCTTCTATGTCTGCAGTTTCTCAAAATAATCAACTCAAAATAATTTTTATGCTAACAAGGCACATTTTGGGGTGACATATTCTGTCTTAAACTTGCTTACATATCATTCAAATTATCTCTCGTCTAAAAACTCCAGATTTGAATCTGATATTATCAGATCGTACCACCAAGTTAAGGTTTCCAGATGCAGGGAATCAAATTACAGGACACACAGTTAAATCTGAATTTCAAATAAATTAGTACAGATAATTTGGTGTCTTGTACTTTATCTGGCAATTCTATAAACTAGTGCTTTCATTTGCTGCTACCTGAGGCTATTATTCAACATTTGTTGAATAACTTAACTCCTTGTCTCTCCTATCACTGTTTCTGTTACTATTCTTTGTGATATTGCTGTTTCCATTGATGATTCTGCCAATATTCTGTATCCTAAGTTCTTGACTTTCTCTTTTGCACTGATTTCATCTTCCATCCAACTTTGTCTCCATGAACATACATCAGATTTCATTATTAACAGAAGTTAGAAGAATTCCATAAACTTAATTTCAGGCATTCTGTTCTAAAACTATCACCTTGTAAATTTTCAACTTCCTGTCTTATTATACTGATTTCTACAATCATTCCACATCATCAAGACCTAAATAAATGGATGTTCATAACCTTTTTATGCATCCTCATCACCCTCACAAGGGCAAAAGGAAAACTTCCCCTCTACCCTCTGAAGGTTCTCTGAAAAATCAATTGACAAAAAATATATTAACAGGAGAAAAAGCATACAAATTTGTTAATGTGCATGGGGATCTTATAAAGAGCTCAAAGAAATGAGTGGATAGTTGAGGCTTTTATAATGTATTGAGGTTACAGAAAAAATAGGGGATTGAATCATGGCAAACCAGTTTATGGTGGTAAACAGGTTATATAGGAAGGGAAGAAGAGGATGGGCTAGCAAAGATGGTCTCGTTATGTAGATGAAACCTCACAGGTAGCAGCCCATGGAGAGAATAAATGCTAAATATTTCTTTCAGACCTTGAGAGGTGTCAAATATCAGTTGATCTATTCCATATCTAGACAAGGCCTCAGAGAATGCCTTACTGCATCAATGCAGATTTTCTCTACAGACACAAATCTCCACAAAAGATAGCTTTGCAGGGCTATTCTGTTTGTAGGCCTGTTTGTATGAACAGTCATCTCAAAATATGTCAAAGAAGTATATTTTAGGGTGAAATATTTTGGTTCCCTTCAATATAATATTATCTTTCCTCCGACATTATAATTTAATGATTCATGCTCCTAACTAAGACCAACCCTTCCAGTTGGTCAATGGAACCTATTTCCTTTTTACCTACTCAATAATAAGGCCCTAGCAATTGTTCCTTTTTATTGTGATTAACTGGTTTTTCCTGACCTATGGGAGCACTTCTACCAACATAGAAACAACCTATAATTTATCTTGTTATAAGAAAGGGTCTTGGCTGGGCATCGTGGCTCATGCCTGTAATCCCAGCATTTTGGGAGGCCGAGGTGGGTGGATCACCTGAGGTTGGGAGTTCAAGACCAGCCTGACCAACATGGAGAAACCCTGTTTCTACCAAAAATACAAAATTAAACAGGTGTGGTAGTGCATGCCTGTAATCCCAGTTACTTGGGAGGCTGGAGAATTGCTTGAACCTAGGAGGCGGAGGTTGCAGTGAGCCAAAATTGTGCCACTGCACTCCAGCCTGGGCAACAAGAGTGAAACTCCATCTCAAAAAATAAAAAAAAATAAAAAATCTCTTTTTTTTACAGGACTGCCAGGCTCATATGCCAACTGTGTAGCAACAGACCAACACAGTGAGACAGTGAGGTTTGCAACAGAGAATGCAAGACCACTGAGAGAGGAGATGGGAGAAATCCTCAAGCCTCAAATCTATCTCCTCAAGGGGTTCTTGGTAAGAGTTTTTAAGGGGAATGATGATGGCAAGAGGCTGGAAAATTGGAGTGGTTAAGAGGTCAGGGTAAGGGAGACAAAATTATCAGGATGCGGAAAAATGCATTCCTCCATAAGTCAGCTCCTTGCTCAGTCCTTCGTCGGTAATTATATTGATATGCAGAACCAAAAGGAGAAATTCAAATGCAAACCATATGATCTCACAATGTCTTAGATTTTATCTCTAGAACAGAATAGGAAGAAAGAGTCTTGTGACAAGGGCTATGTGATCCTGGGGCAGTAAGCAGCAATTAGCTACAAGGTTGTGGGCCAAAAGGCAAACTGATTTCATGATTGCTATTGATTGTGCTGCAAGCCTAGTTGAAGTTTTTTTTTTTTTTCCCTAATTGATTTTATAAAACTTTCTTCCTGATGGTTTCACTTTGATGCACACTCTCTCCAGCTACTGCCCCATTTCTGTTTCTCTTTTAGTAAAAGTTCTTGAAAGATTTTTCTACATTTAATATTTTCATTCACCTCCAATTATTTTCAGATTCTAATAAGGCTTTTTCTCCCTTTAATCTAATGAAACAGCTTTTATGAAGATGATTGATTATTTTCATGTTGCTAAATCCAATGATCTGTACTCAGCCACCATTATAAGTTGGCTTATTAGCAGATTGGCTGTAGTTGATTACTTCCTCTTGATTTTTTCTCACTGGCTACTCATCAGAAGTTAGCCTTTTATTTACTCTACCTTAATTTTTTTTTCCTAGACGGTTTCATTCACACTTTAAATATTACTTATATACCAATGAATCCCAAATTTGTGCCTTTAGCCAAGACTTCTCTAAGTGTATATTTTCATTTCCAAATGCTTTTCAACATACGGCCTTTATAACACTCAGCATCTCAAACATAATATTTCTAAAAGTCAGTTTTATTCCCCCTAAATCTACTTCTTTCTCTGTCTTCTACATCTAAAGTTAATGGTTACTCAATCCTTTCTGACTTTAATAATTTTGTTTCTAAGGCCCCCCCATGCAATCTGGAAGTAATCTTATTGTTCCTATTTTCAACATTTTTTTTAAAGTTCCACTCTTAACATCTTTGTCCAAGCAACTGTCTTCTTTCTCTTGGATGATTGCAATAGCCCCTCATTCATCTCTCTTCTTGTCTTATTTCTCTTCAATCTACTTTAGACACAAAATCTACAGTAACTATTTTAAAATAAAAGATCAGTTTACTCTATGAGGACTGATTTGTGGCTGCTTTTGTGCACTGTATGTCTCTGTTGTAGCTCTGAAAACAATAGCCCAAAAGTCTAGCACTTTGGCATGCTGAGCACTTTGAACTAAAATAGGAAGGCCTTAGAGGCTGCCTTAGAATCAATGACATCAATGACTTCCTGATCTCTCCTGTTTCTCTTCTGCCCCTACTCAGGGATGAATTTTTCTCTGAAATTTCCTTATGTCCGTTATGACCAGACTCACCAAAGCAACAAAATTACCTTCCATGTTCTCCCGGAAATTTCATTATCACAGGTAGACGACTAAGGAACATAATTGCTTCTAGACAGACTTTGTCACAAGATCTTGTCTGTCTCTCTGGATCATTCAAATTTCAAAGACAATCATTTACCAGATAACGTCTGCCTTCAAATCCATTCAGTTGCCCTGGAAATCATTTACTCCCCCTCTAAAATTAGTTACAGCCCCCAACTTTCCTCTCTTTTGATGAGATGGGGCTGTTCTCTTGACTTTGACTCCCTTCATGGGTGGGAACCGGAGTGACTCATTTCACTCAGCTTGCCGCTGGCCACTCCTCGAGAGAGGGAGCATGCGAGCAAGTGAGTGTGGGAGCAGGCTCTGTGCAGGCCCTGCAGCAGCATCCATGCGCCTGCCCTCTTTGCACCCAGGTTCTTGTCCAGTGTCCAGGAAGAATCAGGTCACATGGACTAATTGAAGAGCAGTGTATGCAGAGGATTTTATTGAGTGATGGCTCTCAGTGGGTTGGAAGTTGGAAAGGGGATGGTGTGGGAAGAATGTGATCTTTTCCTGAAGCTGCACTGTTTGAAGTTACTCATGTCTATCCGTAGTTTCTGATGATCAGTCACTTGTATCCTTGACGTTCAGCAGCTTGTATCCTCAATGCTCAGCACCTTGTATCTCAGACGCTCGACTGCTTGTGTTGTTCTGCCAGCTGAAGTCTTTTTATGGGAACAGGATAGGGGCATGGCAGGCCAAAAGGCAATCATTTGGGTGAAAAATGGGGTCAGCTGTTTTCACTTAGGGCCAAGGTTGCAGGCTTGACGGTGGGGGGAGGTTTAACAAGGAGCCCAGCTGTTCTGTATCACTATGAAGAAGGTATTTAAGCCTCAACTATCTGTCCCTTCTTTGAGTTTCATAGTTGTGGGACTTTTGTGTCCATGTGGACATGAATAAATTTGTATACCTTTTCTCCTGTGAATCTGTTGATTGTCAATTCATTTCAACAGACTTAGACTCAAACCTTCAGAAGAAAAGTTTCAACTTCAGTACATCCCTAATGCCAAGCACAATGTCTGGGAATAAATAAATGTGTATGCTTCTAGGGTTAGATTTTATTCGTTGAAATTCTTGGAAGTTTTGGTTAAGGGCATGTTCCCCCAAATAATTTTCTTTTTGTTTTTTCTAAGTGTCCTTGAGGTATAACCAAATTGGAACCATTTTTAATGTTACATTTTTAGGGGACTCCCTGGAATATGTAGATAACATAAATTCTAACTCTACAACCTAATATGAACAGCTTTATGGTTGTGGAATTCCAGTTGAGAAGTCTTTCTTTTCTATTATGAGCCCAAGCCAAGACTGACAAACTTTCATGTCACATTTTTTCCTCCTTTTCTCCCTCTTTTCCCTCTCCTTCCTTCCTTCCTCTTTCCCTTTCTTTCTTTCTTTCTTTCTTTCTTTCTTTCTCTTTCTTCTTTCTTTCTTTCTTTCTTTCTTTCTTTCTTTCTTTCTTTCTTTCTTTCTTTCTTTCTTTCTTATAGTTCTAGCTTTTTGTGAGGATGAGCCCTTCAGCAAGTTGTGAGGGAGCGTGGAATTTTTATGAGAAATCTTAGTTTCAACTTTCCACCTTGCAGGGGCCCAAAATTGCCTAAAATGATGCAGACCATCAGTCTGCTTGCCAGATTTAACTCTGATTTTTAACATACTTTAAAAATTTTATAACCCATATTATTTTTCTAATTGTCTTATAAGCTTCATTATTAATTTGAAAAACATAATTAGAATGTTTAATTTAGAATTTCTAGATGTATATAAGCATCTTGTTTCCATTATTTCTGAAAGTGGAAGAATGCCTTTCTCTCTCAACTTCTTTTAATTTTGATCAAATAACATTGCTAGTCAAAATCTAAAAATATTTTGTACTTAATTATCTGCTGTTATTGTTACTGCCTGGTTTAAACCATGCTTTTACTTCATGGGTTAAACCAAAAACAAAAGAAAAGATCTAAGAATTGTTTCATTATAATTTGAATAAAGTAATTAAACTAAATGAGTGAGCCTAATCATGTAGACAGACACAGGATGGTCCTCAAGGAGGATTTAGTCTAGGTCTACACTACAAAAACAATGATAAGGATATTAATCTAAGGGAGAAAGTTAACATCAACATGAGTATTTCAAAAGTCAGTGATCAATGTATTCTCTTATTCTGTTTAGAAAATAGAAACATAGGGTTGAGAATTGAGTTATTGGCATAGCGCAGACCGCATATTGATTTGGGAAATTTATCTCTAGTTTTTAGTATAATTATTTGATTCCTAGAGATTGTACAATAAATACTTGCTCACTATTACAAACTATTGGTTGTTAAAAAATGACAACAACCTCTGGCTAATTTATATTTATTTCACTGTTTTTCAGATAAATAACAACTGTGATATCTGCTTATAGAAAATTCTTCCTACCTTGTTGTTTATGTGATAAAACTCTCCACTACAAAAGTTCCTTGTGTGTGTGTATAAATAGATATATATACATTATAAGTATACATATATGTATATATAAAACTCTCCACTACAAAAGTTGCTCATATTTGTGTGTGTGTAAATAAACATATACACATTATACATATGCATATATGTCTATATAAAACTCTCCACTACAAAATTTCTCATATGTGTGTATGTGTATATATATGTATGTATACATATAACACATATATATACACATATAACACACACACAGAAACATGTATATATAATTGGCTTTATATATATAAACACTTGAATGAATGTAAATTTAATGGAATAAACAAATCAGTAGATTTATCTGGGAGATGAATTTCAGAGGAAATTTCTAAAATGGTTCATACATAGTTTAGCATATCCTGTAAACCTGTGTCAGCAGAATGTAATATGTAGATTATCAAGAGAATAGAATAAAATTTTTGAAAGAGACTGGTGTTTCTATAGGATTTTAGAAGATAAAATGGAACTATGCCACAGTTTAAGTGTGTGGCACTATTTTATCTCATTTAATAAAAAGACCTAATGTGGGTGGCCAGGTGCCATGGCTCATGCCTGTAATCCCAGCACTTTGGGAGGCTGAGGTGTAGATAGACCCAGGATGGTCTTCAAGTGGATTGCTTGATGTCAGAGTTCGAGACCAGCTTGGCCAACACAGAGAATACCCGTTTCAATTAAAAATAGAAAAAATAGCTGGGCGTAGTGGGGCAAGCTTATAACCCCAGCTACTTGGGAGGCTGAGGCATGAGAATCCCTTGAACCCAGGAGGTGGAGGTTGCAGTGAGCCGAGGTCATGCCACTGCATTCCAATCTGGGTGACAGAGCAAGACTCTGTCTCAAAAAAAGAAAAAAAATGACCTAATGTGGGAGAATTTTTAAGCAACTTATAGATAAGAAGGAGGAAAAAACAAATGTAGATAAAACTGTAGGTGAGCATAAAAATTATTCTTCCCCCTACACAGCTTAGGTTCTAAGGCTAGAACCCTGTAAATTTGACTGACAAAAGACAGATTAACAAGAGATAACAAACACATTTATCAACATGTGTATTGCATATACACATGGGAGCACTCAGTGATGAGTAACTTAAAGGGGGTGGGTAGAACTTGAGTTTACATAGCATTTCAGCAAAGAAGAATGATTTTGTTAAAAAATAAAAGGCAAGATAAAAGAAAAGACTGAGCTCTTATGGGTGGCAAACAGTGGAAACATAAATATGTGATGGAAACTAGTGGAATATAAAAGGCCAGTTAGTTAGTTTTGTTATGTAAATTCCTCTGGTGCCATCTCTGGGCTGATAAGGGTCTGGAGTTGTCTAATATGATTAAGAGTTGTCCTGTGTCCTGGCAGAGAAGATGAGGGTATGTGTGCACTTCCTTATAATTGCCTTTATCTCAAAATAATTCATATGTCAAAGTGGCACATTTTGAGATGGCATACTCTGAACTATATCACAATTATAATCAGTCATGGAAATGATGAGAATATATATCCAGAGTCAACTACAATATCATATTTGAATTTATATATCATAGAAAACAGAAATTATAGACCTATACATGTTATATGGGAAGCCAAATATTTTTCTTTATTTTTACATTTTAATTTTTTTTTATTTTTATAGGTATATTTCAGGTGTATATATTTATGTGGTGCATGAGATATTTTGATACAGGCATACAATACATAATGATCACATCAGGATAAATGAGGTATCCCATTTACACTTCAAGCATGTATCCTTTCTTTGTCCTACAAAAAATACAAATATAATCTTTTAATAATTTTCAAATGTACAATAAATTATTGTTGACTGTAGTCACTAGCTGTGCTATCAAATACTAAATCTTATTTTTTCTATCTAACTATATTTCTGTACCCATTAACCAGCTCCAGTGCTTCGCTGCCAGCTACCTTTAGTAATTATCATTCTATTCTCTATCTTCATGAGTCCAATTGTTTGAATTTTTTTTAGCTCCCACAAATAAATTGTTACAACAGGTAGTCAGGCAGACATGAGCAGGGCAGGAGAGGGGCCCCCTCCCAACAACCAGAAATATTAGGTGACCACCAGGTGATGGCCAGGCAGTTGTTAACTGTCTCTGTAAAATAATAATTAGTCACAGCCAGCTCCAAGGAAGGGCAGTCTCCCTATAGATAAAAACACCTGTAACTGGTGATAGGCAGCTTCCCAATAAGATCTCAGGAGTTGGGTGTGTGGGCTTGAGCATGTGCATTAAGAAGCAAAATGGCAGAGTTTAGCTGACATATAGCCTTCCAGGGACATTCTACTGGAAAAGGGATGCAAGACACCAGAAGTAGACCCGCATATAAAACCCTAAGTCCAACGTCAAATGGGACACTTGACCTTCAAGGTGTCCACATGGCCCTCTTCCAAGTATACTTTATTTTTTTTTCATTTCTTCTCTAAAGCTTTTAAATAAACTTTCACTCTTGCTCTAAAACTTGCCGCAGTCTCTTCTGCCTTATGCCCCTCAGCTGAATTTTTTCTTCAGAGGAGGCAAGCATTGAGGTTTCTGTAGACCTGTACGGATTTGCCACTGGTAACTGGGATAACTTCCACTGGTATAAAAATGAGAACATGAAAAGTTTGTCTTTCTGTGCCTGACTTATTTCATTTAACATAATGACCTCCAGTTCCATCCATATTATTGCAAATGGCTGGATTGTATTTTTTTAATTTCAATTTTATTTATGATCCAATCTTTATTATTTATTTCCTTCTACCAATTTTGGGTTTGGTTTTCTCTTGCCTTTCTAGTTCTTTAAGATGCATCATAAGTTTATTTGAAGTTTTTCTACTTTTTTGATGTAGGCACTTATAGCTATAAACTGTGTTATACTATACTATACTATACTATACTATACTATACTATACTATACTATACTACACTATACTAATACTATACTACACTATACTACACTGTACCATACTATACTATACTATACTAAATTACACTACACTGTACTATAATATACTATATTATACAATACTACATTACACTATACTATACTATACTACATTACACTATACAATACTGTATTACACTATACTATACTATGCTACATTACACTATATTATAGTATATTACACTACTATACTATACTATACTATACTATACTATACTATACTAAACTATACTGCACTATACTATACTGCTTTTGCTGTCTCCCATAGATTTTGGTATGTTGTATTTCCATTTTCATTCCTATAATATGAAGAAATTTTTCAATCTGCTTTTTAATTTTTTCCTTGAACTATTGGTCATTCAGGAACATATTTCTTTACTTCCATGTGTTTGTATAGTTTTCAAAACTCCTCTTGTTATTGATTTCTAGTTTTATTCTATTGTGCTCTGAGAAGATACTTGATATAATTTCATTTTCTTGAATGTTTTAAGACTTGCTTTATGGCCTAACATAAGACCTATCCTTGACAGTGATCCATGTGCTGAGGAAAAGAATGAAATGTTCTGTAAATATCTGTTAGACCCATTTGGTCTACAGTGCAGATTAAGTCTGATTTTTTGTTGTTGATTTTCTGTCTAGAAGATCTGTCCAATGCTGAAAGTGGGGTGTTGAAATCTCCAGCTATTATTGTATTGCAGTCTAGCTTTCTCTTCATCTCCAATATTTGGTTTACATATCTGGCTGCTCCAGCACTGGGTGCATACATATTTACAATGGAATATCCTTTTGCTGAATTGACCCCTTTATCATTATATAGCTACCTTCTTTATCTCTTTTATATTTTTGTCTTGAAATCTATTTTGTCTGATACAAGTATAGCTATTCCTAGTCTTTCTTTGGTTTCCATTTGTATGGAATATCTTTTTCTATCCCTTTACTTTCAGTCCATGTATGTCTTTATAGGTGAAGTGTGTTTCTTGTAGGCAACAGATCGTTGGGTCTTGTTTTTATCCATTTAATTATTCTTTGGCTTTTGATTGGAGAGTTTAGTTCATTTACATTCAATGTTATTGATAAGTAGGACTAACTCCTGCCATTTTGTTATTTGTTTTCTGGTTGTTTTGTGTTCTTCTCTCCCTTTTCCCCTCCTTCCTGTCTTTCTTTTAGTAAAGGCCATTTTTTATAATATATTTTAACTTCTTGCTTTTTATTTTTTTATCTATCTCTTGTATGTTTTTAGATTTCAGGTCACCATGAAACATACAAATACTATCTTATAACTCATGATTTTAAAAAGATAACAACTTAACACTGATTGCGTAAACAAACAAGCAGAGGGAAAACTAATAAAAACTCAGTGTTTTAACTTCATTCCCCTGCCTTTTTAACTTTTTTTGTTTCTATTAATGTCTTACTTTATTTTCTATATTTTAAAAAGTTGTTGTAGTTATCATTTTGGATGGTTTCATCATTTAGTCTTTCTATTCAAGATATGAGTAGCTTACATGACACAATTACAGTGTAATAATATTGTGTGTTTTTCTATGTATTTATTATTGCCAGCAAGTTTTGTACCTTCAGATGATATCTTATCACCCATTAATGTCCTCTTTCTTGTTTTTTTCTTTCCCTGGGCTGGAGTGTGGTGTCACAATCTTGGCTCAATGCAACTTTTACCTTCCGGGTTCAAGTATTTCTTGTGCCTCAGCCTCCTGAGTAGCTGGGATTATGGGTGTGCACCACCACACCTGGCTAAATTTTTTTGTGTGTTTTTCTTTTAGTAGAGATGGGGTTTTGCCGTGTTGACCAGGCTGGTCTCAAACTCCTGACCTCAAGTAATCCACCCACCTCGGCCTCCCAAAGTACTGAGATTACAGGCATGAGTCACCACACCTGGGGCCCATTAATGCCCTTTTCATTCTAATTGAATAATTCCTTTTAGCATTCCTTATAAGACAGGTCTAATGTTGATGAAATCCCTCAGCTTTTGCTTCTCTGGCAAAGTATTTCTCCTTCATGTTTGAAGGATATTTTCACTTAATATACTATTCCAGGATTGAAGTTTTTCTCCTTCAGCACTTTAAATATGGCATGCCACTTTCTCCTGGCCTGTATGATTTCCACTGTGAAGTCTACTACCAAATGTATTGGCGCTCCATTGCATGGTTATTTGTTTCTATTCTACTGGGGATGGCCTGCTACTGGGGCAGTCATTGAGCCTGAATCCATAAAACTGGAAATATGGGGGCAAGCACAGCACCAGAGTCTATTGGGTTGGGCCTGGAGCCTGGGTCTACCAGAGCCTGGATGCTGGCCTGAAGCCTGGGTCCACAGTTACTGGCTAAGTACTTTGGATGACATTGTGGAGCTGCAGTCCACTGGAACTGGCCTTGGACTGGGGTGGGCCTAAAGCCTCGGGCAGGCCTGAAGCCTTAGTCTATGATGGCTAGACTGGAGCCTGAGGCTGTGGAGGCTGGCTTGGGGCAGGGTTGCACTGAATCGGCCTGGTGCAGGTGTTCAGCGGCTGGCTTGGGGCAGGGTTGCACTGAATCGGCCTGGTGCTGGTGTTCAGCGGCTGGCTTGGGGCAGGGTTGCACTGAATTGGCCTGGTGCAGGTGTTCAGCGCAGAACCGTTCTTGCTTCACTCTCCTTTCCCTTGTGAGAGTATTTTTCTCTTGTGCGGTGCTGCTCAGGCTTGGCAAAGGGTTAATGTGGGTGTTGTGAACCTGTCCTTGCTACCCTCTTACATGCACCTTTTATTATTTCTCTGCTATACTCAGGCACTGTAATTTCTGGATTCTGTAACTCCTGGAAAAGTATTCTCATGCATGAATAGTTTTTTCAAATGGATGTTTACATAATAGAATGTGTGCTAGAAAATCCTATTCCCCCATCTTCAGGTTTAAATTCCAACTTTTTCACTTGTTTAGTCCTGCTATTCTATCTCTAAAGTGGATATTATCAACTAATATAAAAAGTTTGTTATTAATATTAACCAAACTCCCACATAAATTGTCTATCCCCTAAAACCTAGCACATAGCAAGGATTTTAATTATTTGTTTTAGCTTTGTGATTGACTAGGAAGAATACTGAACAAATTTCTAGATCTAAAATATAAAAAAAAGAGACTATTTACAGAGAAAGCATAATGGCTTCAGGAGATGGCCTCTGGATAGACTTAGATGGGCACATGTTTATCCCAGGTAGATCAATACAATTATAAAATGAATCAAAAGAAAGATGACAATAAAATTATATTTATTGCTATAAGATTAGGCCACACTACCCCAAAATATGGCATCTTGGCATTTAAGAAAACAGTAGAACTAGGAAGGTCGCTCTCACCTTCCATCCTCCTTCTCCTCTGAAGCAGGTCATAAGACTCTCATCTGAGAAGTACCTTCCCTAGAACTGAAGGAGAGGGGCATCCTTATCTCTGAAGATACCAGAAACAGAGAAGGATCTGAATAAACAGGCCTTGCTAATTCTACCCCCCCACTCCCCCAATTTATAACCATTAGGTCATATCCTTTTCTCCTTCAATTATATTTCTCTATGACTTTCCATTCTTCGTCAAACCTAAGCACGAAAATACACAAATTTACCTATTTCTTTGGGTCTTCCTTTCTGAAGGCTCCTGTGTCATATAAAACCCATATTAAATCAGTTTGTATGTTCTTCTCTTGTTAATCTCTTGAGACCTCAGCCATGAACATAGTGATGGGAAAGAAAGATATTTTTCATCCCTGGAGTAGCTACAAAAATGCTGCCACGCCTTATTTCTGAAGGATACACATTATAATACAGACACACATATTAGACAGATCACCTTGGGTTGCAAGTGATGGAAATCAATTTGTACAAATCACAGTAGAAATAAGGGACTGTCTCACTTGCAAGTCCAGAGTTGGATCTGACTTCAAACACAGCAGGACACAAGGGCTAAAAATAATGATAATAAATTGTGCTACCTTTATCGTTTTACTGCAGGCTGGTTTTCTCCTGTGGCTGGAGATTTACAGGTATTTATAGCTCCAAGTCACATATTTTTCCTTTAGATTGCAACCTCTTTCTTTTCTCAATGTTCAAAGCGAAAGTCCAAAAAAGGAACCCGATTGGTCACCTACGGGTCATTTCTGGATCATTACTCTGTTCAGGGGAATGTGCCTGTATTAGTCAGGGTTCTCTAGAGGGACATAACTAATGGAATATATATATATATATATATATATATATATATATAAAATACATATATAATATATATAATATATATAATTTATATAATAAATATATAAGTATATGTATTTAATATATAAATAAGTATATATTTATATATAAGTATATATTATATATGTATATATAAGATATGTGTGTGTGTGCATATATATATATACACACACACAAACACATATATATATATAAAGGGGAGTTTATTAAGTATTAACTCACAGGATCACAAGGTCCCACAATAGGCTGTCTGCAGGCTGAGAAGCAAGGAGAGTCAGTCTGAGGTCCAAAACTGAAGAACTTGGAGTCCAAAGTTCGAAGGCAGGAAGAAGCATCCAGCATGGAGAAAGATGTAGGCTGGGAGGCTAGGCCCCATTCTCTCTTTTCACTTTTTTCTGCCTGCTTATATTCTAGATGTGTTAGCAGCTGATTAGATTTTGCCCACCCAGATTAAGGGTGGGTCTGCCTTCCCCAGCCCACTGACTCAAATCTTAATCTCCTTTGGCAACACCCTGACAGACACACCCAGGATCAATACTTTGTATCCTTCCATCCAATCAAGTCGACACTCAGTATTAACCATCACAGTGCCATTGCTGTGAATAGGTGACAAGATTGAAAGTTAGGAGGAGGGAAGCCATGGAGATAGAATCTCACAGAATTGATAAACAACAGCTTCACAGCCTGTGCAAGTGATTTCAATTTTTAATAATCACATTTCTCATTTTTCAAGAGTCCGAACTAGTTAGTTGTTAACTTCCTCTTCAGACATGAAATTTCTGTTTTAGATTGTAAGCTTTGTCTTTACAGTACCAGACATATTAGATATGGTGAAGAAATAAATCAGATATTTTATATTTTTCAATCTTTGGAAAACTCATTTTTGTTTATAGGCAGTTTCTTAATCTTAATCTCAAAATGGCTCTTCAAAGTACATTTTGTTCTTGGCTCTTACTGTGTTTATTGATTCCCTGGAAATTCTTTCATCTTTTTCTCTTATGTTTTCTCTTTCCCTATCATCTTATTCATTTTCTCTTTCAAAAAGTTTAGCTCTGCAAGGCCATTTAGTGATTTCAGAAGTGTGCTAGTAAAGGGTTTTATTTTTCAAATGTAAATGGACCTCAGGATTGCCTGTGTAAGTGATTTAATTTTCTTCTGTTATTTCTAGCTACATCCCAACTCCATGTGTCACACCGTTTTAGGTGTTGGTGATGTCAGAAACTGCAAACTGAAATTTTGGCAGCAATACAAAGAAAGAACAAATTCTCTAATATACCTTGAATGTATTTGCAATTATTAAACTAAATTTAGGTAGATGATTTGAGATCTAAAATTATAAAAGCTATTTATTTAGGCATAAGCTCATTTAACCTGTAATTTACCTTTGTTAAAAGAAAAAAGGTAATATACATTTACATTTAGTTATTTCGTGGCAGCAGCCAAAGTCAACAAAATATTTGCACTGCCTGGATGAAATCTATAATATTATGCAATTTGAGGTTTTAGTTTTATTTTCAAGGAAAAAAGTACTTGAGTGATCAAACATATATTCAAGACATTATGAGATGGTACAATTAGAAATTTCCCTTAATTAATATAAAATGTTGGCCAAATATGTATGCAAGTAGTTCTTCATCAGAAATCTGAGCAGAAATGCATATGGAAGGGATTATAGTAGAAACCAAGAAATTCCCTTTTGGACAAAGACAGTTGCGTGGTCACAGCCTGTGTGGCCTAAACGCTCGTGCTAACAATACTATTCATCCCAGGATCAATCAATACCATCATAAAAACTGGTCTAATAGGAAGGACAATAACAAAGAATAATACTAGGATCAATTAAAATGTTGCTCACACTGCCCTTCTGAAGGACAGAATTAGGGTTTCATGTCCTAGATTTTAAGTTACTGATAACAAATACAATGTCACTGGATGGTCCTACAGTGTTCCAGGCTTACAGCTTTACATACCTTAACTAATTTTTCCCTTAAAATAACCCTACGTTATAGACACAGAGACCCTGCTGGGTAAGTAGTTTGCCCACACAGATCTATGTATAATTTTGAAGTGTTAATTTAAAAACACAGGACTCTCTGATTTCAAAGCTAAGACATCAGTATTGAACAACATGTACTTTATTTTTTAACAATATCTATAAAATGTATATCTACAACAAGTTTGATAATAAGCACGGATACTTCACATTCACAATATTTGAATTAGCCACTGAAATTTTATTTGAAAGTATCATTGTTTATAACAAATAATTTGAAACATAGCAGCTACTTCTTCATTCAAACAAGTTATAACTAGTTTAGTATTTTCTTAGGTAAATAGTAAAAGCCCACAACACCCCCAAAAGATGGCTGAAATGTCAGAGAGGGTCACAAGACAGCTGAACAAAACATCAGACAGCAACTCAGAACTGGCTGTAGTTTACTGTTCAGCACCATTAGAAGGTGTATTATCCTTTGGAATAGTTAATGGAATGGAAATTGCATATAAAATTTCTTTGCATCAATAAAATGCAGCTTAACAATGAGATCTTGTACAAAAAATAGACAGTGAAAATGTGATAAAAGAAATACTTTGACAGATTGGCTAAACATCACATATTACTGAAGGAGAAAGATTTAATGTATATAAAGAGATTTCAGTCCTGGCACTAATGGACCAGAGTTGTGAATTAAGAAGCATCCAATCCATATGATATTCTGTTCTGTGATGAAGACTTTTAAGGAAGGAATGAACATTAGACTTCATCTTCCCATTTGCTATTCAATAAGAAATATTGAGGAATTATTCAGCATCTGACTAGAAAACAACTGACTCAAGGAAGTAAAGAAATGAAGCAAGATTTATATTATCCAAATACAGAAAGACAGCAATACAAAGATATAGACAGGAGTAGCCTACTGAAAATAGAGATGAGCAATCATGAGAAGCAACTTTCACATTAGGGCATCTAAAAGGTCAGAAAGGGGCACCTTGGTGCTAAACATATTGATTTATAAATAAATGAACATAATAGTCTAATGAAATAACCCGAAACTATTCTAACATGTAACTGGATGATTATTAGTCTTTTTTTTTCTTTCTTTAAAGAATGGGCAAGATAATGATATGTTACAATTTATGGGAATGTTGTAATTTACATTTATATTCAAGGGTTGCTTTTCAACATGCCTCTTTCTTAAAGGCCCCTTTACCCTTTCACCAAGAAAATAAACAAAAGAAAAAAAAGTATTTGCTTTACATTTGGAACAATCAAGGCTCTACCAGTTTTTGCTGTTGTTGTTGTTGTTCATTATATGAAAGGTTCTGGGTAGAAAGAATGAGGTAACAGATTATACATAATATTCTAAGCACCAATCTGCATTTTACTTATACATATATAATTATTTTTTTCTTTCTTTAAGCCTTTTGCTTCTCCATGATTATACAAAAAAATTTGTAGTAGAATTTGTTATCAATAATTATAGTCTTGGAGGATTGGTCAAGTTAAAGCTAGAGCTTATATTTCCACTTGAACACTAAGTGTCTTTTTTACCACGATAATGTCAGAAATATTTTATTTTTATGAGTGATGATGGAAAGCTGATCCAAGAGGGAAGACAGGAAAGAAATAAAGCAGAATAATTCTTGATAGTTTGGCAATCCCACTGATACATTTTTTAAAATCTTTCTTTGCTTTAGCCTCATGTACAAAGTGAAAATACTTTGTAGCCATCATAGAGAAATTATCACCTTATGTGACTAATCATTGTCTAAAGTAATTTATTTCATTTTCAGTGTAATTTCATTAAATATGGCAGCAGTGGTTACCTACAGGAAGAGAAGAAATCCAAGTAATGAGCCCAATACTCCTCCTCAGGAGTGGAACAGGCTGTGGAAAAGAGGAAGGACCAATAAATGAGACTGGCAAGGTGGCTCATGAGTAAAGGAGAAAACCAGAAAAATGGAAATCAATTAAGAAAATGTTTGGAGGATGAAAACATCAGTTAAATCTGTGTAATACTGAGAATAAATAGGGTAACTATAGAATTAACATCTGAATCAGGATGCTTTGAGAATAAGACTATACATGGTTGATTACATGAGAAAAAAGTATAAACCAAGACTCTCCAAGGACAACAGGATTGAGAAGTTTCTCCAAAATTTTGGAGACAGTAAAACTAGGCAAATTCTTAGAAGAATTATTCTAAAATGATAAATTTTAAAAAAAAATGAAGTTCTGCTGCTGGAGAAGTAAGGAAAGAGAATATTTGTTTAAGATGAGGGAACTAACTGTATGTTTGCATAATGGTGGATGATCCAGTAGAGAAAGAAAATTGATGAGGCAAAAAGAGAGGAGAGAATTGTGAGAGCAAAGTCATTGAATGACTTAAAAAAGAAGGGATAATAGTGAAAGAATAGAATCCACGCAACTGAGATTATGAAAAAGTTGTATTTATTAGTAAAAACAAAGTTAAGGTTATGACTATTAAAATGTATGTCTGATGTAAAGTGGAAGACAAGGTCATTTACTAACGGGGGTTGAGAAGCCAACGTGTTGAAAAGATCATATCTGTATATGTTGAAAATGCCAAGATTTAAGACTAGAATAGCATTAGAGAAATAAATAAAATAAACTGAAGTTTATAATATCAGCAATATGAATGGTGGTGGGTGATATGGTAAGATGATTCAAAAAGAAGAATTTTAGGGAAGGAGAAAGAATGATTTAAAACCGGCAAAGGAGAACAAGAAAGATATCTATGCCACTTCCACGCCCAGTGGCATGAAAAAGGGAGAAAAATCAGTGGCCACTTAAGACTGCAGAGAAACAATGTTCTTAATAGATTGTCATGTTTTCATCAGAGCAAAAAGGTAAATGTGTTGTTGAAAACAAAGATCAAACACAGGGTGGAAACTGATGATAATGATTTGTGTGAAGGCAATAGGGAGTGTGGTAGATGTTGTGAAGGTTAGAAGAAAAAACAAAAGTGAGGGGACAGATACAGAATCTTATACCAATTAGAGTATAAGAAAAGAAGAGCGAACTGGAAGTCTAAGAATTTTTGTTATGGATGATGTAAATAAGAATAAAGGATATAATGTATTTAGTGGTAAATTGAAAAATGTCCCAAAGATACATCAAGCCCAAATCTCCAGCATCTGTAAGTATTGATTTATAGGGCAAAAGAAGTGACTAAGAGAAGAATTTTTAGATGAGGAGATTATTCTGGATTATATGGATGGGCACTAAATGTAATGATGTGGGTCCTTTTAGAAAAATGTGGAAGGAGATTCCATACTGACCCACATAGAAAAGAATTCGCTGTGTAGACAGAGGCAGAAATTGGAATGATGCGACCGTATGCCAGGCAATGCTAGTAGCCATCCAAATCTGGAAGACGCAAAGAATGGATTCTCCTTTTCAGCCTCTAGAAGGAGGGAATGAGGCTGTGCCGACACCTTAATTTCATCTCAGTGATACTCCTTTCAAACTTAAGGCCTCCAGAACTGTGAGAGAATAAATTTCTACTGTGTTAAGCTTCCTCGTTTGGAGTAATTTGTTATCAAAGCCACAGGAAAGAAAGACATTAGGGATTCAAATTGGATATTTGTGGCAACATTATGAATCTTTGATTCTGGCTGTCAACTGGGATCCTTGGATTTCTCCAGGTTGGATGTCCTGGGGCTGGAGGTCAAGGTAGTTCTTTATTTTATTTTATTTTATTTTATTATTATTATTATTATTATTATTATACTTTAAGTTTTAGGGTACATGTGCACAACGTGCAGGTTTGTTACATATGTATACATGTGCCATGTTGGTGTGCTGTACCCATTAACTCGTCATTTAACATTAGGTGTATCTCCTAATGCTATCCCTCCCCCCTCCCCCCACCCCACGACAGGCCCCGGTGTATGATGTTCCCCTTCCTGTGTCCATGAGTTCTCATTGTTCAGTTCCCACCTATGAGCAAGAACATGCAGTGTTTGGTTTTTTGTCCTTGCGATAGTTTGCTGAGAATGATGGTTTCCAGTTTCATCCATGTCCCTACAAAGGACATGAACTCATCATTTTTTATGGCTGCATAGTATTCCATGGTGTGTATGTGCCACATTTTCTTAATCCAGTCTATCATTGTTGGACATTTGGGTTGGTTCCAAGTCTTTACTATTGTGAATAGTGACGCTATAAACATACATGTGCATGTGTCTTTCATGTCTGACTCCTGGCTCCAGCCAGTGGCTGAGAGTTGGGGCTGGCTGGGGATCTTTCTTTTTTTTGAGACTGAGTCTCGCTCTTTCGCCCAGGCTGGAGTGCAGTGGTGCGATCTCAGCTCACTGCAAGCTCCACCTCCCGGGTTCACGCCATTCTCCTGCCTCAGCCTCCCGAGTAGCTGGGACTACAGGCGCCCGCCACCACGCCTGGCTAATTTTTTCTATTTTTAGTAGAGACGGGGTTTCACCGTGTTAGCCAGGATGGTCTCGATCTGCTGACCTCGTGATCCGCCTGCCTCGGCCTCCCAAAGTGCTGGGATTACAGGCTGAGCCACTGCGCCCGGCCTGGTTGGGGATCTTTTGTTCCGCATTCTTCCTTCTGCCTGGCAGGCTTAGGCTTCCTAACAGCAGGCCAGTCTCATGAAGGTTGAATCTATGCTGCAGGTGTCTCCAATCTTTTGGCTTCCCTGGGCCACATTGAAAGGAGGAGAATGTATTGGGCCACTTAAAATGCAGTAACACTAATGATAGCTGATGAGCTAATAAAAAAATGCAAAATAATCTCATAATGTTTTAAGAAAATTTATGAAATTATGTTGGGCTGCATTCGAAGCCATCCTGGGCCATGGGTTGGACAAGCTTGCCTTATAGGGTGGCTAGCTTCCCCCAGAGGGAACGTTGTAAGAGAAATGGGCAGAAGATTCTTACGACCAAATCTTGGAAGTCTCAGAAAAACACTTCTGCCATATTTTAGTGTTCAAGCAAGTAATTAAGGTCATCCCAAATTCAAGGGAAGTGGAATCAGATGCCACCTCTCAATAGAAGGCCTCTCAATGGAAGGCCAGCTCTCAAGAGTAGGCCTAGTGGTAGTCTTTGATCTACTGCAAGTACCAAGGAGAAGAACATGAGACACACTTATTCTTAAGAGATGGGAGCAGTATGAGAAAACAGAATAAAATTGTAGCATTTCTGAAGTACATGGAAGTTGTTCCCAGAGCAGTTAGATTTGTGACTGGAAAGCTTTTCTGGGTATCTTCAATTAAGTTTGTCTACTTGAATAAATAGGGTCAAGAGAATTACAATACTAAAGGTAGTTGATGGACTTTGTTTTTTTTCTTCCCCAAAATTTAAAATTCTACTTTTTTATCAGGTTCTTGGGAAATCAATTCATATGATTGATTAATTCTTTTAAAATTTAGTGTCTATAACCAAGTCAATATTTTTAAGTTTCTAATTTTAATGAAGCTATTGCATCTTTCTGAAAAATCTTTAGTGACTTAATCAAGTCCATCACTGATGAAGCCTCCTGGTATAGGAAACTACTGTGTTTCACTCACGTCCGTGTGAAGAGACCACCAAACAGGCTTTGTGTGAGCAATAAAGCTGTTTGCAGGCGGGCTGAGTCCAAAAAGAGAGTCAGCGAAGGGAGATACGGGGTGGGGCTGTTTTACAGGATTTGGTTAGGTAAAGGAAAAAGGGGGGTGGTTCTCTGGCGGGCAGGAGTGGGGGTCACAAGGTGCTCAGTAGGGAAGCTTTTGAGCCAGGATGAGCCAGGAGAAGGAATTTCACAAGATAATGTCATTAGTTGAGGCAGGAACAGGCCATTTTCACTTCTTTGGTGGTGGAATGTCATCAGTTAAGGCAGGAACCAGCCATCTGCACAGGTCACAGGGGATATGATGGCTTAGCTTGGGCTCAGAGGTCTGACAGGGTGTGTGTGTGTGTGTGAGTGTGTGTAATTGGTGGTGGTGAAGTGAGTCACATTTGTGTAGGAATACAAGAGTTTTCTGAGATGAAAGGGCTTAAGATCCCAATCCTTTCTCTATAATAAGATGCAATTTTTAAAAAAACTTCTCAGATGGACTAGGATTTCAGAAAAAGGCAGGGAATACTTTAAAATAAAATTACTTGAACAAAGCAAAGCAGTCATAGCATTTCTACTATGACTATAGCATTTTGCTATTTCAAAGCAAAGCAGGTACAGCTGCCCAGTCACAATGCTTACTTATCCTTATGTGCGGAGAACCTGACCCTAGCTATATAAATTGACAAACTTAATATCCAACAACCTTGGTCCTGAGGGAGGGGGAAGGTCTTCCTTTAAAAGTCCTTCCCCCAGGAAGATCCTAGCTGTGCAGGAAACCAGACAAGTGAGGCTCCACTGTGGAGTGGACTGGGACTTCAGGTGAGCCATCACCCTCTGCAGGATAGTTGGAGAAGCAACTCAGTAGTGGGTTTTTAGGAAGCCCAGGGGCCCGCCTGCTGGGGGGTGAAACTCAGAAAATAACATATCTTTTGGACCCCCAGGGCTACAGAAAATTGGGGGGTATTGGAGCCTTAGAATACAAATATTTTTGGCATAGCAATATTTTAATATGTCACACTCAGGACACTCATGTTTTGTTCTGGTTGTTTAAAAGTTTAGTTTAGATCAAACACATTATCTAATTTGTACCCAGTTTATGGATAGCTAATAACCAACACACACACACACACACACAGAAAGAGAGAGAGAGAGACAAAGAAACTACAAAGAATTCTCTTTCAGGAATGTAAAGAAAAACATTTTGCACCATCTTTAAGCTTGATCTAGAGCAGTACCACTTGAATTGTGTATTTGAAGAAAAAAGTTTAAATTTTTTTATTTTTTCTTTCTTTTTCTGATACATTATTTCTGAATTCATCTTAAATTACAGTAAAAGTCAGCATGGTGATGGAGGCAAGATAGCCAGTTGGTTAGTACTGTATTCTTTTCTAAGGTAGCTTGCAGTGTTCTTGGTATTGATAGATAATTTAAAAATATATGGGAAACTTGCCTCTGTAGATCATGAGCTTTTTGAGGCAGCAGCTTCTTTCCTCACAGCTCCTATTACCGATCTTGATAAATATCTATTAAATGGCAGACTTTAAGAAATGACCTTGAATATTTGATTGGTAGCGTGAAGCTGCAATAATTGTTTTGAAATGGATTCAAATACAATTAATGCAGTTTATACCCATGGAACTACCAAACAATGACAGCATAGTATTATTCTTTGTGTTGTGTTAGGGATAAACATGTTCTCAGCAGTCAGTTCAGTTTCTGTGCTAGACTTCTGAAGTCAGATCAATGTCTTCAATGCGCACTGAACTGACAAATACTATAAATATTTAAATTTGAAATAAAGCCTCCCCTTAATAAAGTATGCATTCATCTTTGCCTTCTATGAATTTAGGATTAAAATGAAATTGATACCAACATCAACCAAGACCATAGTGTCAGTATTTCTTGAATGCAGATATGACAAATACACGTTCAGCTTAGCCTAACAACATGGAGTTGACATTTCTACATTATAAATAGGTCCTCAAATGGAACAGAGCAATTCCCCCATGCCTGAAACATTCAGGTCTTTGATCTCTCTATGCCACTCCTCAGGACTCATAGAATCCTCCCTTTTCTTCCAGAAACATCTGGCCAGGAGCTAAAGGTACAGCAGATTTGCTTAGGCCCTAACTGGACCCTAGAGTTTATTGCTGATTTCATTTTGCATTTTACCAATATTGATCCTGCTTCTCTGAGTTAACTCCCCATCTGCTTCTTATTTATTTGTATCAGCTGAATGTTGAATGATTGATTTTGGGTTCTACACTTTAGCTTTATTATTATATGTCTCTCTAGATAATCCTTACAAAATATTCTCTTCTACTCACTCCCTAGGGTCAGTTGTCCAGCCATGAAATATATTATATTTTATGTATATGCTTTCTTTAGCGCACAGAAAATAAATGGGAAAATATGATATTCTATGCAAATATTTTCATTAGCATTGTCATTTCTCCCCTCTTGATTTCTTCCTTATTTTGCTACTTATTTAGGAGTTCCTCCTAAGTGCAGACCACTACAATCTATGAAGAATACCAGTTCTTTCTGGTAGCATCCCAGTACTAAAGGAATTTATGCTGTTTTGAGAAAGATTAGAATATCCATATAAAATCCACAGTATAAGAATACTAAGGGAGAGAGAGGGGAAAAAATAAGAAAACAAATTGTCAAACTAATTGACAAAAAGAAAAAAGTAATAAAAAAATAAGAAAAAATAGAAGAAAGGTTTTGCTGGCTATGGTTAGATCTTAGAAATAACTGGCCTCCATGTGACAGTTGGGAGGCCATAAGAGAGTAGGAGCTGCCTTGGAAGTTTCATACTAGGAGAGGCCATCACAGTGCTAATGAGCTTTCTCTCCTTATGGCTCATTTATTAGATATATTAAAATGTTTATACCCAATTAAAATAATTAAATAGTATACAAGGGCTTAAGGTGAAATGAGAAAGCTCATTTTCTCGCCTACACACCCAATCTTATACTCCAGAGGCAACTTCTTTTAAAATTTTTAAAATTAAAATAAATTATTTAGTGACTATAAATAAATTCTACTCACAGGATCATTAGGGACTGAATTGTTTCCCCCCAAAATTTGTATGTTGAAGCCCAAACTTCCAATGTGACTATATTTGTAGATCCAACCTTTAAAAAGGTAATTAAGGTTAAATGAGATCATAAGGGTGGGGCCCTAATCCGACAGAACTGGTGTCCTTGTAAAAAGAGGGAAAAGGGGCCCGGGTGTGCTGGCTCATGCCTGTAATCCCAGAACTTTTGGAGGCCGAGGTGAGCAGATCACTTGAGGTCAGGAGTTTGAGACCAGTCTGGCCAACATGGTGAAACCCTGTCTCTACTAAAAATACAAAAAGTAGCTGGGCATGGTGGTGGACGCCTGTAATCCCAGTTACTCAGGAGGCTGAGGCAGGAGAATCACTTGAACCCAGGAGGCAGAGGTTGCAGTGAGCCAAGATCACACCATTGCACTCTAGCCTGGGCAACAGAACGAGACTCCACATCCAAAAAAAAAAAAAAAAAAAAAAAAGAAGAGGAAAAGATACTAGCAATGAGCACGCAAGGAAAAAAGACCATGTGAAGACATGGAGACATGGCAAGAAGGAAGGCATCTGCAAACCAAGGAGAAAGGCTTCAGGAGGAATGGATCCCGCCAGCACCTCGACCTTGACTTCCAGCCTCCAGCACTGTGAGAAAATAAATTCCCATTGTTTAAGCCACCAAGTCTGTGGTATATTGTTATGGCAGCCCTAGCAAACTAATACACATATAATACACCATTCGATCCCTACAGAAAGATATGTGGGGAAATGTAAAAGTCTTTTCAATCCCTTCCAATGCCTGTGTCCTGATTTTGTCCCGAAGGAACTAATCTTATCAGCTAACTATTGATCTTTTAGAGATAACCATTTCTATATTTAGTCTTTCAATAATCAAAGCTACATCTCTAAATAATATGCTTTGTGCTGCTATTTCCTGATTCCTCAGTTTTGGGTTTCTTCTATTTATTTTTTTTGTTATAATTAATAAAGACTTAGTTTAATTACACTACCCTCCTTTCCCTGCTTTCTTCTCCTACCAAATAATTCCAAGTACCTGTCTTCCAAGTTTCTTCATTAATCCACACTGCAACTTCATAAAGCATGCTTCAGTTCATTCTTTACTCTGGAAATCAAAGGCATCAGTAGATCCAATCTTCTTTATACCTTCTTCACCCAGTTTTACCTCTAAACACTGAGAGCTATGCCTATTGTAACACCATACTTCAATCTCATGATTTTTCCACAGGTTTATTCTAAAACCTGAAAACCAGTAAGCAATGTCTAGTTTAGTATGAGACTGCAAATAATATTTACTGTAAAGGCAAATCATGTGGTTGGCTTATATATTCTTCCTAAAGGGTCTTTATCAGTCCAATTTGAATTAGAGAAGCAGATCCATATGAATATTATTGAATATGGAATAAGTCATTCCTTAAAGAAATTAGAATTCACACAATTTTGGGAGAAACTAGGGAAATAAGGTCTGGAAAAGGGAGTAGGAAAATCATACAAAAGTAACCCTCCCTGAAGCACTGGCATGGGTAAATAAGTTGGAACTTGCAGGGCCTTTTAGGAAGCCGAGCATATTCAGCTTCCAGGTAGTGTTGTAGAGGTGAGCTGGTGAAGAAGTTTATGGAAGGTTATGTCTCTGCCTCTTGGGTGGGACTAAGGTGGCTGTCCACTTGGTATATCAGTCAGGGCCTAGAGTCAGGAAGACAAGATGGATTTGGAGGAGTGGAGGGTAAAAACAGCATGTAAGGGGTTTCCTTCCTGGCTCCTTTTTTTTTTTCCTGTATTTCCTCTTGGTCTGCCTAAGCACCTTTATTTACTATCTTGATCTGCCTAAACACCTTTATTTATTTCTTAAGCAACGTGATAAATTTCCTGAAACCAGAGTGTAAAAATGTCTTTACTCTGTCTTATGCAATATTGATAGCTTTCCTGTATATAAAATTTTAGATTGAAAAACATTTTCTCTTACAATTTTGAAGACATTGCTTCATAGTCTTTGAAGGTATTATGTCCTGGAAGACTGAAGTCTCACCCCATCGTTTCTTTTGAGTGAAGTATGGCTGTTTATTCCAGAATTGTGTTGCATCCTTTAATGTCCGGTTATCCTTGTTTTTTTATTTATATTTAAGAATAAGTGCAGTGGAAAGGTTGACTGGGTTTCTATACATAAGGGCAGCCCTTGTCAAATTGCTTTGGGGTGAGTTGATTAGGTTCCAGACATCATTTTGAGTGACACCTAAATGCTGAGATAAAGAAGACTTTGCTTCAAACTGTCCTAGTTTTGTCCAGAAAGTGTGTTCAATTTATTTAGGTAATAACACTAGAATTTTTGGCTAGCAGATGAGTGTCTATTATCTGAAAGATGGGAGTAGTGAAGATGAGAGGAAATTGTTTCCTACGGAGACCTTCAATCATTTTCATGTTTTCAGTCCCACCTCTAACTTTGGCATACTCTGATATCTTTGAATCCTCTCTTTATAGGGTTATCCCATGGGTACATGGTCTCGCACCACTGCTATTGCTCTCTTAACCCGTATTCTAGGAAAGGACTTCTGATTCTTTATCATTACCACTAGTCCAACTGCATTTAATCTTTCAGAAATTTGTTGAAATCTCTCATCCACTATGGCTTTAACTACTGATCTTTTCTTTGTCTGAGTTTAATAACATTAAAAAAGTGTTTTTGGCATAATTTTATAGGAGTGACCAACCCAATAGAAATCTCAGGAAAAACATGTGTGTGCTGAGTTTACATGTTGAACCAGAGCTGCCTGTGTAATTCTGAGATTTGTGGAAAAGTGAAAAAGCTATCTTAGTCGTTCAGTAGCAAATGATTAGGAGATTCAACAGTAAAACAGGTTGAGTAGCACCACTGAAATTTAGGAGCATTTATTGAGAATCTATTATGTGACAAATTTCCTGTGAACATAATCGATGAAAATACAATGAATAAGATATAGTCTACAGAATTCACCATCCAGGGTGAGGACATAACAATGTAAACAAGGTAAAATGCAATGAGTTTGTAGAGTTCAGCCATGTCATAAAATGGAACTGATTAGTTTTACTTAAAAGAATCAGGATTTCATAGAGGAGGTGATGGCTAAGTTGAAAATATTTATTGATCTAGATGAGCAAGCAAGTAGATGAGCATGATGTTGAAAATTTGTCACTCTGGCACAAGGTTCTTTAAATCTATTTTCAAACTGCATTTTTAGCCTTATCTTTCATAACTTCCTTGCATGTCTGGGCTCCATATTCTAACCAAAGTAGACAACTGTTGCTTCCCAATGTGAGGCAAGAACATTGATTGAGCACCTAAGAATGAGAGACGTATTTTTAGCAGCCTTTTAAACTGACTGGCTCAAGTTGCCCTATGCTGTAAATGGTAACATTTTTGCAAAACAGAGCGAACACATATCAATACAAACAAAGCTCACAGGATTATAGGGTGTGATAACTCATCAAGACTTAACATTTTCTTGAAGGAGCATTGTTATACAGTAAACCACGTCTGTTGACATTCCTCAGCCAGTATCTGACTGTTAGCAGTAAACTCACTCACCAACTTACTACTATTATTTTTAAAGCCCTTGCAAGTGGCAGCCTCTGTGATTGGATATTACATTTAATTTTGTAAAACATTATTACATCAGTATTTTTCCATTTTCTAGATGAAAAAATGGAGGGATTATAATTGTTAGGTTACACAGAAGGTGAGTAGGAGATGTGTAGATTTAAACTAAAGACTGACTTTAAAATTCTTATAAAAATTGTTAAACATTCTTGACCCTTCCCCTCCCATATCTCAAACCTTTACAACTGTGGCATAAAGGTTTTACTTTTAATGGCAAAAACCACAAATACTTTTGCATCAACCTGATACTATGCTTGAAATGATTCCTATGACTCCATCCTTCAGCCTTATCCATCATTCAAAGACCAACTCATCTGCTGTCTCCTCCTGAAGTATTCCATGGTTACTCCAGTCCAAAGTTTGTATCCCTCTAACCTCTACTGTGCTTTGCAATATTCTTAGGAATTTAGGGCAAATTCTTTTTTTTTTTTTTTTTTTTTTGAGACGGAGTCTCGCTCTGTCGCCCAGGCTGGAGTGCAGTGGCGCGATCTTGGCTCACTGCAAGCTCCACCTCCCGGGTTCCCGCCATTCTCCTGCCTCAGCCTCCCGAGTAGCTGGGACTACAGGCGCCGCCACCACGCCCGGCTAATTTTTAGTATTTTTAGTAGAGATGGGGTTTCACCGTGTTAGCTAGGATGGTCTCGATCTCCTGACCTCGTGATCTGCCCGCCTCGGCCTCCCAAAGTGCTGGGATTACAGGCGTGAGCCACCGCACCCGCCGTGACAAGGATTTTTAAGCACAGTAAAATCAGTTTTCTATCTTTACAATCTGAAGATCACTAGATTTAGCTAATCCTCATATTCATTCTCTTCTAAGTCACTCCTTGCGTTCATATTCCCCATGTCTTACCCAACTAAACTAAAATTTTTAAAGGATCATTTTTTACCTTAAAATATCTTTTTTATCTTTCATAATGCACAGCCTGCTTCTTTATACCCTGCAGAAGAGAAATTTACTTAAGATGTTTTTTAAAAATTCAGTGAATATATTTAGCATATGCTGCCTTGCATCTTATTTATCTCGGTATTTTTTTCTTGCCTCCCTTACTAGATTATAAGCAAGTTTAGAACAGAGATGTTTAATGCTCTGCAAGCAACAGATTATCAAGTTATTTATAAAGATAATAAGGTTTTAGGGGTTTATTGGTTCCTTTACAATATAAATTGACATTGCATATATGAAGTTTTTTTCCCCTCTGAATGAAATGCATGTAGTTTATATTGAGGGCAGTGAAATCAATGTCACTTGAAGTAATAAAGAAATATAAAGTTCAAATGGAAATACATTTGCATGGCTCAAGTGTTCATTCATCAGCGGGTTGAAAGAATGTGATTTTCTTTTCAGATGACATGTAATAAAAATAAAATCATGACAATGCTGGTACTTTATAGTTCAATAAGCACAACAACAAAAACCCAATTCTGTTTGGACATCCCACATATACAACTATTTCTTCACTGTTGGCCAATGTGTCTTACCTAGGACAATTCTAAAGATATTAACCCATTGAAGACAAGCCTCTTTGAATATTTTTATGTTTTCACTTAAAGATCAAAGTACTGTATTTGAGATTTGAGATTTTTAAAAGGAGACAAAAAGTCATAAGAATATAATATTGTATTTTTACTGTATTTACTTATTCAGAGCTATATTACCTTTCTCATCTCCTTAAAAGGTAACCTTACTGTAATATGTTGGGAAGAAAGGAACTTTTGAATACCCATTTCAGATTTGCCTTGTGTCAATTGTTATTCCATGTGGAGCTCTAGCAGACATTTGGCCATCTATTATGAGCCATAGTGACCTTCTCTGCTAATTATTAACTATGAAAACTTTTTCTGAATTTCCCCAGTAAAAGGGCACAAGCAGAGTGACCAACATTTCCCTTGATGGTCCTTCCTCTTATTCTGCATTTCATCACCATGAAACTTGAAGGAAGAATTGGAAGTTGCTGAATGGAAAATCCCTGTAAAAACTAAAGACAATTGAACACCAAATGAGATTTTCTCATAGGCCAAGAAAGAGTATCCAAACCATTTCAAAGTGATCACTCCTAAGATACATTCTAGATCCTAGCTTTGCGAAAGTCTCCCCACTTTGGAGACAGTATCCTTTCTTCAAACTTCTACTACATCAATATCCAACTCACCCCTATCATCTTTAGAGGAATACACATGGGCTCTTACTCTAAGTGTAGTTCCTCTTCTTCCACTTACAAACTCTCTAGGATAAGATAGCCATCAGCAGTATATAAGCCAAAGTCTAAGATACTAATCCTAAAGTACATGGAATAGGCTGCAGTACTTTTTAATAAGTCTGTCTAGGATGAAATTTAGCACTCTAAGTCTTGATCTCATTAATTTATCCCAGCCAATGTGAGTTTGGCATATTCTTCTTTATTATTTCTAGTTATCTGGGACACACACACACACACACACACACACACACACACACACACACACACCTTTCCCAACAACAAATACCAAATTCTAGAGACAGTAAATATAGGTCCCGATTCAACAATCTTTTCCCTAAGTGCAACATACGTTCTTCCACATAAAGGACAAAGCTTCATATACATGTTTAAAGAAATTGCTAGAGACACCCCTTCACCCTTATTTTCTTACCCTTCTGTTTCTAAACCATACGTAGAAAGCTGTAGGTACATTAAAGTACGACCTAGTGCTGCATTCTGTTTTCAAGCTGTAGGGTCATCTGATTCTTGATGATGATCATTCTCTGACTGAACAATAGCAAGTCCAATGACCACGTTTTTATACTTTACACAGGATAACATTCAAAATCAGGGCTCCTCCACATTACTATTTTGTAAGTAAATGAGAGACAATATGAAAAATTATTATCCTCCTATTGAAGCAACCCCCTTCTCCTGTGTGTCTGTGTGCATGCATGCATAAGTGTGTGTGTTTGTGTATATGTGTGTGTGTATAGGGGGAGCTTTGCATTTTCAGTTGTTATCACAATGCGGAAGAAATTAAATTAAAATGTCCTTCACAAATTAATGCAAATCATTTTATTCCTAAATTGATGGTATTAGTCCTATAAAAACATAGAATTATTTACCATTAACACTTTAATTTATTTTATTTTTTGAGATGGAGTCTCACTCTGTCCCCAGGCTGGAGTGCAGTGGCTCAATCTCCACTCACTGCAATCTCCACCTCCCGGGTTCAAGTGATTGTCCTGCCTCAGCCTCTCAAATAGCTTTAACACTTTATTCACCAGTTAAGGATACAGAGACTTGAAATAGAAAGATGCATGCAAAAAATATGAGATGTTTCTCCCCCTGCCTCACATACTTACATATCTTTTTTTTTTTTTCTGAGATGGGGCCTTGCTCTGTCGCCCAGGCTGGAGTGCAGTGGTACGATCTCGGCCCACTGCAACATCTGCCTCCTAGCTTCAAGTGATTCACATGTCTCAGCCTACCAAGTGGCTGGGATTACAGGCCTGCACCACCACAACCGGCTAATTTTTTGTATTTTTAGTAGAGATGGGGTTTTGCCGTGCTGGCCAGGCTGTTCTCAAACTCTTGACCTCAGGTGATCCGCCCACCTCGGCCTTCCAAAGTGTTGGGATTACAGGCAAGAGCCACTGCACCTGGCCCACATATCATTTTTCTAAATGAGTTTATATATAGCTAGATGCAGTTGCTGAAGAAAAGAAATAAAACTTATGTTCTATGCTACTGAGAAAACCATGCTGTAAGCAAGATCTATAAATACTGAAAAAACTTGAGAATATAAGTAAACGTGTAGCACAAAGTTGCTGTAACCACAATAATAAAAGAGTAGGAGAACAATTACTTTGGGTCACTATTAAGGCTTCTTGTGGGTAAGGAAGCATAGTAGCATAAATAACGTAAAGGCCTGGAGGCATATATTTTATATACAACAAAATGCACATATTTAAAGTGCATAGTTGACAAAGAAGTGGGAAAAAGAAGTGCACAAATCTTAAGTGTACAGTTTGGTAGTTTTGAAAAAGGTACATGCCATGGAACCACTGCTCCCATCACAATGCAGACCACGTCTTATCATCCCAGTAAGTTTCATCTTACCAATTGCAACCAGCCCTGCTCCTTTCTTTATCTCCCACAGGCTACTGCTGTTCTGATTTCATCGTCACAGCTTAGTTGAGAAGCATGAGTTGTTCAATAATCAAATCCGAGTTGAAGTTTTAGCTTACACATACTACACAGGTGACCATGAGCAAGTTACTTAAAGTGTTTGTGTCTCCTTTTTTTGCTTCTGTGTAATGGAGACAATAATATGCTTACATTACAGGTATTAGTGAACATTAAATCATATCAAATATGTAAACTATTAATAATTGAGTATTTAATGGAATATATTGTATAGGTAGTGAGAAAAGCCTTAATTTTAGGCTATTAGAGTCAAGCGTTCCTCTCAAAAAAAGGGATTAAAGTAGGGAATACAACGTGTTAGACAGATGTGTGACTCTGTGAGTGCTTTTTTGAAGAACAGGGATAGGGAGCATGCTAGAGGAGGAGGTAGATCAGCATCTTATTACAACAGCAATGACAAAATATATGTCGTACATTGTTCTAAGTGCTTTGAGTAATTGAACTCATTTGATCTTTATAACACTAAGGCCATAACAAAGATACTATTATTGCTCTCATTTTATAGGTAAGGAAGCTGAGGCACAGAAAGATTAGAAGCATTGCCCAAAATTACACATCTGGCAAGAGGCTGATCTGTGATTCCAACCTGAACAGTCTGGCTCCAGAATCTGTGATAATGTGCTTTGAATCACTATGCAATGTTATCGTTCAATTAAAGATAACTTCATAAAAGGTTAAGAAATCAGGTTTCCTTTTAAGAATATTTATCTAAATATGCTAACTGTGGCTTTGTTACTAGTGTAGGACTATTAATTTACCTATAATAGCTTTTTCTTTAACACTTGTGGGTGCCTTGGCCAGTAGATTAAGATGAATTTCAGAATTAATTAGAGCTACTATCACCACTTAAGATGTTCCCTGAGGATATAAACATTTTTTCCATTGGGATTTTGACGCCTTTGGTTCCTGAAAAACCTAAGAAATTAATTGCTCTTAATTCTTTTGACACACTATGTGATTTACTTAGAAATCTCAAATTATTTATATCATCCCAATTTTTCATAAATTAATACTCTTTCCTCTGATATTTTACCAGTTTGCAATTCAAAGAATAGGCATTTTAAAATTTCACAATTTTAAACCAAAGAAGAATCTTAAAGGTCATTTTGTTTTCCCCATCCCTTTAGTCAGAAATCTGTCTAAACCAGTACATTATAGATGGTGTATTAGTTTGTCCTGTGCTGCTATGAAGGAATACCTGAGACTGGGTAATTTATAAAGAAAAGAAGTTTATTTGGCTCACAGTTTTGGAGGCTGTACAGGAAGCACAGCACTTCTGGTGAGGGCCTCAGGAAACTTACAATCATGGCAGAAGGCAGAGGGGAGCCATCAAGTCACATGGTGAGAGGAAGAGCAAGAGAGAGACGGGAGAGGGTGCCAGGCTTCTTTTAAACAGCCCACCCTCATGTGAACTAACAGAGCAAGAATTCACTTTTCACCAAGGGGATGGAGCTAAGCCATTTATAAGAGATCTGTCCCCACGATCCAACACCTCCCATTGGGCCCCACCTTCAACACTGGGAACCACATTTCAGCATGATATTTGGAGGGGACAAACATCCAAGCTATATCAAATAGCTTAGGACAATCTGACATTTTTAAAAATAAAAAGACACCATATTAGTGGTAGTAGTCTAACTGCTAAGGTATAACAAACCTTTTTTTACATTTATTTACATCTTATAAAATGATTATAAAGATATTATCTAATTCAATCTTCAGGATAAGCTTGCATGTAAATATAACAGATATTTGGATTTCTGGCCTTCAGATATGTGCTTAAAAGTTAAGGTTGAATGATTTATCCACAAGTCACAATATATAGCATTAAGCTAAAACCAAACCTGAAGTCTTCTGATTCCAATCTCACAAGCTTTCCACTTTCCCAAGCTTCACGAAGATGGCACTCAAATTTCCATTCATATTTATCTCATTTCAAATATAAGCAGATATTTAGTTCAACTGTGGTGTTTAATATGTTCTATGCCACTGTAATTATATTTTGTAGGCATTGCTATCTAACAAAATGTTATATTAGCCTTTTCAATGTTATGATACCCAAATTTAAGTTTGTCCTGTGTAGACAGATAGTTATGGACTATGATTTGAAAGTTGTTAGAGAGGTATAATTACCCCCTCAAAGTGTTGTTCATATTTGAAATACTGTCATTATCAATGTAATCAATTAGGTAAAGGATATTGCCTCCAAATGAAATAAATGTATTTTGAAGGAATAGCAGAAACTTGTAGAAATATGTGAGTCAAAGGTCTTGGCAGGAAACAGAACACTCAATTTGGGTATTTCCCCAATAACACTCTGAAACAGGTTTTACCATTATTTTTCATTTGAGGAAACTGAGGCCCAGATGGCTTAAATAATTTCTTCACAATTAATTACATAATTTCCCCACAATATGTGGTTTAGCTGGGTCCCAAATCATCCAATACTGTGCTGGTAAATGGGCTAAGACAAGTGTTTGTTTGTAGTGTTTGCTGTTTTCGTTGTTTAGACACTCCTACCATAGCAGATTTCAAGCTATCAATAGAGGTTTAACAACTGGGTCATAAAATTTTTAAATATTTATCAGTGTAGTCTTGGGACCAGAGTGAATGGCTTCAGCACACCAGTGCTTGAACCCTTGCTGTTAACCATCCTGCTCTATTGCCTCTTAAAGAAAAATGAATCATAGTCTTCACCTTCAAGGTATCTGCTGTCTCTCCATGTAATAAATATCATCGGTTTCTGAAAATTGCAAAAGATATGTCTGTGTATTAAATGCCACTTGGGGAGTGTCAGAAACTCATGGAAAACAGTGATTTTAAGCATACAGTCAGGTGGATATAATCATGTGGATACACCCAAGGTTATTAGATTCCCAAGGTAATTTGGTCTCTACATTATCAGGTAGTTATAGTTCCATATACACACCAGTGGTTATTAATTCCAAAGGCCATTCGTTCTCTAAATTTACTTGCATCACAGGGTCTGCTCTGATTCAGTTTACACATCTGGTCTAGAGTTCCTCCTTGTTTGTTTTAATATTGATGAGTTTGGCTTGGCATTCCTGCTTTACATACCTGACTGTGTCATTTGCCCCTAGTTTTACCTCCTTCACCCAAAAAAGATGTTAGTTTCTTGTTTTAATCCCAGTTCTTTACCTGGTCATCTAAACTTTACAAATGTGCAGCAAGTTTTGGAGGAACTTTCCTCAATGTGTTTACTATTGAGATGTTTTTCTTACCAAATGAGGTAACATGTATATTCATAGGTATGTAGAATGTTTTTCAAAAGCAGGAGTAGTGAAATTATTAGGAAAAAGACTCCACAAACCACAGGATATAAATCAAGTGGACAGTCTGAAATTTGGTGGAAGGTGGCTGGCACATAATAGGCATGTAGAAAAAGTGGTTTATAGGAAGGAGTGGTGTCTTTGTTTGTGCTGTTTTAACAAAATATCTGAAACTGGATAGTTTGTAAACGACAGAAATTTATTTCTTACAGTTCTGGAGGCTGGGAGGTCTAAGGTCAAAGTGTTGGCATTTGACGTCTGGTGAAGGCCTTCTTGCTACATCCTCATGTGGCCAAAAGGGCAAGTGTTGTATCCTCACATGGTGGAAGGCAGAACGACATAGGAGGCCCAGCTAGCTCCTTCCAGACGTTTCTAAGGTGGTTGCTATTTATGAGGGTGGAAGCTTCATGACTTAATCACCTCTTAAAGGCTCTACCTCCTATTTTTTTTTTTTTTCTGAGACAGAGTTTTACTCTGCCACCCAGGCTGGAGTGCAGTGGTGCTATCTTGGCTCACTGCAACCTCCGCCTCCCAGGTTCGAGCAATTCTCCTACCTCAGCCTCCCGAGTAGCTGGAATTACAGGCATGCACCACCACACCTGGCTAATTTTTGTGTTTTTATTAGAGACGGGGTTTCACCATGTTGGCCAGGCTGGTCTCTAACTCCTGACCTCAGGTGATCCACCCGCCTTGGCCTCCCAAAGTGCTGGGATTACAGGAGCGAGCCACTGTGCCCAGCCAGGCCCCACCTTCTAATTCTGTCACATTGGGTCTTAGGTTCCAACATACTAACTTTGTGGAGACACAAACTTCGAAACCATAGCAACTGGGTTAACGAGTTCAGTAGAGGGCCAAATGTTCACACCAAGGGGAGAGAGAGAGGAACATGAGAAGTGAATTCACAGGTCAGGTGGCCTTGGGTCGGTGTCCTGTGTTTATAGTATTTCTTTTCTGACACTTTGCTTCCTAGTTTTAGTATACTCTTTTTCAGGTTTGAAGTCTCTTTATGCTTTTATGGCAGACTTTTAGAATAAAAAAAGTCATCATATTTTAAGCTCCTATTTCAAATTTGCTCACATCAGCCTGTTGGCTCTCTGTCATTATCTGTAGTATTCACCTTAACTATGCATTTGGTGTGTAGAATGAAAGATAATATGGTCCCTATCTAAGTGGATTCACAATCTAATGACAAGGAAGGGACACATATGGCTAATTATAAAACCTACAATTATAGAAAGGGAAAGGTGAAATGGAAGGATGAGACAGAAGTTGTCATGTTTGTGCAGAGAAGTAGTTAGCTGAAGTTGTTAGGCTCTTATAAAAGTGATGGTTCATGAGTTGTCATTTGACGAGAAGTACAATATTGTGAATTAGTTCACAGCAGGAGGCAAACGTAGCAGTAGGGAAGCTCCTGGCTATCATAGTTGTGTCAGAAAGGGGCTACCTATGTTGTCTTTGACTATGGACCTTGAAGGCCTCGAAATGGGAGTGGGGCCAGGAGTGGAGGTGAGGAGTCCTAATGACAACTCTGGCTGGCCAAATAAAAAATTTTATAACAGCTTCAAAGTCAAATCATAATGGATAGCTAAACAAATTCAACATCCAACTTTTAGATTATTAATCATGACCTCAAAATAGAGATTATGATCCCATAACATATATTGATTAGGAGCAATTATCCACCATTGGGCTCTGTGTACTTATTTTAATTAATAATGTAGCATCCTAATATGAAAAGATTGCAAAGTTGTATTTCTATTTGATTTGGCTAATTATGTAATGGAAAAAGAGGTGAACTTAAGTGGATATTGAGAAGAAGGAGAAATTTACAGTTCCTGCAGAAAGCATGGAAACAAGTCGTATACTCCTGAAATTTTTTTCTCCATATATTTTTACCTTCTAAATCCATGCCCCTCATTTATGATCAGCATGAAGTATCTGAAGTGAAATGTTTTATAGTAATTTTATTGTAATTTTCAAATAAGGAATTTTGATAATTTCTTCAATTTTAAATATATAGATACACATACGTATGTCTGTATCTCTATATATAGATATATATATATATACATATAGAGAGAGAGACATATATTCTCCTATGCTTTCTTTGCTTTGTGTACAGTCAAGCCACAAAAGAAGACCATTTTGCAAAGAGAAAAGCCAGAAAATTCCAAGAATGCCTTTATAAAACAGACTTAAAAAAAAAAAAAGCAACTTCATCCTGTCAAGTTACATTACTACAATTACAGTGCACATACATTGAATCAATTTTTTACTGAAGTGTTCTTTACCTTATATAAACACTGCATAAATCCATTAGACAGCCGTCAATTCCTGTAGGGAAAATGCAATACAATTTAGAAGAAAGTAATTTAATATAGTGGACACTGAAAAGGCAAAGTAATGAGAAAATATTTTTATTTTTTCTTTTCTTTTTAAAACAAACTTACAACAGAGTTTACTAAGCTTTGGTTAAATAAAATAATGCAGTAAGAATAAAATAACTTGAACGTCATATCAAATTATTAGTACACTGAAAATTCCCATCAGCTCTTAAACAGAAAGTGCCCAGTAGTAACCTAATCAATCATGGATATTCTATTTAGAATAAAAGATGAATGGATCTAAAGGGAAAAACAGTAGTAAATCAAAAGGAAGAGAGAGAGAGAGGAACTTGATCTCAGTCATAGATCCTGCTGGATTGAAGATGTGAATGAAACTGAATTATGAACTATTTACAAAATTCTTGGTTTCCTCTTGCCAGTTTTGGAATCTTTGTACTCTGTTTTGTGGTTGTAAATTTTGTTTTCTTTTCGTCATACAATCCAAATCAACTTTCCCCACCCTTGTGAAAACCACATTGAGACCCTATTCAGACGATTTATTTTCTTAGACCAAAAAATAACTTTCAGCTTCATTCAACTGACTCACTGGCTGCCATAGCATCCTGGTCCCTGAGTGGGGTCCATGATTAATAGCTCTTATGGGATTAGCGTTCCCACGTCATGCCTCTTCCTTTTCCAAATTCCTCAGTAATTTTGATTCTTTTCTTTGATCCCAAGAGGGCACTAGTTACACATGATCTTGGCTGGTGGCTTTTTCTGTTTGCCCCTCCAGCCAGGCTTCATGGACCCAGAGTAGAGAATCCCCGGCTGTGATGCAGCAGCCTCTATGCATACTAAAGTTTCAATAACTGGTTAACATTTACTGAATGTTTTTTCTGTTGTAGCTCACTGAATTTTTACCAAAACTCTGCAAGAAATATTGTATTATCATTCTTACTCTATGGATGAAAGAAAAGAGGCTAAGAGAGATAAAATTACTTGTCCCCATGCAATGGTTACTGAAAGATGGAGCCAGGATTCTACCTTAGGTAATTTGATTAAACAGACTATTTTTAACCACCACAGTGTTTTTTTTATAGTAGTACTGAGAAGAGAATAATGGCAAAAATAATAAAACAAAAACATAATTTTTACTTATAAAGAGTAAAACCATTTACATGCATGGCTCAATTTTTGTCTTCCTATCATTATCTAAGGAATGTGTTTTATCACCGTCTTACAGGGAAATGCAAGGAAACCATCAAAGAGATACTGTGAAGTGTGCATCTGCTAAGGGCAAATTGAGAGAGAATGACATTGTATCCTTGAAAATTATTGTAGAGATGCCTGAATATGCCCAAACTGCTTTCAGTGAGCAAACTTCCTCTTGGATCTGTGAAGCTTGGAGGAAAAGTCAGAGAACCACGCTGCTCTTATGTAAAACTATCTTATGCTCACTCGTATTGTACCAGGAAGGTTTTTTCCCCTGGGTATATATCGAGATTGTATAGTTACTCCTACTTTCTGTCCCATCTAGCAGGCCCTTCTGGGTTTCACCGAGCTGGAAAGCTCTGATTGTTTTCTCTGTTAGAAGAAAAGATAGATGGGTCATGAGGCAGGACTGCGTTTACCACTTTCTTGACAAGGAACTTCTGAGGATTCCTTAAAGATCTCTTGCTGGGCTCTCTCTTCTGTAGTTCATTTAACAAGAATGGATGCATATCTTCTTTTCGTTGTTTGTTTGTTTTGAGATGGAGTCTTGCTTTGTCACCCAAGCTGGAGTGCAGTGGCGCGATATCAGCTCACTGCAACCTCCGCCTCCCAGGTTCAAGCAATTATCCTGCCTCGGCCTCCCAAGTAGCTGGGATTACAGGCATGTACCACCACACCCAGCTAATTTTTGTATTCTTAGTAGAGATGGGGTTTTGCCATGTTGGTCAGGCTGGTCTCAAACTCCTGACCTCAGGTGAAGAATGGATGTATATCTATTGGTTACTTGTAACTGCTCCCCTGTCCCAGGGGTCCCTTCTAGGCCTTGTAGTTGTAGGTCCATCTGCTCCCTAAGTGGCCTATTAGAGCAGACTCAATGTCCTCAGCCAAACTCTCTCATTCATGGGACACATTTGGTGTGTGAGAAACATTTATGCATATCTTGTTCTAATACACTTTGGGCAAACAGGATGATCCCAATTCAATGGCACATTTCTGTTTCCATCTCCAAACAGTGAGTGCATTTCTTGTCCTTTAGATGTTTCATAAGAGATATGTTAAGCTCCCCTGTATTTCCTGGAAGCCTCCTTGCAGCTCTTCTTTCACTATGGATATTATCTTCATGGTATTTTCTCTCCATAGTAGGCCAAATCTTTGAAGACAGAGTAAATTGGTGGTTCCCCATGCCTGGGGGGTTGGGTGGAAAGGGGAAATGACTGCTATTGGACCCAGGTTTCTTTTTCAGATAATGAAAATATTCTAAAGTTGACTGTGGAGACCGTGGCATAACTCTGTGAATACACTGAAAACCATTGACTTGTACACTTCAAATGGTTGAATTGTATGGCATCTGAAATATATCTCAGTATAGCATATATATATATATAATGCTTTAATAATATATACATATATATGTATATGTAAATATACATATATATATAAAATAAAGAAAAAGGAGACCCCACCATTACAGGTTTATATACCTTGTTCTAATCTTTCAGTTGAATTGTGGACTGGTCACTCTTTGATATTTCCATATGCATATCTCACTAGAACCCCAAGTTAAATTCTTCCATCAAAATTCTTATTCTTAAACTGATATTATCGACATTCTAATCACTGAAGACTTGAAGCTTTTGGAAGAAACTTTGACTTCATCCTCCCAACTTTCCAACAGAATAAACTGGTTACCAAAAAAACAAGTCTTAAGAAATTTCTTTGGTGTTTATGAGTGTTGGGAAATTTAAGCAAAAATGGAAAATCCGTGGTGATGGTAATTTGTATCAGAGCCTCCTTTCAGGGTTATTTATACTTCACCTAAGACATAACTTTCCTTTTTCGCTGAAGTATATATATATCAATATTTGCTAGTGTTTGTAAGCCAAAGTTCTTGACTCAGAGCACCCAGTTTCAAATTCTGCCTCTACTATTCACAATCTTAACCTCTGTGGTGATATTATGTGTTAACTCAACTGGGCCACAGAGTGCCAAGATATTTAGTTAGACTTTATTCTGGGTGTTTCAATGAGGGTGTTTCTGGATGACATTAACATTTAAATGATTAGACTGAGTCAAACATTGCTCTTTATGATTTGGTGGGCCTCATCCAATCAATTGAAGAATTGAATAAAACAAACAAACAGAAACTGACCAAAGTGAGAGATAATTATTTCGTCTGTCTGCCTTTGAACTGATACATCAGCTTTTTTCTTGTCTTCAGAATCAAATTGAAACATTGGCTTTTCCTGGGTCTCGAATCTGCCACCCTTCAGCTTGGAATTTGCTCTCCTGTTTCCCAGGTCTTTGAATTCAAACTAGAGCTAAACCGCGGGCTCTACTGGATCTCCAGCTTATGGACTCATTCTGCAGATATTGGGACTTGCCAGCCTCCATAATCATATGACCCAGTTTATTATAATAAATAGATAAAATAAATAAATGAGTAAACATTTTCATGTTTTTGTTTCCCTGGTGAACCCTGATTAATCCAGATCTTGATACTGAGAGTGGTTCTGAGAAAGAAGATCTTTAAAATCATTACTAGTTTGGGTGGGGAGCAGATACTGGTTTAGCGTGCTTTTTGAGGAAGGTTCTGGGTACTGAGCAGGTGGCTGGATTTAGAGGTGGATTCTATATAGCTTTAGGTAGTGGCTTATGGTCCTCAAGTCTTTCCCCCTGCCCCCAGCTTTATTGAGATACAATTGGTAAATAAAAATAGTATATATTCAAGTTGCACGTTGTGATGTCTTGATGTACATATATATTGTGAAGTGATTACCAAAATCAAGCCAATTCATGTTTTCATCACCTCACATAGTTAGCTTTCTCTCTCTGTGTGTGTGTGTGTGTGTGTGTGTGTGTGTGTGTGTGTGTGTGTGTATGGTAAGAATACTTAAGATCTGCTCTCTTGGCAAATATCAATTATATATTTTCATTAGCTGTAGTCAACCTCCTGAATGTCTCCAGAACTTATTCATCTTATACCTACAAGTTTGTATGCTTTGACCACTATCCCCATTTCCCCCATCCCTAAACTCCTTGTAGCCACCCTTCTGCCCTCTGTTTCTATGAGTTCCAGTCTTTTATATTTCACCTATGAGTGAGATCATGAACTATTTGTTTTTCTGTGTCTGGCTTCTTTTACGTAGCATGCTGTCCTCCAGATTCATCAATGTTTTCACAAATGGCAGAATGTCCTTCTTTGGTTAAGGCTAAATAGTGTTCCATTGTGCACATATATCACATTTTCTTTATCCATTTATCTTTCAGTTGACACTTAGGTTATTTCCATATGTACACCATGGTGAATAATAATTCAGTGAACGTGGAAGTGCCAATATCTTTTCAACATACTGATTTTATTTCCTTTGGATATATGCCCAGAACTATGACTGCTGGATTATATGGTAGCTCTATTTTTTATTTTGTGAGGAACCACCACACTGTTCGCCATAAAGACTGTGCTCATTTACATTCCACTGACAATGTATAAGGGATTCTCTTTTCTCCATAAGCTTGAAGACCTTGTTATCTTTTGAATTTTTAATAAAAGCCATCCTAGCAGGTGTGAGGTATTATCTCATGGTGGTCTTAACTTATGCTTTCCTGATGATTAATGAAATTCAGCACATTTTTATATACCTGTTGGCTATTGCATGTCTTCTTTTCAGAAATGTCTGTTTAGGTTATTTTGCCTATTTTTAAGTCAGGTTATTTGTTTTCTTGCTATTGGGTTCTATGTGATTCTTAAATATTTTGGATATTGATTATTTTGCTTTTTGATTCTATTATAAGTCCTATTATCTTTTTAATTCTTATTTTCTTGGATACATGGTTTGAAAATATTTTCTCCCATTCTTTGGGGTGCTTTTTTGTTTTGTTTTCTTTGCTGTGCATAACTTCTTTTGTTTGATGTAGTGCAATTCATTTAGTTTAGCTCTTGTTGCTTATGATTTTGGTATCGTATAAACAAATTATTGACAAGACCAATGTAATAGAGAATTTCCCCTAGAATTTTTTCCAGGAATATAAAAATGTTAGGTCTGACATTTAAGTCTTTAATCCATTTTGAGTTTATTTTGACATATGGCGTAAGGTAAAAATATAATTTTGTGTGTGTGTATGTGTGTTGTTATCCAGCTTCCCCAACACATTCAATGAAGACACCATCCTTCTCCATTTTGTTTTCTTGGCAATTTTGTTAAAGATTAGTTGACTGTATATATGTGGGTTTATTTCTGGGCTTTCTATTGTGTTCTGCTGGCCTTTGTATCTGTTTTCATGCCAGTATTAGGCTGTTTTGATTACCACAACTTTGTAATATAATTGGAAATCAAGAAGTGTGCTATCTCCAGCTTTGTTCTTCTTTCTCAAGATCGCTTTAGCTATCTGCTGTCTTTTGTGGTTCTGTACGTATTGTAAGATTTTTAAAAAATATCTGTGAAAAAAGTCATTGGAATTTTAACAGGTATTTCATTGATTCTGTAGGTAGGGTAGTTTGGGTAGTATGGCAGATAGTAGGGTAGCATGGATATTTTGACAGTATTGATTTTGATCCATGAACACAGCATATGTTTTTATTTACAGTCATGTGTCACTTAATCATGAGGACACTTATGATAAATGCATACTTAGGCAATTTTATTGTTGTATGGCCAATATGGTGTGTACTTAACAAAAACCTAGACAGTATATATGGTCTACTACACACCTAGGTTACGTGGTATAGGCTATTGCTTCTAGGATACACACCTGCACAGCATATACTGGACTAAATACTGTAGGGAATTGTAACACAATGGAAAGTATTTATGTGTCTAGCTGTAGAAAAGTTACAGTAAAAAAACAGTATTGTAATCTTATGGAACCACTGTTGTGTATGTGGCTTGTCATTGACCAAATATCCTTATGTGGCACATGACTGTATGTGTGTCTTCAGTTTCTTTCATCAGTGTTTTACAGTTTTCAGATCTTTTACCTTTTTGATTAAATTTATTCCTATGTATTTTATTTTGCTTTTTGATTCTATTATAAATGGTATTATCTTCTTAATTTCCTTTTCAGATACTGTGTTAACTGATTTTGAATCTTGATTTGAATTTCTTAATTCTAACAGTTTTTTTAATGAAGTCTTTAGGGTTTTCTATATATAAGATCATGTCATCTTAAAACAATTTTACTTCTTTCTTTTTGATTTGGACGCCTTTTATTTCTTCTTCCTACCTAATTGCTCTAGCTAGGACTCCCAGTATTTTGTTGAGTAGAAGCAATGAGAGTGGGCATCCTTGTCTTATTTATGATCTTAGAGAAAAAAGATTTCAACTTTTCCCCATCAAGTATGATGCTAGCTGTGGACTTGTGATGTATGCTCTTTATTATGTCGAAGTACATCCCTTCCATACTTAACTGGGTGAAGATTTTTATCATTAAAAAACATTGAATTTTGTCAAATACTTTTATGCATCTATTAAAATGATTCTATAATTTTTGTCCTTCATTCGGTTAATGTGTATCACATTTATTAATTTGTGTACATTGAACTATTTTGCATCCTGGAATAAATCCCTCTTGATTGTAGTGTATAATCCTTTAGAGGTGCTGTTGAATTCAACTTGTTAGTATTTTATTGAGGATATTTGAATCAATGTTCATCAGGGATATTGGCCTGAAATTTTCTTTTCTTATCATGTCCTTATTTGTCTACTTTTGATATGCTGTAATGCTGGCCTCATAAAATGAGTTTGCAAGTGTGCCTTTCTTTTTATTTTTTTGTGAAAGAATTTCAGAAAGATTGGTATTAATTTTCTTTAAATGTTTGGTAGGAGTCACCAGTGAAGCTATCTCCTTACTCATTATTATTCTGAACAGATATTCCTTTATGATTCAGTCTTGGTATGTTGTATGTTTCTTGGAATTTATACTTTTGTATAGGTTATCCAATTTGGGAATAACTCTTCATAAAAGTCCCTTAGTATCTTTTGTATTTCATTGCTATCAGTGATAATGTTCCCGCTTTCAATTTTAATTTTGTTATTTGGCTCATCTCTTTTTTTTTTATTGATCTGGCTAAAGTTTTGTCAATTTTGTCTTTTCAGGAAGACAAAACTTTCATTAATTTTTTTCTGTTTTTTTTTTTTCTAGTCTTTATTTTACTTCTGCTCTGATCCTTGTTATTTCTTAGAACAGAATTTTAAGGATGAGTTTTCTGGATTTGTTTTGTGGTTTCTGAAATTTACTCTTTGATTAGATTTAAAGATGCTAATGAGTGGTGGTTAAGACCGCCACTCTGTCACTTTGGAGTTCCTATTTCTCTGCACTATCAGGCAAGAAAGGAAGTTACTGTGCTGGCTGGGCTGATTGATCCTGACTGCCAAAAAGAAATTGGACTACCAGTCCACAATGGAGGTAAGAAAATGTATGTCTGGAATACAGGACATCCCTTAAGGTGTCTCTTACTATTACCATGCCCTATAATTAAGGTCAATTGAAAACTTCAATCATCTAGACAGTTCTACTAGTGTCCTTTATAGAAGTTTGAGTTACCCTACTAGGTTAAGAACCATGGCCAGCTGAAGTGCCTGGTGAAAGCAAAGATAATGCAAAATGGACATTGGAAGAAGGTAGATATAAATAGCAGCTATAATCACAAAACAAGTTAAAGGAATGAGGACCATAGTTGTCATGAGTCCATCTTCCTTATTTTGTTATGAATGTGTGTGTGTATATGCATATCTATGTACATATGTGTGTGGAAATTATGCATACATATTAAGCAAATATCTGTTTTATTTTTCCTTTTATTCACTTTTCATGTGACATAAGATATATTGACTTCATAACATAGTATTTAAGTATTTTTAATGTTACATACAGTGTTTAAGTTATAAGATATCAAGGAGAAGGGTAGGCATCAGTGAAGAACTTCACTTTTCTGGGGAGGGGGTTAATGCATTTTTGGTTGTACACAGGAGAGTTGTATCATGTTAAGCAGGATCATGACCTTGTCATTGTCTTTATTTGAAGATTTTGTATATTTAAGAAGTATTTATGTGCTAAGTTGACGATGGGTAGACTTGTGATGGTTAATTTTATGTGTTGACTGGGCCACGGGATACCAAATACTTGGTCAGATGTGACACTGGTTATTTCTCAGCATGTTTTGGGTGACATTAACATTTAAGTTGGGAGACTGAGTAAAGGAAACTGCCCTCCACAATGTGGGTCAGCTTTATCCAATCAGATGAAGGCCTGAATGGAACAAAAAGCTGATTCTCCTCCAAGTCAGAGAGAATTCTTTGTGCCTGATGGATGCGGACTGGGACACTAGCTTTTGCTCTGCTTTTGGACTCAAAGGGAAACACGGGCTCTTCCTTGGTCTTGAGTCTGCCAGCTTTTGGAATGGAAATACAATACTGGCTTCTATGGTTCTCAGGCATTTGGACTCAGTCTGGAATTAAACCGTAAGATTTCCTGGGTCTCCTGATTGCTGAATCACCCTGCAGATATTGGGATGCACCATCTTCCATAATCACATGAGCCAATTCTTTGTTGAAAAAGTCTATTTTTGTGTATATCACATATAATATAGACAAATATATTTATGTAAATATATATTATGTATAGGCAGAAATATATATATTTGGCTATTTTCCTCTGAAGAACTCTGACTAATACAACCTGTGTTTTAATTAGGATACTTTTGATTACATATAAAAGCAACCCTGAGTCAAACTGACTTAAACTTCATTACACAATAAGGACAGGTAGCACAACTTTCAGGACTGGTTCTTTCCCTGGCTAACATTTATGCATATCTTATCAAAGATGCAGAATTTATTTTATCTGTCACATCTACCATGCTCATAATCAGTTTCATCTTCAAACTGCAGCTCATACTGCAAGTAATCTTATTATTACCCAAACACAATCATATTCAGGAGAAGAAGCTAAAACATTTTTTTTCTGTGTCCATTGATATTAATGAGTACATTTTTTTTTCCAGAAGCTTATTAGACAACTTCTCTTCATGATTGAAGAATTGGGGAGTTGGGTCTCATACAATTACTGGTATCAGTTCTATTGAAATAAATTGGTATTGGATAAGATCCCGAGAATACAAACTCACGCGTGATGATTGGGTAATTAACAAAAATTGTGACTCTTTTAGGAAGGAATGAGTAGGTAGTTGCAATACACAAATTGACTACATCCGATGGTCCTTAGTTTCTCTATTTATAAAATGGGTGGAGGAATAGTGTCTACCACATAAGCTTTTCTTGAATGTTAAATCTGATTCTGTAATTAATAAAAGGGCTTATCCCCATGATTGATGCATAATACCTACTTGATAAGTGTTAGTTACCATTCATTTAAAGATCGGTATTTTATTTTCCATTATGTACTACTCAACTAATAATCTGTAAGGAAGAAAACGATGGGGAGAGAGGAAGAGGGAAAGAGGAAGGTTTCTACCTTTCCTTTACACTTACTGATTTATTGTTACCAATCCTGAGATTAAATATTAACTGATAATGTTATGCAAACTATTTTTACCGAGCAGGACAGATTATTTTTCAAAATCATGTTTTCCAAACAGGCATTTTATTATTTTCCTATTTTTGAATAATTTTGGATCCATTGAGCGTATTTGTAAATCCTCAAAGTAATTATTTGCTTGTGACAAACATCATTCTCATGCTCATGCTCCTCTATCTGAAGTGCATAGGTAAATGTTCTTGTTCATTTCAACCATAATTAAAGGCATTTGAGGTAAAGTGTAGAAAATACTTCTTAAATTTAATGTAGGGCATAAGAAATAATGTCTATAATCATTCATTAATTATGAAAATCCCAAAAGGAAATTGGTTTACTCCATTTATATATAATACATTTTTTAAAATTTTATTATTATTACACTTTAAGTTTTAGGGTACATGTGCACAATGTGCAGGTTTGTTACATATGTATACATGTGCCATGCTGGTGTGCTGCACCCATTAACTCGTCATTTAACATTAGGTATATCTCCTAATGCTATCCCTCCCCTCTCCCCCCCACCCCACAACAAATTAACATTAAATTTAGTCGAATTACATATAGGAATATGAAAGTAATATATATTTGTAACAGTTATCTATTAATGTGCTTTGAGTGAAATGAAAGTGATTCTTAGATATTATGCATTTTGATGATCATTTACATCTTTATTTTAAAATCTTGAATGACTTAGAAACTGGTTTATATTAAAAGCCATATGTAAACTTTTAGCAACAATAACAAAATAAACAATAAAATTAACCCTCAGAATTATATATTATTTATCTACTTCTTCCATTAGATAAACCTTTAAAAATGTCTGTCTGGCTATAGTTTTTATTTTTATTGAGTTCATCTTTAAATTACTTCAAGACCTTCCATAAATCACAGTGTTGAGGCAATGATCATCAATGGATCCTAAAACTATTAGGTAAATGTTTGCGGGAGAAAAGGTCATTAACATCATCTCAAAATATCTCCAAAGATTACTTGGATCTTAGCATATACAATAAGAAGTACACAACATTAACTGTGCAGAATTCTTGTAGGAAAAAATGAAAACATTTGGCCTGAGCATAATCATGAAGAGACAATAAGAAAATATCCAGAATATGTAAAATTCTGTAAAACTACTGATTGGACTCTATAAATTACTGTTATGAAAAATAAGCCAAAAGGGAAAGATGCCTCTTCTAGCTAGAAATAGATAAAAAAGAATAATTAAATACATTGTGTGAACCTTATTGGATACCAGATTATAGAAAACCAACAACAACAAAAACAATACAAATTTTAAAACTCAACAGGTATATAAGGCATTTAAGAGCAATTGTATAATTTAACTATGGACCTTATACTAGATTTTATTGTTTTTATTTTCTTAGTTGTGATATTGATTTTATGGTTATTAAAAAAAATCCTTAGGAAATGTACATTGAACTATTTAAGAATGAAGTTTCAAAATGTCTGCAATTTATTTTTAATAATTCCACATCACTTATGTACACACAAAGAGAACCATAAATACAGCAAAACACTAAATATTGAATAATTTAGGGAGAGAGTTTAAAAGGGTTCATTAACACTAACATTTAAATTGTTTTTTAGATTTGAAAATTTCTAGAACCAAAACCTGGAAATAAAATCAGTTGTTAATGAAAACCTGAATAGTATTTGTTCTGAGATTTTATATTTTTGGTTCTTGTGATTGTAGTAATCCTAAGCAGATATAAATATAATGTATTATATTATACTAGAAAAATGTCAATAATAATCCTAGAAAGGCAATCTCAAGAAAGTAAAATTGTAAATATAGTGACGATAAAGAACACATTTAAATTCTCTATGTTTAAATGCAGTGTTTATGTGCAAGTGTATGGTAATGAGTTTGTAATGTATGGAATAATTTACATATTTTTTCTTCCTTAAGATGACTAAAGCATTTCAGATAATTTGATATATTAAATTTGTGATTTTAAGAGAATTTTTAAGAAGAAGCTATAAATTTTTAAATGTCTTACAACATTTTGATTCTGTTTTTATTCATTAAATATGACGTGTATAAATATTTAGAGAAATATTGATTCAGCCTGAACAATATCTTGGCTCTATAAAACATACAAAAATTAGTAGGGCGTGGTGGCACATGCCTGTAGCCCCAGCTAGGAGGGAGGATCACTTGAGCCTAGGAGGCTGAGGCTGCAGTGGGCCGTGTTTGCACCACTGCACTACAGCCTGGATGACAAAGTACAAAGTGAGACCCTGTCTAAAAAAAGAAAACAAACAAAAAAAAGAAAGAAAGAAAGAAAAAAAAGACAACAAAAAAAGAAGAGAAATACTGGTTAAAGTTGAAAGGCGTAATAATTATATTATGGGCTTATAAGATTAATACATTGAACATTAAACAATAGTAACAAAATACATAGAAAGTAAGGACAATATCACAAATCTAATCAAGATATAAATCAAGATATAGTCAACATATAAATAGCATATAACTCATCTCTTAATGTTCTAGTTTTATTTCTTGAAAAAAGCTTGCAGAAATTTTGCATTGATAGAGTAAAGGTCAAGTTGGGAAAACTGACATTTATTCAGTACTTCTTCCAAAGCAAGAACATTTTAGTCATCCCTCAGTATTTGAGGGGGAGTGGTTCTACGACCCCCACAGATGCTCAAGTTCTTTGTATAAAATGGCACAGAACTTGCATATAACTTATGCAATCCTTCTGTATACTTTAAATCATCTCTATCATACACTGTATTGTATACCTAATACAATGTGAATACTGTGTAAATAGTTGTTATACTGTTTTGTTTTCTATTTGTATTATTTTAATGGCTGGTGTTTTTTGCTGGTTTTATTATATTGAATATTTTTGATCCATGGTTAGCTGAATCTGTGAATGCGGAACTCATGGATCTAGAGGGCAGAGTGTATTTAATTTACCATTTTATTAAGTTATCTTTAATAGCATTTAATGGAATCTTCTGTAATTTTTCTCAGCAGTGTTTAGTGTTTTCTGAGAAGAAGTCTCATACACTTTTGTTAGATTTATTTCTAAACATTTGGTGAATTCTAGTATCATTTAGATAGCATAATTTTTATATTCTGCTTTGTAATTTAGTTTGCTACTACAGAGAAATATAGCTGAGTTGTACACAACGACTTTTTGTATCTAGCAACGTTTAAGGAAGAAAATAACACGCACGCAAACGCACAGACCTCACTTACATGGTTTGCCAGTTTTTCTCTAGGATATTTGCATCTATTTTTATGATAAACATTGTTATGTAATTTTATTTTGTGATATTATTTTCAAGGATTAAGATAAGGATCATGCTGGTGTCATAAAAAGCAGTGCTTAAGAATTACATACAATTTTTGTTATTTTTTTTTTCCTTAAATGTTTGGTAGAATTCGTAAGTAAATTCATCTCATCCTGAGGATCTCTTTGTGGAGAGGTTCTAACTAGAATCAATTTTTAAAATAGATATAGTATTCAAATTATCTGTTTCCTTGGTATAGTACATTTTTAAAAAGAATTTGTTGACTTTAAGTTTGTACATTAATTGATATAAAATGTTTCAAATATCTGATTTTAAGATGTGTAATTTCATTTGTTGTGTCTGTCTTTTCATTTCTGATTTTGGTAGTTTGATTTCTTCTCTCCCTCTGCATTTATTCCCTTAATTGGTCTCAGTAATAAATGTAATATATCTTTACAAATAACTAATCTTTATATTCTCTATGGTATGTTTCTATATTTAATTAACATCTGCTTTTATGTTGGTGTATTATATACTTCCTTTCTTCCTTTGAGTTTAATTAGCTTTTCTTTTTCTAAATTATTGGAATAGATACTAAAAATATTGACTTATCCATGTCTTATTTCCTGTACATTTAAGGTTATACATTTTCTTTTAATCACAGTTTTAGCTATATCCCAAAAGTATTTGATATGTCTGATTTTTTATTATGATTCAGTTTAAAATACCTTCTGACTTTTATTTTGCTTTCTTCTTTGAAGCAAAATTATTTAAAAGTTTATCATTTCATGTCTAAAATTTTCAGATTTTTTGATTATCTTCTGCTTATGGACCCCACATATGGTCAATTTTGGTAAATGTTGTTTGTCAATTTGTAAGGGAGTTGAATTCTCATGTGAGTTGAATATAGTATTATATATATGTCAATAAAGACAGGTTAGTTAATTTTGATTGTCAGATTTATATCCTTATTGATATTTTTGTCTGCATGTTCTAACAGTTATTGAGCAATGCATGCTAGATTTTTTCATTACAATTATGGGAGTATTATGGATTTACATATTCCTGTTTTTGGTTCTGTCAACTTTTTCCTTATAAATTTCAAACTTATGTCATTAACTTTTTATATACTTCTGGTTGCTTGAATCATTCATTATCACAATATAGAAATTATTTTCTCTCATAATTCTCTTTCCTTAAAATTGACTTTTCCTCATGTTAGTAGAGCTTACACCATGTTTTTATTGGTAAGCATTTTCTTAGGATTTTACTATCTATTCTTTTAACTTTTCTTTAATCTTCTTTATATTTAAGATGGGTCTCTTATAAGCAGCTTATATATATTTTAATCCAGTCTGATAATCTTTGTATTACAATTGGAAAAATTAATCTGTTTATATTTAATGTAATTACTAACAATTTGAGTTTTAATCTTACTTTTTATTTATTTGTCCCACCTATATACTTTTTCACTATATTTTTTGCCCTTTTTGGATTAATTAAATGTTTCTATTATTTCATTTTCCCTTCTGCATTAGATGCTGATGCTTCCCTTCTTAGTTATCCTTTTCTGGGCAGGTGTGCCAAACTCCTATCTGCTGTAAATGTAGGTTTCTCATGGCTTGAAGCTACACACTTCTCAGAAGTGCTCTCTGCAAGTTGGGATCTACGTGGATCGAAATGCCCGGGACATTAGCTAACCCTAGGTCAACAGCAGCCAATCACTGGCTGAAATGGCAGCATACAAAAACCTAGTCCCTTAACTTAAAGTTGGGATAACTCTGTCATCAATATGCTCAAGAATACCAGGTGGGATCACCTTGAAGCTAAGGTACTCCTGAAACTACACCTTTGTTTTGTTTCTCCCTTGTACTTGCCCACTTTCCTCATGCCTCACAGGTTTACTTGCAATTACTTCCTCAACAGTCACTTCCACAGAATTCCCAACTCAGGCGCTACTTCTAGAGATGCCAACCTAAGACAATCTCTGAGGCTACATATTAATCAATCTTTTACTTTCCTCTTACCAGTTATCCAAGAGTTTACAATATTCATTCTCAACTGTTAGATAAATTAATAATCTTAGGTATTTTCAATGTATTTAAAAATAATTCGATTTTAATAAGTTAATAATTTTACAATGCAGCATGCAATGCATGTAACTTAGAGCATTTTAACTTCATTGACCTTTCTTATTCTTTTGGTCTTATTTTGTCATGCATACTAATCATAACTAATTTTAAAATTCAGATGCATGTCCTTGATATCATTTTTGTTGTTTGTTCTATTAGCTGTTGAATGAAGCATAATAAAGTCTTTGCAATAAATTATTTCCATAGGAATTTCACCTCAGACTCTGCTTCTATAAAATCTGACCTAAGACATAATTTTTAGCATATCTGTGTTCTTATTTTTTATGCAATCAGTGTTCATTTAGGTTTACTTTCTTATCTCTTCTTTCTAGTAGGAACACAGGTTCTCAGACATTCAGTTAGAACTCAAGAAGTAAGATACACTGATGCAACCATCTGATTGATCAGCACTATGGAGCTGCTACTTTATTTTCAGAGGAGAAACTTTCCATGCTCATTCCAAGGCACAGTCGAGTGTCCACTAAGGAAAAGGATAATGCTTATTCTCTTTTGTTCTGGCTGTGGCATTCCCTGTTCATGCCTTCTGACAGCCATGTCCCATTGGTAGCAGCAGCTTTCAATTGGATATTGAGGTAAACTGAGAATTTTCATTTTTCTTGAACAACTTGTTGTGGATATGGGAATAAATGGAGAGGTTAGAGGTGTGTCTTCATGGCAATTTATTTTGCACATTCACACACATTTTTGTGCAATGAAACTCATCTAATTTTTTCTTAGAAGAATTAGTGTTCTTTTTTGCAGCGGTAGCATTTTATTTTAGAGATTTGTAAGCATCTACCCGGGGCCATTAGGATAACCCACATCTTTCGCAATTTACCATAGTTGAAGAGGGCAGCAATGATCTACCAACCCAAGAAATATGGTTGACGTGTCTTGGCCTCATGGAAACTTGCTGAGGCTATTTTGTGAGGGTCATTGTACTCTGCAGCTTACATTTCATCAGCCTACTCCTCCAGACATATGACACTGCAGAAAAGGGGAAATAAGTGTCTATCACAGATTTCTGTTCTATGTCTTGTTACAAAGAGGTCACTACAAGTAGGAGACTAAACTCAGATTCATAAACAACATACTGTTTTTACAAAACCAAGTACACATGAACATTTTTGAAAGCTATGTAAGTCAGTATTAATTGTCCATAAGGCACTAACTGTAAACTATGAATATTATATAAACCAGTTTTAAAATCTTGAGAGTCAGTATGAACTGACTTTTCATAGGAACATAAAAGATAAATTTAAATGTTTTTGAAAAAGACACTTTGGTTATTTTTAAATATATGAAGTAGAGGGAAGGAATGAGGCTGGAAATCTTATGAAAATAAATGACTCCTGTATTAACTAATAATTGCATCTGCCTCAGGTGCTGAGAGAGTTAATAATCACTAATGTGCATGTGATATACTTTGAAATTATTTTGCTGGTTTCCCAATTGTTTTGCTTCAGATCCTGATGATATGTAATTTTGATTAAAAAGAAGAAATAATCAGGTTGCTTTCTATGCCAAGTTTGTTCTTATCTGGTTGCTATGACAATCCCCTTTGACAGTTTTTTTTTTCTCTTTTGTGGATTTATCTCCTTTTGATGTTATAAAAAGAGTTTTTCTAGGTAAGGAGTTTGGTTTCTTTATGCTTAGAGGATTTTTAAGAAATAAAAAATAAGCTTTTAGTTAAAGCCTCCACATTCCGGGGTGTCATGTCTTATTTAAGATTTAAAATGAAAAAGTTGATCTGTTAAAAAAAAAAAAGAAATAAATAAAAAGTCTTTGGAAAATCTAAAATTTTATTTCTTCCATATTGTATGGACTAACTGCATCCTCCTGCCATTGTTCTATTCACATAAAGACTTAATTTTTTCATTTGGTTTTTGTGTTATTATTTTAAACAACGAAATACTTCTCTGGAGCTCTACTTCATCAGGAAAGCTGGATTTTAAAGAAGGGAATGCTGGACTGTGAGTTAGAAACCTCAATTCCTGTCCAAATTCCGTCACTACAAATTGAATTGACCTTGAAAAAAACCACCTGACCCCCTGTGAGCTGCGACTTTTTTCTTTGTAAAAAGAAGTTGTCAAACCACATGGTTCTTTCTGATTTTAAAACAATATAACTGGTTGGAATCCCTTTTTCATTGAAATATTGAAGTTATCTTCTTACAACATTTTGAAAAATAATTTTCTTTGGGTCTTGTTTGAAATAATAATAAATTAGGTCAACAAGTATTTATTTGGTTTCTTTTATATACTAAGCATATGGCCCACATTTCTCCAGGTAAAGTTGCATTACTTTTTTCAGAGAGCCATAATGCACACAAAGACATTGTTCTTGTAGAGAACATAGGTAACTTTTGTTGATCTATTTAAAACAGAAGATAGTAATAATTAGATGGCAGCATAATGAGCTGATTCCATTCAGATGTTTCCAAATATATTTCCCAGGTAATTTGCTGAATAGTATTCACTAGTTTAGTGTTCTCAAAACTTAGTATGCATCAATATCACCTGTAGGACTTGTTAAAACACCCTTATCCTTTCAAATGGTTTCTGATTCAGTTTGTCTGGGTATGGTGGGATAATTAGCATTTCAGATGAGTTCCTAGGCAATACTTACGCCGCTGGTTATTGTTCTGCCACCACTGTTCGATAACCACTAGGCTGTTCAATCTATAGGGTTCTTTAAAAGTTTGAGGCATTTCCTAAACTGTAGCTAACTATGGAGGTATGAATATATGTTTTAGGTAGCCATATGTTGTGTTGCTCACATCTTTGTGGATTATATAATACTTCCTGCTGAATCAAAAATTGGTTGTCATTCTAGTGTCTGTTTTGCAGAAGAAAAATGACTTAGGGTTGGATTTCTAAGGCCATATGGTATGAGGAAAAGAATAAATTCTTATCTAGGTGTATATATCCTGCAATTATGAAAATATAGGAGGCTCATATCTAGAACTCAATTATTATGTATTTATTAAAAACAAATTCACTTGAAACCTTTTTATATAATAAATTACATAAATGTATATGAATTCTAATTATAATTTTTGTGGGATATTTACCATACATAAATCAATGATTTATTATTACTTTAAATAATAACATTGGTCTCTTCTGAAGAAAAAGTGTCTCTGTAGTTGGCATACAGACATGGTATATTTTAGGACTTTAGTTCCTATGTACACAATTTAGATAGGTATATACATTTCCATATATCTTGATATTTCACACTAGGTACCCTGATTATTTGTATTTCTTTTTTCACTCATATATTAATAGTTTTGTAGTCACCTGAAAGGACAAGTCACTTTTTTTACTAGTCTTAGTGATTCAGAAACACTAGTCAAAACAAGAGGGAATATTATATTTAATTTAGTAAAACCTTTACAAAATGCATAATGAAAAGTGAGCTCAAAGCAAATGTAAATATCATCTAAATTGTGAGGCCTAGCTTGAATTAAAATTCAGCTATTCTGATATGCAGGCCAGTTTTTTTGCCACTACTTTGTAATATTTATTGGACTTCTATTATCATTAGATGATATAGATGTTTTCTTTCCTTTCCTCCAGATCACTGGAGAGTCCATAACCACCAAAACAGAGATTGGCTATCCCCTAACACATGGCTTAGGTGTACACTGTAGAAGGTCTAGATCAGATTTAAATATTATGCAAGTGTGCGTGCACATGTTCATAACTATATATGACCTAGGGACTTTACATTTGTATCCATATCCATTCTTGAGTAACTCGATATGTCTCTAATTAATATCACATTTTGCAATAAGAGTGCTCTCTCATATTTCTACTGCAGTAAATTTATGAATAGCAAACCCGATTTGATTATCTTCTGTGATAGATTACACAAATTGGGACAAGTTCTTCTCCTCTACATTCTCTGCCAATGTGACCTTTGGCTCTTCCCATCAAGGGATATAATGTATTGCCCACCTTTTAAATCATTGCTGGTCCTGTGACTTGCTTTGGCCCACAGAATGTAGCAGAAGTGACATTGTACAAGTGAAAGACCCTGCACAGCCACCAGGCGAACAGACCAAAATAGCCTGCTGGAGGACAAGAGGAGAGTCAAAGCACTCCAGCTGACAGCCAGCCCTGCCTCTCTGCAAAACTTCAGCTAACCACAGACACATGAGTGAGTCCCACCAAAGCCAGCTAAAACCATTCAGTGGATCCCAGTCTAAATTGCCAATTTAAAAAATCATGAGCTAAACAAATGACTATTGTTCTAGGCTACTAAGTTGTGGGATGGTTTGTTATGGAGCAATGGATAACTGATGCATAAATTTTTGAAATAAATTCACAATTGTCTTTCCCTATCTACCCTTTCCTTTGTTTTAGCAATTTGACTTGCTGAGCTTTGATGAGGTACATGGCAGTGACAATACTTTTCAGCTGCTCTTATGGCCATATGTGCTTATGTAATCTGGCTAATGGATTGTAAGAACTAAAGTGAAAAATTTCCAGGTGCTTGGCTTCCATTTCCTCTTCCTATCTGATTACTGGCTACAGCACAGACATGGAGAAGATCTTTATTTTTTTTCTTTTTTAGATGGAGTCTCACTGTGTCACCCAGGCTGGAGTGCAGTGGTCTGATCTTGGCTCACCGCAATCTCTGCCTCTGGGTTCAAGCGATTCTGCTCAGCCTCTCGAGTAGCTGGAACTATAGGCACACGCCACAATGCCCAGCTAATTTTTGTAATTTTAATAGAGATGGGGTTTCACTATGTTGGCCAGGCTGGTCTTGAACTCCTGACTTAAGTGATCTGACTGCCTTGGCATCCCAAAGTGCTGGGATTACAGGTGTGAGCCATCAGGCCCGGCCTAGAAGATCATTCTTTTCATAGTATGAATGAAGGCAACACTCTAGGCACAATAAGACTGAAGGAGTCTGGACTCCTGAGTGACTCATAAAGCAGAGCCACTCTCACTTCATGGAGCAACTCAGACTTTTAGGCAAGAGAAAATCTTCTATCTTACTTTCTATCCATCTCATACTTATTGCTACTTTTTTTTGTTTCTATCCATCTCATACTTATTGCTATATATTTTCTTTGTTTTTTTCTTTGTTACTTTTTGATAAAAACTCAAACTGTATTAATCTTAGAATGAAAAATCATATGACTAAAAGTGATAAAATTTATTAAGATACATCTTTTGAGTTCTTTTTCCTACTCTACACCCCCCAGTAGAGCAGAATTCTATGAAAATAATTTAATAGTCACAATGTATCATTAACTATGCTCCAGGCACTGGGCTAAGCACTTAAATTAAGTGAGATTATAAATATATTTCCAAACAAATTTATAAGAATCTGATGCATAAATTAAGGCTTATACCAGATAAGTAACTTACCGGATCCACGTATGATTAAAAAGTAGAATAATTATTTGAACCCAGATATTTTTGTCTATAAAACCGTAAGCTAGGTGGTCAGTGAGGTTCAAACTTTGCAAAACTTTCTTTGCTACAGATATTTAAACAGTGAAGCTCAAGAAAAACATTTTAGGCTGGGTGATAGCTAAAGGAATTTTTTAGAAGATAACAATGAATTAAATTGCATTTTCGTATATTTTATTTGTATATTTGCTTTGTAAGTCTTTACTTGCCTTACATTTTTCCAAGTAATTATCCCAATTTTCCATTTCCCTATACAGTGCCTGTTTAATAAAACCTATTTTTTTTGCCACAGGTATGTTTTACCATCTTAATAAGCAGCTTGACATCATTGTTCCAAGATGGTAACAATGAGAGCAGAACAGTTGGATATACCATTGTTGATTATGCTTAATTGAATTGTATAAAAATATCTCTAAGTATTGATAAAGGTTAAAATTGAGTAGTACTGGATCTTGAAGAAGTTGGACATATTGCAATCAGAGCTAATTCATAACATTCTCATCAATTGTACTGCAATTGCATGACAACTTCTCAAGAGCCATTGCATTTTGAGATGGAAGTCTGAGCCTGGTATTATTGTGGGGACTGTAAGAGTGTATATGTGTATGTGAAGATGTGTGTGTGTGTGTGTGTGTGTGTCCAAACACATCCATTTATCTACTCTGATTATCAATATAAAAATCAAACCATAAAAATCTGTTGTTTTTGTCTATTAGGTATCGCAACGGAATTGCACAATCTGGCACAATTAACTATTCTGTTCAGGGCCTTCCTATTGTGGCAGGTCAGGTTTCTGGAACATTGTCAGAGCTGGGACAGAAGGCTTTAACAACACCTGCTGGTGCTGTGAACAAAAGCTTATTGGGTTTATACAGTGTTTTTCATCACAGGGTATCAGTTAGCCTCAAAGAGGAATACAGAGCTCCTATTCACAGCTCAAGAGAATGCTTTTCTTTTCAAAGCCCAGCGTGTGACTCACCTATATTCAATGTCATATGGACCACCCTCCTCTTCAATCCTGGAAGGGCCAGAAAAAGTGATTTGCTATGTGACATCTCCAAATTCCCTTTGCCCATTTTGTAAGTGTGAGAGATAGTTCTATAGAATCACATCTGGAAGGGATTGTCAAATGTGCGATGCGACTGAGTCCAAAAATTAGTTTCGTTTAGAAATATATTAGACAGTTCTTATTCAGTGAAGATAAGGACAAGCAGTGGTGCAAGCCAAATGGAACTATTTAGGGAGAGCATATAGCTGTTTCTCTGGAGAAGCTATATTTTTAGCAGGACAGCCCTCAGAAAACATGATTATTATTTTGACAAAAAAGCCTTATTTTCTTTACAAGGATCTTCATGGACGACTGACTGACTGGCTTATTAATTGAGTGTGTGGTGTGGGGTGTGTGTGTGTGTGTGTGTGTGTGTGTGTGTGTGTTTAGATTTCTGATCTCTCTAAGGGTAGTTCTTCCAGGCAGCTAGTGAACCAGACTGTTCCTAATTCCTCGTCATCGCATTGATTTCCCTCACCTCAGAAATGTCCAAATCTGTTCTATGTATCGTGGTAGTGTTGTGTAAAATGCAACCCGACAGGAATATTTAAAATTTGCAGAGCTGTACCATGGGAACTGCGGTGACTTGTGCAGGCTGCTGGCATTGCCATGTGCAGAGCCTGGCTTCTTAAACTCATGTTGAGAACATGGAGGACTCAGGCCCTGCAGGTAGACTCCTGTCAGTTCCCGTCGGACCATTCTAATACAAACAAACAAATAAACAAGAGCCTGGCAATGAGAAGAGAAACAACAGCCCTGGCAGTTTGGTATTGCTGGAGCACACACACAGCTGCTTAGGCTTTGTTTCACAGTACAGAGTAAATCTCAGGAAATTTCCTCATAAAAGACAAAGAACTAGCGCGGGGGAGTCTTAAATAAGAGAAACAGACTCTGAGAGGTGTCAGTATAAGTGGTTTCGAACAAAGGAAAATGAAACAATGTTCACCTTAAGAATCTGAATTATCTCTTGTTTTCCTAATTGAGTAAATGGAAAAAAAAAAGAGACAAGAATAAAAAAGTAAGTACTTAAGTAAGTTTATAGAAAAGATGAAGTTCTGAAACCATGAATATTGGGAGAGATGAGAGTGAAAAGAGAAATTTTAATTTGGCGTTCACTAATCTGAAATTATGTCTATAAAATGCTACCATTTTCTGTAAATGATGACAATTTTCTTCTTTCATTTTATGAATAGTTCCCAGAAAATTAATTATTTAATGCATACATTTAATGCACATAAGTGTCCATTATGCACAAGATACTTCATTGCAGTGGTATATATTATTAAGGCCCTCCTGTAATTCAAACAGAACCTTAGAATTTGTATAATAATAGTTGTGGGCCTAATTCTATCATGAGTTACTGTGGGCTTTGAATAAATTACCTTGAGAAAAGGATGGACAAAATTACCTTGGATGTTCTTTTCAGCTTTAGAGTCAGATAATTTCTGAAAGTAAATGGTGGCCTCACAGCGAATCTTGATTCTACTCTCCACCACACAGTGTCTGTATTCACTCTTCTGTTTGAAACATACCTAATCTATCAATCTTTTCAGTCCCTTCTGATACTTTCACACCCAATAATATTATCTGGTTTCTATTGTCACCCTCTTCCCCTGAAAGTCTTCCTAATGGGTGTGAGATGAGAAGGATTGCGAAGTCAGCGCATGTACAATATTGAAACGAGGTAGAAAATAACAATGTGAATATTCCATCAGTGGCACCTCAGCGGTGTCTTGTTCATACTCGTTTATTTTAGAAATATATCTGCAAACCAGAATATTTTATAAACTCTGTATATTTGGGATACATTTCTGTTATATATTGTACGCTGTATAATACATATTTCTCAAGATAAGGTACAATGGATGTTTATACACTAGCTGATTATTTTGCATATCTATGACATGAATTTCTTGGATTAATGATGAAATTTAAACAGCTTAACTCCAAAAGATTAAATGATTGAAACAGCAGATCAGATTCAGCCAGGTCATCTCCTCTATGCTTTCTCCTTTTTTTCTTTCCATGTTATGTATTAGGAAATATGGACCAGTCATGGTGGCCCACTCCTGTACTCCCAGCACTTTGTGAGGCCAAGGTGGGTGGATCACCTGAGGTCAGGAGTACAAGACCAGCCTCGCCAACATGGTGAAACCACGTCTCTACGAAAAATATAAAAAATAGCAGGGTGTGGTGGTGCATGCCTGTAGTCCTAGCTACCTGAGATGCTGAAGCAGAATAATCGCTTGAACCTGGGAGGTAGAGGTTGCAGTGAGCTGAGATCATACCACTGCACTCCAGCTTGGTCCACAGAGCAGGACTCCATCTCAAAACAAAACAAAACAAAAAAACAAAGAAAAAGAAATGGGATATATATCCAATAAACTTGTACAAGATAAATTCAACTCTAAAATATGATATATGGACAAAATACATAAATTGTCAAGAACTGTCAAAATTCGTGTCATCAGTGAGAATACCATGCCATCATTACTATCCTTCATTAAGATAAAAATGCCCTGTTGTTATCACTAGATTCAGACTCCTGTTGTTATCACAGCCTAGTCACTCGCAAACCCAGTGGGTTGTTGTGCATTATCTCAAATTGTTCTTCAATTTTTTATACCAGTGCATTTTAAAAAACATATGATTATTTTTGGAAAAACATTTTACAGTCATTCTATTGTTTAGATAATTTTGAGTAAACTCCCGGATATAGATTTATTCTTACCACTAATATTTATCTTTTACTTCAAGATGAGAGCTTTGACTTTAAGTTCATAAATGATAAATTTTTTGTTACATTAAGCATAGGGCTTCATACAAAATAAAGATGATTCAAAATGAATGCAAGTAAAGATTGCTGGTGAAATGTTATGTCCTACATGAGAAACACAAAAGGTTAGTGACCAACATTTTATTTTGTGCTTGTCCTGCTTTAATAGAGCAGATTGTCATCACAGAAATTATTCATCAAATTAAGGAAATATTGTTGGTTTAACAGTTTTAGAGAAGACCAGTCATAAGTGCTAGATGCTGTGTAACGAGAACCACTAAGACATTTTCCTCCCCACAACCCTCACAGCCTGACCACTGAAGATTGATTTATTATCACATAAACCCTGGCACAGATATTTCCCATATTAGTTACATAGATAGCAGTGAGAAACATCAGGTAGAAGATGATTAGATCAAATGATACAGTACATTCTTCTCAGGGAAATAACAAGTGTTCATTAGAGGTAAATGGCCTAATGGCATTGGTGAAGAATTATTTCTTGAGTTATTAGTTTACATTTGGTCTATATTTTTTCTTCTTTAAGCAAGTAACTAGGCAGAAAAGGCCTGAGATGGAATAACACCACCACCACCAACAACAACAACAACAAACAGAGAAAAATACAACTGTAGACAGCTGGAAGAGAGACTTTTGGTAAACTATAAAGAAGCTGAGGGTCAGCTTTTTCCCACGTGTAGCAGAGATTCATGGTGACAGTCTCAGGTGAGATGGCAAGTCCTCAGATAGCCGCACGTGGTGTCATTGGGGGTATAGTGCATTTGGAGGCAGAACTCTAGACATAGGGATTGCCAACATTGTAACAAAAATTCACGCCTTAAGCATAGAAGCAGCAGAATCATCAGAAGAGTTCAGCAAGGATAAAGAACCTTGTACTGATAACAATGTAGAAAGGTGAGTCCCCATTGAAGGGGGTAGGATGGCTGCCAGTGTTTTTTGCTATATGAGGCTCAAGAAGCTTTGTACTTGGGGAGGAAACTTTAGTAATGCCTGAGATGGAATTTTATGCTAACCTTTATTTTAAATACATATAAAGAATATGATAAATATAAATGAAAAGCTTGAGTTTATAAACCAAGATTCACATCTGCTGTCATGGCTGATATAGATCAAAAAACCATTTAGTCTGGAGTTGATGAGTGTCTAGAAGAGTTTCATGAAGAAGATGTGTCCTGAAATGAAGTTAACATACTCATGGAATGGCCTGACAATGTTGGTTTTCAAAATAGAGGCTAAATGCTCCCTTTTGGAAATACAAAATTTATGTTCCATGGACAATTGAAATCAAGATCATAATTAATTATTCATAAAAAGTTCGATAATGCTATTATGCAAAGAGAACAATTCATTTGCTAATCTGCTTTGTATAGCCACAGTCTTAATGTGCTTTGACAAAAATATCTATTATTTAGAAGAAAATCATAATACAGTTATAAGCCACTGAAATTTAAAAGAAACTTAAAAGATGTCTAATCCAACCCAAACCTGTGCAGAAATTGTCTTAACAACATTCCTGATAGGTAGCATCTCTTTGAACAATATTCCCAATGGATAGCATATCTTGGAATATATCCCTATCAGGGATATGGAACTTAGAAGTAAGACTAGCAAGTTAATGGAAGTGGACAGACGATCCCAGTGTTGCAACTATTTCATACAAACAGAGGCTGGCAGGCAAGGAGAAACTGAATGGCATCACTTGCAAATGTCAGATCACAGACACGTTTTGCATTCTAGCAATCCTCTATCTCTGTATGATCTGTTTTGTTTGGGTCTTTACACTTCCCAGTGAAATTTTGCTATAATCTATAACAATGTGCTCCGGCTTAAAAATTTTTCATTTAAAATTTCACTTTCTATAAAGTTCTGTTTTATTTCATAAATTTTAAAATTTGAAATTCCAAACAAAAATAATTCACTGATGAATACTTATGTTTGGCTTTCTCTATTTGTTCCAGGCTTTTCTCTTTATTTATTTGGGCCAGCCTATTAAGTGAGTCACAAATATATCGAAAGAAGGCCATTACCTTTTATGTCTCTTCTAAGTAATCTCGGATTTCACTACTTATACTAGAAAATATCTTAATAGATTTATTTCTTTTTTTATTCTCTAGTGAAAGAACATTATTTTCCAGTTACTATATGTGCATATAATTGGCTTATGTACTCTGACAATTATGTGGCTAATGCATTATTATGTTGGCCTAAAAGTAAGGAGGCTACTCCCTTGTATTTTCACTGTTATGTTGCTACATATATGCGAAGTGAGCCCTGCCTGACAAGTGAGAGAATTTATTGGTCATCATAGTGCCTGTACAATCCATTGCATTTGATTAAGGCCAGCCATTCAGATTAAAGACTGGAACCAAGAGGAGCTTTGAAATGCATTTTTTGGATTGGGTGGTGGGTCACAAAGGATACAGGGAAACCAAAGAATTGCTTGGAATGGTGAGAAAATACCTCTCACTCCCCACAGATAGGCAGGCAGCAGGAAGGGAAAAAAGCCAAGAAAGGTGTCTGTGATGTTGTAACAGAGTTTCAGGGCTAGAGGGTAACTGATGTTGGATCAGAGCCTTGAAAACTTTGAAAACAAAGTTGTGAGTTTTTAGCAATTTCTGGAATCATTGTGAGTTTTTAGCAATTTCTGGAATCACTGTGAGTTTTTAGCAATTTCCAGAATCAGCTGCTATTGGCTATTTGTTCATTGAATTTAGAGGATTCCTTTCTATTAACTCCAACATTAAAATAATTTCTTATAAATATCTGTAACCACCAACATAAATTCTTGATACTTCAATATTTTAATATTTTTTGATATTGATTTGTGTGTGTGTGTGTTCATGGAGAATAAATACCATTTTTCCTGTTGTTGAGAATTGTTCTTTTTCAGGCTTCAAAGTCTGTTTCTTGATCTAGCACCATCTGTCCATCAAATAGAGAACATTAAGATGTAAAAGTTTATCTCCTGTAGTACCTGTCAAAAGGTTATATCCATGTGTCAGAAGATTGTAAACTGCTGTCATTTTTCATACTTCCAATGGCTTAAGGAATTCCTGATTATTGAACACAATCATTCAATGACATTTTAATGACATCAAGTAAAATGCAACATGTTAATATGCTTAGCACAGTGCTTGCAACAAGTGAAAATATTGTCACTGTCATTTTCATTATTTATTAACCAAATGAGAAAACACATGAGGAGAATATTCACACAGTTAATCAGAAAGCAGCAACTTATTTTCACTTGCATACCAGGAAGTTTTGAGAATCATTGGAAAGTAATGACAAGGAATGTTTATTGCTGTTTGGGAGACAGTTATATTATAGTGTAAATAAATTGACTAAATTTGCCTTTATGGGTTCTAGGTACAAAAGTTAGCACCATTAGTAGTTAAGGGGACTTTCAAGTGCATCCCCAAGCTGCCAAGCCTGTTTGTTCACTTATGTTCTGTGGAATGCCTCATACAACCATTGTGAAAGGGAACTGAGGAAGTTGAGGAGCTCGGAAAACATTACATGATTTATTTGGTTGAAGATTTTGCCTCAAATTTTAAAGTGCCCAATGATGAAAAATTAGCGTCAGTTGAACTCATGTGATCATTACATACCTTTATTTTTAGTTACTTTAGAGGATAATCTAAATTAGAAATTAAGGTTTGAGTTTTAATCCACAGCATATAATAAATAAACTTGGAACTAAAAAAAAATCAGAAAACCATCAATAAATACTTATACAAGTCCCTCTTAACACCTAAATTCAAAACAGCAATTACCTTTGAAAGCTAAAGAAGCTGGTGTTTTGAGTCAAGGCTTGGAGAGATTTGTCAACCCTAAAAGTAACTAAGCGAAACCCCTTAAGGCTGATGAGGCAGAAATACCGTTGCCAGATAAAATATAGAATACCCAGTCAAATTTGAATTCCAGACAAGCAGCAGAATTTTAGTATATGTCCCGTGTAATATAATTGGAGCATACTGACACTAAAAAAGTGCTTTTGCATTATGCCTCATGCAATATCTGGGACATTCTTATACTAGAAAATTATTCATCAGTTATAGGAGTTCACATTTAGGAATGATCTATCTTTGTTGTTGTTGCTTTTGGTTAAATCTGGTTACCCTTGGCAGAAGGAGATACTGAACATTGAGTGGAATCACTGCATATTCCCAAATGTTTCTTTCTGTCATAAATTCAGGCTATAGTAATGGTCTTTAAAGCATACTCTGAAAAAAAGCCCTATTGTTTTCTCAGGAGAAAGCTGGATCTGGAAGGCTAGGTCTCCAGTGCATGTTTTGTTTGTAGTTCACAATGCAGACAAGGCCTCATTGCGCAAAAGCTGCTGTCATCCACCCTATTGATTTCTAGGCCTCGTGGTCTTTTGTCCCTTTGCATACACCGTTTTTCCTGTCTCAGATTTCCAGAAACATTCACTTCTGCTTGTTCGAATTCTACCTTCATTTCAAGGCCACACTTGCTCATTTGCTCCTGTGGTAGAATGTACAAATAATTATCCCATAGATCAAAACACTTTTGAGAGTGAAAGCAGGTCCCATTGTTACACCAGGAGTATAGGTATAAATTGGAACTCTTTCATTCAAACTAGCATAGATGGTCACCCTCCCTGTGACACTTTCCTGATCTCTTCCACACCACCATTGACTCTACCATTGGCAATCTCACTCCACCATGGACTTCTATAGCACTGACTGATTGTCTATAGCAAGTATTTTGCCATTTGGCATACATTACTTCACTTTTTTTATTACATACATTACCTTACATCTTCTTCCATGTGAATATTTGTCTTATTTCTCATTTCAAAATAGAGTGACAATTTTGAAATGCGAGATTATCTTACATTTTCTGCTTACAGAATCTATCACAGAAAAACCTCCTACGAAGGAGGCACACAATGAATATTTGTTGACTAACATATTCTTAAACTCCAGATCTACTAATGTATTCTAATAAATATAACAAAATTCATTATTACACAGCTATGGAGACATGATGGGTTTGATCATATCACAGGGCTTGTTACGGAAAATACTGATATATATGGTCATATGCTGTGACACTGAGGGACCTAATTTTCATTGTCAGCTTTTTCATGTATCCTATAATACAATAGAAGAGCTTATATTGTTTCCATGTGAGCATGTTTGGGGCTACAATCAACATGCATAAATTTATTTTGTACGTATTTTTATGGCTACTAGTAAACAGTAACTTGCATTTTGGAGTTGATAACTCTTAGTGTGGATACCATACTGAGGAAAGATTAACTTCTGTTATCCTCTTTTGATATTTCTTTCTTCACTTTTAAATACTAAGTTTCTCTTGATGTGTGCTTTTTTGTATTTGAGTATGCATATATGTATGTATATTTCTATAGTCTCAGTCATAAATTTGAGAAAATGAATATAAAAGACTGATGAGATTTTTGTAATGTCCTCTTGTATAGTTAGTATAATTGCCATGAATTTGGCCAGGTATAGCTAAATGATATTTCAGGCAAATAACTAATAGAAAGCTTTTTACACAGTAATTTCCTGGGTAAGGTTCAACAAAATGAAAACTCATCAGAAGCCCTGCTGGGATTCCATCAGCAAGCATTTATTTGTAGTTGCATGTACACCTGCTTACACAGTAATAATACACTAGTGAGTTAAGTCACTATGCCAATGCAAATTAGCTTTACTTTGAATCTAACACTGGAATCTAGCAGATATTCTTACCAGACAAATGAATTGCCACTAGATGGATAGAATAAACTGGAAAAAATGCTATAGCATTTTTCTGTTCCTCTTGTTGCTTTAGCTTGTGGATACTCTTTTTTTTAGAAAACCTTTCCCTCTGTAGCTCCCATCATTTAGATGAAGAATTTGAAGCAATATGCCTTGCTCCATTGGTGCAGCAATACTGAGCAATACAAGCATGCCATCTGCAATTGTGATTTTTCAGCCCAAGAGATACTGTGCTGTTCAATTCAAACTTAAAATCAATCCAGCAAATATTCGTAGAGGACCAACTATGTGGAAGGTATTGTACTAGGTCCTGGAGGTAGAGGGAAGGTGTATAAGACAAGTAGGGATACGACCCACTGCAAGAGACTTCTGATACAGTAATGGAGATAAGATAAACACATGTCTATATGGCAAAGCAGAAAACTGGAAAAGCCACAGGAGAGTCACAAAAAGTACAGGACAGGAGAATAACTGAACCCAAGTCTCTCTAATTGGCAAAGGATGAGTACAGGAGATAGTTATCAAATTGTCTTAATGCCTGGAAGGATTTAAATATAGTGAGGTGAAGGAGAGGGAAGAAGGGCAGTACTTTAATATAATGGGCACAGCATGAGTAAAAGAAAGAAAGTGGGAAAGCAGAACGCCTGTTTGGGCAAATAGCCAGGAATTCAGTTTAGCTGGAGGATAGTGTGTTTTTTTTTTTATAGTAGCAGCACAAGATTAGCCTGGGAAAGAAGGAGAATTCATAGATCTAATTATCAGACATCTTTTAAGAGTATAAAACATAAAGACACTGCCAGGCTGAGAAGCTAGGCATTCACTCCATAGGTAATGAGGTCTCCCTTATTGAGATCCGTCTGTGTGTGTGTGTGTGTGTGTGTGTCAGTGTTCAGAATGGCATTCAAGATACAACTTTGTAAGAGCCCTTTTGTAATCCAGACTTTATATTTTTCTGCTGGAAATATTCCAGCTGTATTTACCTAAAGAAACATAAAAGACATTTATGCTAGTATCGTCTAAACTTGCTTAATATGTAAAATTAACTCCCCACTTTGTTATTTTATCTCGTCTTCATTGGATGATGTATTAGATTCCTAGGGCCATCATATCAAAGTACTACAAACTGGTTGGCTCAAAATAATATAAATGTATTCTCTCTTCATTGTTGTGCCTAAAAGTCCGAAGTAAAAGTGTGGGCAAGGTTAGTTCCTTCTGAGGACTCTGAGAGAGAATATATTCCATGCCTCTCTCTTAGCCCATGTTGATGGCCAACAAACCTTGGCATTCCTTGGCCTGTAGATGTATCACTCTACTCTCTGCCTCCATCGTCATATGGTGTTCTTCCTGTGTCTCTGGGTCTGTGTCCAAATTTCCCTCTTCTTATGAGGACACACATGATATTGGATTAAGACCCACCCTAGTGACGTTCTCTTAACTTGATTAAACATGCAACAGCCTTATTTCCAAATAAGGGGTCTCATTTATAAGTATTGAGGATTAAGACTTCAAAATATCTTTTTTTTTTTAGATGATGAGGGCAAAATTCAACCTATAACAGATGACTATGTTTTTTAATACACCAAATAATTGATATTCTTACAAATGAGCCTCAGTTTCTTCATTATATAATAGAGATAATGATACTACCTTCATAAGATTGCTTCATAAGATTCAAGATGTTAGAAGTTTAACATCTTGTGAAAGATCTAGCATAGGCCATGGTTACCTGTGTGATTAAGGTACAATAAATATTAGTAGACTTAATTCAGATAATTATTTCCAGAGGAGCTTTAGAAAAGGATTATTTAATTATATTCTGTACAATTGCTGAAGTACCAAATCTCAATCAGTTTAAAACAAAATCATAAGTATATAGAAGTGGCCAAAAGAAGCACATGACTCCAAGAGAACATTTAGTGGTCCTAGAGCTTTCTTTTACCTTGGGGTATTCCATTAGAAAACCAAAATATAGAAAAATTGTAAAGTTGATGTCCCCCAATCCTGCTTTTCCACTCTGCAATAGTCTTAACTATATTTATACCATAAGGCAATTGGATTTTGGCTAATTGCTGAATTTTCTCAACCTGGTTGCTTACGGCTTTCCCCTCTCTTTATATGTATTTTTCTCTCAGTATTAGATGGCTAGGTTTTAATGGTCTAGATAATTACCTGAATTTTCTACGTTTGTTTTTTTTTGCCCTTTGGCACTAGCACATGCAAAGTTAAAATTAATGCAGGGACATCATCTGGCACATTTTTCCAATCTTAAAAAAGTAAATTCCCAAACCTCAATTGAAGTATTTCTATTTTAGCCTGAATTTTCAAGATGATTGCCTCCTCATGCCTCCACTTAATTTGGTTTGTATAGATATAATCATATGAACAAATATGTGCGGATTGGAAGGCTTCTTGACTGTTAGTGAGTTGGGCATTCATAAGGGATTGTATATGGGAATTCTGGAATTTATAATCCTTTTCAGTCTGCCATTAATTAAAAGTGCCCCAGAGACAGATTGAGAGTGACCCAGGGTTAAGGGGCTGGAGGTTAAGCCTTTTAGCTTTGAGTCTCCCGTTTGAATCTGATCTAAGCTGGTAATAAACAAGAACTACTGCTATTTGATATCAGTTTGGTGACCCATGTGAAATGAATTAGTAATCTCAAGCCTGTTCTGGTAGACAGGTGTCCTTACACAGTTGGAGTTGATAGCCTCTGCAAAAGAGTCCAATAACCTAAAAAAAGATGGAAAGCAAAGGACTTCTTAAATATTCTCTTGTCTTGCTAAGATTGTTGTGCAGTAACTTGGAAAAGTACGAAGGCTTAGAATTTCATATGCCCAGCTGGTAAAAGAGCCACGTGAATAAAAAGTGATGAAGGTGGGCTTATAAGACTGAGAGAGTGGGTCAAATGAGAATCAGGTGGTAGGTCTAAGAGAAATTTAATATCCGCAGCTTCTCTTTTCTTCCCCTCTCTTTTCTGTTTGGCTGTCATGGGAATCTGTGTTTGTGGAGGAAACACTGATTGTGTTTGCCCAGGGCAGATGTGTATACCCCCAGCCTTCAAATTTAGCAGTGGCAGGACAGATGGACCTGTGCCTGGGTGGAAAGAAAGGGAATGGTGCTGGTAACTCAGGTAGGAAAAGTAACACCATGACAAGCTGTTTGTTTTGTTTTGTTTTCAGACTTGATGTGCCGAATTGAAATAGAAAAACTTTCAGGAAGTTTTGAGGCAGGCTATTCAGAACTTCGCTTGCTCTGATTTTGTTGTTATGTTAATTGGGTCCAGCAGTACCTTCACCCACTTTTTAAATAATGTATATTAAGGTGGTTGTGTGTGTGTTTGTGTATATTGAACTCCAGAAAGGGAAGCCCTGGGAAATTAGAGGAAAGAAATACTCGATCCTTCAATATACCTACATTTTCTTCATAATAATATGAATCATTAGCACAACCTATAGCTTGCTATTTTTAATGATCATTGAAGATACTATAATTTTTTTTAGCAAAAATTACATTTTCTTTCTGAGTCAGGTTTATAGATTATTATTTTTTTTTTAAGTCCCAGCTTTATGTGTGCTATATGCTAGTGCTGGAGAAGGCATGATAGTCTTGTTAGCACTTTTTTTCTTTTTTTTTTTTTTTTTTTGAGACAGAGTAATGCGCTGTCACCCAGGCTGTAGTGCAGTGGTGCAATCTGGGATCACTGCAACCTCCGCCTGCCGGGTTCGAGCGATTCTCCCGCCTCAGCCTCCCAAGTAGCTGGGATTACAGGCAGCGCCACCACGCCCAGGTAATTTTTGTATTTTTAGTAGAGACGTGGTTTCACCATGTTGGCCAGAGTACTCTAGATTTCTTGACCTCGTCATCCCCCTGCCTCAGCCTCCCAAAGTGCTGGGATTAGAGGCGTGAGCCACTGCGCCCGGCCTGCACTTTTTTTTTTTTTTTTTTTTTTTTTTTGAGACAGAGTCTCGCTCTGTCGCCCAGGCTGGAGTGCAGTGGCGCGATCTCGGCTCACTGCAAGCTCCGCCTCCCGGGTTCACGCCATTCTCCTGCCTCAGCCTCCCGAGTAGCTGGGACTAAAGGCGCCGCCACCACGCCCTGCTAATTTTTTGTATTTTTAGTAGAGACGGGGTTTCACCGTGTTAGCCAGGATGGTCTCGATCTCCTGACCTCGTGATCCGCCCACCTCGGCCTCCCAAAGTGCTGGGATTACAGGCGTGAGCCACCGCACCCAGCCACCCAGCCTGCACTTTTTATCTTACACAATTTTTCAAAGATAAATTCATCAATATGTGATGGATGCTACCACAAATGCCATGTCTAGCTAAGGTCTAATCAAAGAAAATTTATGAAGAACCTATGAGTCTCTTTTCTTGATTCTCTTTTTCCTTATAATGTCTTACCTTTGGTTTTGATTTCTTTATAACTCATCCAGAACCAAGTTATTTTATCTAAATTTTTATTTATTTGCTTGGTGTTTGCTTTGTGATGCCATTGCAAATAATTTCACATAGATGCTAATGCCTGATTATGGATTAAATATAAAAGTTGAACCATATTAAATTGCCTGTATTTGGCCATCAATTTCATGCTCAAACCAAATCAATTTCATGTGGCTCAGCCTTACGCTTTGAAATTTGCATATAAACAGTGGAATTCCAATGTATGGCTATGATAGGGAATTAGGTTCATGGTAGTCAGCGTCAAAGATATTTTAGGGAATGAAGACCTTTTATTGGGAGCTTCAAATTCCCATCATGAAAGTTATTACTATTACACACAAAAGGGGCCTCTATCTTTCTTAGAAATGGCATATATGTGGTCCCAAAATATTAAAAAATAATTGCAATATATAATAATTATTGGTTCACTTGGAGACTTAAATTTTAAACTTGAAATAATACTTGCTATAATGTTATTTCAATGCCATTTTTTGGAAAAATTAGTTTTAAAATAAATGATTTGTCATAAGTTGCTGTCTATTAATTATCTCATTAAACTGTCATATTTCCTTTAGTCTTGACAATGCCTTAATATTCCAGGAGACCGTCCAGAAGCTATTGGGATTTTGAAGCTATTTCCAGATAATCAGATATACCAGGTATGGTGTTATCTCCATTTTGAAAACAAGTAAACTCTTGATTAGAGGCTAAGTAACCTGCCCAGGGACCCAGCCAATATGGTCAAAACTGTGTTTCAAACTCAGTTCAACGGACTTGACACATATTTCCCTGAACCACAGAGGAAACTGGCTTCTGGTGACATCACGTTACATTTTCTGCTTCAAATGCTCTTTATTTTCAGCCAACATAATTAAGACATCACTGAAAATCATATTACAAGCTCTATCTAAAACATATTTTGAGACTGAAGTGGGGAAATGCGTTTTCCAAATAACTAAGTTAATCAGAAATGATTTTTGCTTCAATCCTTGCGGTTAGACATTTTTCTGCAAGCTTATTTGCCTGCTCTCCAGCCTTAAATTCCGCAATTGATATATCAACACATGCATTCAGGAAATATTTACTGAACATCTACTATGTATCATGTGCCTCACAACTGGGAAGACTAACGATAATTGTAATGTGTTCATGTGAAACATATTATGAAGTGGGAGATAGCAGGTACAACAGTATACTGATTATAATTCGTCTTTTTAATCTGAAGTTCTTTTATATCTCAAGTCTATAATAATCAGAGTTAGTCTCATTATATTAAATATAATGTGTATTCGGTGTAGGAATATGAGCTAAACCTCAAACTTTCTTGGGCATAGCCAGTATGTAACATTTTGGGCTACAAACTTTTTAAAATAATAATTCGATTCTACGTTTGAAACTACATTGCTGCAAAAGAAGGAGTAGGAGGAGTTTGCAAAGGAGGAGAAAAAAGAAAAAGGGGGGAGAAAAGAAAAAACCTTAAGAAATATGTGTTAACCATATAAATATTTGTCAACCCCCAACTATGTGCTAAGTATAGTGCTAGTCCCTGGGTGGTCAGAAAGGAGTTGTATTAGAGTAACAAACAATAACACAAATAATTAAATCAGTGGCAAGTGTGCTGTAATCAAGAAAATGTTAAAAAAATTTTGATAGAGTTAATGAAAATGTGAGAATAAGTAACATAGAGTGAACTAAATGAATGAGGAGCTGATGTTTAATCTGAGACCTGAAGAATGAAATATGCAAGGAGAAGGGAATCAAATATGCAAAGCGGTGAAGACATTCTAGGAGGAGGGAACAGCTCGTGCTGAAATTCTGAGGTACAGCCGAGCACAGCATGATGCAGGAATATAAAGAATCTCACAGAAGCTGAAGCTGATACCAGGAAAATGAGAGAAGTTACTGAATTGAAGCAGGTATGAATAGGTACCTTCAATCCAGATATTTTTACTCTACTTTTGCTCCTAGATCTACGGAAAAGTGCTTCACTAAGACCAAGGAGAATGCCCTGGGACTACAATTCCCATGTGTCACTAGAGAATAAGGGAGGCGTCAAAAACTAGCCTAGGATTTTTGGGGGGCAGAGTCCAAAACTGAATTCCTTATGACTCTGTAAACAAATACGTGCTTCTTAATGTCTACCCGATAATACGATGTAAGAGGGCTGAATAAAATCTTATGTAATATCACCTATAGTGATGTTCCCTGTAAGACAAAACAACATTGAGAGAATAAAATGTATTTTATCCACCCATTATAGAAATCACTTTGCTCACATCCTCAGTTTTAGCCAAGAAAGTAGATTAGCATAAGTCCCATTGGATTTCCTATTAATGCCGTTCCATGAACCATTTAAGAGGAGTTTTAAATTTGATCTCTTCTCTGTTTCCCTGAATACATCTTTCAAAAAAAAAATTATTTTCTAGCCTCATGGACACACGCTACCTTTAGGTCAATAAAATTACTTTTCCTAGCTTTTCTTTACTGGGAAAAAAATGTGTTAGCTTACACTGGATTGCTTTTTTAACCATGAAGGTAATTAAGGGTTATATTTTGCAATGGGTTTCCAAAACTGCAATCTCCAAGGACCTATATTTGTAACTGCATTTTCAGTTGCCGATTAGATAAAGAGTGTATCATGCGAATCCACTTTAATGTGCTCAGAGCTACAAGGTAATCCCTGTGTAAATTTGGTGTTGAAGGGTGCTTTGTAGGGTAAATTCACTTTCAATTGTATTTGGCCTATTTGAGCCATGATTTGACTTCTGATACATTCTAACATCTGCATTATAATGAATTATGTTCTCATGTAATTTCAATGTTTAAAATATTTGTAACAGTTAAGGTGTTACCCAAGAAGTTCAAATTAAAAAAACAAAATAAGGATTTAATTATAAAATACAATAGTAAATTAAATAATAATTTCAATAGTAAATCAAGGGAAATCTTTCAAGAAACACACATTTTAGGTTTTCTTGTAACAAACCATGTAAATTATAATTTAACTAGATATAGTGAACATCATTATGCCTTTAATGTTTTGTTGGTAATAATGTAGTGTAGTTAGGTCCGAGGGATCCATTCAAATATTTAACAACTTTTGAGCATATAATGCATGCCAGAGAGTAATCTAAAGGATAAGAAAAAGAGATTAATATGAAGTAACCCCTCCCCTCAAAGAGCTGACAGATTCACCGAAAAATAAATTAAACGAAATATTATGGATTTTATGCTGGGAGTACATTCATAGCACAACGAAGTAACAAAAGACAAATATTAAATATGGAAAGTCCAAAAATGGATTCCATTTATTTATTTATGATGTTTAAAAGCATTAAATAATTATTTCATGTTTTCATTTAAAACTTTTATGTTAAAGAAACAAAGGACTACTAACATCAATATGAGTATTGAATATACAGTTAATCTTCCAAAAATCATCATTCATAAAATGAACAGTAGCCAGGTTTCAGGAATACAGATAAAAATGTTATTCAAATGTAAGTGTGTATGTTTTAATTTGAAGATCTAGGATAAAATTATAGTCTTATCACTTTGTAGCCTATGAAATGAAGAAAATCACTTAACCTCTCTGAACTCCAGTTTTATGATGAATAAATATAAGTATCATTTACTTACCTGCTTGTCAGTGTCATCATAAGAAAACTCAGTAAGCTAATGTGTGTGAAGCCCATATAAGAATATTTGAATTCTAGTTAAGTCTATTACAGCATCTAGTCCATTGAGGCATGTCGTGTAATGTAAGTTTGGGCCTCCTTTTACTGTTAACTATGTCATATTCTTCTTTGTATTCTCAGCACCTAAAAACATAACTGCTGCCTAATAAATGTACGTAAAATGCTTGGTGGATATAAAATTGGTCTACTGTTTCTGGTTTCTATATAAGCCTGGATAATGTATCTGAATATTTAATGTTCTTTAGATGAAAGGGAAAGCTTACCATTTGAAAAATATTTGTATTTTCACTGGGAACGTTTAATATGTACATGTAGGTATTCAAGTATAGTCTAAATATTTAATTTTTAACTAGCCTTAAGGCTTTGGTTCTTATTTTGAATTCTTAAGCTGATAATACAAAATACTATGATAACTATATATGTTAACCATGCAGAGAGATTCATTGTTAAACTTTCTAATAGAGTAACATTATTCTAAAAGTTATTCTAGACAAACACAGATGCACGCTTAAAAAGTATACTCATATTCTGCATGTCCTTTTTAAATTTTATATTTTCACTAAACATAAATAGTAAACAACATATGTCAACAATTATAATGATCATTTTTTAAAAAGTTGTATAAGATTCTACTTTGTGGATATACCATATTAATAGACAATTTTGTTTCTTGTAAGTAATGATTTAAAATAATAATGGATTTCTGCCTTTTATTGCATTATTCCCACTAGCAAATAAATATGTTCCCAACAGCAAAAAAGTTTTATTCATGTAAAAAGTTAATTTTTAAAAATAGTTTATTAAAAATGTTAATGGAGTTAATATTTTAAATTATTGATAAAGAAAATATATGTAAAATATATAAAAATAAAATAATAAAAATAATGAATAAATATAATTTATAATATGTAAACACATTTTTAAATATTTTTTAAAAACTATCTTGACCACACCCTTTTCTGCATCCATCATCTGTTTCACACTATAAATTAATATCTAAAAATATTTGTCTACACTATGATCTTAAAACATTTTTTAAAAGAATTTTGAAAAACTATATATCCACCCCTTGTATGTTTCAATTGATCTTTAATTTTTTCATTATAAGTGTAAGTATTTGCAAAGATCAAAATATTAGCAAATTAACATTTTAACAGAAAACACCAATAATGAGACATATTGACATCATGTTCCTCTGGATACGACGCTCTGAGAAGGATGTAGCATCAGTTCTATTAGATTCCTGCCCCAAACGCATAACCTGCATTTAATCAAGGAGAAATATTATAAAAACCCCAATTAGGAAAAAGTTTAGAAAATAACTTTTCTATGTTCTTTAACAGTGTCAAGATGATGGGAGACAAAGAAAGAATGAGGACCTCTCCCAAATTAGAGGTAACTAGGAATATGTGCTAACTGAATGCAATGTGTGATCAGGATTTAGATCCTAGACCAGAAAAACAATGAGGCAGATAGAGGGAGCCACTTGAATAATATCTGTTGCTTAGTGTTAAATCAATGCTTATTTCTAGATTTTTGTTGCATTTGTGGTTATGTATGAGGTTAACATAAAGAAAGCTGAGAGGATACACAAGATTTGTATTTACTATTTTTGCAATATTTGTAATGTCTAAAATGATCACAGAATAAAAAGTTAGAAAATAAATTTTGAATAATTTTAGTTTCAATTAATGTTTGTATACAATTGATTGTAAGCTATAAATATATTAGAAATTTTGATAAATATTTTAAGAAGAGTAAAATTATTTGAAATGCAATAAAAGGAAATTCTTTTTCAGTGTATATATTTTCCAGTGAATATTGTTTAAAACGATGTAGGTTCAAAATCAATTTTTCTCTTTTGTTTTGATTTTGTTGTGGTTTATAAATGCAAGCACTGAAATTTTATATTTAAGTAAGTTAAAGGATGGGAAAAGAATTTTTTAAAATCAATGAGAATTTATAAACTTTTTATTTTTATGTCCAATATAAAAAAGTATTTGTTATAAAAAGTATTTTTTATAAATTAATAGCTGACAACTTTATCTGATTCTCCTTAAACTTGCCTAAAAACAAATAACTCAAAACATTACATTTGGATCATTCACTTTCTCATTTTGGTGAAAAAATATGAAAAATATTTTATTGAAATATATCAAATTACTGATAATTTTTTAAAAAACTAGAGATAGTGTTTAAATCAACATAATCAGAAAGTGCGAGGAGAATTAAAATGTTATTAATTTCTAAACACCAGCAGTATTTGTTTTTAATAAAATACTTTTCTTGCATGTCTTAAAATATTTTTAAATCTTGAAACTTCAGATTTAACTAATTCAATTATGGAAAAATATCTACAATATAACGTACTTCCTAAAGCTGGTTTTCATTGTCAAACCAATCAACCAGATCAGATTTACTTTCTTCCAGGACAAAGCAAACATATACAAGCAAACAAACATGGAATTTCTCAATTACATTATTGAAAATTTCAAGGAATATTATTAAAAAATTAAATTAAGGATTGAAAACATTCTATAGAATAGGTTACTAAAGGCAATTGATATAATGTAATTAACTAATGAATGTTTATTACTAGTTTTAAAACAAGTTATAATAATTTAATGTTATATGTGAAACTATATCTTTCAGTTATTTAGTAGGCAAAAGTATGGTAAATAATATTTTTTATGAATATATGTACATTTATATTTTGAATTCCAGTTTTCAGTTTTGGTGGAATAGTTAATCATGTATAAAGTTCAGAAATATCTCCATCAGTTTCATTAAATACTGTAGCAATCTTTTCCTGCTTATTTAATGAAAATAAAAATATTAATAAAAATTATTTATTATCAGCTACCATGTAATTTTAATTTTCAGTTATAAGAAGTGAAAAAACTAGAATTTTATAGATTAAGTAAGATGACTATTGACTGTGATTGCAATAAATATATAATTGATAAAACAGGATGAAACCTCTGTATTGAGTAGAACATACGTAACCTAAAAAGATCTCAGTAAAATTTTTCTATAAATTTTTATCTATTATAAATGAACATTTTTTGCCTTTTATTGTTTAGTGATCTCTATCACTAAATTGCCTGTCAGAAAATGTGTGCCAAGTTTCATATCAAACGTGTGTTAAGTGACAACTTTTCCGATACTGATATTAAAATTATTTTTAAACCTCATCAACTGATAAATATATAATAGTAATGCATTGTCCTACTTTTAAGCTTTTTGATTTTTCTGTACATTAGATCTATTTTCCTATGTGTATTTGTCAATTTGATTTACATATATATGATAACTTGCCTGTTTATGTCTCTTGTCCATTTAGTGAGTGGTTTCTTTTGTTTCTTTGTTAATTCTTAGGTCTCTCTTTTTCTCTGTCAGTGTGTTTGTGTGTGTGTGTGTGTGTGTGTGTGTGTGTGTGTGTGTGTGTATGTGTAGGCTATTAATCCTTTGTTAGTCACGTCTGTTTCAAAAAGTTTCCCCAGTTTTTTCAAAAAACTTTTTATTTAGATATTACTGTGCAACTTGTATTAAAGCAATTCAAGAAACTGTAATTAATCGCTTCTATTAAAGCAATTAAAGAAAGAAGAAAGTTATATGACTAGCTGATTCATGGTTAACTGCTATTTCCATGAATCTCTATTAACATTTGAATTTGTCATCCCAATTTTCTAAATATCAGCGGCCAGTTTTGAGATATAAAAACTGAAGATTTTTAAACTATGTTTCTCTTTGATTCTCTTATGCTCATATAAGGTAAGCAATCTTGAGAAGGCTGAACTCTAATCAACAGTTAAGAAAGTTGAGAAGCAATCAGTTTATATCACAGATTCCTCCAAAGCACAATTATTGGTCTAATCTCACCAGTATTAGGAGACCAAGAAGCTGTTAGGAATCCCTTCCTCCCCCTCCACTCTTCCCAGTCTAACAACTGCTTCTGTTAGAGCCAGCTGAACACCAGGGGTTCATCATTCTCTGGAGTGAGTAACAGAGACACTAAGCACAGCTGAGCACAGAGACACTTTACTGAATATGATGGATTTTAGTGAAGGTTTATAAACTAAATGTTTTGCTCTCAGTCCTCAACCCCCACACAAATACCACACTAAGCCCCACAGGTAGGATATTTTTGACACTTCTCTAGGGACTGACCAGCCTAAGTGAAAAAACTCTAAAACTAAAATCAGAGATTCTGCACAGAAACAGATCAGAAAAGTCAGTCTACAGTAAAGAACCATACTCAGTCAGCACCCCACAACACAAAGGAAGTTTCCATACATTGTTTTAGTGCTACATTTATAAATATAAGCAGGCTGTCAAGAAACATCAGAAAATTAAGAAGAGAATCTGACCTGAAAGTTTGCCTTAAGGTAGTAGCAGAAAAACAACTTTCAGAAAAGAGAGGCCATGCAATCAGAAACTTGGATAAAATACATTTTTGTTTTTAAATTGAGAGACAAGAAATATTGCATCCAAAAATGAAAACTGTATGAATGAATTACCAGAAAAAATAGCTTTTGGCAATTAAAAATATAAGAGCAAGAATTAAATAACTTTACAGAAGTGATGGAATATAAAGTTGAAGAAATCTACCAGAAAGTAAATTTTTTAAAAAGAGACTGAGAAATTAAAATAAAAAGATAAGAAAATTAAAGAATTAGTCTAGGAGGCCTCATATCTGAATAATATGAGTGTAAGAAAAGGAGCACCAAGAAGAGGAGTAAATTATCAAATTACTAATTCAAGAAGTTCTCATAATTCTGATATGAGTTTTCCAATTAGATGGTCCATTGATTACCTAGTAAAATGTATAAAAATAGACACATGATAAGGTATATCATTGTAAAATTTCAGAACACTGTGGACAAATATTTAAGTCTACGTATTTCCAAATTGGAAAAAGAAATTGTTTTCATACAGAGGATCAAGAAACAGAACAGCATCAAACTGCAATAGTGGCCAACACTGGAAGCTAGAAGACAATGGGACATTGCTCTAAAATTCTGCGAGAACACTAAATTCAATACCTAGTTAAGAAATCAACTAATAATGAGGGCAGTAAAAGATATTTTCAGGCATAAAGGCTATCCAAGAATATGATTTAAATAAGCCCTTTTTCAGAAAGCTAGTGGAAGATTTCTTTCTCTGATACCAAAGAGTAAACTTAGAAAAAGGGACATGGGATCCAGGAAAAAGGAGATTCTACACAGGGAAAGTCTAGAAAATCCCAACATGATGGCGAAGGGACATCCCAAGACCATAGTCACACCTTAGGTTGTGGGAGCAGTGGTGAGAGATTTGTAAAAAGGATCACAAATGATAGAACATTGGTAAAAGAGGATTAAAGTGATAGAACAAGTAATAGATTTGAAGATATTGCAAAAGAATGTATTCAAATTGGTGAGCATTTGAGGTTAAATTGAAAACAATGCAAATGAATAAGACAATCCAATTAAGAGAAAACAAAAAGTTCGACAAAAGAAGTATAACATTTTGCGTGGATCAGCTATAAATATATATTTCCCTCCAAGAAAGGCAGACTGCCATATACAGCACCTCATTGCTGTGTCTGGAGTCTTGGAAGCTGGACTACTCTGTGTTCTACAGACAGACCTAGAGAGTTTGGAGGCTCTAGCAGCAGAGCGCAGAAGAAAGATCCTCATGGCTCAGGAGGGAGGGCGTCCTCTGAAAGAGCTTCTGGAGGGAAGCATGGGGACTGGTGAGGGAAAAAAGAGACACCAGCCTAGCCAGCCAGGTCAGTGTAAATCTACACTGGTGATCACTGGGGTGACAGACGTGGCAGCCAGAGTGCCTTCACATCCAACTATAAATATTCTTAAATGGAGTAAGCTGTTTCAAACACTGAATAATAATTAATAAAAATGAAATCAGCACTATTTGGGGAGAATTTTGTGCCTAAGAGGGGAATGGTGAAAATGTTAAATCCTAAGCTTTTATATATTAAAAAAAAATCAATGGGTAATATCTAATAGAAAATCAAGAGGTACTGATATAATCAATGTTTTTAGAGAAAAAGATAAATATTTTAAAACTTGTTAATAGATATCAAAAACAGGAAACAAGAAAGGCTGAATTCATAAAAGGTATGTCAACTATTTGACTTTTGAAAAAATTCACTGTAATCTTGACAAAATTATGACTTTTAAAAAATAAAACATAATTTCAGTAAGAGCAAGATAAAGATAGTACTGAAAATATAAGAGAGTTGAGGATAATTTCAGGCTGAAGATTTTGGAGGAGGAGAAATACAGAACGATACCAGAATCAAACTGTAGCTTTGATGGTGGATAGCAAAAAGCAAATGCAGTTGAAGCTCCAGGAGCTGAAAAGGTTGAGAAACTGATGACACTGTGTTGGAAAGGTCAACATGCAGAAAATGCCATGAGCTGCTCCATCCTTTTGGGGGAACGCTAATGAAAAAATCCAAAGGAAAATTCAGTGTGCTGATTGATAGCTCTAATGCCTGAGGGGGGAAGAAAAAGAATCACATGATTTAAAGTTAAGGCAGTGAGGCAAATGAAAGTTGAAAATCGGTACTAAATTGTAAAAACACCTGAACTAGCAGCCTGTTGAAGTATTAAATTCTAGCATTCAAACACATCTTCCCAGGAGTCTGCTCCTCTAACTTGGATGCCCACGAGTTTATGATTCTCAAAAGAAGAGTTCTCAGGGAGAGGGAAGATTTCATCATGGTTTACAAAACAGAAATACAATAAATAAAAGTTGGGTTTCCTTTTCTATCAGGTTTCATACATTTTGTGCTAATATCCTGACTTCTAAGGTGGAGACACAGCCAAGAGTGAACATTCCATTAGAATCTCAAACCATACTAAATAGATAATTTGAAATTCTTTGCCTCACTCTTTGTATGCCACATTCATGTTTTTTATCATACTGATTACAATCAGAAGAAAGTATGAGATAAATGCTTGTTTTTTTTATCACGATACATTTGGATAAAAATAATGAAAACTGAATAACTCTCTCACTGTAAAGCTTCATAGAACAGTCCAACTGTTGCAAGAAGAAGGCTACCATAGGTGGATTTTCAGAGTCACTTAACTCTGTGGCTAATGTTTTTGTGGCAGCCATAATATTATGTGGGGAGAAGTTATTTCCATCTTTTCTTTTTATTATTCTTTAGTATTTTAGCAAACGAGTGTAGCAAATTGCCATGGGGCTAGGGGAGAGAAAAGCAGAAAGCAGGATGATGATTTTTAGATTCTATCTTGTTTTTTATCCTGAAAATATAAACCAAAAAAAATGGCTTCAGGAGTCGTTGAGGGAAATCATATATGGAATTCCACTGTGGAAATTTTATAATCACTTCCCTAAAAATAACTACAGTTTAATTGCCTATGGAAAAAAATCTACATGCATAAGAACCACTGTGGAAAAAGAAACATTGTGATGAAGAAAACAAAGAGAAATTAAATTCAAATCAGAGTATTTGCTTAATAGCTTAGGCAGTTGCTAATGTTTATATATTACACTGTGAATTATAATGCTTAGATAATGAATTTGTTGCTTTTTGAAAAGTCATGAACATTTCAACTCACAACTTCTCATACTAAACAGATATGCAAATACTGTTAAGATGATTCTCTATTTTACAATAAGGTTAATTTTGGTAAAAGGCACATTAACTCTATAATCATAATAGGGCTAATCAAGGCTGAATTTGATAAAGAAAGCAATGAAGGTAAATGTTAAAGAAAAAAATAGCCAATTTGGATAATTTAGGCCAATGTAATAATTTTTGTTTTTAAATAAAAGGGCTGGATTCTTTTGGCCTGACCTAAAATGAAAAAGGGATAATTTCTTTTCACTTACCTTCTTTTGCAGAATTTATTAAATATATTCTGATTGTGTATTATTATAGACTTGAAGTTGGTAAGAAAATCTTGAAAGTATATTATTGCTATCAAGCTAATATTGAATATATATTTTGATCAGGAAATGTGATAAAACTTCTATGGATTATCTTCACTTCAGTTCTAATTTATTTCTAAACGTATTTGAAGATGCTTGCATATTATATTCTATAAAGTATTTGAAGATACATGTATATTATATTCAGTACACTAATTAGATGCTAATATTAAATGTTTATTTTTAACATTAGAAACAATTTTAGTTCTTAACAGTTTAAAAGTAATCTGCTTAAGACATCGTTCCATCTAAATCTGAATATATGATATATTTCAAACATAGACTCAGAATTTTGAAAAATGAAGTGACTTCTGGTCCCATAGGGTTCTGTCTGCTCATATTTCATAAGAGGGGACTGAGGCTCAGTGAGGTTACATAATTTGACTAAATTCACATAGTTAATTAAATAATTATGCTTTGGAGATATATATTTACATGTCACAAATGTAAAATCATTACATGTATTTATAAATGAGAAACAGACTCAAAGTGATAATGTGACTTGTCTTAGGACAGATAACTAAATGTTGGAAGATCTGAAAATCAATCATGAGTGTGTGTGTGTGTATATATATATGTAAATTTTTATTTTAATAGTTTTTTGAGGTACAAGTGGTATTTGGTTAAATGGATGAATTGTAAAGAGGTACATTCTGATATCTGATTTCACCTGTCACTGTAGTAGTGTATATTTCCAGGAATTTATCCATTTCCTATAGATTTTCTAGTTTGTGCATGTAAAGGTGTTCATAGTAGCCTTGAATGATCTTTTGTATTTCTGCGGTATTGGCTATAATAGCGCCCATTTTACTTCTAATTTAGCTTATATAAATCTTCTCTCTTCTTTTCTTGGTTAATCTTGCTAATGGTCTATCAATTTTATTTATTTTTTCAAAGAACCAGTTTTTCGTTTTATTTATCTTTTGTATTTTTTTTCCAATTTTATTTAGTTCTGTTCTGATCTTTGTTATTTCTTTTCTTTTCTGGGTTTGGGTTTGATTTGTTCTTGTTTCTCTAGTTCCTTGAGGTGTCACCTTAGATTGTACATTTGTGCTCTTTCAAACTTTTTGTTGTAGGCATTTAATGCTATAAACTTTTCTCTTAGCACCATTTTTGCTGTATCCCAGAGGTTTTGATAGTTTGTGTCACTATTATTCAGTTCAAGGACTTTTTAAATTTCCTTGTTGATGTCATGTTAACCCATATATCATTCAGGAGTAAATTATTTAATTTCCATGTATTTGTATAATTTTGAGGGTTCCTTCTGGAGTTTATTTCTAGTTTTATTTCGCTGTGTTCTGAGAAGATACTTGATATAATTTTGAGTTATTAAAATTTATTGAGACTTGTTTTGGGGCCTATCATATGATCTATCTTGGGGAAAGTTCCATGTGCTGATAAGAATGTATATCTGCAGTTCTTGGGTAGAATGTCTTGTAAAGTTTATTTATTCTAGTGTGTCATTTAAGTCCATTGTTTCTCTGTTGACTTTCTGTCTTGAAGATCTGTCTAGTGTGGTTCAATGGTATATTGAAATCCCCCACTGTTATTGTGTTGCTGTCTGTCTCATTTCTTAGGTCCAGGGGTAATAATTCTATGAATCTGGGAGCTCCAGTGTTTAATGCATATAAATTTAGCATTGTAATATCTCTTTGTTGAATTGATCCCTTTATAATTGTATAGTGACCATCTTTATCTTTTTTTTGCTGTTGTGGCTTTGAAGTCTATTTTGTCTGACATAAGAATAGCTACTCCTGCTTGATTTTGGTTTCTATTTGCATGGAATATTTTTTCTACCCTTTAACCTTGAGTTTATATGAATCCTTCCATGTCAAATGAGTCTCTTGAATACAGCTGATATTTGGGTTGTGATTTTTTTAATTCATTCTGCCATTCTGTATCTTTTAAGTGGAGCGTTTAGGGCATTTATATTCACTGTGACTATTAAGATGTGAGGTTCTGTTCTCTTCATCATATTTATTGTCACCTAGATATTGTTGTTGTTGTTGTGTTATTGTTTTGTAGGCCCTGTGAATTTTGTACTTTCAAGATGTTCTATTTTGGTGCATATCTGGCTTTTGTTTCAAGGTTTAGAACTCCTGTTAGTATTTCTTGTAGTGCTAGTTTGGTAGTAACAAATTCCCACAGCATTTCTTTGTCTCAGAAGATTTTATTTCTTCATTTATGCAATTTAGTTTTATAGGATACAGAATTTTTGGCTGACAGTTATTCTGTTTAAGGAAGCCGAATATAGGACCCCAATCCCTTCTAGCTTGTAAGGTTTCTGCTGAGAAGTCTGCTGTTAGTCTGACAAGTTTTCCTCTGTAGGATACCTGATGTTTTTGTCTTACTGCTCTTAGAATTATTTCCTTCATGTTGACTTTAGATAACCTGATGACTATATGCCTTGGTGAGGATCTTTTTGCAATGAATTTCCCAGGTGTTCTTTGAGCTTCTTGGATTTGGATATCTAGATCTCTAGCCAGACCAGGGAACTTTTCCTCAGTTATTCAAATAAGTTTTCCAGACTTACTATTTCCTCTTCTGCCTCAGGGACACCAATTATTCTTAGGTTTGGCCATTTTACATAATCCCATATTTCTTCGATATTTAGTTCATTTCTTTTGATTCTTTTTTTCTTTATTTTTATCTGATTGGGTTAAATCAAAAGCCTTGTCTTTGAGCTCTAAAATTATTTCTTCTGTTTGTTCTAGTCTTGTCAAAACTTTCCACTGTATTTTGTAATTCTCTAAGTATGTATTTCATTCCCAGAAGTTCTGATTGTTTTTTCTTGATGATATATATCTCTCTAAAAAATTTTTCATTCATATCCTTAACTGTTTTTTATTTTTATTAAATTAATTAATTAATTTATTTATTTATTTTTGAGACAGAGTTTCACTCTGTCACCAGGCTGGAGTGCAGTGGCGTGATCTCGGCTCACTGCATCCTCTGCCTCCTGGGTTCATGCCATTCTCCTGCCTCAGCCTCCTGAGTAGCTGGAACTACAAGCACCCGCCACCACACCCAGCTAATTTTTGTATTTTTAGTAGAGACAGGGTTTCACCATGTTGGCCAGAATGGTCTCAATCTCTTGACCTTGTGATCCGCCTGCCTCGGTCTCCCAAAGTGCTGGGATTATAGGCGTGAGCCCGTACCCGGCCCTGAACTGCTTTTTAAATGTCTTTATGATGGTCTTCACCTTTCTCTCATATCTCCTTGAGTAGCTTAATAATAATAGACCTTCTGAATTTCTTATCTGGTATTTCACAGATTTCATCTTGGTTTACATCCATTATTGGAGAGGTAGTGTGATATTTTGGGTGTTTGTGTAGACTATTTCTTCTAGTTGTTCTTGAATTTGTTTTTGATTTGCCTGTGCTTGTTGTTAAATTCTTTTTTCCCCTTAAGGATAAGACTTTAATGTTTATAGTTTATCATAGCCTAATTTGGTTCTTGGTGCTTTCAGAGGTGAAGACTCTGTAAGAGTTCCTTGGTTATAGAGAGTTCGTATAATGGCTTTCTCACATGTTGGTAGCAATGTGCTCAGTGTGTGCACAAGTTTGCTGTCTCCTATGGGGTTGGAATAGTAGACGTCTCTTAAAGCTTTTCTCATTCTTCCATGGCATGCATTTTTATATTTATTTATTTTCTCCCAGTATTTTATTTACTGGTTTGATGGTTCAGGCTTCAGTTCAGTAGGGGAGGTTGTAGGAACTAGCTGTGGCTAAAGCAGGTGGGTAAATGCAATACCCAATGGTAGGCAGAGGTCTCAGCCTTGATAGAGGTGGCTGGAGAAGCTCTCATGGAGTCACACTACGGTCTTATCGGGGGAAGGGTTGGGTCTGCACTACGGTCTTATTGGGGGAAGGGTTGGGTCTGCACTACGGTCTTATCGGGGGAAGGGTTGGGTCTGCCTCAGCTCCCTTGCCAGGTCAGCAGGAAATTTATCTACTTCTCAGATACTTCTGTCCCAGAGCTCTAGCTATTCAGATCAGATAGGCACTTCTTCTCATGTGTAGAAATGTTGATGTTCCAAGTAGAAACAAATGTAACTCTGTCTCTCGTGCAAGCCTGTACTTAGAGGCTGCTCCTGTGGGGATGCAGTCACCCTGATGTGTCCCAGAAAGGCTGTCTATGGTCACACCCATGCCAAGCTCACATGGGAGGAGTCTCAACTGTGCCAGTGGTGTTGGGTAAGGGGGGTAATGCATCCTCTTCTCCAAGACCCTTCACATGAAACAGGGTTGTCTGAATGTTGGGTTAGAGCTGAAGACTTACCCTGCTGAACCCAGCACTGCAACTGCGGCTCTGGTTAAAGAAACTTCTCACCAGTGAAAAGATCTGGTACTTAAGGCCTGCTATCTAGATTCTTTTGTCCCCCAGGGTGTTCCCTTGATGGGGTACACTCCCTCTTCCCCTAGGAGTGGGAGTCCCTGGGAGCCAGACTACTGTGAGTGTTAATTCTCCTCTGGGTCTAGAGGCCCAGCGAATTTGCCACAATCCAGGCTGGTGCTCAGAAATGTCTGCAAGGCATCTGGTGATGTGACATGTTCTCAAATTTCCCAGCAGTGGGTGGCAGCATCAGCTCTAATTGAGATGGCAGGGGCATGACATAGACTTCACGAGATTTCTTGGTTATTGATAGCCTTAGTATGTTGGCTTTCTTGAATGCCAGTTATAATAGTAATGAACTGGTCATGTGGACAGACTCAGGACCTCCTGGTTAGCCAGAGTGGTGCAAGCAGTGGTGATAGCTGAGATTGCACAGCCATTTTCTCCTTCCTGGGCACAGTGTTATTCTACCAGGAGATGCTGTAATGGACTGTGTTGGTTGGCCTCCAGCCAGGAGGTGGTGCTTTCACAAGAGAACCAGCTATGGTAGTAGCAGTGGGATTTTTGCTTGCCTTATGTTGCCCAGGGAGAGTATTCTGGTTTCTTAGATAATGGTCAGGGCCATATAGCGCCCCAGAGTTTCTGTCTTTTGTGTGAAGCTACCAGAGCAGGTGGTGGGGCAAAGCCAGGTGGGGGCTGCATCAGGAAGATTTGTGCTCTGAGTCTCTGCCTACAGGGCAAGGAGCAGGAACATTTCTTGGGCCACTGAGTTGATATTCCAGAGGGGAGTGTTGCTGCCTCTGCTGCACAGAAGAGTTTGCACAGGGAGTGGGGAGCAGTGGTGAGTGGTAAGCCCCACATGGTTCCCACACATTTGAGGAGGCAAATGTTCTCCTGCAGTGTTCCTCTGGCAGAGGTGACCTGAGTTCCAGTCAGGCTGTACTCAGAACTCTCAACTACCCTGAGTCATAAGCTTTCCCTCCGGGGACAGCAGCCACAGCTTTCAGGTCACACCTTTCCTTGTCCACTGCCAAGCTGGGCCCCTGGCTCCTGTACCCACAACTGTACCCGCGACTCCTACACTTGCAGGTGCAGCCTGCTTTTCACTCTTTGCTGCCCTGACCCTGGCCAAGGGAGTTGGTCACCACAGGAGGTTATATTGTGAAACCCCATTTAGGACTTTTTTCAACCTGCGACCACTGCCTGCACTTTTTTGGCTGTCCTCTGCAGGGTCCCCTGTGAGGAACAGTAAGGAATGGTTTACTTGGTCCATGCTAGAATCTGGGAGTGCATGCAAGGGTCTTCCTAATGCTGCTTCTATTTTTAAATTCTACAACCCTCTGCAAGTCAGTTCCTGTGCTGGGTGGAGTTAGGGTTTTCCTCCATGGCCTGGACTTTCAGGTCCTTGGTCAGGGGGTGTATCCCAGAGGCAGCCTCTCCCCCTGTCACACTGGGGACTTGCAGCCCTTCACCTGACTCACAGTGTAAGCTGCAGCCGCCTGCTTCCATCAAAGAGTCTGTAGATGCCTTCAGTTTTCTTGTTCAGTTCCTGTGTTGCTTCTCGAAAAAAAGTTCACAGTGTGAATTTCTAAACCCTATTTTGTCCATCCAAGTGGGAGAGGTATGCTAACAATGCCTCTAATCTGCCATCTTAAGAAAATGATTATCAAATATATATGTATATATACATATCGATTATATGTATTTAATAGTGCATTATCTTCTAGAGTGATTACGTCTAAAATTCATTAATATCATGCAGATAAATTTGCAGCATGATCTTTTGTCTGAGTTTCAGATTATTTCCCACTACCTATTTGACATCTCCACTGGAAGTCCTACAAACATTATCAAATTTAACATTTCCAAAATTCAATTTGGGATTTTTCTTCTGGTCAAATTGTTTTTTCATTCCCACTCCACAGTCTTGTGCATCTCAGTTAATAATACAATCATGCTGTTTATTCTAGAAATTTAGCAGTAATTAAATTCTCCCTTTTCCTCACCTGTCATATTCAAGCCAGGTTGGTTCTACTTCTAAGATATAGCTTGAATGTTTCTTCTTTTACCCATTGCCACTGGACTGCCTCACTCAGTCCAGAATAGTCTCAATTATCTTGTCTTCATTACCATCTCATTACCACCACTACTGTGACATCCCTTCCATTTTTCACACAACAGCCTCAGTTATCCACTTAGCAAGTAAACGAGATCATGTAACTCCTCTGCTAAAAACTGTGAATAGATTTCCTCACACTTAGAATAAAACTAAACAGTTTACCATAGTCTAAGAGGATTTTCATGGCCTGACTTCAGCTTATCTCTCCAATTCATCTTTTAACACTTTCCTCGTCATTTATAATTTTCTATTATTCTGTCTTATTTCAATTTCTTGAACACTAAAGAGCTTTTAATTTTTTTTTTTTTTTTTTTTTTTTTAATCTCAGGCCTTCGGCATTTACTGTTGCCTGGCATTCTCTTTCCCTTACTTTTCCAAGGGCTAGGTTTAGGTGACATCTTCTGTGGTAAACTGTGCCTGATATGGCCCCACATGATCCCTGCCTTCTGTGGTAAACTGTGTCTAATATGGCCCCACATGATCCCTGCCTTCTGGTGTGCATGGCCTTGTGTTATCTCCTTCCTTTTAGTAACTTTCTTGTAGCCAATAGCATATCTCAACCCAGAGAGTTTGTCACTGCTGCAATGAGATTACAAAGGTCTGACTTTGGTCTCGCTAGCAGGTTCTCTCTCTTGCTGGCTTTGATGAAATAAGTTGCTATGTTTGCATTTCCATGTGGGAAGGGCCTGGGGCAGCCCCTGGCCAGCAGCCGTTGGCTGAAGCCCTCAGTCCAATAACTCAAATGTAACCTTATCTTGTAAGCAACCACGTAAACGAACTTGGAAGAAATTCCTTTCTCAGTCGAGTTTCCAGATGGGACCCTCGCTCTGGCTGAAACCTTGATTACAGTCTTGTGAGATACCCTAAATTAAAAGAACAAAACTAAGCAGATCCCAGATTCCTGACTCAGGATTGCATAAATGGTGTTGCATTAAGCTACTCGATTTGTGGTCATTTGTTATGGACAATTTGAAATACTTAATTCATCTCAGGGGGAATTCACTAACTACCCTACAGTAGATCTCTCTGTACTCAACCTTTCATCTGGTTCCAATGGAACATATTCAAAACTCGAATTTATTTTATCTCCTCGTCTTTGGTTACTTTATTTGGTTAGGCTCCCCTACATAAGTGTGAGTTTTCTGAGGTTGAAGTGAAATATACATCACTGATTTATCCATGGCCTCTGCTCTATTGTTGACCTAGCTTCATATTCCCTTCTAGCCTAGGGTGCTTATGAAGACTATGTGGTCATTAGAGACATAGCATTCTCAATTCATAATATTGGAATGCTCCTTCATCTTCATTGTATTTCAGTATGTGCTAGGTCTCCTGAAATAAACCTTTCCTTCATCTCCATGTTATGAAAAGAAATGTAGGCACACTTAAGGGTCGAGGTTAGCTACCTTTCACAATATTATTAAGTTTTTAAAATTGTCTACACAAACAATGTAAGGTAAAATAGTGTTGTTTGACGAGTTGACCAACATATATAGTATAGTAAATCTGGATAATTCATGCTTCACCAATTGCCTGTTACTGACTTGCAGGGAATTATTTTTTGCTTGGTTAATCAGGATAATTGCTTTACTTCTTCACTTCACTTTGCTTTTGTAGACACAGTCAGAGACCAGAAGGGCTAAACCTGCCTTGAACCCTTCAGGTAGTTCAGAGGGCTTCCATATTGCATGCAACTCCACAGAATATTAATTTTTCTTCTTTTGGGAATATTTGCAACTGAAATGACTCAATAGTTCAAGTGAAACAAGTGTCAAGGTTGTCTGATTCTACAGTTTTAAGGCATAGTCTAATTGTCATAATGCATTCAAGTCTTTTGCTCACAATTAGTTTAAATACTTATGAGCAAATTTATAGCCCTAAATCTTGATCAAAGATGATCAATTAGTTGATTTCTTTCATTTGTGGATTTTTTTTTTTTTTTTTTTTACCGAAAAGTTGTTTTTCAAGTGTGGCCTAATGACTGCTAGCAATTTCCAGTTTCCATAGCCCTCTGTTTGACCTATTTGTTGAGACTCACACACAAACACACACACACTCACACACACACACTCCAAATAACAATGTCATTGGCTCAATGAACATCTGAATTTAACTTAAAAACTTGGATACTGGCTCATTGATATTTCCTTTGAAATATTATACTTCTCCACATTAATTCTTACATTTTCCTTTTTTTAATCCATTGGCAAGTTGTAGCAGGTGGAGTGAGTTGAATACGGACTTGACCTTTCTCTCCCTGGTGATAGGTCAATAACTGAGGGGTAGAAATGCACATCTACCAAAATTATAGATAGTTTATTTCCAGACCCAACCATTTATTGCTTCCTGTGCTTCTATTGTAAGAGAGAATGTTATGATTGTATTTGTGTTTTGATTTCATAAGTAGATTTCTGAGAAACTGTAACTGTTTCCAAGGTAATTGTCATTAGTATTTTACATAACTAAATTGTAAGTCTGAATGTCTTTGTTGTCAGAATCCACCTAACATGTTAAAAGGAAAGAGGTAATAACTTCAAATTTACATTAGCTTCATTCAAATTTAATTTAGCCTCATTTTTCTTTCTTGAGTTGTAATGAAGCATATCTATTTAAAGTTTAGTTTGAGTATATTTAAAGAAATAATTTCCCTCTGTTAAGAAAGTTTTGTATATAGCTTTTAGGTCAAATTAATTATGTTAATAGTATGATGTGTTACTTTCCATTAATAAGAGTGAAAAGAAAATTCGAGCCAATTTTGAGTGACTTTCTGTGGCACAGCCTCTGATGCCATAAAGTCTCTGGTGCATACAGTGTCAAGAGAAATACAAAAGATGTGCATCCAGGGGCCTCTTCTGTTATGTGGGTAGTTGGAATGCTGATCAAAACTATCCCAATACATTAAAAAGTTCTGTCACCAGTTGAAAAATAAATCAGAAAACTGACACTTAAAATTTAGGGATTTGGAAAGCCAGGCATGATGGCATACACCTGTAATCACAGCTATTCTAAAGGCTGAGGTGGAGGGATTACTTGGGCACAGGAGTTTGAAGATGGCCTGGGCAACATAGCAAGAGCCCATCTCTAATTTTTTTTTTAATTAGTGATTTGGGTTAAAATAATAGTAAACAAAATTATTTTACCTAATGTAGTCATGTAATTGGTCCTGAGAAGTTTTTAGTTGTTATTTATTTATTTATTTACTTATTATTTTGATGTTAGGAATGTTCTATCTTTTATTTACCTCAATTAGTATAAGACACAGCCAAATTTTAGACATGAGAAATGACCTTTAGGCAGTTCCAAAACATAAACTAAGGCACATAGAAATTTTAAATAGTTTATTTGAACAGACAGTGATTCATGAATTGTGTAGCTCCAGACCACAGAGGGTTTGGGGATCTAATAAAGGGCCACAGAGGGAAGGCTTTAATAGGTCTCTGCAGAATCAGAACAAGAAAGAAAATTTTTGATTGACTAAAGAGGACCAGTAGCCTTATTGGGAGCACTCCAGGGAAAAGTTCCTACTTAGAGGTTAATTTGCAGTTTCTAATTGGTTCAGCTTCAGGAGTGGAAATTCCTTAGGAGTTAGGTGGCAGTTTCTGATTGGCCTAGAAAATGACTGTTTACATTGAATTGGATTTGGTTTGCTTACATATAAACCCAGGGTACTGGAGCCACCTCAGTCTAATGGCCTCCTAATTAATTATTTAAAAAATAGTCTTTATCCTGGCAAAGGTGGTAGAAAATAGAATATTTCTCTGCTCTGCAGTTGATATTTCTCTGTTCCTTTATGATAAAATATTTTTAAAAGTTATTCATTGTTGAACTCACATTTCCTAACATATCCGAATAAACTACTTTTCAAATAGCTTATAGCATGACCTCCAAGGGCAAGTGAGGAATTTAACATTTAGAATTGCTAAATCACTAATGATATATCAAGATAATATTATAAAAATTACAACATCCTGTGTCCTGTGTATGCTGCAAGACTCACTAACTATAATTTATTCTTACAGATTATATTTGGGCAGGACGATAAGCTTCAATTGTTACTTTTTTTTCTGAAATTTTAAGAAGAATTACATTATTCCTCTTTTTTCTTTGTTCATTATAGTCTGAGAAGAGTGTTTTTCCCTCTCTCTTCATGTTGAAACTTAGAGGGCTAGAAGGCATGAGTAAGCAAGCATAAGTGGTCAATATCTGGTAAAAATATAATACTTTATTTTCCTCTCTTGAAACTACCAGTTTATTCTCCATTTTCATTAAAAAGGAAAGTGAAATCAATACTCCTTAAATCAAACAACCCCCTTTACTTATCATAATGTGTATGCTATTTAGTGTGTCGTCTTGCTGTCCAATCTTTCCAAGATACTTTCTTCCCATTTTTCATTTTGGAGTGTTTGGAAGTTAATGAAGTCCTCTGTGTGGCTCTCATCCTCAGAAAATGCTTCTATAGATCAGGATTCGACCGTGTCTTCTGAACTCTTTTGGTCAGCAGGGCATTTAGTTTTGCCCTCATGCTTTATTTTTTGAACATTTTTATAGAGCTGGAAATGCCTAGACCCCCATGGAATCTTATCAAAACACAGCAGAGTGCTTAAATGCATCATATTATTGGTATAAATATGATAAAAAATTAACCACTGCAGTAACAGTGGAAAATGTTTCAAATCACAGAGAGGCTTTCTTAAGGATAAAACTGAAAGAAAATAGGACAGCGGGAAAATAGATCTGAGGAGGCCTTCAAAGCTATGGAAATCAAAGAAAGCTTTTGGTGAATGAGAGTTTTCTATTGGATTAAATTGAAACGTGTGGATGTTCATGATATATGAGTATTGTGTGTGTGTGTGTGTGTGTGTGTGTGTGTGTGTGTGAAGCATGTAAAAGCAAAAAAGGATAGATACCCATAGGACAATTAAGTTGAGAATTGAAGTAAACTTTGATGGCAATAAAATTAATAAATCCAAATGGTTATTTTCTTCTTTGAATTCTTTGTAAATTCCCTCAATTATTCATTTGTACACCCAGTGGAGTCCTGAACTTAAGAAGTCATGAGTAGATTTTTATTTAACTACATATTAAATTGGCAAATATTCAAAATTAGATTTCTACCTAAAGAAAATTAAATAAAGATATAAAGAAAACAGAGTTTTTACTTTAATAATTACTATTAGAATGTTCTTCATTAAAATCTTATGTTTTTAGATTGACTCTGTACATAGTCCAAATATGTTAGGTGGTTGTTGAATTCATTTGATCTAAAGGTGAAAAAAAAGGGAATTGAAGTATTTTTAATAAAATGAAACTAAAACAATAAATAGACTATTCTTTTTTATTCAACTAGACTGTAAATTCATTGAGGGACAATTTTCTTTTTTCTTCTTGAACACCTCCTTTACTGTTAGGTATTTAGTAAGTAAACTACTATTGTTGAATGAATGAATGAAGAATTTCCAGGAAAATAATTTAAGCATCTTTCTTTCTGTTGACCAAATATAGACCCTAGCTAAACGCTTACTAAAATGCTAGATCATAGTTAAAAATCAAAATATTGTTAGACTATAGACTATGTATTACTCAGACTTCAAGTTGGGCAACACAGGGATAGGATTACCCGAGCAAAAATGCTGTGAAAAGTGAAATAGAGCAGAAAGAACATCCAATTTTGTACCAACAAATGCACAGTGACTGGCTCAGGGGGCGATCTTCTCCTAAATTCAAGAATAAGTGTAAAGACAGAAAGCTAATGGTGTCAAAGGAAAAAACAGAAAGTAAAACAGATGCTGGGGCAAGAGTCTGTGTTCTTGCTATGCAGCCTTGGCAGAAAAAAAGTAATATGAGGCAAAATACAGTGGGTCTTCAGAATTAAAATTTAACATTTGCTGACAGGGCAGAGAGGGGTGAGCGATTTTCAAGAATTATATGAGAAGGGGGGCCGGGTGTGGTGGCTCACGCCTGTAATCCCAGCACTTTGGGAGGCCGTGGCGGGCGGATCACGAGGTCAGGAAATCGAGAACATCCTGGCTAACACGATGAAACCCCGTCTCTACTAAAAATACAAAAAAATTATCCGAGTGTGGTGACGGGCGCCTGTAATCCCAGCTACTCGGGAGGCTGAGGCAGGAGAATGGCGGGAACCTGGCAGGCAGAGCTTGCAGTGAGCCGAGATGGCGCCCCTGCACTCCAGCCTGGGCGACAGAGTGAGACTCCGTCTCACAAAAGAAAAAAAAAAGATAGGAGAAGAGTTTTTAAGGCTAGGAGAGAACAGTCTACTAGATTTAGACAGGCATGAAGTTCATATAGGCATTTATGTATTGGGGAAGAAAAGGAGACTGAGTACAATACCTAAGATGTAAATGGGAAATTTCATTCCTAAAGGCAATGTAGGGGAAAGATACCCGTATTTTTTAACGAGTCGTGCAAATTACTTATTCTATTCAGTGAGACAACAGCAGGACACAACTTCCCCCTTATTTCATAATCTCTATTTCATTTGATGGCCACATCATCTAACTGGAAAGCTAAGGAACAGCTTCAACATCACTTTAACTTTACCACTATTCAAATGCTAGTTAGCATATAGAGGTCTTACATTGAAAGAGAATTTAGAATACAAAACACAATCCTAAAATTTATATGGAATGACAAAAGACCCAGAATAGCCAAAACTATCCTAAGCAAAAAGAATAAAACTGGAAGAATCACATTACCTGACTTTAAATCATACCTTGGAGTTACAGTAACCAAAACAAAATGGTACTGGAATAAAAACAGACACATAGACCAAGGCACAGCCTAGAGAACCCAGAAAAAAATCCACACCCCTACACTGAAATCATTTTTGACAAAGATGTCAAGGACAAACACTGGGGAAAAAACAATCTCTTTAATAGATGATGCTGAAAAAACTGGATATCTATATGCTGAAGAATAAAACTAGACCCCTGCCTCTTACTGTATACAAAAATCAAGATGGATTAAAGACCTAAATCAAAGACCCCAAACTAGGAAACTACTGCAAGAAACATTGGGGAAAATCTCCAGACCATTGGTCTGGACAAAATTTTCTTGAGTAGATGTACAAATGAAATCACACCAAGTTAAAGCTTCTGTACAGCAAAGAAAACAATCAACAAAGTGAAGAGACAACCCACAGAATGGGAGAAAATATTTGCAAGCTATCCATCTGACAAGGACAGAATATCTAAGGTGCTCAAACAACTATACTAGAAATAAATCTAATAATCCAGTCAAACAGTGGGCAAAAGATTTGAATGGATATTTCTCAAAAGAAGACATAAAAATGGCAAACAGGCATAAGAAAAGGTACTGAACATAATTGATCATCAGAAATGCAAATCAAAACTACAATGAGATGTTATCTTAACCCAGTTAAAATGGTTTACATAGAAAAGACAGGCCATGACAAACACTGGGGAGGGTGTGAAGAAAAGGGAACCCTGGTACACTGTTGGTGGGAATGTTTATTAGTAAAACCATTATGGAGAACAGCTTGAAAGTTTCTCAAAAAAACTAAAAATAGAGCTACCATATGACCCAGCAATCCCACTACTGCGTACATACCCAAAAGAAAGAAAATCGACATATCAAAGAGATAACTGAACTTCCATGTGTGTTGCAGCACCCTTCACAATAGCCAAGATTTGGAAGCCACCTAGTGTTCTTCAACAGATGAATGGATAAAAAAAAGTTGTACCTGTACACAATGGAGTACTATTCAGACATATAAAAGAATAAAATCCTGTCATTTGCAACAACATGGCTGGAACTGGAAATCATTATATTAAGTGAAATGAGCCAGGCACAGAATGACAAATATCACATTTTCTCACTTATTTGTGGGATCTAAAAATCAAAGCAATTGAACTCATGGAAATAGAGAGAAGGATGATTACCAGAGGCTAGAAAGGGTAGTGGGGGTGGGAGAAGGTGGGGATGGTTAATGGGTATAAAAAGATTAGTTAGAAAGAATGAATAAGCCCTAATATTTGATAGCACAACAGGGTGACTCTAGTTAATGATAATTTAATTATGCATTTTAAAATAACTAAAAGAATGTAATTGGATTTTTTGTAGAACAAAGGATAAATGCTTGAGGGGATGGATACTCCATTCTCCATGATGTGATTATTACACATTGCATGCCTGTATCAAAACATCTTATGTACTCAGAGAAATATATACCTATGTACCCACTAAAATTCAAAATTAAAAATTAAAAAAAAAGAAAAATACAAAAAAAGAACCAAATGGAAAATCTATAACTGGAGACAAAAAGAAAATGTCATATCTACTGCTTATCATGACGTGAATTACTAGTCATCTGTGGAATGGCTTTCCTTTATTTTATCTCATTTGTTCTTCATAATCATTCATTGGGTTGCCATGATTAGCTTTATTTTAAAGATGAAGGAATCAGGTCTCAGAGAGGAGAGTTTACTTTCCTATGGCAACACAGCTAGTAAATATTGTAACCAAGATCATAAGCCAGACCAGTAACACCAGAAATGATATTCTTTTATTTGTCTTTAACTTTCTGGTTACTACTGATGGAAATCTTTTTTTGTTGTTGTTTTGTTTTGTTTTGAGACGGAGTCTCGCTCTGTCGCCCAGGCTGGAGTGCAGTGGTGCGATCTCGGCTCACTGCAAGCTCCGCCTCCCGGGTTCACGCCATTCTCCTGCCTCAGCCTCCCGAGTAGCGGACTACAGGCGCCGCCACGACGCCCGGCTAATTTTTTGTATTTTTAGTAGAGACGGGGTTTCACCATGTTAGCCAGGATGGTCTAGATAGATCTCCTGACCTCGTGATCCGCCCGCCTCTGCCTCCCAAAGTGCTGGGATTACAGATGTGAGCCACCGCGCCCGGCCTAATGACAGAAATGTTTAACTGTAGTCGATCAGAGACCAAAGCTGATGGAGAAGCCACTGTCTTGAACTTTGAAGATTATTATGCCACAGGAAAAAGAGAGCTCTAGAACTATCCTCAATGTATACAAGGGTCTAAAATGTTATGAAGTCCCATATAAGGGAATATCATTTTATTAGTCAATATATGAGTTTTGCGTAATTTGATTATCGCTAAAATCTACCACCAGAAAGGTGGGGTCACAAAGCTAGATGTACATGAATTAAATATCAGATCAACACATTATACCAACTATTTTGCAATAGCTAGTCATAGCAAGGAAATAACACCAACTTTAGGGGAAAAATCACAGAAATGGAAATTCTCACTACAGCTATATAAACCTTGGGCTTTCTTGGATGGATGGCTCTTGCTCCCACTGCAGATGAGAATGCTCTGTCCACACTTTCCTAGTATTTGAAAAAGCCCAGAACCCTGGGTATCATTCAGATGAGAGCCCTCATACTGAATTCAATTCATGGTGGCAGTGTAGGCATCTATCAGAGAAAGAGAGAGGATAAATACCTATCAGGAAACTTTACCACTGGTTGAGGGACTGTGGGAATAAACCCTACAGGTTAAGTCCCTGTATTCCCCTTACTTCTAGTCCAAAAGAATATATGTGTTTGTGTGTAGATGGAAAAATTTTAGTCTGGTTGATTGGGTAGCTTTTTATATTGAATAACTTTTATATTAAATAGATTTTTGTTATGTCAAATAACCCTATAATAAATAAGTTAGATGGAAAGGCTAATTCTGGTTAGCTTCTACTTATTATGTCAAAGGTAGTGTAATCAATGTGACTCAGCTTATTGTGGATCTTAGATTCCACGTAGTATTGACAAGCTTGAATTGATAATAAAATGCTCTCTCTCAAAAGGGACTAATACACACAAATTGTTGGATACAGTTAATCACATGTTTCCATCAAACCACAAGATTGCCAGGAAATAAAATCCTATTATGTGTCAGGAAGTGGAGAGAACTGGGACTATTTGGCAAATACCATTAATAACTACAGTGAACCAACAGTGAATTTCCTGCCTGAAATTCAGATTGAATGTTGACCATGTGTGAACTCAATTTTTGCACTGACAGGAAGAGTTTTAAGAACTAGATCATCTACCAATATTTTTTCTCATGTTACATTGCAATTTGTTGGATTTCTGATTCCTTCTCTCTTGCAAATGCCTTGAGTGAGTCTACACCCTCTTTAAACAGTTATTTGTTCATCCTAGATAAAGCTCCTTCATAACTTTTCTAGACCAGAATAACATTGTCCAGCCAACCCTGCTGTTAGCCATGCTCCAGCATCCCCATTTCTTCCTCATCTATTTGATTACTGGTTCCATAATGCATAGAATTTCCAAGTTGAATTTTCACAATACTGCTATTTCACATGAATGCACACACCTCAAATAGTATTCTGAAATTTCTGGCAGCAGAGTTGGCCCAGGGGAAAACATTTTCCGTCAGGAAGCACACACGGGGTCACAATCATACAGCTCTGACAGAGAGGTCTAGCAGCGTAGATCATATTCTCCAATTCTGCCATTTCAGCGCTTGCGCTATTTTCCTGCATCCAGAAAGTAGTGGAACTTCACAAAGAAATTGATTCCATTTATAAACTGGGGCACTAGGTCAAATCTGAATACCTGCAGAAAAAGCTATTGAAAGTTTCTTACTTTCCCTCCAGTCAGCAAGAAATCTTAAGCTTTGTGAAGGCTCAAGATTGGTTCTCTATATCTGTGCCTGAATCATCAAGTATTGAATTAGGTTACTTCCTATAGAATTGAGTACAGTTGTTCTTAATTGTACAACTCACTTAAGTCACTCAAATTGTTTAGCAAATTCATCTGTAGCCTCAGCATTCAAAATTAATATAGTCTGAAAATTAAATGTAAAGAGGCTTTTCAACCCATACTTTGAGAATAATAGTTCAATCCTTGATTTTTAGCAGAGCACTGTCTGGTAGAAATATAAAGCAAGGTATGTATGTAATTTTACATTTTTTTAGCAACCACATATATAGTAAAAAGAAAGGGGTAAATTACTTTTAATGAGATATTTTATTTAAGACAGTACATTTAATATTATCATTTCCACATGCAATCAATACAAAATAGTTTGCTGAGATATTTTTATTCTCTTTGTTTGCACCAAGCTTTCAAAATCTTGTGTGACTTTTATACTTACGGCACGTCTCAAATTGGAATAGACACATTTCAAGTGATCAAGAGCCTCATGTGGTTATTGGCTACTATATTGAATAGGGCCCTTCTGGTAGATTTCCCAGGCATTTGAGAAAGCATGTTTGTCACCAGTTATAATTTATCTTTAACTTAATCTTCTTGGGCAAAAGGTCAACATGCCTAATATATGTTACAGTGCCAGCACACATCAAGGGCTCAATAAATATTTACTGAATGTTTTTAAGTTTTCATTTACAAATATTTACATATTCATTCAGCTGCTGCTATGTGCCAGGTACTTTTCTAAGCATTGAGGAATTAAGCACTGACCAAAATAGACAAAATGTTTCCAAGGAGTTTAACTTCTAAAAGTTTGTCCCTTTAAATTGATGACAAATAAAATTACAAAAATATCAAAACAAACCGTACAATAAGTCAATAGCTTGTGTTTTAGATGGACTTCTTGCTCCCTAAATATCTTCTCTGTTAGTCATTTCCACATTCCACCTATTGCACATCACCTATGACTCTCTGACTGCCCAGGATTTTCTACTGCAACATCACGCATGAGCTTGCCGTCTTCAAGCTTCTTACTGTTTTTCAAGCAGAGCAGCTTTTTTAATGTTTCTAGGCCTCTGATCTTCTCCATCTCAGATAGCTGTTAAGTCCTTACTCATAATTCAATGCCAAGTTCAATTAGTACCTCTTTCATAAGCTTCTCTTTGCTCCCAATTTCAGTTTTTTACTCTTTCTTTGTTGCTCACAGACGTTGTGCAGGTCTTTATCATGCCATTTATTTTGGATTGTAATTGTATGTCAATTCTTCCCCCATTAGATCTTTACTTATTTGCTTTAGCTCTTGTAACTTATAGAGAGACTGATATGACAGGTGCTGAAAGAATGTGTGTGGGAAGGATTGATAATGTACCCATTTCCTATCTTAGTCTCTTATATTCATTCCTGATCCAAAAGAAACTGCATTCATGGACTTATGTGCCACAGTGTACCTTCTGATATTTTTGCATCTTATCAGTGTTCCTTCTCATCAGAATTTTAGGGAAATACCAGGAGAAAGACCAAGTCTATTATACCATGTTGGCAGTGTTTTCCTCTTCTTAGGAAAGAATAGCACTTGTATCTAAGTAATAGTCCATTATTTTTAATTTCCCACTTTCATTTTTGGGCATGTTTTTTGGCATCAATATTTCATAGGCTTTGTGGTTTTCCAGTGCTTAATCAGGAAAGCTATTTCTTAACTATTGTTTACAATTTAAATAAAAGTAATAAAACTTTTCCCACCCAGCTCTGAAGGTAGCATTATTCGCACCTCCGCGGAACATTAAATGCACAGACTTAAGCTTTTATCAAGCTCCACTGTGATCCAACTTTATCTGTATATATTTGAGAACCAAGCTGAATGCAATTAGACCACATTGTTTGTATGATATGCTGTATTTTCTGGATTCATGAATTAGCTTCTTCTGGGGATTCAGGGAGTCTGTGTCTGTATTTCTAACACTTTACCACTAGATGATAACACAGGTTTATATACCAAATGTAAGAGTCTGTTCAGTTAAGTGTGTTGAAGCTATACCAGAGACCATAATTCTTTCATTCTTTAGAAAATTATCTCCAAACTACTGAGATATGTTTTAATATCACATATATATTTAATTTATATATATATAAATCATAAAGAAAAAATATGATAGAATATAATCTCCTGATCTGACAATGGTCCAACAGTACATTTTTCCACTATTATTCTCAGTTGTCTGTCTTTTTGTTTTATTTGCTTTCCTTTTCTTGCTTTTATGAAATAGAATCTCAGATTACATTTATAGTCTTTTCAGAAACCACAAGTGTATTTTCTATAGTTAACCAGTTCTCACAACTAAGATTTGAGTTTCCTGGATACAGCTAGAAGATATAGACATTGGAGGAGCTTATGTAGTAGAAATAACAGAAATCAGAATTCTGCCAATTCTTGCCTTAGTAAGCAAATGAATTTAGAAGGTACAAATTCTTTTTCTGTATATTGAGGACCATAAGTTTTTCTTAGAAATGCTGTGGATACAGAAATGAGATAGTACATCAATTAGAAAGTATATAAAATCCTTTATTTGGAGTTCGTGACAGATAAATACTAATTCTCTTGTTAACCCACTTTTCTTTTCCTTTTTCTTAAGGATATGAAAATATTAGTTTTATGGTTCTTTTTCCATCCAGCAATGAGAGCATAAGATGTTTCTTTCAAATTTTTGTCAGTGTATTCTTCCCTATCTCCAAGGAGAATATAGAAAATATCCAAGTCTTCTTTCGATGTGAAACTTGCCACTTAAGACTTTTTAATTATTTCATGTTTCTTTCATATCTTGAAATATATATTTATTTGAACAAGCTCTCTTTGGAGAAAATACCTTAAGCGTAAGAAATTAATCCAGTAGTGGTGATTTCAGTTAATTGGCTACTTAAGGCTATATACTTACGGAAAAACTGGATATCAGTATGTCTTTTTGCTGTTTTCTCAGACTATCAAGCACTAGCAACTCAGGAGAGTACCCAGAAGGCCCTCTTTAAAGTGAGTGATGAAGGAGAAAATGATCAACTGTTCCTTACTGAGGTCAGTAAAGGAAATATTTTAAAATATGAGTCATTCCACGGAGATAAATAGAGCCACATAATACTTGATGACATCAATTTTGCTTTATCAGAGGAGTTAAGCTCACATTGCTTTTACATCTAGTTTGAGTAGAACCTCTCATCTGAACTAGAAGGAGTCATTTCAACTGTAGCATTGAACTAGATATTTTAAAATAAAACTAATTATATGTAATTCACCACATTTCTTTATACTAACCTATATTATTTCTACTCATGCTTATATTGGACATTATGTTTATCAGATCTCTCTCAATTTTTCCATATTTGAAAGATGTCATTTTAAATGAAAGACATAAAATAAACAATGGTTCTATCATTTTCCATCTCTAACAGCAATGGACCTGGTTGTATCACATCCTCACCAATATTTTGGCATTGCCAATCTTTTTTTTTTTCATCTTAACTATTCTAATGCATACATAGTGACATTTCACTGTAGTTTAATTTGCATTTCCCTCATGATTAATGATGTTGGGCACTTTTTCACGTGTTCATTGGCCACTTATGCATCTTCCTTTCTGAAGTGTTTGCTTAAATCTTTTGTCTATTTTTATTGTCATTCGTAATTTTTATTGCAGAATTTCAAGAGTCTTCTTGTCTTTTGAATTTGTGTATAAAGAGAAGCCAATGTGCATTTTACAAAGAATTTGTTGCTTATTTTGTATATATATTAACCTCAAAAAATAACTTTAAAAGCTTTGTTTGTGCAGCACTGTAGTCTCCTTTCTCCTCTCTCATGAAACCTCTGTCTTCTACTAAAAATTAGCTGCATCCCTCTGCTTATCCTTGAACTTTCCTGGTCTGTCCTGAGTGGCATTGACAGGAAGGGTGGCTTTCCATCCTGCTTTTCATTCATGTTCAACAGTTTCTTGGTTAAAATAGATCTCAGCAGTCTTCTCCATATTAGCAATAACCCGTTTATTTGATGGAACCGCCCATGTCAGGGGGATTTTATGTTGTACTTTGGACTTTGGAAGAGTGCCAGTGATTTTGAGGTTCATACTTTAGATGGTTAAAGGAATTAATCCAGTAGTGGTTTCAAACACTCTTCTCTAGGAGGAGTTTACAATTCACATATTTTATACTTTGTTCTCATAGCTTACAAATAGACCAATAAATGTATATTCCCAAAAAACATTTTTATGAGAAAAGTTAAATATCATTGTAAATAAATAATTTTATATTCTTTGATGCACATAATTACATTGTTATTTAATAACTGTCATTGGACAAGTTTTAAAATTGACTAGGCTCAAAATACATGAATGGATTAAAATAAGGTCTACAGATTAACACATGGTTCCATTTGTTGAGAAGATTCAACTAAATGTATTATTTGCATTTATTTCTCTAAGGTATAAGCAATGTTGCTAAAACATGGCCATTGGCTTTGGGACTGAGGGGGATAACCTTACAAAACTCCCAAATGCTTCTCCACACTGCCTTAATAATTTCCAGTCCTGCTTCTAATTCAGGTCAGGATGGGCAGATATTACACCTGAGATGGAAGGTGGACAAACATCTTGTTTCTCCTCCTTTGTTCCTTTAACCATCTAAAGTATGAACCTCAAAATCACTGGCACTCTTCCAAAGTCCAAAGTACAACATAATATCCCTAGTGACTATTCATGTAAAGCCTATTGAAACAGTACTTGTTACCTTAGAAACAGGATGGCCATTGTTGGGATGCAAGGAGGGATAACTTCTACTAATAGTCAATATGTGCAAGGCAATGTTTAAAATTTCAAGAAAAGAATGGTAATTCCTTGGTCACTATGATGGAGCAATTAGAGCTCAGACTGTTGCAGTAGGTAGCTAGTCAGGCATGAGCAGGACAGGAGAGCACTTCCCCTCACTTCTACCGGGACTTTCCGATGACCATCAGAGATAGTCAGGCAATTGTTAAACAGTCTCCTAAAATAGTTGGTCACAGTCAGCACCAGGAGAAGGCACTCTCTCAATAAATAGAAAAAATCCCAAAACTGGTGATCAGCAGCTTCCCGGTAAGATTTCAGGAATTGAGTGAATGGGCTCAAATGTGCACATTAAGAGGCAAAATGGCGGAGTTTAATTGGTATGTGACCTACTAGGCAGATTTGACTGGTAAGGGAAGAATACCTCAAGTGAGCATGCATACAACTCCAGTAAACACACTGGGCATGCGGCCCTTCCCAAGTGCTAGCAGGACACTGCACATGCGGACAGCCCACCCCAAGGGAAGAATCAGAGGAGAAGGGATGCCAGACCCTGGAAGTATGCCAATGTATAAAACCCTAAGTCAAAGTTCAAACGGGGCAATTGATGCTCTCAAATCCCGACTTGGCGCTCTTCCAAGTATACTTTACTTCCTTTCATTCCTGCTGTAAACTTTTTAATAAACTGTCAACCTGGCTCTGAAACTTGCCTCGGTTTCTCCTGCTGCCTCATGCCCTTCCTTTTCTGAGAAGACAAGAATTGAGGTTGCTGCAGACACGTATGGATTCAACTCCGGTAACAAGACCAGCATGACAGAAGCCCACAATGGATACAGAACAACAGAAGGAGGATGTTAATTTCAGAGAGTATAACTAGAATTAACACAAAATAATTCATATTAGCCAACTAAAGAAAGATTTTACAAGAATAAACACTTAAACAAATCAAAGAGCCTAATGTGTCTGTTCAGGAATTAATTATTAAGTGCTTACTATGCAACAAGCATAAATACCTTTAAAGGAAAATCTCATTCAGTCCACTCCTAGAAGCACTATGAGGTAACAATTCTCATTCATAGGTGAGGAAACTGAGACTTGAGGACCCTCTGTGAAATGCCCGAAAGCTCGTGGCTCTCAGAAGTTGACAGACTTTTAGAATTGTTTTAAAATTAAATTGGCAGGAATGTAAAACAGTGCAGCCATTGTGGGAAAAATTAAAAATAGAATTGCCATATGATCCAGCAATTATACTTTCAGGTATATACCCCCAAAATTGAAAGCAGGGTATAAAAGAGATATGTACACACCCGTGTTCATAGTAGTACTGACAAAAGCTAAAAGATGAAAGCAACCCATGTGTTCATTGATGGATGAATGTATAAACAAAATGTAATGTATACATACAGGGAATATTATTCAGCCTTAAAAATAAAGGGAATTCTGGTGAGTGACAACATGCAGGAAACTTAGGACATTATGTTAATCACATAAATGACAAATACTCTATGATTCTGCTTATATGAGGCCCCTATAGTAGCCAGATACATAGCTAGAGAAGGTAGAATGATGATTGCTAGAGGCTGGAGTTGGGTAAAGTAGGGAGTTATTTAATGGGTACAGAGTGTCAGTTTCACAAGATGAAAAGAGCTTTGGAGACTGGATACACAGCAGTGTAGATATGTTTCACATTACTGAACTATACACTTAAAGACGATTGAGATGGTTCATTCTCTGTTATGTTTATTTTGCCACAATTTTAAAAAACTTGACACAAGTGCCTGAGTCCATATTAGGTGACCCATAAATGGCACCATTCTTGTTGTTGTCTACCAGTTTCTTTTGAGTATGGTTAATTTTATTCAGGTCCTAGAATCTGGTGGAATTGAGTGATATAATTAACTTCAGTTTCTGAACCATCACTCATGAATGCTTCAATAAATTATTATTGTTTATGAAGTCATGTCTGTGTGTCTGTTAAATCTTCACCTTTTTTACCATCACCTTTTACCTCCTTCAGCAATTACATACAAAATCAATTTTCAGCTTAAACTGGCATATGGATAAAGTTCTGTATAAATAAATTACAGATAGCAACTAGTGGCAAAAAAAGAATCAGGACTAAAATTGAGGATAGTATTCTTAAGGTAAAATATTGAGAAAACAAACTGGGTTGTATTTAACAGCTCAAGCAGCTGGACCAAATACAGATGTGGAACCAAACATGTTTGGTTGGCAGGCCTGGCGCTTTATAAATTTACAAATTTAGAATGTTAATCTGTCAGTGGAACTGGTAACTTCGAGGTTTATTCAGGAACTCCTCACCAATATCCCCCAGCCCCAGGCTCTTTCTGGTTTAGGATCACACATTTCTGTTACCTATCGAATTCCTGTGGACATTTGATTTTGCCACCTCTGATTTATAGGTTAACCCAAGAAAGTATATTAAAAACTACTAATTGTCTATAAATATAGATAATTCAAAATATCTAAACTTTACACAAGTTTTTGCAGAACTTTGAAGTTATTCAATGTTTAGATATTTGAATCAGACCTTAACAACTCCTCCTGTGTTCTACCATATTATCTTATGTGTGTTGTATTTGTACAATCAATAAAGACACACACATACACATAAGTTTAACAGGAATTTACTGAGGTACTTAGATATACCAGGCTTAATGTTTATTATATAAATATTAGTTCACCTATCTCTTTCATCCACAAAGATTGTGTTTTATTCAACTTTTTTACTCCATTAGTCTGTTCTCATGCTACTGTGAAGAAATACCTAAGACTGGGTAATTTATAAAGAAAAAAGGTTTAATTGATTTACAGTTCCACATGGCTAGGGAGACCTCAGGAAACTTAAAATCATGGTGGATGGCACCTCTTCACAGGGCAGCAGGAGAGACAATGGGTGCCAGCAGGGGAAATGCCAGGCACTTATAAAACCATCAGATCGCGTGAGAACTCACTGTCACGAGAACAGCATGGGGGAATCTGCCCCTATGATTCAATTACCTCCTACTGGGTCCCCCAAAAAACATGTAGGTATTATGGGGATTACAATTCAAGATGACATTTAAGTGGGGACACAGCCAAACCATATCAATCACCAATGTTGAAGATATACTAGATGTTTGTCAAATGAATATATGCATGGGTAGCAACATGCAATTAACAAGAAACGTTCTTTTGGTAAATTAAATACAAGTTACCTGAAAGTCTCAAATGGCTGTAGGTATACCGTGCCTTTAAATTATAAATACTCATACTCTTTACCAAAGTGGTACAGAGAACTGTCATGAGACCATTAAAAAACAAAGTAATTTTTCGCTGGGCACAGTGGTTCACACCTATAATCCCAGCACTTTGGGAAGCCGAGGCAGGCGGATCACTTGAGACCAGGAGTTGGAGACCAGCCTGGCCAACATGGAGAAACCTCATCTTTGCAAAAAATACAAAAATTAGCCAGATGTGGTGGCACATGCCTGTAATGCCAACTACTTGGAAGGCTGAGGCAGGAGGATCACTGGAGTCCAGGAGGTGGAGGTTGCAGTGAGTCAAGATCACCTCGCTGCACTCCAGCCTGTGCGACAGTGCAAGACTCTGTCTTAAATAAAAGAAAAAAAAAAGTAATTTTTGAGTTTAAATCTTTTTTTTTTTTCTGTTGGAGTATTGTCACAGCCAAATTTTGCTTTAAAAAGTTATCATGAAATTGAAAAATGTTTTAATCCAAAAATGCTTGTTACTTTACAAATATAATGTTGTAACAGAGAAGTCTAGTCTGACTTTTCTTTTTTCAACTTCACAAAAGCAATTTCTCAAAGGCTGAAATCTTCAATATGCAGTTCAATATAGAGCAAATGTTTATGAATGAGTTATAAACCTCTCGAAGCATGGAAATGGTGGCAAAGTGTTAACTGTGAGCAGCACCATTATAGTCAATTACAGCAATACTTAGAAATGTTCAATAATCCACGTTTGGAATAAAGATTTGCTCATTTCCATTCATCTCCCAATTGTAACCTTAATTATTTATAGAAATAAAAAGATTAGATAAAAAAAAAAAACTTCAAGTACTTATTATGGCCAGGATATATTTGCATGGATATAAATGGGTGAGTGGAAATTTTCAGTCTATTTGCTTTTAAGATCATTTATGGTAATATTTTAAAAGCATGCATTAGAATTTTCATGTATTACTTTTTAAAGAACCACTGCTTATTTTGCTCCAGGAAAACTAATATTTACATTAAAATGTTTGGGATATAATTGTCTTATGTTTTAGAAAATTTTTTGGAGAAATGGATGGTGAATTGAGATGATTTTATCTGTAATGGCAGGGATTTTCCTTCTCTGTGGAGGAAAAAATAGAGTTTCATGATGTTTTGGCATATTTTGGGAATGTTTATAGAAAAAAACCTTTGAAATGTTAGGGTTTTTCTTTACATTTAATTTTTTGCATTCAACTATAAACTATTTAAGGTTATCAGTTTACTACGGGCAAGTTCTTCCCCTTTTCAAGATGTAGCTCAGAGACTTTAATGACATCTAATCCTCAATCAAACTTACTGTCACTGAGCCTCGACCAATCTATAAATAGTATTTGTTGCTGAACGGCTCACCTCCTTTTCAGACCTGTGATGAAAGCTCCAATCTAGAAGCATCTGATGAATACAATTCTGAATTATTTTGGAGGTCTTATCCCTAATAAATTTCTGTTATTCCCTTTCCAAAAATATATATGATGAAGTCTGGGTAAGAGAATAAAATATGGCTTTCACTTTAAGTCACATTGAAGAGACAATGTCTATTAATTTTGTTTAATGCTCATGAGCGTTACTTACATTATGAATCCAAATACATGGAGATGTACACAGGAATTTTTGTAATTAAATTGACCTAGTCATTTTTCCCTTGTAATTTCAACCCTGGAAAACAATTGTGAAATTTTTTAATATCTGGAAACTGACCTATGCAACATTGAGAAGTTAGGCATTTGGATGAATATGATTGTGGACATTCTTTAAAAATATCGCTATATAAATGAGTTTTATTTCTAATTCAACAGCCTGCACCATTTCTACTCTTCCATGTATGTTTTTAATCACAAAATAATACTATTAGTTTCACATTGCTCTATCAATAAGTTACATATTTTACATAAAATATTATATTTTCTTATGTTCATTTATATTAGGGTTCAAGACATTAGATAAATTAGTATAACAGATTAGATATTTTTGCAATGAGATAGAGATGGGAGAAAATAAAAATGTGTCAACAATCAAGGAATAATATTTGTTTTTTTCTGGTAAAAACTGACCTTCCAAAACACTGAGAGTAGGTAAAACTTGGATGACTAAGAACTAATATATAAAAAAAGGCAGCATTTGCTAAAAACAAAAGTGTTTTCTTATTGTAGAACTTAGGGCACCAAATCATTATCTGAAAGCAAATGAGTTTTGCAGAATGACAAGGTACATACAAGAATGCTTACATGGAGTAAAATACTGTTATAAAGAAGAACTAACTGTGATCTAAGTATTGCTGACTTATATTGTGTTCTTTTTCATGCTTTTTTAACAATTAAACTTTCATTTTAGGTTCAGGGTACATGTGCAGGTTTGTTCTAGAGGTAAACTTGTGTCACAGGGGTTTGTTGTACAGATGATTTCATCACCGAGGTATTAAGCCTAGAACCCATTAGCTATTTTTGCTTCTCCTCTCCCTATTTCCACTGTTTGCCTTCAGGTAGGCCACAGTGTCTGTTGTTCCCCTCTTTGTGTCCATGTGTTCTCACCATTTGGCTCCCACTTGTAAGTGAGAACAAGCCATATTTTGTTTTCTGTTCCTGCACTAGTTTGCTAAGGATGATGGCCTCCAGCTCCATCCATGTTCCTACAAAGAACATGATCTCACTCTTTTTTTATGGCTGCACCGTATTCCATGGTGTGTAAGTACCACATTTTCTTTATCCAGTCTACCAAGGAATATAAATTCTTCTCTCATAAAGACACATTCATGCGTGTGTTCATTGCAGCACTATTCACAATAGCAAAGACACAGAATCACCTTCTTTCATGCTTTTAACAGCGAATTTTCTATTAATATATTAAGGAAGGAATTAAGTATAATAGACCTCCTTATACCTACATTAACATTGATTCACATTTTGTCACTTTTTTCTAACACTTTTTAGCTAAAATGTTTTAAGTTATATAAGCTAACATGTTTTTTCATCACCAAATAGTTCAGAATGTATGTCTAAATATATAAGGATATTTCTTACATAATGATGATATTATTATCTCACTTAAAAATAGATTGATCCCAGTAGTCACAAAAAAGTCTTGATTTACTAATTTTTAAAAAATGATGTGGGTCTCTGATGGTTTTCTATCTCTGCAAAGCAACAGTAAATAGTTCACTGGCCTCTCTGTCTTCAGTCTACCTTATCTCCAAGACTGGGCAGCAAAAACAGGGCAGAGGCATCTGCACGAAGAACCTCAGCAGGGTCAAGTTTACTCTGCCCACTGACTTTCACTTCCCTAGCTCTTATCCTATATGAGTTTGAAGTCTGAGAGACAGCAAAAAAGTTATTTTAAAAACTATTTTACATAAATGAATTGGCTAACTAACACTTTCATTCTTGCTCAATAGACTGAGACTCTTGTCCTTTAAAATACTTTTAGTCTTAAAACAGACTCCCTTGATACTGAGTTCCAAAAGCTATTCTTTAAATAAAAGGAGAATATTAAATCGGTTGACGTTTCATCTTGCCTTCTGCTACACCCTATCTAAAGCTAGTAATTTTAGAATGTCAGAGCTGCTTCGGCCACAGAAACAAAGTAGTGCCAGGCCCCTCTCAGTCTATCTTTAATCCCTTTTATTCTTATATTTGAAATAATGTAGACTAAGAAAAGAGAACCATTGGAGAACCGTATGTTGATTTTAGATTTTCGGGGGAAGAGATGTTCTCATTTGGACTCACACATTTATAAAGAAAAAAAGGAAAATAAGTCTGCTTTTTTTCTTATAAGATTGATAGCAGCTAACCCTCAAATTCTGGTGGGAAACAAAACTAATTACAAATGGGTAAATTTCTCTTGTTAGACATACTGTGTTATGTGGACATTTGTTAATTTATCTGTAACATACACCACATTAGTTGATTTATGGTTAATTGAACGAAGGTCAATTAATGAGTGGGAATGCGGAGTGTAATTAAGAAGTCTTTTCTTTACTCTATTTCTCTTCAAGCTAGAGAACAGTTCTGAATGCTGATGAGACAACATCTATTACAATGCCTTCTATCTGAGTTAGGTGATTAACTCAGAATGAAGCACACAAAAAAATACCTTTGGTAAAGGCAGAAGTCTACAGAAGACCAGGTAGCAATGAGAAGAACTGAGTGTCACAATTATGGTAAAGAGTATCATGGGCCCAGTTCTATTTTGATCCAAATAATAAAAGTATTCTCTAAGAATGGAATGCTGTACATCTGACTAGTATTAGCTCTTCATAGGAACCAGGAACCAAGCACCTTTTTTTTTAGCCAATGAACTCAAGTTTTTCATAGTGCTCATAAATAAATGTTTTAAAGAAACAATTGCTTTTCTATGAATGCTTTGGCATAGATCTTACTTTTAAAGGCCAAGTCTTCATATCCCCTGAGGATGAATACATACTGAGTTTTTGTGGTATGTTTTGCAAATTGCTGTTCTCCTTTAAACTCTCTCCTGAAAATAATGCACACAAGAAATTTATGCCAGACACATTTTCTTTAACCCAGTATGTTAACAACAATAAAGAATGTTCTCCCCACTCTGAATTTACATAAGTCACTCATTTTGAATCACTTCTGAGTGAACCTACAGCAGCTTCTCAAAAAACTGTATCAAAATCAATGAAGCACATGTTAAAAATGTAAATGCACTGGCTCTTTCACAAATCTACTAAGCCAGAATCTCTGAGACAGTGTATTAGTCTATTCTTACATTACTATAAGGACATACCTGAGACTGAGTAAAACAAAAGGGGTTTAATTGGCTTATAGTTCTGCAAGGCTGGGGAGGCCTCAGGAAACTTACAATTATGGCAGAAGGGGAAGCAAACATGTCCTTCTACAAAGGGTGGCAGGAAGGAGAAGTGCCAAGCAAAGGAGAGAAAAGCCCCTTATAAAACCATCAGATCTCATGAGAACTCACTCACTATCATGAAAACATCATGGGGGAAACACCCCCATAATCTAATCACCTTCCATGAAGTCTCCTCCCCAGCACATGGGTATTACAATTCTGACTACAATTCAAGATGAGATTTGGGTAGGGACACAAAGCCAGACCATATCAGACAGGTCAAGGAAATGTTTTTTTAGCAACCAGTAATTATTTTACTCATAAATATTTTTAAAACACTGATTTATGGAGGTTTAGAGCTGAAGGAGCTTCCTAAGCTGTTTGAGTCATATGTTTATATATGGAAGATGAAATAGAGTAAATGGGTCTCTTGCTTTTCTTTTCAGTGGCTTCCTCAAACAAAAATCAGGTACTATTTTATCATTTGCTATTCCCTCTCTCACTCAACAAATCATTCATCAGCTAGCTTCTGAGTGTCTACATTGTGTTTCTAGGTGGTAGGGATAACACAGCCAACAAAACACAAAGTCACTGCCCTCCTGGAGCCTTTATTGCTGGTGAGGAAGACAGACAAAAAGCACAACCAATAAGAATATACATATACTGTGTTACACAGTGATGTGTGTTTTGGAGAGAATTTAAGTAGACAAGAAGAATTTGATGGGGAAAAGAGTACTAAAATATTAAATGGAATGTTTAGAATAAGACACATTTAAAGGTAATCTTTGAATAGAGATCTGATGGATCACAGAGAAATAGCCATGTAGCTATCTGGAGAAGCCCAGAAGGAAACAGAAAAAGTGATAGTCTAGATAAAAAAGAGAGTCCAGCAAGTTTAAGACAAGAAGGCCAGAGCTGCTGTAGTGAGATGAATGAGGAGTGGTGGATGGTGGAGATGGATCACATAGGGCCTTCCAGATGATGATTGATAATTGCTTATCTCTGTGTCCCCACCCAAGTCTCATGTTAAATTGTGTTCCCAATGTTGGGGGAGGTACCTGGTGGGAGATGATTGGATCATGGAAGAGCAGATTTCCCTCATGCTCTTCTCATGATAGTGAGTGAGTTCTCACGAGATTTGATGGTCTAAAAATGTGTGGCATTTCCCTCCCCCAACCTCCTTCCACCATGTGAAGAAGTTTCTTGCTTCCCTTTTGCCATCCGCCATGATTGTAAGTTTTCTGAGTCCTGCCGGTCATACTTCCTGTTAAGCCTGTGGAACTGTACTCAGTTAAACCTCTTTTTTCTTTTCATAAATTACCCAGTTTCAGGTAGTTCTATATAGCAGTGTGAAATGATAAATTTTTTTTTTTTTTTACTCTGAGTGAATTGGAAAGTTAATAAAGTATTTTGAGCAAGTTGTATTATGACTATTGTGAAAGGAGATAATTTTGGATGCTTTTGCTAAAATTTGGGCAAGAGATACTGATGTTTGGGGCATGGGAAGTTGGAGGGAATGGCGAAGGGAAGGAGTAGAGACATAGCCATCCTCTGAATATAAAAGGAATGAATGAAAGAGGAGAATAAAGGTGACCCTAAGATTTGTACCCTGAGCACCTGAAAGAAAAATGTTGCCATTAATTAAGGAAAATTGAAAAAGGAAAAGATTAGGGTAAGATAGCAAAGCTCAATTCTCAGTATATTAAGTTGCAGATGCTCTTAAACATTCAAGTGGGATGTCAAGTAGTCCTTTGATACATAAACTTTAGGTTAAAAATGAATTTGGAATTATCAACATGTAGTTGCTATTTGAAATAATAAAATCAGTTGAGTTAATTCAGAGAATGAGTGGAGATAGAACAAAGAAGAAGTTCAAGGATGGAACCCTGGAGTTCTCCTATATTTAACATTTAGGGGCATGAGAAAGTACCAGCAAGTGAGGCTGAGAAGGAAAGACAAGCAAGGTAGAAGGAAAGCTAGGCTGGTAGGATACCCTAGAAGATGAGAAGAACAAATATTTCAGGAAGAACAAAGTGACAAATCATGTAAAATGGAACTACTAGGCCAGGACTGAAAACTGGCTATTGGATTTGCTATAGAAAGAATATTCAGGGCCGGGCACGGTGGCTCACACCTGTAATCCCAGCACTTTGGGAGGCCGAGGTGGCGGATCACGAGGTCAGGAGATCGAGGCCATCCTGGTTAACACGGTAAAATCCCCTCTCTACTAAAAACACAAAAAATTAGCCAGGTGTGGTGGCACACACCTGTAGTCCCAGCTACTCAAGAGGCTGAGGCAGGAGAATCACTTGAACCCAGGAGGTGGAGGTTGCAGTGAGCTGAGATAGCGCCATTGCACTCCAGCCTAGGTGACAGAACGAGACTCCGTCTCAAAAAAAAAAAAAAAAAAAAAAAAAAAGAATATAAAGAATATTCAATGGGGTATTAGGGGCAAAAAACTTATTAGATTAGATTTAAGAGAAATGAGAGCAAATAAATCAGAGGTTAAAAACAACTTTTATCTTACATAAGAAATGAGGCAAAATCTCAAATAGAGGCGTGGAAATGGGGTTAAAAGTTTTTTGTTTCATTTTGTTTTATTGCATTAAAAGAGAAATAAGTTTATGTCTAAATTGGGATGGGAATGATCCACTATAAAGATAAAAATGGCATGACTGAAGGAAATAGAGAAAATTGCCAAAGCAATTTACTGTGCAATCACTCAATAAATTGTGATACCATTTATTATACAATTCTGAGGGTTGGCCTTAGCTTGTAGCATCCAAGTGTGACAGGAGTAAAGGCAGAATATTGTGGCACGAAGGCTGGTTGGTGGATACATGCTGTGGGGGAGGTTTATAAGTGTTCTCTTCTGATTCACTCTGTTTTCTCAACGAAGAAAACAAGGTGTGATGGTTCATGTTATGTGTCAACTTGAGGACCTCAAGGTGCCAAGATATTTGCTTATACATTATTTCTGCCTGTGATTGTAAGGGTGCTTCTGCATAGGATTAACATTTAAATTAGTAGATTGAGTAAAGCAACTCGCCTTTCTCAATGTGGGTGGGCTCATCCATCTGTTGAAGACTTGAATAGAATAAAAGGCTGAGAAAGAAAGAATTCTCTCTCTCTGTCTCATTGTCTTCAAGTTGAGACATTAGTCTTCTCCTGCCCTTAGACTTGAACTTGAAATGGAACTTACACCATTGGTGGATGTTCTTGTTCTCAGGCCTTCAGACAAGGGCTGGAGCTATACCATCAACTCTTCTGGGTCTCTAGCTCACTAACTACAGACCTTGACCTTCTCAGACTCTATAATTATGTAAGGCAATATACATTTCTATTGGTTCTGTTTCTCTGGAGAACTCAGACTAATACACAAGGTCAACAACCAAAAGGGGCAATGGAGCATTGTTGGAAGCTTGACTAGGGAATCTCTAAAATGGTTAGCTAGCAGAGGAGGAGAGGGAATAGACTCCTATCATTTTCTGGAAGTATCGAAGGTCAGTGACTATACATTTGAACTACATCTATTCTTCATGATTTAGTCACACTTTGAATTTTTGATTTTTCAATGTTTGGTTTTGTTTTACTTTAGTATGTTCACCACCATAAGTTCAGGAATGTAGTAATATGGAGCGCTGGATTTAGTCAGGGCTATGGCTTAGCCACACAAATATAAAAAAAGAGAAAAGGGAAAAAAATTGAGAGTGTATTCAAAGGAATAATTATGATTGGCCATCTGATTAAAGATAGGAGGGAGAAAATAAGATGGAGATAAAGATAGTGAAAAGTTGCTAGTATAAAAATATTGAAGGTCTGGTAGGGTAAAAGGAATATCTGAGTTGGAGTGTAACATGTAAGAGGTTGATTTGAAAAAATTGGGTGTGTCAGTTAGCTGTTTGAGACTGAGATTCTGGAATACTTGTAGTTATTAGCAGCTACAACTACAGTATCCTAAACTATCAGTTCCTTAACCCTTTACCCTATAACGTTCTTCACCCTGCCTTAGCCACTCAATCACGTGGTTATTTATTGTTCAAAGAAATGACACATTATTATTCAAAGAAATAACCACGTGATTGAGTGGCTAAGGCAGGGTGAAGAACGTTATAGGGTAAAGGGTTAAGGAAGTGAAAGTTTAGGCTCTTGAAGGGACTGTTTTATGAATTTGAATTCATTAAGAATTATGAGAGGAGTAGCAATGGAATGGGTGGCAGTGGGCCAAAGATCTGTAATTTTCAAAGAACAATGTAGGGGTGTGGTGTGGTTGGTGAAGTAGACTATGTATCAAAGTGGAGTGCAGTTTAATACACGAAATTCAAAATGGGGGCCTGTAAAGGGTAGTAAAAGGGACACTTCTGCACCCCTTGTGCCTCATGGTACAAAAAGCACTGGAGAGAAACAGCTGCCCTTTGGGGAGGATTACAGGGGAATCAGGTATCCTCAGTGGGCATAGATGGTTTCCCTAGAACATGAAGGATAAGAGATTGTTTAGAGAAGAATGTTAGTTTAGAAGAGATTTTACAAGATTTCATCTTGACTTCCAAAAGGCATACTAAGGAGGTTTCAGTAACTGGGGAGGAGTGGGAGCTTGAGTAAAAAAAAAAAAAAATGAACAGAGTCATATGTGGATTAGAATTCAATGGATTAGGGTTGACCTGAGAGTGTTGGTCTTTTTCTGGTGACTGTTGTGGACAGAGATGAGGGCTTTATGACAAGTTCAGATGGCCTCTGGTACAAAAGGAAAGACAAGCTATGAGTGAGAAAAGTGCAGGCGAAGAGGGGAGTGCAGCCATGTCCCATCAATAGTGTAAGGAACCAGGAACTCTCATGTGTCTCCTGCTGATGATGGAAACATGGAGTTTGACCAAGAAGTGATCTTACACCAAGTCCTAAAGAAAGATCGTTTACTCAGGTATAATAACCATCCTTTGTCAGTTGCTGAATGGCAACCAGAAAACAATATTGTACTGAAAAGAAAGCTAAATAAATAAACAGAAAAAAAACCCTTTCTGCTGTAGATTTAGTGTTATATTTTAAATCTATCCCATGCAAATAGGCCACACAAGCCTGTATTACATTGATATATACAATTTGATTTTCCTAAACATTAATGTGATTTGTAGACTGTATTAACATTTTTATAGTATTTCTTTGGAAATTGGCAGGAGATAAGTAATGTATATGTAAGATCTTGTGCCAGAGTAACTAAAATGAGAGGCTTTCAGTTTAGGTCAGTGTGAGTAAATATTGACAGTTTATGGCTTGTTTAATGGAGAATATTATATTTAAAATGCAGAATATTACATTTAAAAATCATAACAGGCCATTATTCTTTACCTAAACATGAATGTCAATTGTATTTTGTGGATAATTAATAGTTAACAAAAGAAGAATAAAATCAAATCATTATGCACATAAATGTATGGACGGCAACATTTAAAAATACAGCACAACTTGGGACAGTTTATTAGATTGGACAACTGAGAAGCACAATTTACAACCCTCTGTCTATAAAGATATTTTTCAAGAATCACCATAAACAATACCCCAAAAGTATACTGAAAACACTATTCAAAGGCCCCCAAAAAGGTTCTAAATATATGAAATATTTGAGGCAAGAGTTTTTAAGTACAAGTATTTTTCTCAGCTTCTGATCAAGACAAACTGTTTCCTGAAAGGGCAGTTCCTCCCAGGTGCTGAGAACAACCATTAGTCTCATGTGAACCAAGTGCGCTTTCTTCAGTTCACCAAAAAGTGCTGTTTTTCTTGGAAAACGAAGCATACGACATTTTTGAGTTAGCTCCACATCTCTTAAGAGATACAAATTGTGTTTTGGTTGTCAGACAAGGAAAATCTGAATTTTGACCCTGTAGGTATTGTTGTTTGGAGAGAGTTGCTTGGGGAATTTAAAGAATGGAAACTAAGATTGTACTATAGAATTCTGTTACCAACATTTTTTACTTGCACCATTTATTAAAAATATTGTATTTTTAAAAGCTGTATGGGAAGTTAGTGTTCCATTTATTCCTACATGGAAAGTTGGCTTTATTAGTAGTAGTGATTAATACAGTATGTATCAGTTTGACAACCTATGCTCTGAGTTAAAACATTGACAAATTTTAAAAGTCGTAAATTGGAGGAAACTGGTATGAAATCAAACATCTTTTATTATTTCCTTTATTGTTTCTTGCATTCAACAATTATTTATTATCTCTTATTGTTCTTGGATTCATACTATGCATTAGACAAACAAAGGTAGGAACAATAAATATGGTTCCTGTGTTAATGTTCCTGGACAAGGTAAAGAGAAACTAGAGACAATTACCATTCTGAATAGTAATAAGAATTATAAGGACAGTACAGGGCCTGGCACATAGAAAATCAAGTAATTTGTACTTAGCAGTTTAGAAGACTTCATAGATGAATGATTGTTGAAGCTTAAATTTAGAGGATAAAAGGAAATTACACTGGGAAAACAGCAAGGAAATTGTTTCCATGCAGAGATTATCACTATATTTTTTGATTATTTGACTGCAAGTGACAGAAAGGCATGATGAATATTATTTTGGAAAAAAAGAATTTATTTCCTTATGAAATCCAAAAAAGGATTAAACAGCTAAACTTTAGAAACTGCAGGAATGGGCCGGGCGTGGTGGCTAACGCCTGTAATCCCAGTACTTTGGGAGGCTGAGGCAGGCGGATCACGAGGTCAGGAGATCAAGACCATCCTGGCTAACACGGTGAAACCCCGTCTCTACTAAAAATACAAAAAAATTAGCTGGGCGTGGTGGCGGGCGCCTGTAGTCCCAGCTACTCGGGAGGCTGAGGCAGGAGAATGGTGTGAACCCGGGAGGCGGAGCTTGCAGTGAGCTGAGGTAGCGCCACTGCACTCCAGCCTGGGCGACAGAGCGAGACTCCATCAAAAAAAAACACAAAAAACGAAAGTGCAGGAATGCAGCTGGGAGTAAGATGGGACCCAGGCACAATTCTTTGTCTTCTTTCTTCTCTGCATACATTGGCTTCATTTTCTTTCACTGCAAACTAACTTTTATTCAAATGGCAATAAAAAGCCTACTTGATGTTGGCTCTATAAATTTAAAGTTCTAAAATCTGGGGATAGAATAATTGGTTAAATCTGTGTCTGGTTCCCATCCCTAAATGAATACACTGTGGCCAGAGTGATGGGATCATGTAAGAATTTTCAAGCTCCCGAGTGGTTAGTTGAGAGGAGTTGTTGAGTTGAGAGGACTTATTTAGGGACATATAGTCCTGGGTGGCAGCAACATAGATGTTTGTGATTTCGCATTTCAATTATGAAGAGTTTTCTGATAAGATTTCAAACCTTCTGTGATTATATCTAATGTTTCACTCCAAGTACTAATATAAATGAATAAATAGAATAGTATTTTCTTCCTCAGTATGTAAAATTTATTGTATTTATTCTAAAAGCACGTCTATCTCACCATTCAAACATACACATCTACACAGAAATATATAGTGAAGATATATTTAATAATATGCGGATAAATATATACATATATTAAGGCCTGTTTGTGCAGGGTAGATTTAAAATGTAAGCTAAAAACCATAGCAGGGAGACTTTTTTTCTGTTTATTTTGCTTTTTAAAAAATGTAATGCTCAGCCAGCTGCAGTGGCTCATGCCTGTAATCCCAGCACTTTGGGCAGACCACCTGAGGTCAGGAGTTCAAGACCAGCCTGGGCAACATGGCGAAACCCCGTCTCTACTAAAAGTACAAAAATTAGCCTGGCATGGTGGCGGGCACCTGTAATCCCAGCTACTCAGGAGGCTGAAGTAGGAGAATCGCTTGAACCCATGAGGCAGAGGTTGCAGTGAGCTGAGATCATGCCACTGCACTCCAGCCTGGATGACAAGAGCAAGATTCCATCTCAAAAAAAAAAAAAAAAAAAAGTAATACTCTTTTGCAGGCCACCAGTCAGCAGTAATAAAATTGGCACATATATGTGCACATACACACACACACACACACACATATATAGGTGATGTGTACATATGTTTATATATTTGTATGCATGTGCATATGCCTGTCTTTCATATAATGTATTTATCTTATCTAACTATCAAATTAATTTCTATATAACAAGATAGCTAGGTTGGGGATTTAGTACTGAATTCTGTAGGAAATAGGTCTTCATTATAGGAAGTCAGTATGCCTCAGAGCATACTGCATTGAGTATGTGGTTGAGAGTACTCCTGGCTACCTACACCACTGGCATTTGGCCCTCACTGCCTAGAGATAGCTGGGAAATGAATTTGGATGGGAACCAAATCAGGTAAGGATACTAATGTTTTCCATATCCCTGGTTGGGTACAGTTTAGTAGTCAGTGTCCAAAGTATTCTACTATATTAAAAAGACAGTTATGCATGAAGTTAACATAGAATTCTACTGCATTAAAAATATAGTAATACAGAAAGTTATTGTTAACTTTAAACAGCTTTAGTTCATAACTTCAGAATATTAGAATTCAGGTTCAGTTTCCAGGTTTCCTCTCAGAAGCCTTTACCACATATGTTCTGAGATTTGGGTATGAGGGTAATGAACAAGAGCTATAAATTAAACCAGATGTCCATGTAGCTTCTGTCCTCTTTCAAGTGGCTATTTCCTAGGTTCTTTCATCATGAGACAATAAAATATTCATATTGAACATAGAAGTCAGGACTGTGTTGCTAAATGTAGATTTGAAGTAACAAATTAAAAACATATCACCTCAAACTTTTTGCTTAAATGCTATAAAAGGAAAGGAACTCTGATTTTTTGAACTTCAAATATTGCACTCTTATGTTTTGTTAGTATTATTTTCTCAAGGTCTCAGATGTTTCGAAGAATTTCCTCAATCTGAAAAAAATGTTATATAAGTTAGTAACATTTGTATAGGATTTTATACACATTATTTTATATAAACTCTTGGGTAAGAAAAGAGAGTTTGAATTTAGTATCAAGACTCTTCTTGATTTTGAACCATATAACCTAAAGATATGTAGCTAGAAGTATATATAATGAGTGAGATTATTAAATAAAATTAATCTGAAATTAGACAAGTCATTATTAAATATGGAGAACAAATTTTTGAACGAAAATTTGATGCATTATTCTGCCAAAGTAAGCAAATTTTACAACTTGCAGTTTTATTTATGAAAAAGGCTTTAAAGGAACAAAAGCTATGTTTGTGTTTTGATTTACATAACTGTATTTGTTAAAAAAAAATAGTTTTCTAAAGTGCGCTTCAAGAAATTCTAAGAAGCAGAAACATGAATCCTTTTCTAAATCCAGATAAGCTCCAGATATTCAATTATTTTTAGAACAGGTGTATTGTCTTAGTAACAAAAATGGACCTGACGAAAGGTAGGCATTTATAATATTATGGGGAGTGGGGGATAAGTGGGAAAAGTACTTAAGACAGAAAGGAGAATAATTGCCATATTAGTAGCCAAAGAATAAAAGGCCCTAGCAGGGAAAATAATAATTTTCCCAGAAGGAAAGAACCCTTCTACACTTAATTCTATGATAAACAACATATGCTACTTGGTTTGTGATTATGACTCTCATATGATTGAGAAGGTCATACCTCCTCATGATGTATTTAAACTGATCCTTATCCCTAACTTTAGTCATTACTATGTACTTTAGATAATAAAATAAAGCTATCAAACATTCATATGTACTGGATATTCAGTACTCAGAAATTTTACAGTCTCCTTCTGTTACCCAATCACTCAAATGCACAGTGTTGATTCTGCCAAATTAGAACCATTTCTAGTGAGAGAACTTACAGAATTTAAAGCACCTTTAGATAGAAAGTTATTTCCTATAAAAAGAGAATATAGCTCAATGGGCACAGAAGTAGAATTTAATAAGAATGTAGGCTTATTGTAAGTCACTAGTTTCTCTACTATTCTGTGCTTTCCAATCCCCCAAAAGTTTTGGTGTATAGGTTGGTGGGGACACTGTGGACCTCCAAGCTTCTTTTTAACTAACAATTTTCATTAGAGATTAATGGATTCTTATATTTTTAATAATACTGCCTTGTAGCCTACAGACTCATGAGTGCCCCCGCACAACACCATGAGTCCTACACCCTGATATTCATACCTTTTTGTATTTCTCTCTTTTTGGGTGTGACTTGCTTGTAAATAACTAGTTATGGCAAAATTAGCAGGCTGCATGTGATCACATATATGGGATTACAGGATACATAAGATTCTACCACCTGTCTTGCTGGAGTTACTCACTGCTTAGCTGGCTTTGAAGAAGTAAGAGGCCTTATCAGAGGCTGCCTATGTTGGGCTGCCATATGACAAGGAGCTGAAGACAGCCTCAAGAAAATGAGTATAGCCTCCAGCTGACAGGCAGGAAGAAACTGAAGCCCTCAAGTTATAAATGAGCTGAACTGTGCTAACAAAAACATATTCTTCCCCAGTCAAGCCTCAGATGAGACTGCAGATCCAGGTGACTCCTGATCACAGAAACTGTGAAATAATGAATATGCTTAGTTTTAAGCTCCAGACTTACAGTAATTTGTTACACAGCAATAGATAATACAGGCCTATTATTGAGTATTAGATGAGATAACATAAATTTAGACAGAAACTCTGCCAAATTAGCAGAAATATGGTATAGTCATAGTCCAAATTACTCTTCTACCTACTCTGCATCCTTGCAGCATTGTTCAAATGTCTCCAAACTTCTACAGCAGGCTGACTGGAGCTAGGAGGGTCTTTGGCAACATGACTGTAAAAGTTAGTTTCATAAATATTGACGTGACAATAGAAAGACTGCAAGGTCAGAATCTAAAAGGGATATATTGGTAGTTCAAACTGGCCACACTAAATTTGTTGATACAGTTTTATATTTGTGAGCCTAATGCTGTGGATCCTTCCTAAGATACTTTTAAGGAAGACAGTGAGGGAGATTTGACAGAATATTTAAAGGGGTAAATGGAGAAAATACAACAATGTCATGTTTATGCCCCAACTTTCTAAGATGGTGCAACAAACCAGTTATTCTTGCTATGGTACTAGGCTCATAGATTGTGAGGCAGAGACTGGTGCTCTCACCTCTGCTACATACAATAATCATGAACTTGATGAAGTTATTTAGTCAGATATTGAGTTCTTCCCATATACCAGCCATTAATCTGGATATTTCACACTTACTCTACAGTATGTTTCTCATAAAAATTTCATGCATTATTATTGTTGGCCTCATTTTATGAATAAGGAAAAAATTCAATTAGCTTACCAAGGCCATAGAGGTAGGATTCATGTTCAGATTTATTGGAAGCCAAAATCCTTGTTATTTATATTATCTTACACTATCACTGTAAGTGGCAGTTCTCTATCTTTTTAAATTACAGTAATTATGAGATGGAGAAAATACATGAAAAACTATTTTGCACATAATATGTGCTAAGAAATTGGCAGCTTGTTTATCATTGACCTCCTATTCTCACCCATATCATAATTGTATCCAGTAAAATTAGAGTGCAATGAATATCAAGGGCATTCTTCAAAGTGAAAAGAAATCAGAAAATTACAGCATTCTATCTTATAGAGGCATAATAGTTAAATCTGAGTATCTCTAACTCTTGCCTATTTTTTGAAAAAATGTGTTTTTTAGTACTAATGAACTTAGTTTTTCTCTGACCCTGTTGAATCACAGTTCAACAATAGAGATAAAGTGAGATCCAAAAACAGGAACCGAGGGCAAGTGGTCCAAATCTCCAAACCTTACAGATGGTTCAGGGATTTTCTTTCTTCAGATTTCTGCTTTGTAGCCTCTTTGTGTACCAAGGGGCTCCAGAGGTTTCATCCCTCCTGTATACTTTAAATCAAAAGTGTCCACAGTGTTCAATTTCATGGGCCAGGAAAATTTCAATAATAAGCCTGGAATCTGATATAGGTTTGTCAAGCAAAAAACAACAAAACAACATATGAACATATAAACAACATATACAATTTACCACTTATTATCACTATAATTGCACAAGTGAAAGAACATTTTACTTTTAAAAAGTAGGAAAAATCAGAAAAGAGAAAAGTCTTAACAGCTTTAGTTCATCAATAAATTTAGTTTTATAAAAAGCACATCCTATTTTCTTTCTCTTTTGTACTTTTTTTTCTTGCATTTTACAGCCAACTTCTGAAGACTTTGACATTGATGGATGCAAGTCCTCAGACTGGCTTTTGGGAGCTACAGACCCATAGGACTCCTGAGCCCACCCTGAAGTGGAGAGTGAGGTTAGAGTTTCCAGTGACTGCATTGACTGTGCTGTGCACTGTAAAAGGTTTGGTTACTCAGCTCCTGGCCAACCACACTGCGGTGAAAGGCTTCAAGTGGATACCATGTTGTGGTTTGCTGTTTTACAACCCCTGGAGTCTTGTGTGGTCCAAATTGGCATTCTCCAGTGGCCCCCAAAGGACAGAAAATTGCCCAATTCCAATGTTACATTATTTATTTATGTAGTTATCCTTCCTCTTCTTCGTGAGGCATAGGCCAGAGTGGCCACTGATACTGTTTGTATAACACACTGTCCTCTGGGATCTGAGGGACTGAGTCAAATGAATACCAACTGTGAAGAAAAACTGAAGCCAGGAAGGGATCACATTTATGGTTTTCCACAGTTGTCCCCAACTGTGTTTTCACCTTTCTGTCAGTCCCAGTTTTCCTGATTTCTCACGGTTCTGACACAGAACAACTGTCAGGAACACCAGCATATGAAACATCACAGCCTTTTGAGACCTCCAGGCCAACCCCATCAACAGACACATGAAGAATCTGGGCCTTGAAAGACACATATTTTGCAGAAGTCACACAGCAAGTTAGTGGCAGGGACCACCATAGGACTAGAATACCCACTATCTTTATGGAGAAAGAAAATGCCCTCCTTCATTTAGCTGAAGCAAAGTTAAATTTGTTCAAAAGGAGCTTTGCAAGTAAGAGAGGAGAAAAAAAAAACAATTACTACTCAAATATAGAAATAAATGAGCTTGTAGAAAGCACATATTTCTGAACATTGAAAGGCAGCAGTGCCTGCTTAAAACAATATGGAGTGTGATGTAGGGCTAAATCCCCCCTCTGCCGTTTATAAGTAATGGGATTCAGGGCAAAGCAATAAATTTGTGTCTTCACATAATAAAATATAAAATGAGGATGAGAAAATCAACCTTCTAAGACTGTAGTATTCCTTAAAATGGCTTTCAAGACACCTCCAAAAACTCTATTTTCAGCCTTAGGACACTATCCTTTATCTATTTATTTACCATTTCCCACATAGCCTGTCAGCAGGCTGGCTGGAATTGTATCCTCCCTCATCAGCCAAATACAGAAATTTACTCAATGACGAATGTTTCACTCATAGAGAAACAAACTTCTATATTCTTCCAATACTCATCAAAATACTGTGGGGAAAGTGGTTAAGTTCTTGAAGGTCTCCTTTTTATGGGAAATAAAGAACAATTCTCTACATTCCAAGGATCTTCAATCTTGGGACTTCTTGAGAATCAGCTGTATGAACAAAATACAGGTTTGTAGAAGCTAATTTAAATCACAATGTTCCTGAAGTATAATACTCTATTCATATTCTTGTAAAAGCTAATCATCATAAGAAGGACAAAAAATTAACTTCTAATTTAGTTGTCTAGCAACATAGTTTAGTCTATTGTGTTTAGAAGCCTATTATCCAGGCTTCTAGTATTTTAGGGTTCCAGCTCCAACCTCCCAAGGCAGGTCTCTGGCAGGGCTGAGACTGATCCTGGATGTTAAAACCTGGCATCTGAGGCACTCTAGATTTGAAAATGGGGGAGGGGGGCAGGGGCGGGGGAGAAGAGGTTTGAGGAACAGCACTTTTAAGTGCTTCTAAGCCCAGGATTCCTTCCTAGTGATCCTTGCTCTTCAATTAGACTCAAGGGCTTACTTGTCTGTTTTAATTTCCTGTAGCTTGCGTCAGGACTTTTCCTCTCCCTTACCTATAGTCTGTAAATATAATTAGTTTTTTTGCAATACTTGCTTAATTTTATCTATTTACTTATTTATTTATTTTTTTTAAGAGATAGGGTCTCCCTATGTTGCCTAAGCTGGAGGACAGTGACTATATACAGGTGCAATCCTGCAGCTGATCAGCACTGAAATTTTGACCTGCTTTTTTTCTGACCTTGGCTAGCTCACCACTTCTTAGGCAACCTAGTGGTCTCCTGGCTCCCAGGAGTTCATCAGATTGATTCCAAACTTTGTGCAGATACCCACTTGACATAGCACATTGCAGCCCAGTACACCTAGGCTTAAGCAATCCTCCTGCCTCAGCCTCCTGAGTAGCTGAGACTACAGGAGAGTGCAACCATACCTGGCAACACTTGCTTATTCTTAAAGGTAACATAAAAATACTAGATTTTTAGAAGGTTGGACAATAAGTCATGATGAAAACATAAATCCATTTGTAAAAGTTACTTTTACTGTCAACTGCCTCTGCCTTCCATTCCCACCACTGACGCACTCCCTCTGGGATCTGTTAATTCCCTAGACAAAATTCACATGCATTTCATATTAGAGAGGGGCTGGATACACTATGGGCAGGAATAGATTCATCTGGATTTTTGTAGGGAAATTAGACCAGGCTGTTGTTAAGAGCTGCCTATGGCCTCTCTGGAGTAAAGGCCTGTTTGAAAATGGGGGTGGGATAGGGCCAAGACTTGTGGTAATTTTGGACTGGAGAGATTATGCAGACAGGTCACTGAGAGCTGAGAGAACATCTCTGGATAGGAACAGGCGACAGCACAGGTCTGAGAAAGGGAGGGAAAGTCTAAAAGGTAACTGTGGAGACAAAAGAGTTTCCATATTCACGGGGCCACCCAGCTGTAAATAGCTCTTCCTACGTGGTAAAGGTGTGTTAGCAGATATATTTTCAGTGTATGTGTGCATGTCTGTGTGTGTGCATGTATTTGGTGGTGTGTAGTGTCTTTAGGGAATGAGCGTTAAGAGAAAGATTGTTAGAATATCAAAGACACCCATACTACCAGTTTTTGTCACCTCTGCCATTGAGAGGAATAACTTTTTTTCATATTTGTGGAGTGAAAATATTAGCCAAAGTCTAGATACTGAGGGCTGTCATTGGCTGAAAGAATTTTTATAAGCAAGAAAAAGAATTTTTTCTTTTGGTTGTAAGCCACAATGATTTCATGTGTCTAAATATAAATAAAGATGCTTCTTAAAGTTCATTTTATGACTGAGGAAAACCAAGTCAAAACTTTTGTGTGTAAATCTCCTTAAACATTTATTACCAATTTCTTATTGAACTTAACCATGATTCTCCTCAGAATCTCCTGTGACAAGTCAAATCTTGAATTATGAAATTGATCAGCTAAAATAATTTAAACATCATTGACATCTCAGGTTAGAGCTGATTTTAAAAAGATAGACTAATTACTAGAAATCTAATTACTAGGATAATTAGATTTAAAATACTAGTTACTAGGATTTTCATAAGGAAAAGAAAAAGGAAACAAATTGAGAATGGTTATTGAAACCTCTTTTCTATTGTAGCATTCAGTTCTGGTCTTCACAGTGTGGTTTCGTAGTAATCATATTTCTTTACTGATAATACTGCTTCATAAAATAATGGGTTGTGCAAAGGTAAAACCATATACCATCTTGTGAAAATGGCTGGGGGTGTTATTCACAGGCAGATCACAAAATAAAGAGAGCTAATTCTCTGTCCTTACTGACTCTTAGAACATTTCTCACAGTGTTTGTAAAAATGTGAATTTTGTATTTATGTTACAATGAACTTGCAAACAAAATAAAGGAGAAAAGTCTTATAATAATGTAAGTGTGAATACAGAAATTCTCAGACACACATGAATATTATCTTTGTGGAGTGCTAAGTAAGGGTTTAACCCAAAATTGATGTAGGAGTGGATATATTTATCATTAAATATGAGGAAATGTTTTTCAGTAAGACTATCCTTTTAATCTCATAGGTGATCTGCTTTCATTTTGGGTAAGGGACAATTCACTATTTATGTGCAAGAAAAGTGATGGCCACAGCCTCCATGAGACCCCAAAAGGATGAGTTCTTAGGAGCAAAGGAATTTGGTAATTACATAAGAGAACTTGTACATTTTAATTGAAAAGAGATTTAAACTATGCCTAGTGAATAAGAAAATCTGATAAATCTTAGAGCTAAAGTGTAGACAGGTAACATGAGGAATGTTGTTAGAGATCATTGTTATGGTACTTGTGAACTTGACCCCAGAGCCACAGAACACTGAGCCCAGTAAAAAATATAGGCAAGGAAACCAATGTTATTCACAAAGGAGGCCTTTTTTGAGTGCTTCCATATGCAAAGTGCTTGATGTACATCATCTCCTTAAAGAGAAGAGCACATTTTACACACTACTTTAGAGCTGGGTGACCTTCGTTCAAGAAACAGCTGACATTTAAAACGCATAGTTTGCCTCAGTGCAGAGAATCCCACACCAAAGAAGCCATTTCCTCAATGCCAAGAATCAGTGAATAACCGAGGAATACAGTGATGCACTGATGCACAAGTGGTGGAGCAGTCAATCCACAGCCGATGGAAGGAATAACTGGGAGCATATCAGTGAACAAACTAGCACGAGGCAACGAGCATGGACCCCAGGAGGCAAAGTGGCAATTCTAAGTGAATGGAATACAGACTCATAGTACAGAGGGTGTTGCCCGGGGATGAACAGAGGAATTGCCCTGAGGCTTAAGTAAAAGTTTGCTTTAAATCAGTGGCTCTGAGCCCTGAATGCTCATTAATATCACCTGGGGAGCTTTCACTTCAACAGTACACCCAAGGCCTCACCAGAGACCAATTAAGCCCAAATTTTCTGAGGGCAGGGCCCAAGCAGCAGTCTATTTAAAAACACTCCAGATGATTACAATATGCAAGTAGAGTTGAGACACATTGCCTTAAAGCTGCTGACCCTACAGAAGAGGCCAAGGAGAGAACATTGCTGGAAATGCTGGGAGGAATTCCTGGCCTTTGGGGCCAAAAGATTTTTGCAATCAAATTTTGACTAGAGATATGACTTCATATGCTTAATTGTGTAATGTTATCTCTTGTTTTCCTGATGTTTATTCTGCTTGCTGAATCAGCAAGACATTTTTTGAAATGCTATAGGCTTCTGTTTATATGATCTAGAGAGAAGACTGGTCTAATAGAAATCAAGGACAGAAAATGCTCCAGTTGGAGTGGATTTGTGATGTTGGCCTCTGCCCTGTTGTAAGATTGCCTGAAATGACTGGGACTGGATTTTCTGTCAAAATGAGTTTTATGGAATTGAGATATGATTAGAAGGCTAGAAAATAACATTAGGAACATATTTCTTGTTCTGTTTCCTTCATATTTCTATATTTCTGTAACTTTTCACTACTCCTAAAGAGAGTAGCTGTTGTATACAAAGAAGCTACTATTATTAGATATTACCTAGTTTTACAGACATAATTTATTATATAATAGTCCTGCTAAATAAATACTGCTATCTTTTTTATGGCATCAAAAACAAAGCCTTAGTGAAATTAAGGTAGTATTTTTTTAAATGTCAAACGTGTTTAGAGTGTGACCAAGAAGTAAAACTCAGGTTTGCTTTAATTCAAAGCCAGTTATTTCAGTAAGTTCAAATTCGTGTGAAATAACTTATCTGATGCCTGATAGTTTGCTAAATGTTTATTTGACTTAAGTAAATAATCTCTTGTGTTTTACTTGTTAGGATGAGAATGATGAATTGATACTGTAATAGTAAGAGACTATCTAAAACCAATGGGAAGGACGTTTGGGGACAGTTTAATTATCTTTTTAATGTATTTTTCTTTGTTTTTTTCTGCAGTTTAATTTGACATGCCTAGATGTAGTTTGTTGACATTTCTTCTCCTTGGTGTTCTGTGAACATACTGGATCTGTGATTGTGTGTCTGACATTAATTTAGGGAAAATTCTCAGTCATTATTTATTCAAATATTACTTCTGTTCCTTTCCCTTTCTCGTCTCATGGTATTGTTATTACATGTATGTTACACTCTTTGTAGTTGTCTCAGAGTTCTTGAATATTCTATTCTGGGTTTTGGGGTTTTGTTTCATTCTTTTAGTCTTTTTCTCTTGGATTTTCATTTTTGGAAGTTTTTATTGACATATCCTTAAGCTCAGAGATTATTTCTCAGCTGTGATGAGTCTATTGAAAGCATTCTTTGTTTATGTTACAGCATTGTTGTGCTGGCAGTATTGTTCCTTTTTTTTTTATCTCTAGCATTTCTTTTTAATTCTTTCTTAGACCTTTCACCTCTTTGCTTACATTATCTATTCTGGCCTTTGTCTCATTCCATGAGAGCTCTTAGCATACGAAAGTTGTTTTAAACTCATGTTCTGATAATTCCAATATCCCTGATAGATCTGTGTCTAGCACTTATGCTTGCTATGTCAGTTAAAAAAAATTTTTTTTTTGCCTTTTAGTATTCCTTGCATTTTTTTTCTTTGAAAGGGGACATAATATACTTGGTTGAAGGAACCAAGTAAAAGGAATGTTGTAAAAAGCCTTTAGTATGTACCCTAAAACTTAAAGTATAATAATAATAAAATTTTAAAAAACAGATCAATCATGAAAATAAGTTCACAAAATTAAAAAAAAAAGGCCTTCAGTAATGTAGTGGTAAGGGGTGGAGAGAGGGAAAATGTTCTGTAGTCTTATGATTAGGTGTCAATCTTTTAGTCAGCTTTAGCCCTTGGGCTGTGAACTTCACAAGCAGTTTTCAGTTCTTTCTTTACTTCCCCCCACTCCCGCCCCCCACTCTTAGGTAGTACAGAATAACTAGAGAGGGCTAGTGTTGGATATTTATTTTTCCACAGGCTGATTAGGCTCTGGTAAAATCCCAGTAGTTTAAGCTCTAGTAAGAAACTGTTTCCTGAGGGCAGGCTTTGTTAAGAAAACCAGGATACTCTGGTATATTTCAATGGTTACTTTTTTCCCCTCTTTGTGCTGGAAGTATGAAGGGGATTCGTCTCCAATATTTACTGTGAGAACCTGGTAGAGCTCCCAGAGGGAAAACTCACAGAAGTGTAGGGGACCTCTCATAACTGGTGCCCCTGGAGTTTTTAACTCCTGGATTTGACCACAGTGAGTCTACAATAAATGGTCAATCACTAGTTGAGGTTTTCCTATCCACGCAGCTAGTTGTTCATGCAGGGGTTTCTGCTCGTGTAAGTTATGATTCTCTCCGTCTACCTGTCTCTCCAGCTTTAGGAGCAGTGGTTTGGCCTACAACCTCACTTATCTGAGGAATCTAAGAAGAGGTGTTGATTTTTCCATTTGTTTGGCTTTTTACTTGCTGTTAGTATGGGGTGGTGACTTCGAAGCTCCTTACATGCTGGACCAGAAACTGGAATTCTCTTTAGTATATTGTTGTTCTTCTTTCTTCTTTTCAGCAACAAATGCAAACTAAAGTATAACAGTTTAACTAAAAAAATACAGAAACAAGCTCTTATTTCCTGCTGAGTTTGAGAGAAAGTATTATCAATTTGTGCTACCTGCACTATCCCTCCTCATTCTTGCTTCCTGGCATAATAAGCCTCATAGCCTACAAGTTACAGGTGATCTCAATTTATCTTATTTCAGCTCAACATTCCAGCTTAGCAGCACTTCAGAATAAGTTCTGTGATGGTTAATACTGAGTGTCCACTTGATTGGATTGAAGGATGCAATATTGATCCTGGGTGTGCCTGTGAGGGTGTTGCCAAAGGCGGTTAACATTTTTGAGTCAGTGGGCTGGGGAAGGCAGACCCACCTTTAATTGGACGGACACCATCTAATCAGCCACCAGCCAATTTAAAGCAGGCAGACAAACATGAAGTGACTGTGTCTGGAATTGGTGGGTTCTTGGTCTCACTGACTTCAAGAATGAAGCCGTGGACCCTCGCGGTGAGTGTTACAGCTCTTGAGGTGGCGCGTCTGGAGTTTGTTCCTTCTGATGTTCGGATGTGTTCGGAGTTTCTTCCTTCTGGTGGGTTCGTGGTCTCGCTGGCTCAGGAGTGAAGCTGCAGACCTTCCCCGTGAGTGTTACAGCCCTTAAGGTGGCAAGTCTGGAGTTGCTCTTTCCTCCCGGTGGGCTCGTGGGCTCGCTGGCTTCAGGAGTGAAGCTGCAGACCTTCGCGGTGAGTGTTACAGCTCATAAAAGCAGTGTCGACCCAAAGAGTGAGCAGCAGCAGGAAGATTTATTGCAAAGAGTGAAAGAACAAAGCTTCCACAGTGTGGAAGGGGACCTGAGCAGGTTGCCACTGCTGCCTCGGCAGCCTGCTTTTATTCTCTTATCTGGCCCCACCCACGTCCTGCTGATTGGTAGAGCCGAGTGGTCTGTTTTGACAGGGTGCTGATTGCTGCATTTACAGTCCCTGAGCTAGACACAAAGGTTCTCCACGTCCCCACCAGATTAGCTAGATACAGAGTGTCGACACAGAGGTTCTCCAAGGCCCCACCCGAGTAGCTAGATACAGAGTGTCGACTGGTGCATTCACAAACCCTGAGCTAGACACAGGGTGCTGACTGGTGTGTTTACAAACCTTGAGCTAGATACAGAGTGCCGACTGATGTATTTACAATCCCTGAGCTAGACATAAAGGTTCTCCACATCCCCACCAGACTCAGGAGCCCAGCTGGCTTCACCCAGTGGATCCCGCTCGGGGGCTGCAGGTGGAGCTACCTGCCAGTCCCATGCCGTGCGCCCGCACTCCTCAGCCCTTGGGTGGTCGATGGGACTGGGTGCCATGGAGCAGGGGGCGGCGCTCCTTGGGGAGGCTCAGGCCGCACAGGAACCCTCGGAGGGGGTGGGAGGCTCAGGCATCGTGGGCTGCAGGTCCCGAGCCCTGCCCCACGGGAAGGCAGCTAAGGCACCACGAGAAATCGAGCGCAGCACCCATGGGCCAGCACTGCTGGGGGCCCCAGCACACCCCCTGCAGCCGCTGGCCGGGGTGCTAAGCTCCTCATTGCCCAGGGAGGCAGTGCCAGCAGGCTGCTCCGAGTGCCGGGCCGCCAAGCCCAGGCCCACCCGGAACTCCATCTGGCCCGCAAGCTTGGCGTGCAGCCCCGGTTCCCTCCCACGCTTCTCCCTCCACACCTCCCTGCAAGCTGAGGGAGCCGGCTCCGGCCTCGGCCAGCCCAGGAAGGGGCTCCCACAGTGCAGCGGTGGGCTGAGGGGCTCCTCAAGTGCCACCAAAGTGGGAGCCCAGGCAGAGGAGGCACCGAGAGCGAGCGAGGGCTGTGAGGGCTGCCAGCACACAGTCACCTCTCATGACGAGATGGGCCTAGCCTCCCAGCCTATATCTTTCACCCATGCTGGATGTTTCCCACCCTCGGACATCAAACTCCAAGTTCTTCAGTTTTGGGGCTCAGACTGGCTCTCCTTGCTCCTCAGCTTGCAGACAGCCTATTGTGGGATCTTGAGATCACATAAGTTAATACTTAATAAACCCCCATATATCCTATTAGTTCTATCCCTCTAAGTGAACCCTAACACAAGTTCTTATGTTAAAGTCTATTAATTACATTAGACCTGAGAATATTTATTAAGCAATTTCTGTGTGCCAGGCACTGGACTAAGAAAGAAGATAGTCTCAGTTATAAGGCCTTATTGTTATTAAAGCTTTGCCTCTGGCTATTCAATGCCCTGTCTCTTCTTATTGACTACTGAGTCTATTGAATTAAACTGTTTGTCCTGCCTATTGATACTTACGACTTCTAGTTCTTAAGTATTCTATTAATTACTGATTAATAGTCCCAGTTTGTTTGCACCAAGCTGGGTATTTGTTATGTATGTCTTTAATTTTTAAAACCTGCCTAGGTTCTCACATTACTTTATTGTGACCATTCACTAAGATATATTCTGATCAGTAGTAATCTGGTGTTTGGCCACATCTGACTTACAATCCAAACAACAGACCTCGTATGTTTTTTAGAATTTTAATTCCTTATTTAGCTCCATTAAAGGGTGCCAAGTGCCTTATGTGATGAGGAAAATTGAAATGATTTCCCACTCCACCCTCACTGATACGTCTAAAGAGTCAGACCATTCTTCTTGCCAATGATTAATTCAAAGTGAGCAGGTCTTGGTGATTTGAAACAGTCAACTCAGAAGTGATTTGCTGGAGAATTTGGAAAAACAGTTTCCCATAGTTAAGAGAGTCATTGGGAGCCAGTCTTTGCTCATTTTTTAATTGACAACTAGGAAAGATGTTCTCTGGATTGGTACCAGAAGCCCAGATAACAATGATAAGAAGATAACGATGAAGTGGACAAGAAGTCTGAGAGATGAAAAGAACCTGTGTCTGTGACATTGCTGAACCACTTCATCAACCAAACCAAGACCCCTTGATTGGGATGTATTTTCTTGTACGTGAACTCTTTCTACTTGTATATTGTCTATTTTAAATAGTCTTATGCATCAGAGTGAGATGATATGTTAAGCAGAATAATTGTTCCCCAAAGATGTACATGTGCTAACCCCCAGAACCTGTGGATACATTATCTTACATGACAGTGAAGACCTTGCAGATATATTACATTTAAGAATCTGGGTATGGCAAGATTCGCCTGTATTATCTGGGTTAGCCCATTGTCATCACAAGTGTCCATGAAAGTGGAAGGAGTTAGCAGAGGTCAGAGTGATGGGATGTGAGTAGGACTTGACCTGCTGTTATTGGCTTTAAAGATGGAGGAAAAAAGTAGAATCCAGACATGTAGCTGACCTCTAGAAGCTAGAATATTCAAGGAGACAAATTCTCCCTTAGAGACTACAGATGGGAAAACAGCCCTGCTGACACCTTTATTTTGACTTGGACTCCTGACCTACATAAATGAAAAACAATTTTATATTTTATGCCACTAATTTTGTGATAATTTGCTATGGCAGCACGGGAAACCAATGTCACAGAACAAAAGCCACTACGGATATCAAGGAGCTGACCTGGTGCTCATAGATAGAGCTCAATGTCCTGTTGAACACAATTTCTCAGAACATCAGCATTAGACAAGAACACTCTGTGAGTGTGATAGATTGAAACAAATGAAAAAAGACCACGTTATAATCATGTCTGAACACAGACAAAATTGTGAATCACATACCTATGTCATAAAAACGACTAACCATGCTCCTTATTCTGTTTAATATGTTACAGCTTCTCCTTTTTGAATTATTATGTTAATTTTTCTTAGCCTTTGCTTCTAGATAAGCTCCATTAAAATGTTCAAAAAATTTTACTTCATGACAATATGCTATTCATAGTAAAGTCACATGTCTTTAAACGTTCCCCCAAGTCACCTAAAACAAGCTCAAATCTGTTAATAGTCCCTTCTTACACACTTACTGAAATGTCTGTCAATAGTTGATGAAAGTTGTTTACCTTTCTGGAATAAATTAAAAAAAAATTTGTTCAACTACAGATGTGATCCCGGAGGACTTGGCCGGGAGTATATAGGCTAGAGATACACACACACACACACACACACACACACACACACACACACATGCATTTTTAAAGCAGGTAGGTTTTTTTCAAATTGATTTTTATCCTATAATTAGAGGTCTAAAAAGTAACAAATTCTGTTAACCAAACTCCATAAAGAATAGCAAGGATTTTCTTGTACCTACTTTCTTCCACTCATGCAGATGTTAGTTTTGTATCACCAATGGTGAGTAGGTTTGGAGTACACTAATCTAGTCTATGGATATGTCCTTATCTTGGAAAAAAAAAAAAAAAAACCTAAGAAACTACACCTATGAGAAGCCACAGTTGTAACTCAAAAGTGAAGACATATTTAATCCTAAAGTTGAAGTAAAGGTGCTAAAGGCAGCCAGATATCAAGGCCATTGGGCAAGAGAGTAAAGTGCTGTGGATGAAGTTTGATGTGGGTGTTGCATTTACTTTATTTGTTCAAGCTGAGAGAGAATTTATAAAGAGAGGTTGTATATTTGTGTGCCTGGTGATATGGTGTTCAATAAGTGCTACTGAGATAAGCTCTACTGCTCAGGGATATCAGGATGATTGCCTAAAATCCTACTGTGTAATGTAGGTCTCCATTGTAGAAGTCAGGTATCCCTAAATTTTTATGAAAGTATTCATCAGTCCAGTAGAAAGTATTCTGACTGTGTAATATAAAAAGTAGATAATAGGCTACTAGTGCTGATTAATTGCAGTTCATATCTCATGTTTAAGAATGTGCCCTAAATGTTAACTAATTTGTATGTATCAGTAATGTCAAATGTTAATACAGTATATGCATAGTTTTAAGATAGTATGTATACCTCAAATTCAGCTATTTTAAAGAAAAAGATCAAGAATAAGTAAATTTTGAAAATATACAGTGGCTTGAGCAAGACAGTCATTTATTTCAGTGACATACCAAGGGCGGGGGTATATGAATGGTATGCCCCGGTGGGAAGAAGTAGTTTCTTCCCTGACATTGTTTAGTAATGTAATACACGGTGACTTTTTTTTTTAAAGGCAGATGGGATTTTAGTTGATTTTATTATTTAGACATTCACTACAAAATATGTACCCCATTCGTACCTACACTGAGTAGACTAAACACATTGCTTACCCCCTCAGCATCTCACTGTCCATCTGTTTTATGGAAAAGAGCCAAGGTAAATAGGCCAAGCTGGTGGGAGATTATGGCCCAATTCAGGGACCAAGTTTATTCCCATATAGTTGCTTCTTCATCCCTTAGGGCATTGTCATCATCTGCATGATAAAAGCTTGCTCTTATATATGTTGCAGGTGGGAATCTAAAATGGTACAGCACTTTGGAAATTGTTCTGAGAGTTTTTATAATAGTTAAACATACTCTTCCCATAGCCCAGCAATTCTACATATTTGTTTGGGAAAAGTGGAAACATATGTTTATACAAAAATTTTAACAAGAATATAGTATAGTAGCTCTTCTCATTATAGCCATAAACTAGAAACAACCCAAATTCCCATTAATAGGCGAATAGATGAAAATACACAAAGAAATAAAAAAAGAACCTACTGAAACATGAAACCACACGGATGAAAAAGTGGCATAAGAAAATTTTAGAAGTAATGAAAATGTTCCACATCTCAATTGAGTGATAGTTAGATGGGTGTATATATTTTGTCAGAATGCTCCACTTAAAATTTATACATTTTACATTATGTAAAATATACCTCAAAAGTCAAAGCTAGATCATAGGCACATTACTGTTCTACTTTATGTAAACTAAAAAGAATGCAGGCAAGACCAAGCAATTTAAAACTTTTCATTTATATTTAATTAAATGAAGTCATAAGGCCCTACTTAGCTACAAGGAAGTGTGGGAAGAGTTTTCTCTAGCTGGGGAACATATGTCCAGAGTGAACTTTATGATCTTGGAAAAAATCAATGACAATTTTAGGCAACTACAAAATTTAGTAACTATACATTTATATGTGTGTAGATTTATAAAATCCTCTGTAGACATTTTTTTGTTAAAATAAGGGCAATTTGTTTTAAGAGACCAATAGAGATTCATTTTACCCTAAATAATATTTTGTGTACTAACCACAAAATTTTATATTGATCTATTTAAAACAGACATTTCTAAATGCCTCATAAGTTAAACACTATGCCCTAGAGATCTTGTTAAAATAGCATTTAAGTTTTAGCTTGTTTCAACAACTTTAGCTACTATTGTTTTGATAGATATATCTACCTTCCTTTACTTCATGGTGCCAGAATCCTGATATTTGCTACTTTTCAAAAGATATGAAAATAATATTTATAGTGATTTTAGTTTAACTATGTTCAGATAGGTATCCTAAATAACTTTAAAGTTTTGTCTTCAAAACTGGCAAGCTGAGTTCTACACTTGGATGTAGCTTTTCTTTTGCACAATGGGAATTCTTTTACAAAACTAGCCTCTACTGTTTTTATAATATTTAGAGAAAATATACAGAAAAAAGAGAATCAGTAAGTTTTGATAATTATGACTTTTATTTTTATACTTTAAATGTATATTTCAGATAACCTCATTTTTATTTCGTAATAATGAATGTTCATCCCTTTGTTGCTTTTTGTGTTAGCTTATTGAAAGTTTCCTCTTCTGTGAGCTGTCGTCACTTCTTTTTTTTTTTTTTTTTTTTTTTTTTTGAGATGGAGTCTCGCCCTGTTGCCCAGGCTAGAGTGCAGTGGCACAATCTGGGCTCACTGCAAGCTCCGCCTCCTGGGTTCACGCCATTCTCCTGCCTCAGCCTCCCGAGTAGCTGGGTCTATAGGCGCCCGCCACCACGCCCAGCTAATTTTTGTATTTTTAGTAGAGACCGGGTTTCACCGTGTTAGCCAGGATGGTCTCGATCTCCTGACCTTGTGATCTGCCCATCTCGGCCTCCCAAAGTGCTGGGATTACAGGCGTGAGTCACTGCGCCCGGCCGCTGTCGTCACTTCTTAGTCTTCCTTCCATTCCCCAGTTCCTTGCAATCTGCCTTCTGTTTTGGTCACTCTAAATAAACTACTTTCTGTTAGTTGCCTGGGAAAACCCTTTTAAATCTAAATCATGCTTTTTAGTAATTTTTCTTAATTGCAGTTGGTAGCATTTAACATTTTTAAAAAAATCTCTCTTTAGCTTCTTTTACTAGCACTCTTCCTCTCCTCCTAGCTATCAGAATCTTTCTGCAGATTCTTTCTTTGGCTCTCCCTTCAGTCTTTAAGTGTTGTAATTCTTTAGGATTTTATTTTTGGCCCTTAGCCTTCTCTTATCCTCCACATGCCCCTGACTTTCTTTCTGGTATAAACGTGGTTGACCCCACATCATCACCCTTGACCAGTTCTTGACCACTATCATCCAATACAGATGTTTCAAAGTATCCCAAGGTAATCTTGGATCTAAACTAGTTTTCTTCATGTATTTGTTGTCCATGCTAATTACATAATTTTCTCTTAAGTGTATCAACTAAAAGTCTTGAAATATCAACCCTTATTTAACCCCTAATCAAGATCTACCTGGAAAACTACCATTTTTGTTTTTTAGCTGCTCAGTGTTCTCATTGCTTCTGTGCTATTTGAGGCCCTATTATTTTGTTTAGATTATTGCAACAACATCCTGTTTCTATATTCCCCAATTCATTCCTCAAACTATTAGAGCTATCTTTCTAAGATATGAGTATAATCTATCACAATCCTTAAAGATATTACTCAGAGATTATACATTTTAGGAAAATATACACATGTAGTCATATGTATTTGATTAAGATTATTAAGAGAAACAGGTCAAAAATATGACTCTTGTGGCATTAAAGTCCTGTATTTATTTTCCTGGCAACACTTGAACATATTTCTTTTTGGTTTGAAGACTGTATCATCAACCATGAAGACATTGACAGGCAATGTGCCTCTTGACCCCCATGCAAGAGTGCTTCTGATCTCTGCAGCCTGACAGATAAGAGAGAAAAAAAGATCAACATCAAAACTTCTGAATTGTATTTATCGGATTTATAAAACATTCAGCATCAGTAAACCTGAGCTTCAGCAATGGGTAAGCAAGTTTCTCTTTTTGAAGAAGACAGCAAAACTCAGAGACGAGGTCAGAAGGGGGTTTGAGGCCAGCCAGAGGTTATATGTTAAGTATCTCACATGTTGTGTGTGTGTGTGTGTGTGTGTGTGTGTGTGTGTGTGTGTGTGTGTTACAGGTTATATATTATCAAGGAATCATATCTAAGAACACATAAACTGGCATCTGGCCCGTAGTAGGATCTCAGGGAGTACTTACAGATCAGAATCTGAACAGGAAAATGAAAAATGGTCATCTTCTGTTTTCATTTCATTTCATGCAGCCATGCATAAAAGGGATCTGGTTAACTCATTTTGGAAAAGAATTCCAGCTCTGGGAAACTCTTGAGTCATTAGGCTATAATTGTCTTCAGAAGCCTGTGAAAATAAGCCAGAAACCACTGTATGCTGGCAAGTAGCGTCTCCCGTACAGGGCACTGAAGATGATGTGCATAAAAGCATGAACTAATGTGTAGGGTCAGTTAAATGCCATGAATTTTACATCAGCTAAACATGAAGTACTGAGCAGCTCAGATAGACAGATTTACATGCTGAAAAAAAGCATTTTATCAGGATAGAGAACTGTGCTGTACTTGTGCTAACACTTCCTAGATTGTAGCAATAGGCAAGTCTTGTCACTTTTCACACATGAAGTGGGGATAGAAATAGAGTTCTTTTGAAGATCAAATGAGATAGGAATATTAAAACATGCTTTGTAAAACTTTGGAAAAAGGAATTACTGTGAACTGGTCCCATGTATAACAGTAAAGCTTGCAGGTCTTCAAGGTGATTAGTAATGCAGAGATGAAAGTTGCTATGGAATTCTGTGCTTTAAACAAAAGATACTCTGTGATTTGATGAGCAACAAAGAAAGTACAAAATGTTAGCACATTCACCTCTAGGCAGGGAGATAAAGTGTAGAGTCTTCACTGCACTAACAATAAGCTTAAAATAATCGCCTAACAGCAATGCCTGTATTTTGAACCTATCATAGTAGCTGTTTGCAGTTTCATAAGTAGATGACCATTATTTCCTTCAAATGTTACATTACCGCCTACAGTTACAATGAACTGAAATCTTAAAACACAGCCAGATCATGGTGAGCAAAGAAGGGAAGACTGAAGTTCTTTTGGGTAAGCTCTACTGTGTATGTTCAGAGTCTTGACAGTGAGCCAAATAATGAAAGGCATGCTGATGTCCAGGAGAAAAGTCACAGCATTGATGGGAGCCATGGCAGTGTGCAAATGAGTGTCATGGGAAGCAAATGGCAATACACCTTTTCTTCAACAAGAAAGACAATGATGGGCCAGGCGCAGTGGCTCATGCCTGTAATCCCAGCACTTTGGGAGGCCTAGATGGGCAGAACACTTGAGGCCAGGAGTTCGAGACCAGCCTGACCAACGTGGCAAAACCCTGTCTCTACTAAAAATACAAATGTTAGCCAGGTGTGGTGGTGCATGCCTGTAATCCCAGCTACTCGGAGGCTGAGGCAGGAGAATCACTTGAACCTGGGAGGTGAAGGTTGCAGTGAGCTGAGATCGTGCCACTGCACTCCAGCCTGGATGACAGAGTGAGACTCTGTCTCAAAAACAAAACAAAACAAAAATAAAAGTGGCATCTGCAGGCATTTCCAAAGCAGCCAATGAAATTATTGGAAATTTGGCATATATCCATTGCGTTCTGTTGAGTACATTTAGGAGAAGAACCTCTCCATTTTTACACATATTTAGTTATCTACATGGTTGTAACATTAGGAAGGCAGCCTGTCACAAAGAAAGCAATAGGCCCAAATAAAAAAAATCACTTTTATATAAAAATAGAATAGTCTTACTTTGTGTTTTATTTTTCCATTTATACCCCCAGGGTGGGTATCAAGTATCTATCATCTAACATATGTATCTTCTAATGTTATATGTTGAAATGGGTAGATAATCTCAAATTTTGATTAATAGAAAATTGGATAAAGATCTTGACTGTAACGGGAATTGGATTGAGATTTTGGCTGTTAATATTTTCTTCATGCAAATGATATCTTAGAAAAAACACTCAAAAACTTAGCATTCAAATATATTGCATAAAATATGCCATAGGATATGTTTAAAGGGTGTTTGAAGAACTTAGAATGTATACCAGAAATGTATGCAAAGTCAAGGATCAATTGTTTTATTTTAGGTAAGAACTAATGTGGTTCTAACCTTTTGAACCATTCTGTAAAAATGTATCAACTCAATACTAAGATTCTGCCATACATGAGTTTCAGATTAAATTTAAATTCTATATACCTCTAAACTCCCTATTATGATGTAAATTATGTTTTAAAACTTTTATCCCAGCTATTTAGTAGTGAGAATGCTGCAGGAGAAATGATATATTGTAAAAACACTGAAATTCCCTGTTATCTGTACTTCTTGACTGATCTCAATTATTTTCAAATTCTCCCAAATGCAAATTATTTCTTGCTTTCTAGATAGTCTAACACCTCACTCTCGAACTCCAGCATCACCCCAAATTGTATCATACCACTCTAAAATAAACTTTCCTTGTCACAAGCCTTTTTATTAATAGCACTTCACTTAAAATTGCAGTTAAAGTGCTATAGCAATTATCTGAGCGATAACTTGAATTTACTGCAGCTTTTCTTCATTTGGTAACCTTTCAGCACACGCAATAGACGGATGGCAAATCTGGCCAATTAAAATTGAGACAATTTTTTTTTTTTTTGCCTTTTCATAACTGAAATAGACTTTGCTTGAAAGAGGAATGCTAGCCTTAGTTCCTGTCATTGCTTACTTAGGACATAGTAGCAAGTCAAATTTCAAAGAAAAAGCATAGGTTATAGTGAAAGTTTCCAGTTTTCAATGTGGACCTGTGCCTTCTACAAGCAGGTGGGGCTACATGTGTGGCTTCTTCCAGCCGAATGTGTGTTTCTACAGCTGCTAGTCTTTCACACCCGTCAAATGGTTCTGACATTGCTAAAGTTTGTTCTAAAAGAATAAATGAACACAATGATCAAATATCGTCCACCACATAAATCTTTCTTTATTCATTCTCTATGTGGTAATATCTCAAAAACTCTCTTGGAGAGGCAATTCCCAAGCAGAAAAACTTGGCTGTGAGAATTTTCTTTATTGGTAAAAACATATTTATTTAAAAATGTTTAGTTTTATCATCTTTTGATTGAAGTTAAGAAAATTTGTAGAACCCATTTGCCAGATTATTCCTACGTGTTCTAGACAAGACATAATAAAGAGGTCCCCTGATTCAAAATTATTCTCCTCCTTATGCAAAGAATCATAGTATGTTGAAATTTTTCAGAAGCACTAACACTTTTCTAATTCAAACTGGTGTTTTCAAAGATGACAGAAGTGAGTCATGGTTAGAATGAGTGACATGGCGGTCAGTTTCATACAGACAGCTTAGACTGAAACTTTGTCCTATATGCCAGCTGCTTCTCTAATGAGTGTAATTTAGGTTAATAATCTCCTTGTTTTAAAATAAAAATAATTATAGGGGTAGTTGAGCCTATCAGCCAGTCATTCTCTAATATGAATGAATTTAAATTATTTTCTTCTCAAATGATATCAGTTGCAGAAATGAGAAGACTAGCAAGCACTTTTCATGTGAGGAGAGGGTTGTTGGATCTTCAACAGAGAAAACAGTGTCGAAAGTCAGAGGAAGGGAAAAAGGTTGGAGTTTAAAATCTATCATCTATCAGTCTATATAGAGATCTATATTTGAATCTATCTATCCATCTAAATCTATATAGATAAAACATTTTGCAAAATTGCAGAATAGATCTATATCTATCTATCTAGATAGATAGATCTAAAAAGGAAGGGGCCAGCCAAGGGCACCCAACACAAACTTAATCTATTTTGCAATTTCGCCAAAGGCTCTGATGGAAAACATATTTTCTGTTGAAACTTATTTATCAAATTGCTTTAACCACATGCTTGTCTTATAATGATACTATACAATACCAACAAACACATTGTCCTTCTTAGAAAAGGATTTGGGGAGGCAGGCGCGGTCGCTCACACCTGTAATCCCAGCACTTTGGGAAGCTGAAGTGGGTGGTTCACTTGAGATCAGGAGTTCAAGACCACCCTTGCCAACACAGCAAAACCCTAGCTGGCTGTGGTGGTACATGCCTGTAATCCTAGCAACTCGGGAGGCTGAGGCCGGAGAATAGCTGAGCCTGGGAGGGAGAGGCTGCAGCGAGCCGAGATCGCACAACTGCCCTCTATCCTGGGTGACACAGCAAGACTCCATCTCAGGAAAAAAAAAAAAAGGATTTGGAGGAGAGGGGTGTAGACAGAATTAGGAAAAAATGAGAGTTCATGACACATGGACACAGGGAGGTGAACAACACACACTGAGGCCTGTTGGGGGGTAGGGGGCAAGGGGAGGGAGAGCATTAGGACCAATACCTAATGCATGGGGGGCTTAAAACCTAGATAATAGGTTGATAGATGCAGCAAACTACCACGGCACATGTATACCTATGTAACAAACCTGCACGTTCTGCACATGTATCCTGAAACTTAAAACAAAATGAGAGTTGATGGTGGCTACGGTTGAGTAGGTAGGGAGGATTGGGGATGACAGTGTAGAAGTACTGTCGTGGTGGGGCTCAGAACACAATACCCCTGATGTGGTGCTTTGGCATGCTGAGTACTTTGAATTGAAGATTGAAAGGACCTCAGAAGCAAGAATTTCTCTTTCACCTTCTCCCAACCCTCCTTTTGTCTTTTTCCTTTTTCCCATTAAGTAGGTTATAGAAACTAGAATTCCCCTTTCTCATGGTGAGTCAACTAGAACTCTTCTCTCCCAAAGCAAACCATAAAACCAAGAGAGGTCACTCTCTGCCCTACCTCCCTTGAATACTTTCATTATTATAAGGCCACATGACCCTCAATACAGCAGAGTCCTGTCCCATACTTGGGGAAGGAATGTTACACAGGCCAAGAAGAATCTGAACAAATAGGCCTTGCTGAACTTCCCTGAGTTTGTCATCATTAGAGCATATACTTTTTGTCCAACCACATATCTACATAGCTGTCCATCCTTCATAAAACCTAAGCATAAAAATAGTTTTCCCTGGGTCTTTGGGTCTTCATTTCTAAAGGCTTGGTGTCATACAAAACTTTATTCAGTAAATTTGTTTTGCTTTCTTCTGGATAACCTGGATAACCTGCCTTTTGTTATCTGAGTGTCCACCATGACTTTTGTAATGGGAGCAAAATAAATAAATAAATAAATAAATAAATAAATAAATAAATAAATAAAATAAACCCTTTATTATATACATACATGTAACAGCAGACCCTGAATTTTGGCATGTCTACATCTCATAACAATCTTAACTAAACAGAGCAGTTTAGAACAGTATATTTCTTTGTGTGCTGTATTGAACAATTAGTATTAATCACTAGCCAATTAATAAGTAACACTGAATCTGCTACAAAACTTAAAGAAAATTCATAAATTGAGTTTGGCTCAAATATTCCTGTAGTAGAAAAAAATGTTTTTTGAGAACTCCAAATATTTACCAAAGCCCTGATTTGTTTTCTTGTCTGTTTTAATTTTTATAACCTATTTAGTCTCCAATGTAGATACAACCACAGATAAGATCTTTTTTTAACTTAAAGGTTTGTTTGTGACTACTCGTGTTTATATTAGTGTCTAAAGAAATAACTTCCTACCTATGTCAGTTAACATGTGTTTGGCTGTAAGTAGCAGAAAGCCAGATGAATAGTAACTTATGTTAAAAGTTTTAACTTATTGAAAGCAGTCATTTAATTACTTAATAAATAAGACCATGGTTGGCAGTCCAAAGCAGGTCTCTCTATCCTTCTACTCCTCTATGCTGGCCATGTAGGCCTTTTGGGTTTGTGCTCATCTCTCCTTATAAAAAAAAGATAGTGACTATGGCTCATGACATCAGCATTTCATCCATAGGTGACAAGTAGGCTGCAAAACTTTTCTGGAAATGAAAAGTCTCCTAAATGATTTCCTCTTGAATATTGTTTGCCACAACTAGGTATATATCTGACTCTAGACCCATCACAGGCAAGCAGCATAGGGCCATAGTACTGATGGTTTTAATCTAATCGTAAACCATTCTCTGAAACTGGTCAAAGTTAGGTTCTACCTGCTTCAAAATTAGGATGTTAGTAGAGAAGAAGACAGAGGTAGATATAACCCTTTATTAAGCCATGACAGTATTTACCATATTATTACTGAAAGGAAAAAAAGTAGTAGTAAAGGTAGGAAGTTTACTGTGCTTTGAAACAAATACAATTAAAATAAATGCATTAAGAGTTGAAGTTTGAATTCACTTAAGCAATTTTGATTTATCAATAGATTGGTTTCAACATAGATAAATTATTAGAATATATAAAATGTAAAAACAATCTGAAGGTTGGCACTGCCTAAATATTTTATGTATCTTCAGGGATAGTTGATTATAGCCTTGTGTATAAATAATTTAAATAATTGTTCACAAAAACAGCCTAGAATTAAACTGTGCAAGAATTACAAAGAAAGGAAAGAGCCATGTGTTGTAACTATTGTAACAAATCATACCTCAAAGCTGTGGGCCTGGTGGGGGTGGGGAGAGGTGCAGGAAAGAAACAAATTACCAGAAACTTGGTGATTTAAAACAATATGTTTATTTTCTTCCAGTTTTATAGAACAGAAATCTCATGTAGCTCTCACTGAGAGAAAATTAACATAATATCAGGACTTTGTTCCATTCTGGGTGCTCTAGGGTTGATATGGTTTGGCTCTGTGTCCCCACCCAAATCTCATCTCGAATTATAATTCTCACATTCCAGGGGAGGGGCCTAGTGGGAGGTGATTGAATCATGGGGGTGGACTTCCTTTTAGCTATTCTCATGATAGTGAGTGAATTCTCACGAGATCTGGTTGTTTGAAAGTGTGTGGCACTTCCCCCTTTGTTCTCTCTCTCTCCCCTGCTCCACACGGTAAAATGTGCTTCTGCCATTATTGTAAGTTTCCTGAGGCCTTGCAGTTACACTTCCTGTTAAATCTGTAGAACTGTGAGTCATTTAAACCTCTTTTCTTCATAAATTACCCAGTCTTAGGTAGTTCTTTATAGCAGTGTGAGATTAGACTAATTTATGGGGAAAGTCTGTTTTCTCGCCTCTTTCATGTTTTAGGGGTTGCATTCCTTGGTTGGTATCCTTCCTCCTCTGTCTTCAAAGCAAGCAATGGCAGGTTGAGTAATTTTCATATCACATTACTCTGCCATTTCTTCCATAATCATATTTCCCTCCCTGGCCACAAGTGAGAATGGTTCTTCAATTCTTCAATCAGACCCATCTGATTAGATAGGGCCCGCTCATATAATCCAGGATGATCTTCCCTATCTCATGATCCTTAATTTTTGGTACAAAGTCTCCATTCCTGTGTAAGGTAACATGTCCACACAGGTCCAGGGATTCAGGCACCGATATATTGGGTGAATAGGGGAGTGGGGGTGGGCAACATTCTACCTAGCACAATTGACTTTTTTTTTTCTAATCTCAATAAAAAAAATTTACCATTATTAGTCCATTTTCACGCTGCTGGTAAAGACATACCTGAGACTGGGCAGTTTACAAAAGGAAGAAGTTTATTGGCTTCACAGTTCCACATGGCTGGGGAGGCCTCACAACCATGGTAGAAGGTGAAAGGCACATCTCACATGGCAGCAGACAAGAGAAGAGAATGAGGAAGAAGCAAAAGTGGAAACCCCTTAAAAAACCATCAGATCCCATGAGACTTATTTATTACCATAAGAACAATATGGGGGAAACTGCCCCCATAATTCAATTACCTCCCACCAGGTCTCTCTCTCACAACACGTGGGAATTATGAGAGTACAATTCAAGATGAAAGTTGGGAGGGGACACAGAGCCCAACCATATCATTCTGCCCCAGCCCCTCCTAAATTTCATGTCTTCATATTTCAAAACCAATCATGCCTTCCAAACAGTCTCCCAGAGTCTTAACTCATTTCAGCATTAACTCACAGTCCAAAGTCTCATCTGAGACAAGGCAAGTCCCTTCTGCCCATTAGCCTGTAAAATCAAAAGCAAGTTAGTTACTTCTTAGGTACAATGGGGGTACAGGCATTGGGTAATTACAACCATTCCAAATGGGAGAAATTGGCCAAAACAAATGGGCTTCAGGCACCATTCAACTCTGAAATCCAGCAGGGCAGTCAAATATTAAAGCTCCCAAATGATCTCCTTTGACTCCATGTCTCCTATCCAGATCATGCTGATGCAGGAGGTGGGTTCCCATGTTCTTGGGCAGCTCCACCCTTGTGGCTTTGCAGGATACAGTTTCCCTCCTGGCTGCTTTCATGGGCTGACATTGAGTGTGTGCAGCTTTTCCAGGCGCAAGGTGCAAAATGTTGGTGGGTCTACCATTCTGCATTCTGGAGGTCGGTGGCCCTCTTCTCACAGCTCCACTAGGCATTGCCCCAACAGGGACTCTGTGTTGGGGCTCTGACCCCACATTTCCCTTTCACACTGCCCTAGGAGAGGTTCTCCATGAGGGCCCTGCCCTTGCAGCAAACTTCTGCCTAGGCATTCAGGTATTTCCATACATCCTCTGAAATCTAGGCAGAGGTTCCCAAACCTCAATTCTTGACTTCTGTGTACTTATAGGCTCAACACCATTTGGAAGCTGCCAAGAGTTAGGGCTTCCACCCTCTGAAGAAACAGCCCAAGCTGTACCTTGACCCCTTTCAGTCACAGCTGTGGAGGCTGGAATGCAGGGCACCAAGTCCCTAGACTGCACACAGCAGAGGGACCCTGGGCCCTACCCACAAAACCATTTTTCCCTCATGGGCCTCCAGACCTGTGATGGGAGGGGCTTCCATGAAGATCTCTGACATGCCCTGGAGACATTTTCCTCATGGTCTTGGAGATTAACATTCGGCTCCTCATTACTTACACAAATTTCCACAGCCAGCTGGAATTTTTCCTCAGAAAATGGGCTCTTCTTTTCCATCGCATTGTCAGGCTACAAATTTTCTGAACTTTTATGCTCTGCTTTCCTTACAAAACTGAATGGCTTTAACAGTATCCAAGTCACTTCTTGAATGCTTTGCTGCTTAGAAATTTCTTCTGTCAGATACCCTAAATCATCTCCCTCAAGTTCAAATTTCCACACATCTCTAGGACAGGGGCAGAATGCCACCAGTCTCTTTGCTAAAACATAATGAGTCATCTTTGGTCCAGTTCCCAACAAGTTCCTCATTTCCATCTGAGAACACCTCAGCCTGGACAGCATTTTGGGCAAAGCTATTCAACAAGTCTCTAGGAAGTTTCAAAATTTCCCACATTTTCCTGTCTTCTTCTGAGCCCTCCAAACTGTTCCAAATTCTGCCTGTTACCCAGTTCCAAAGTTGCTTCCACATTTCAGGTGTCTTTTCATCAACACCCCACTTTACTGTTACCAATTTTCTGTATTAGTCCATTTTCACACTGCTGATAAAGTCATACCCAAGACTGGGCAATTTACAAAAGAAAGAGGTTTGATGGACTTACGGTTTCACATGGCTGGGGAGGCCTCACAGTCACGGCACATGAAAGGCACATCTCATGTCGAGGCAGGCAAGAGAAGAGAACTAGTGCAGGGAAACTCTCCTTTTTCAAACCATCAGATCTCGTGAGACTTATTCACTGTTATGAGAACAGCAGGGGCAAGACCTGCCCTCATGATTCAATTACCTCCCTTTGGGTTCCTCTCGCAACACATGGGAATTCAAGATGAGATTTGGGTGGGGACAGAGCCAAACAATATCACTGTTCCATTCTGAAATGATAATTTTAAAAGTGTGCTTTATTGTTTTGTCTTTAGAATCTGAAAAATATTTCATAATTTAAAAATAAATCTTATTAGATGCACATAACTTTTGAAATAAAAAAAGGTTTTTTCCCCCTGCTGTGAATTATACTGGTATTTTATACACACATACACATACACAAACCACACAAGCATATACCACACACACATACACACTTCCTACCTTCACCTCCCACTCACACCCCTCACCACATATAAAATGTAAGGGCATAGATGAGGTTGAGCTTTATTTCTACATGTTTAATATGTTTTATGTCTTCTAGGCATTTATTCTGCATAGTAAGTCAGATTTCTGCTGTTGCCCAAATAAACAGAAGTGACTGTTCTATTGTTAGACATTGGAATCAAATAAAACATTAACCGTAAATCACCTCTGCCTTGTCAAATCAGGCCACTTGAAACATTCCAGCAGGTGATAACAAGTCATGCCCCATTGTGAGTTTAGTCTGCCATTTGGAGACACAGGAATTTCCTCATGTCTCTTTTCAGATAGTGTATCTTCAGAATGTGTCGCTCTGAATGCTTCTAGCCTTATTATACTTCTTGGGAAAAAAAGAAAAACAATTTTCAAATAATACAACATCAGAGAATAAGAAACATCATCATGAGTTTTGTTTTAGATGAAGTTTTACTTTTATTTTTTATTTATTTTTAATTTTTTAAAAATGTGGCCAGAAGGGATAGAGTTTTATTTTTAAAAGTAGAATATTCTTGAGACAATAAATGTTTTTATTAAGAACATTTCAGAACTAAGATTTGTTTGATCAGATTTTCATATAAGACATAAGTGGTATTAATTTATCATGCCTTATAGTTAATGATTATTTGCTATATTTAATTGTGGGTTAGAGATGAATCCATATAGATTAAATTTAGTATTTTAACTAATAAGTTTGGATAAACATTCTTTATGCTTTTTTTTACTATATTTAGTAGAGATTATTTAATCTCTACTAAATATAGTAAGGTGAAATGGTTTCTTGCTTTTACATCTTGGTCAAAAACCACCTTTTCCCTAGAACATACACTTTTCAATAAATGGGAAACTGGGAAAATGACTAAAGTGCCAAACTAAACTGGAGAAATTAGCTTCTAGGTCATAGAGCGGCTCAGAGGGTAAGATTTATTTCAAGCATGGGAGAAGATAATTTGGAGTAACTTTCACTAAACAATTTGTATCAGAATTACTAGGAGGGAAAGTTTGTTAAGCATCCAGTATGTTTTATGCCTGGTTTCACTATACATAGTTTTAATAGCATTTGTCCCTCTAGTGACAAGTTCGTGACAGAAGAAATACCACATGAGTGGTAAATTGTCTCAAATGAAGGATGTCAAAATTACATTCATCCTGACCTGTGTATGCCTCTCTTTTCATTAAATGATGAACACTCTTTCCACTCAGCTGGAATCTGGGTTAGCCCTGTGACTTGCTTTGACCAGTAGGACATGGTGAAAGCGATTCTGTGCCAGTTCTGAATCTGGGCTGTCAGAAGACTGTTAGCTTCTGCTTTCATGCTGTTGGAATCCAGCTGCCATGCTGTGAGGAAGCAAGTCTAAGCTAGTGGCAAGAGACAGGCCATGCGGAAGACAACCTGATGCCTAGCTGAAAGCCAGCACCAGCTCTGAGACATAGGAACCAGGGCTTCCTGACATCCAGACTTCCGGCTACACCATGCCTAGCTAAAGGCAGCTGCATGATTAACTCCAGCCAATACCACATGGAAAGAAGAACCTGCCACTGGACCCAACAATCCATGAAGAAAAGCAAAACAAAAAAAAACATTGTTTTAGGTAACTGTTTTGGGAGTGCTTAGTTACAAAGTAATATATAATTAATGTAACTAACCTGTGTAGTGGCAGTGATTTTCATTCTTATAACAAAGCCCCCTACCAAAAAATAGACAAAAATATTTTAAGAAAGCAAAACCTTAAAAATTCTTAGGCTGTTTCACCAAAATGTCTGTTATTATGCCATTCTCTTTGTCTCTTTTTATTCATATCAAACCCAATTCTCTCTTTTTGTGATTATTAACAATTTATATTATGGCTTATAGATTAGAAATTTGATTTTTTTTTCTGGTAACATGCTTAAATCATTAAAAGACTGAATAGATTTAAATACTGAAGTAAATTTTCCCTAAAACTGCATTTGAAACATAGTGACTATATAAGAAGGCCTAAGAATTTGCAAATACAATCTCACTCTGAGACTAAAACAGAAAACAAGCAACTTACAGTTTTAAAAAGGCGGGCAGGGGAGGCTTAAGTTAGCAGCGCATACCCTAAGAGATGTTTTACAAGTGGGTTCATCATAGGGACCTGGAATATGCCTTTGCCTGATCAAGGTGATCAGGGTTGTAGCCTCAAGTAGTCATGTCTGGAATGTGATTGATGTAAAAGAAAATTGCAAGCTATTCAATCGTGTCGAACCTTGCTTGACTTGACATAATGGTGCTTGTGGGCACTCGAAAAGAAATAGAACACTGCAGAGCATGAATTCTCATTGTTTTTCCAACACTGTGCAGGAAAAGTAGTGCTCTAATTCAAGGGGCCAAAGTTCTTTATATAGAAAAATTCCTAGAGTGGAGGGCAATCCATCAATTCACAAAGCTTCATGCTTACACCCTGTGAGATCATCCAACTTTGCCTGTTCAAATTTTAGTTTCTCCAGTCTTAATGACTTATACTATCAAATCTGAATGGACTGGTCCACTAACAGGGAGCTGTTTGTATACACAATTGGCCCTGCTTTTGGGAAAGGGAAATATTTTTATTATAAAGAACTCTAAGCCATTGAATTTACTGGGTACGATTCACCCATAAAATGCCTCATGATGAGGGAAGAATAGTAGAGCCAATATTGAGGCATAGATGTGGTAAGCATAGTCAACTAGGATCACTGGCTAAAATAAATGGTTTACTCCCATATCCAGATTATAAATAAAATCTGTGGCTCAGCAAAATCATAATTTGATATATTTCATAGAGTGCTGGGGTCTCATATAAGTAGTCAATAACATAAATGTTAAATCTATAATTACCAGAATTCTAGAGTATACACTGACATCTGATTGATACAAAGGCATGATTTTAAAATTGATTCGTGTTTCTTAATTTTGAACATCATCAAATGTATGCTTATAAAATCAAATTATACTGAATTGAATATTAATAGGACTTAATACTACCATTTGCCATCATCCTTATCTGACCAAACATGCAGTTGACATCTCTGTCTGCCTCTGTCCCTCTTCCCCACATATCTTTCAACATTGGTATGAGCACGATAAAATAAAAGTTTGACTTTTCTGAACTTCTATGCCCTACTTACCTATGTCTGAGAAGTGACAGTGGGTGAGCTGAAAACCTTTTGTTTGAGTCACATGAAATAAATTAAAATGCACTGGGCTACACTTTGGTCAATTAGATAATGGCATCAGCTTTAAGTGAGAGGGGATTTAATGAGATTTCACAATTTTTTGGTGGCCAGGTATGAGCAATTAAATACTATGGTTATGCTAAAAATTGGTAGATTTGATTGCTTACGTATTGAGTGATTGTATACCCTAATTTGCCTGGGACAGTTCTGGTTTACACCTGCTATTCCAGCATAATCTTTAGTAATGCTCTTTTTTGCTTTTGAAAATGTCTTATATTTGAGTAGACAAATTTGATGATCACTCTTGTTTTAGAAAAGTTGGAAAGTAGGTAAAGAGTGAATTAAAGTAGGTGGTAGCAGTAAGCTATTGGTTTATCTTTCATCTATGTTAGAAAGTCATGCATGTGTTATGTTGAGTTAAATATCTTAAACAACTTAAGTCAGACTGTATTCTAGGAACCCAACTACTCAACAGCTCATATTTCCTCCCAGTCAGTGTTTGCCCCATCAACACCTTCCCTTAGGCACTTCCAAGTTCTTGAAAACGCAAGCTGTTCCGACTTCTGATTTAAAGGTAGTATAGTCTAATACTGAATACTGAATAATAAAATAAAGGTTTCTTAAGTTCTCACTGTATTAGACATAGGGCAGGGAGATGGAAAGAAACCAAGTAATAAGTTAAAAAATTCCAAAGAACCTTCTCTCCTCCCCTAAAACATGTAAAATCAGAGTTTATACATTAGATGACAGCATACTAATTTAAATTTCAAATTGTGGATAGTTGCAGGAATTCAAATTAAAGGCAGTACATATTTGTAATACTAACTTACCCTACATAATCATTTTTCATTGCATTTTCAAAATAATTATATTAACATTTCATTCTGCCCCAGCTTCAGTTTGTAGGTGGTAGCATGTTGAAGGAATGGTGAAGCATTTTATGTAAGAACATGAATTCTGGAACCACAAGGCTTTGGTTAAGTTTCAGCTCTGCTACTTCTTCATGTATATTCTTGGACAAGTCGTTAACCTCTGTATGCCTTGATTTCCTTACCTGTAAAATGGAAATAATAGAACTGCTGCACAGATTTGTTATAAACAATCAGTTAATATTTGTAAGAGGTTTAGAAGATTGCTTAGCATATAACATATATGACGGTCACTCTTTATCCATGGGGGAATATGTTCCAAGACACACAGTAGATGCTTGAAACTGCAAATAGTAGTGAACTCTACGTAAACAGTCATGTGCCACAATGTCTTGGTCAATGATGAACTACATGTACAACAGCAGTCCCATAAGATTATAATGAAACTGAAAAATTCCTATTACCTACTGGTGCTGTAGCCATTGTGATGTCATAGGGTGATGCATTACTCACTTGTTTGTGGGTAATAAATCACATCACACTATGCATCTACTATACATGCAGTGCATATATACAGTAGATAATATATGATAAACAATTATGTTACTGGTTTATGTATTTACTGTACTTTTTATTGTTACTTTAGAGTGTACTCTTTCTACATATTTTTTTAAAAGTTAACTATAAAACAGCCGCAGGCAGGTTCTTCAAGAAGTGTTTTAGAAGAGGCATTGTTGTTGTAGGAGATGACAGATCCATGTGTGTTATTGCCCCTGAATACCTTCCAGTGGGACAAGACGTAGAGGTGGAAGACAGTGATACTGATGATCCTGACCCTATGCAGGCCAAGACTAATGTGTGTGTTTGTGTTTTAGTTTTTAACAACAACAACAACAACAAAGTTTAAAAAGTAAAATAAACAAAATAGCAAAAACCTTATAGAATAAAGATATAAAAGAAAATATTTTTGTATAGCTGTACAATGTGTTTTAAGCTAAGTGTTATTACGAAAGAGTAGAAAAGTTAAAAAAGAGACTAAAATGTTTATAAAGCAAAAACTCATAGTAAGCTAAGGTTACTTTATTATTAAAGAATTTTGTATTAATTTAGTGTAGCCTAAGTATTTATAAAGTCTGTAATAGTGCAAAGTCCTAGGCCTTCACATTCACTTACCATTTACTCACTGACTCACCCAGAGCAACTTCCAGCCCTGCAAGCTCCATTCCTGGTAAGTGCCATATACAGGTGTACCACTTTTTATCTTTTATATTGTATTATTACTGTATCTTTAAAGTTATTTAAATATGTGTAGATACACAAATACTTAAGTACACTCTATGATGTTCAAACAGTGATGCATTTCTCAGGACTTACCTGAATCGTTAAGGGATGCCATGAATGTACTTTTTTTTTTTTTTCATTTAATGACAAAGATGGCTACTAAGTGACTAAGGGGAATAAGTAGTGTGGACAGTGTGAATGTTCATGACAAAGGGATGATTCATGTCCCAGGCAGGAAGGAGCAGGATGGCATGAGATTTCATCATGCTACTCAGAATGATGTATAATTTAAAATTTATAAATTATTTTTGAAACTTCATATTTAATTTTTTGAGCCATGGTTGACCATGGTAACTGAAAGCCAAACCAAGAAAAAAGAGGGATGACTGTACTAGAGACTGTTTGTTAAACAATAAAATAGCAGGCATTTCCCTTTAGTCGAGCAGTGTGACTGACTGGAATTGGTTTTCGAGTGACACACATGTTATGGCTAATTTTGTGTCAACCTAACTGGGTTAAGGAATACCCAGACCGCTGGTAAAACACTATATCTGGATGTGTTTGTGAGGGTGTTTCTGCACAAAATTAGCATTTAAACCAGTAGACTGAGTGATGTGATTAGACCTTGTGTCCCCACCCAAATCTCATCTTCACTTGTAATCCCCATAATCCCCACGTGTTGAGGGAGAGACCTGGTGGGAGGTGTCTGGATCATGGGGGTGGTTTCCCCCATGCTATTCTCATGATAATGAGTGAGTTCTCATGAGATCTGATGGTTTTATAAGTGTCTGACAATTTCTCCTTCACACACTTGCTCTCTCTCTTGCCTGCTGCCATGTAAGACTTGCCTCTTCCCCTTCTGCCATGATTGTAAGTTTCCTGAGGCCTTCCCAGTTTAATTAACTGTGAGCCAATTAAACCTCTTTCCTTTATAAATTACCCAGTCTCAGGAATTTCTTTATAGCAGTGTGAAAATGGACTAATACACTGAGTAAAGAAAATCCGCCTTGCCCACTGATGTGAGCAGGCATTTTGAATTCATTGAGGGCTTGACTAGAACAAAGTCAGGGGAAGGGTGAATTCATTCTCTCTTCTGGAGCGAGGAGATTCATTTTCCCCTGCCCCCAGACATCAAAGCTCCAAGTTCTTGGCAGTTCAGACTCCAGGGCTTAAACCAGCAGCCCCCCTTTGATTCTCAGGCTTTTGTCCTCAGAGTGAGAGTTACACTGTTCAATCCCCTGGTTCTCAGGCTTTCAACTCAAGCTGAATTATACCATTAATTTTCCTTGTTCTAGGGCTTGACGATGGAACCTCATATCTAGATATAATACTCATTTTATTTTTCTGAAGAGCCATAATATACATGTTTCTTCTTTTATCTCATTTTGATAAGTTATTAGTCTTAGTATCACTTACCTAATAAAGTAGCAAGAAGAAATCTACTAACAGTGAGAATTGTTTTCTCCCTAATCACTATCTCACTATCTTTGTTTACAAATAGTAGATGTGTCAGAAGTTCTATCAAAGATGCATTAGAACTAACTCTGATTCTATCAAGCACATATAAATTGAGTACAGATGTTTATGCCCCATCAGAATTATAAGTGTGTTTCAAAAGAACATAGAAAAACACTTGAAATCTCATCTTTCGGTCATCACGAAAGTAAGGAGGTAAAACCCTTTATCCTTGCACAGTACTGGCTATGCAGTTACACAGGGACCAGTGTTTAGAAGGACCCTGGGTTTGTTTTAAAGTTCTGATGTTGCTGTCTTAAAATTGCTAATGATATTTGAACCACAAAACTCTCATTTTTATTTTGCACTGGACCTTGTCAATTATGTAGTGAGTCCTGTCTTACACTTCACCAACTAGGATTTGAATAACATTCTTTTACAAAATTATAAATATCCAGATTACACTAAAAAATTCTTTCTAGCAACAAGAAATACATGGTTCAAAAAAATCAAGTGCAAATCTGTGACTTAACATACAAAAGTGTGAGTCTCAAATGTTTAGTTTCTTATTATGAACAGTTCCTGAATAGCATATCTCAATATTCTCCAAAATGAATATGCCTGAAGCTGGACATACTATGATCCTTCTTCAGCATGTTTTAGGTGTCAATGGTACCATCTTCCTCCTATTCATGATGGTCAAATCCTCAGTCATCTTTAACTCTTTCCTCTTTCTTGTCTTCACCAGCCAATCACTTGCCAAGAACTATTGATTTTACTCATAATAACTCTCACTTTGGTCCCTTCCTCCCATATTCTTTAGAGTGTCGTTTGTCTCTCTGTGAATTAGTCTCAATCTGCTGGTCCAATTTTATCTGTGTCTACTCTTCCTCATGTAAGATATACTAAAATCACAGTCCTCACAGGCTACCAGATTTGCTGTGTACATCTATAATTTTGTTAATTGTATTTAATTACTAAATAGTTTTGGAAATAATTGGGAGGAAAACAGAGCTGAAAGAAGGGACTGAAGATACAAACAGGGTTTAGATCTCCTTAGGCCTTCTAAGCAACATAGAAGGATGTGGCTTTTATTCTGAGCAACTGAAGAGTTTAAAAAGAGCGGGATGATTAGATTTTATTTAACCAAATCAGCATTGTTACCTGATCATGAATAAATTAAGGGAAACTTGTGCAGGGGAGGAAACTTTTTTTCTCTACCTATCCTATGTTCATAGCTAAGGCACCTATAACAAAACACAGACTAACAAGATAAAAGCAAATACATTTATTGAATATAAGTTTTATGTAACACAGGAGCTTCCTTAAGGAAATGAAGACCCAAAGAAACAGTTAAACCTGTGTATTTTTATGTGAGGATTGATGAAGAGAGGCTAGTCACGGAGGAATATGATAAGACAAAAAGGGTGTGATCAAGCGCAATAAATTGTTGACAATTTAGCAAAGACTGTTTAAATTTTTCTCTGTGACCCTTTGTCATAAGAAAGAGATAAGGATGTTCCTTTCTTTCCTCTGAGGTAGAGAAAGCACTTCTCACATGAAGGACTTATGAAAATTCTTCATAGGTTTTATGACCTCACATGAGGGTCTGAAAGTCCTCCTTATATTTTATAAACCACTCTAGGGAAGAACTTGAGAGTGACTTCCCTGCTTCTGTGGTTTCCTCAAATTCCTTCAGTTAAAAATATTCCATGTGCTAAGTGGCCATATTTTGGAGTAGTCTGTTCTGGGCCTTATCATATGAGAGGTAGAAACCTTACTTAGGAAAGAATATATGTAAATAGAGGAAAGTGGATAAATGGGAAGAAATAACTAGAAGTGTAATCAATAAGACATAAACATTGATAGGATGTAGAAGTAAGGAAGCCTCCATGTTTGTTGCTTTAATAACTCAGTGACTGATGAATCCAATTATTAACATAGAGAACACAAAAAGAATAGCAGGTGATGGTGGGGTGAGAAGTGGGGCTTGGGTGGAAGAAACAGATAGACACTGATGTGAGTGTTGGAGACGACAAGTTATTTAAAGAATATGTCCTGCAGTCAGTGGGAGGAAGCCCTAAAAGAGAGCCCAAAGACAAATGTTATTCATCAACTCTGCACGGAGCCAATTTTGATTAGTTGGGTTTTAGCAAATTTCGGTCATGTGTAAGATTTCAAAAGTAAAGAAGAAACACTATTTCGTAGGCAAATCAAGAATATAGATGTCAGAAATGAAACTGATAAAAGAGTATTTAATATTAAAATGACAGATTTCTTCACTGCGGGTAGTTGCGTTTTTTATTTTCTGATTTCTCCTTATCTTTGAAATTAATTCTTATCTCTTTAAGGGGATTAAAAAAATATCTACTGATCAAGGTGTTTTATTGTTTTTGTTTTTGTTTGAGAAGAAGCTTGTATTAACTAAGTATTCAAATCTAACAAACTTTATAATTTAGAGAAATAATGACAAAGAGGGAAAGTGAAAAGTCTTGGCATTTTAACAGAAAGATATCAAAATCTTCTGAGGGCAATTTTCAAATTGAAGTGATTGCCACATTTTTGTTGATCAAAGATAATTCTGCCTTCATGTTTCTGCATGGTACTTAGCTCTCGGATAATGGTAAAAGGTATTACACACCCTCCCACCTGGTATTACAGCATGCATAGCAGTAATGAAGACGGATTAGTGCTATTTACCTACTGACACTGACAAGAGTAGCTCGTCTTTGTTCCTTTATTTTATCATGAAAGTCTTGTTTTTCAGCATTACATTGCCTGAAGACTGCATGCTGCCATCTTGAATACCAAAGGAAAAGGGTTTAACTAGCACTAATGGCCTGGATCACCCCCATTTGAAACCAAGAAAACTCAATGCTTTCCTCTGTCCATAACTTACATTTTTATAAAAATAAAATGGGCTTAAAAATCATTTTTATGATAAGGAGAGGTATACTCTTCTATATTATTATATTATTTTAAAAAATATTTTGGTGTATTTCATAGATCTCAACATTTCAATGATTATCTACATTCTTATGTTCACCTGCACATTACTTTCTCACAGATGCCAGATAGGAAGGAGAGAAAGGTGATAGAAAACTGAAAATTTTGGACTCTGTTAAGAGCAATATTGGGAAAAAAATCCATTTTAATATTACTTAAAATTTCTTTTGGAGACTGCCAAATTTTACTGATTCATCTCTGATTACTCTGGGTGATCCAAAAATTAATACCTTTCTTTTTGTTGTTGTTTCCTCCCAGGAGAGTACCCAACTTACCTCAAACCCGTCTTTGATACAGAATATGAGAATCTTTGATAAAGCCCAAGTGTATTCTATCATCCTGCCTCATTCCTGTCAGCTGTCACTGTTATTTCCTTAAAGCAGTTAATCGGATATGTTCAGCTTCACCTCCACTTCTTTTTTTTTTTTTTTTTTTTTTGAAACGGAGTTTCGCTCTGTCAACCCAGGCTGGAGTGCAGTGGCATGATTTCAGCTCATGCAACCTCCGCCTCCCTGGGTTCAGCGATTCTCCTGCCTCAGCCTCCCAAGTGGCTGGGATTACAGACACACGTCACCATGCCCAGCTAATTTTTGTATTTTTAGTAGAAACGGGGTTTCACCATATTGGCCAGGCTGGTCTCAAACTCCTGACCTTGTGATCCGCCAGCTTCACCTCCACTTCTATAACCCAGCTCTACCTGCAGAATTTTATACCAGTTCAAAAATTGTTTTGGCAAAGACAAAGTAGGCATTTGCCTGTGGGGTCAGGTTTATAGTAACAATAATTTCAAGACTTTAACTATAATTTGGCTACAATTTAGTTGGAACTATTGTCAAAGATCATAGCTTGAGGTGGGAAATTGCACTGACATTGTTAAAGTTCAGACTGACAATCAAGTGTTACACTTTGTCACAATTGCCCAATCCCTTTCTCTCTTCATTAATGATCATTGAACCATCATTTCCCCCTTTATTATATCGGTTTAAAGTTACATAGTTTGGTTGCCTATCTTGAGCTTTGTTTCAATATCTTCTTGATCACTTTGTGGTAGAGACTGTATTTGTTCCTAACATAAATCTTAGCATTCTAGAATTAGAAAGAACTTTATTTTTTCAATGGCTTTTGAATAAGAGTCTACATCATACCACAAGGGTGAGCATACTCTATCCACACAAATTAAGGGTGGAATGGGAGGAGCAGATGGTCTTGTTAGCAGTGAAAGCTGGCTGAGTCACATGGCACCAAAATACGTTAGAGGAGGTGAATCCATATGGGTCTGCAGCAACTTCAATTCTTGCCTCCTCAGAAGAAAGAATTTGATTGAGGGACATAAGGCAGAAAAAGAGACCAAGGCAAGTTTCAGAGCAGGAGTTGAAGTTTATTAAAAAGCTTTAGAGCAGGAATGAAAAGAAATTCAAGTGTACTTAGAAGAGGACAAAGTGGACATCTTGGAGGTCAAGTGCCCCATCTGACTTTGAACCTGGGATTTTATATGCTGACCCACTTCCAGCATTTTGCACCCCTTTTCCCTTGATTCCTCCCTTGGGATGAGTTGTACACATGCACGGTGGCCTACTAGTGCTTGGAAGGTGAGTGTGCGCAGTGTGTTTACTGGAGTTGTACGCACGCTCACCTAAGGCTTTCTCCATTTTCAGGTGGAATGCCCCCCGAAGGTTGTAGTCCACCGCTCTGCCTCTTACTACTCATGCTTAAGCCCACTTGCCCAATTTCTGAAAGCTGCTGATTCCCAATTCCAGGTATTTTTATGTATTGGGAAACTGCCTCTCCCTGGTGCTGGCTGCAACCAATTATTATTTTAGAGAGGCGGTGTGACAACTGCCTGACCATCACCTGATGGTTGCCTAATATCCTTGGTGTATAAGGGGAGCCCTCTCCTGTCCCTGCTCATGCCTGACTAGCTACCTACTGTAACAGTTTCATGGCGACTTCCTAATTGGAGCTAATGCTGGAAGTATTATTAGTTTATCCACAAATCATGTCATCCCATTTCAGGAGTTAGTACGGGTTCCTTCCTCTATAGTGGCCATGGAGGATAACACAGTCTTTAAAATTTCAGGCTTTAGACAAAAAAATCTTGTTTTAAATCCAGTATTTTATATCTTACCTAGTTATGAGCAAGTTATTAACTAATCTAAGCTCCAATTTCATGATCTATAAAATTTGAGATAAAATATTACTCACTTGACAAGATTGCAATGTGAATAAAAAGAGCTTTACCTGGTAAAGCATTTGGCACATTGCATAACACATACTAATTGTTTACATTTTAGTAATTGTTATTTGTTCAGCAATCATTTTACTCTTACTAACATTTTTTCTTGTAAACATAAAACTCTGTATTGTAGAGATAATATAATCAAACACATAAAAGGCCAGTTTACTCACCAAGCTATAGGCCATCTAGTCATTTTTTTTAGACTTGCTGTTAGACAGTAAAATGTTTCTTTTAACCTGAGTTTCAGTTGCATGTACAAGACATAAAATGTCTTGAGTGAGCTATTCCCCTGCCTTCAGCATAACCCTAACCCATCACCTAACACTGCACACAAACTTGTCCTCCAACCCACATTCTCACCTTCTGAAAACAGACAAGAAAAATCCACTTATTGTGATGTTTTGTTTTGTTTTGTTTTTTACTCTTTCTTTCTTAGAAAAGGATGGCAGCAGATGAACTGCATTTCTTAAAAGGGCACAGAAGTGAGTTATATGATTTGTCAGATTCTCAGTATTTGGAAGGTCACATAATAGAGAACAAAACGTGACTTATGCTACAAATCATAGGCATGAGATGAGTTGATGTTGAAAAATTGTTTTTATAAGGTAGACAATGAGAAACTTCTGGAGCTTAGTGGTTCTAGAAGAAGAAAAGAAATTTTTACTGAGTGGCCATCTACCATGTGCTTAAAGCTACTTAGTTTCAAAGAGATGCCTGTAAAAATTTTCTTCTGATCTAAGTCATTTAAATGGGATATTTTTTGATATTAGAACATGTGGGGGACATAGTTTTACAAGCATTACACTGTCTGTAACTGAATATTTGAAAGAAACATCTCTCACACTGCAGAAATATGGAATAAAATATAGTGTCTGCAGATCTTCCCAGAAAGTCATGCCAGTAGTAAGAAAAGTAATAACATATCTATAAAGAGGGGTCAGGAAATAATTTACAAAGTGTGAGAAAAGATTTTTACACATGCGAAAAGAATTTTACAATTTAGCATGATGATGATAAAAGTGTATTTATGAAATCTCTTTCTCAAAGGTGTTTAGCTATTCACTTGCTTTGAAAGTTATATCTGATTAATCACTGCTCCAGGGTAATGTACAGTCCCTTTCCAAGTTATGAGAATCTGCTGTGGAGGAGGCACAGACTGCGTGGGCAAATGCTATAATGTATTTTTCATCTATCCACTCACACCCTTTGTTTCTGATCTTTTTTTGTGAGATATATAATTTTTAGATTGTCAATGTAATAAGATTTGTGCAATATTGTTCTTTTTTTCCAACTGGTTTCTATTTACAAAACTTGAAAGAGATATGGTAGTCTTTAAATGAATTATAAATAAGACTGACTACTATAAGTGTATATTTTTATAAATTGTTCCCTTCCATCAATCTTTAGGAAAATTTAAATAATAAAGAAATACTGATTATGTTTCACAGCAGGATTGGTTGATTCGATCCCCTAATCCCTACCTTCTTTTAGAATTCTGAATATTAATCATGGGAGTAAATCACTGAAACAAATTAGTGAGACAGGCGTATTTTGAAACTGTATATTAAGGAAGTCCTTTGAAGACACTGAAGCAATATATTTTCCATTCCTAAATAGTTTCTTTAGCAAGACTATTTGAAATGGAACAATCTTAACCACAAGCAATGAGAAGCCGGATATAGGATCTTGCACCTCCAGGTCAGCAGTTCAAATCTGGCCTAGATCAATGAAAATTGAAAATCATTACCAGTGAATGGTCTCATAATGTTCTCAACAAATGAGTCAGTGGACTTGGTTGCACTCTCTTTGCTAGTTGACAAGTGCCCAGGTGACAAATCATGTTACACCATTCGTGACACACCCTTGATCATATTGGCACCAAATGATACCTTTGTTGGTTATTTTATTAAACTGGTTCAGTATTTACTGAAGTGAAACCATATAGTCATGATCCCTTCACAAATCATATCCATCAATGTATAATCTGATTTTGTTGAACTAATAATGTAAATATTTCATACTTTGGTGAGTATCCTTATAACCATGATACTAATCAGCCTAAATTAAATTTTCTGTTTCACTTGGCATACTCAAGAAAGACCTTGGCAAATTTCAGGCTTGGTTTGGATAACTGAAGTATTTATTTTAATTTATAGATTTATTTCAATGCATGGCATGATCTTATCATGGGAAAACTGCTTTTTCTGCTCATTTTCCAAGCTACAACAGGAAAGGAAATAAAAATTTTCCAAAATCTTTCCCTTGTTCTTTCAATAATATTTCAAAGAAAATGTTAATACCATTGAGGACTATTTTGTGGTTTTATGTGTGTAAAATGAGTTTCAGTGGAAAATCAAGGTAAGAGTTGTTTTTGGAAGACATCAAAATGGCACATCATTAAACTTCTGTGACGTTATGGGAAGGAAGGGTTGTGATAAGTTGAGGGCGCTACCCCATTTTGCTTCCCCTGTCCCAAATGAAACAAGAGTTCAAGCCAGGAAGAAGGAATCCAGAAAGCACACTGTGCCATCCATCACGTACCTCCAAAACCGTGTTTCTCCAAAGAAACTGCCAGAGATTTTTAGCTTTCTTGATCACATCACATGGATTTCTCATCTAGAAATGAGAAATCATTTCTAGATTTCTCTTATTCATTTTTTTCTCTTATACTTTGCCTTTATAACCAATTTGACATAGCAGACTTTTATGTATATTTTCTTATTTAATTTTAAGCCTCACGAAACTAAAGGATCTAAGAGGTTAAGTAATTTGCTTCAAGTTATACAACCGAAGGGGAGCATATAATTCAGTACTCTTTTCTCTCCTGCTGTTTCCAAGTTGTGGCCTTCAAATATGAGGGTGTGGGTAAGGAAAAGAACTAAATAGCTATTTCAGGGAATGTTAGACTCTAGACAGATAGAAAGTATAGCCTGTTGGGTGACTACACAATATATCCTTATCTGTACAAATTGTCAAAAGTGGATAGATCCTATTGTCTGATGAAATACTATTATACTTCAAAATTCTGGTGTGTAAAAATTTTGTAGTCATGTATTTTCTTATAAACACATCCTAAAACTACAGAAATTATGTGGGAGCTCATTTTTTTTCTTTCATGTTGTAAGAGTGTCATTGTATATTAAATGGTTGGGAACTCTGGCACTCACTATACCTTGGTGTCTCCCAGCTGTATCCATGTGTTGCCTAACATCTGCAGTGTCACAAAGAAATTCCAAACTGGGAGCTTATCTTGGGAAACTGTTGCTTTTGGATCTCCCTCCTAATTCCCCTCCCAACCTCTGCAAACCAGGTCATAGGAAGCAATCAGCAAAGGAGCAGAATAGCCTGTCCAGGAAAAATGTTCTGTGGAAGCAGTGGCAGAGACAAGGAATGAAAAACATTCTAGTTTTTGAAAGCAGTAGGTTGATAGCACTTAAGGAACAGAAACAAGCAGTGAGGGCAATCTTACTGGCTTCTGCACAGACATTTGGGGTCTTATATCCAGCGGAATGAATTAATAGACCTTCTTCTACAACAGCAAAGATAAAAAATGACATTTTAAGGGATGTGGGGTTAGAGATACATGATTGTCAAATGAGGATGGTAAAGTAATCATTCCCAAGTTAGGGGGATCCATCTTTGCTCAAAGGTATAAATGTGGTGGTGTTACACAGGCTAAAACATAAAACATATGTTCATAACTACTTAACAACCATGTGGAAATAGAATCCGAACTAGGGTTGTATGTGGAAGGTGGATTTGCAAAATAAGAAGCTTGGTTGGAAAGAGGAAGAAAAAGATAAAATTATTTATTTGCTTGTGTTACAAAATGAGCAATTTGTATTCAGAGCACATAACTGAAATGAACACGATTAAGGTTAAGATGTCTAGGAGCAAGGATTAGAAATTCAACTGGGAAAACATTAGGGGAATATAAAATACGGGTATGGAGATAGAAATCTGTTATTCTAAACAGTAATATTCCATTAAGTAAATAAATAATCATTAAATTTTGATGTGATGTATAGACTAGTTATTAGGAGACTAGAAAGTGGTGGTTAATAAAGAAATATGTTTAATTTAAAAATATAATATTACTGAAAATTTTACATAAATATATGCTTTTAATTTTAATGAGAAATGTTGGCTTTTTATAGGAGATGAATGACAAACACAATGTTAAACTTAACTCCAACATTTGTTATTTTGTCAGCTTTCAGACAAGATACCCAAGAGAATGGCAGAGCTCCAAGGGTCAAAAGAGGGTGACAGTAGGGGGAAAAAATGACACACACACAGTTTGTGCAGCCCGAGGGGTTAGTCTGCACACAGTAACAGTAATAATTATTTACAACACTGATCTGCTGGGTTTCTTAAAAAATGAACTTGTGAGAGCAAAATGTCAGGTATAATAATAATAATGAGGGAAGTTTGTCACTATCATTGCACAACCACAAAAAATGAATTCTTCTGGGCCTTATGAACACTGCAGGAATAAATAGCATATACTCATTGTAACCAATCACACTGTTTTGCTATTCTGGTGGATTTTTTTTTTTAAATCGTGGTAACATTTTTATGAGATAAGGGAGGAATCTGAATTTCTGTTAATACACTGAATTGTGTCCTCCTAAAATGTATACATTGAAGCCCTAGCCCCCGAAGTGACTCTGGAGATGGTACCTTTAAAGAGGTAGTTAAGGTTAAATGAGTTAATAAGGGTGGATCCCTAATCCAATATTACTGATGTCACTTTAAAAGGAGGAGGAGACACTAGGGATGTGCCACCACAGAGAAAAGACCACAGAAAGATGAAGCAAGAAGGTGGAAATCTGCAAGCCATGGAGAGAGAACTCAAGAGAAACCAAGCTGCTGACACCTTGGTCTTAGCCTTCCAATTTCTAGAACTGAGAGAAAATAAATTTATATTATTTAAGCCACCCCATCTGTGGTATTACTTTACTGAAGCCCTAGCAAAAAAAAAAAAAAAATACAACTGCAAATACACACACACACACACACACACACACACACACACATTCATACATACATGTATATGATATAAATTGCCTTTCTCTTCAAATAGATAAATTATCTTGCTGTGTGTTATAAAAATAAACTTGGATTAAAGTATCACATTATACTTATGTTGAAATTATTTATATCATTTGGGAATAAAAAACGATGTCCAGTTTTAAAATTCTTCCTTCTACCTCATAATATGTTAATAGTGATGTGTATTTATGTAATTGGGGTTTGGTATTATGTTGATCCAGCTTTTGTAAATAAGTAAATATTTTCATCACAGAGCATTCTGAAGCCATTGATGTAGTACAATATATAGATAATAAATAAATATTTGACTTCTAAATATCTAATTGTTAAACTTTCTTTCATTTGCCAGATAGTTTTGTGTATTTACCATTTGGCCTGAATTGTATTAGGTGACAAGACAAGGGGGCATGATATGGTTTCGCCATGCCCCCACCCAAATCTCAACTTGAATTGTATCTCCCAGAATTCCCATGTGTTGTGGGAGGGACCAAGTGGGAGGTAATTTAATCATGGGGACCAGTCTTTCCCATGCTAGTCTTGTGATAGTGAATAAGTCTCTCAAGATCTGATGGGTTTATCAGGAGTTTCTGCTTTTGCTTCTTCCTCATTTTCTCTTGCCGCCACCATGTAAGAAGTGCCTTTCACCTCCCACCATGATTCTGAGGCCTCCCCAGCCATGTGTAACTGTAAGTCCAATTAAACCTATTTTTCTTCCCAGTCTTGGGTATGTCTTTATCAGCGGCATAAAAACAGACTAATACAGGGCACTTGGGTGTGAAATTGATGGAACTCAGAGACTAGCACAGAAGATTGGTATAAGACAAAGTGAATGCATAATTAATAAACTGGTGGTATAGAGGAGGAAAAGTATCTTTCTTTCTATCCTTCTATGCTCTCAGTCAGGGCCACTGTAACAAAAGACATATTAACAATAGAAAAGCATACAAATGCATATAACATCATTTAATATCAGTTTTACATGACCCAGGAGACTTCATAAGAAACAGAGACCCAAAGAAACAGTTGAGCTGGAATGTTGTTATGCTAGGTTTGGTAGAACCTAGTATAAAAAAAGAAGAGTGGAGAGTCAAGGCAAAATGTGATAAGACCAGGAGCATGAGCTGAAGGTAATAAACAGGAAAACTTAGCAAGGGCTGTCTGCTAAGACTCCTGTCATCCTGTTGGAGTCCCTGTGTCTTTGGAGATAAGAATGCTCCTTTTCTCTGGGAATAAGGAAGGCATCTTTCACATAAGAATCTTATAATCTGTTTCAGGGAAGAAGGGAAAGGAAGGGCAGAGTCTTCCTGCTACTTCTCAAATTCCTTCAGTTTAAAATATTCAATATATCAAGGTGTGTACATTTTGGGGTAGCATGTCCTAAAGCCCATCAATGGCAATTGTGAAGAGTGCATTAGGATTATAAATAGGGAATCCTGGTGTAACTTGAGGGTTAAGTGGAGAGGAAACCGAAGGAAACCACTTATGCTTAAATATGAAGCATAAAAACATTATAAAGACAGGGTTTGAAAATGGAGCTTCCAGAAGGAAGTAACAGAATCCTCTAGGCTGTCGAGTGGAAGTTCCTGGTGTTTTGGAAGACATAGTAGAAAAGTCACTGTGGCTAGAGTAGAAATAATCATAGGAGAAAGGCCATGGTAGAGAGTTGGACATCCTCCTATAGCAAAGGGAAATCACTGATCACTTATAAATAAGGAAAACCGATGAATAGATTTGTATTTGAAAACATCATTTTGGCCTCTTGTAGTGAAAAATGAGGAGGAAGTTTGAGTGGATGAAAGGATACTAGTTAGGAATTTATGTGATTAATTTATGTAGATGAATCAGAATGATGGGATGAATTTAGTATAAAGTGAATGAATTCACAATTTTTTTCGGCAGCAGAGCCAATAGGACTTTATGAGAACACACACACACACACACACACACACACACACACACACACACACACACACAGCCTTAAGGGAATTTTTGAGAACACAGGTTTCAATTAAAGGAAGTTGATAAAGGCAATGTATGGAGCAGAAATGAGAAAATGTAAAAACTAATAGCTAACATTTATTTACTTCTTAGTAACATGGAGCTTAGAATTTTATAATGCCATCTAATCATCACAGCAGCCTACACAGTGAGTGTTTTGGTAGGGATTCTAGGAAAATATCCTTTCTGAGGTCCTGAGATCCCTTTCATCAACAGTTTTGTGAGACTTTCTCCCTTTATGACTGGACTGTTCCATAAATTAGTTGAATTCTCTATTCTTACACTAACAAGCACCAGATTCAATTTGACTACAAATAGCAGTTGACTTTAGACCAAAGGCTATATTTGGACTGTGAAAGTGTGATTTGCTTTTTTGAATTTATAATATAAAAGGATCGTCCATGGGTACCCTGAAAAAGAGCTATGGCTTTCTCTCAGAAACGACCCCAGGTAGTAGGAGATAAACCCAAGCCAACCTATATGGTTATATTTGCTGAGACCTGCCTATGGAATTCCTGTCCAGAGGATTCGCGGCGAGTTCTGCAGGGACGCACAAGCTGCCAGAACAATGCCCACTAGGAGATCTACAGCTAGCAGGAGTGAGAAGTTGTAACAATGATTTCATTGGAGCTACAGATCCTGCTGTTTTCTATACACTGTCAAAGCATAACACAATGTGGCACCAAAGAGATGATTGCATACAAACTTACAGAGATATTTACATTGATATTTACATAAGATATATATGTCTCCAGGTTAATACTTGCTTGTATTAAGAAATTAGACTATAATGAATACTGTTTATATTGAGCTTATTTGTTCAATCTTAGGTTCAGACTTAGTATTAGGTATCCAAAATAAAATTTGCCATTAGAACTTGAGTTTCATGAAGACATGAGATATGTTTAGTGATTAAGTACATAGTCTTTATGAGGCAAATACGTGTTTAAATACTAGGTCAATCTCTTTACTTTTGTAAACTTTATTATTGTAATCTAATAAGTAAAAAGTTGTAATAGATTATCACAAAGGATTTATGAGATTTAAATATGAAAAAATATATAAAGTATTTAGCACAGTGTCTTTTACCTGCTATGCTGGAATAAATTATTGTTATTGATGTTCAGTTATCTGAGATACATTAATAAGCTCCTAACTGTGATAAGACCAGGAGCATGAGCTGAAGGTAATAAACAGGAAAACTTAGCAAGGGCTGTCTGCTAAGATTCCTGTCATCCTGTCAGAGTCCCTGTGTCCAAGGAAGACTTGCAATCATTCTAACTTTAGCGTTTGTTCCTTTAGTATGTGATTAGCTTTATTACTATGAAAGTACCTGTAGTTATCGAGTCCAGGAAATAGTATTCAAGTCGTTTAGCAACATGTATCTAAAATATAGAAACATTTTTAAGCATTGTTTATCATATCCTTTTAGTACTATCTCTTATAATCAAGTACTTGTGATGTTGTTTCTCTGGAATTATTACTAGAAAGTCTGTGCTTACAGGCATGAGAAATGAATCTTTAACACACAAACCGAAATTCATCCTCATATATTAAAGACCTGAAAAACAGCTGGTCTGAAAAACATCTGATTTTAGAGTCTATGGACTTTTCAAAGACTGTTCTAAACAGGTAAATGGTGCGGCTGTGGGAGAATAAGTTAGGGAGTGAGAGATATGGCAGAAAGTAAAATAAAAATATATCTATTTTCATTATTATCATTATTGTAGATGTATTCATATAATATAGTTCTCTTCACATATAGGTTCTTATTGCATATATGTAAATCGTATTGTGAGACAGGAATATCACTCAAGCCAGGTGTCTTGACAACCGTATTTTTTTAATAAAAAATCATAGACATAGAGAAATTAAAGTATGTACATCATATGTATAAAGCTCTGTGAATTTTCACACGTTGAATATGTTTTGTAACCTGCTCCCTGAAGCTGCCCGTCATCCTTCTTCCTACTACTCTGACTTCTAATGGTATAGATTATTTTCACTGTTTCCTTTTATACATGGAATCATATACTACATAATCTTGTGTGTCTATTGTTCAATATATTTGTGAGATTCATGTATATTTTGTATACTGTAATGTAAAATACATGTATTTTGTATAGAGCAATTATCATTGCTGCACAGTATCCCATTGTGTGAATATACAATAATTTATTCTTCTTTTGGATTATTATGAAAATACCTGTAGTTATTGAATCCAGGAAACAGTATTTCAGTTGGTTATTATGAATATTGATGTGATTTACTATTCATCATGAATAGTTGCTTCATATGAATAATGATTCATAGTTTGTTATGAATAACCAATAGCTTTGGTTATTATGAATAGTGATATGAACATTTTAGAACACGTCTTTTAGTGAACACATTTGTGTGTTACCGATGAGTATACACCTAGGTGTGAAATTATTCAGTTATAAGGTATGCATAGCTTCACCTTTAGTAAATACTAAATATAGTTGTACCAGTTTACTCTTCCCACTAGCAATGTAGGAGAGTTTCAGTTGCTCCATGTCCTCACCAAGAGTTGGTTTTATATTGCTTTTTTTCATTTTTGCCATTCTACATCACATTTTATTAGTTTTGTTAGCAGTTTCATGATGTCTAATAGAATTTAATAATTGTTAAGTTATTTGCTATTTTGACCACCATATAGTAAACACAAATTATAGTACCTTATGAATATAGAATCACAAACAGCAGCAAGCCTGTGTCAGATGGACATTTTGTCTTTTCCGTGTTTTATTTTTCATCCCTTTAAGCATTCTTTCATTCAATATACCTATTTTCAGAAGCTGTTATTTTTATCTATACTTGTTCTAATCTCAAATCTTTGATCCTTCTATTTATCTAACTAGATTTATATGTATTATGTTTCTGTAACTCAGCATATGTTGCAGTAAACTGTAAACTACATGAAGAGAAGATAATGCAAAGAAGAGTAATGGAAAATGACAGTTCTATTTAAAATAGAATTTGAGGTTTTCATGAAGTATTTATTTAAACAGCTACTTAAGGATTGACAGTGAGCTTTCTTTTTCTGAATTCTATAACTGATGAGAGAATTCTGTTGTCTAAAGTGTATACTTTGTTCATATTTCCTTAGATTTTACCTGATTTTTTTTTCCTGTTCCAGAATCCCATCCAGAATATCACGTTACACTTAGTCATCACATCTTCTTAGGATCCTGGCTGTGAGAGTTTCTTTGATTTTCTTTTCTTTTCTTTTTTTTTTTTTTTTTTTTTTATTTTTGAGATGCAGTTTCACTCTTGTGCAATGGCACAATTTCGGCTCACTGCAAACTCCGCCTCCCCGGTTCAGTCGATTCTCCCGCGCCAGCCTCCCAAGTAGCTGGGATTACAGGAGCCCGTCACCACGCCTGGCTAATTTTTTTGTATTTTTAGTAGAGATGGGGTTTCACCGTGTTAGCCAGGATGGTCTCAAACTCCTGACCTCATATGATCCACCTGTTTAGGCCTCCTGAAGTTCTGGGATTACAGGCATGAGCCACCACGCCTGTCCTAATTTTATTTTTTTTTAAATAATTTTGACAATTTTTAGGAATATCACTCAGTTATTTTGTGAAATGCTACTCAATTTGGATTTGACTAATGTTTTTAATGAGTCATGATTTGACTAGAATTATAGGTTTAGGGGAGGAAGGAGATAGACAACAAAGATAAAGTGTCATTCTCATCACATCATATCAAATATACATATTATCAACATTACTTACTACTGTTGATGTTCACTTTGATCACTGGGCTGAAGTATTATTTATCAGAGTTCTCCACTGCAAAGCTACTTTTCTTTCCCTCCTTTTTTCTGTTTCGCTGTCTAGAAGGAACTCACTATGTGTAGCCCATACTTAAAGAGAAGGGAGTCCTGTTCTGCCTCTTACAGGGGAGATTTGTGTATTCTTCCCCATTTACTTATGTATTCATTCAATCATATACTTGTATTCAGTATGGATGCATGAATATTTATAATTTGGTTTTTAATAGAATATTTCTCTATATATGTATTATTTTAGCCTTGTATCTTGGGAGGTCTTTTCACTGGCTTCCCTTTCTCTTTGACATAGTGTGGTAGGAGTTATTAAGAAATTATTTTAGGCGGATAGAGAGGAAAAGTTTTTGTTTCTTTTAAAGCTGTTCCAGAAACGTTTCTTATCTAGAAGGAAAGCCCCGGCTCTTAGAGCAAGGCAGTCAACCTCTGATATGCAAATGCAGGCCTTTAAAAACTGGGTCCACCCCACATGGCGATTACCATCCTTGTGTTCTTGCCCTTGTCCCACATGTGCCTGGCAACATGGCTGCCCCCACGTATCCCCACGTGTGTAGAACAACATGGCACCCTACATTGGCATATTAAAATGCTAGGGTGGGAGGGCCAGTTTTTTCGAGGGCTACATGAATGTCATGCCTGGTCAAACCAATCCCCTGAGACCTATGCAAATCAGACACCTCCTCCTGCAGCCTCTATATATACCTGGCTGGTTTACCCCCAACTTGTGGGTCTCCTCTCTCTGCTTTGGAGCCCTCCTCTCTCTGTCTCTGTATGGGGGAGCCTCTTCCTTCTGCCTTCTGCCTTCTCTTTTCTTTCTTGCCTATTAAACTCTCCGCTCCTTAAAACCACTCCATGAGTGGTTTTATCTATTCCGACTGGAGACGAAGAATCTGGCATTCCTCCAATCACCGGAGCCGTATCAATACTATTAGTGTGTGTGTGTGTGTGTGTGTGTGTGTGTGTGTGTGTGTGTGTGTGCTTGTGTGTGTGTGTTGAGCACTTGCTTACTTTCTGATACTACAAAATGCTCCAGGCCCATCCTGTATATTTCCTGCCTCAGTCCTAAAATCAACCACTTCTTTTCATATTGGAGGATGATATTAGAAAGATTGGGTGTTGATCTACTTTATAGGCAAAAATGTTACTTATACTTTAAGAGACTACATATAAACCTGAGAAATAAATTTGGAAAATTTAGTATAAGTTAAAGAAAAAATTTAACTGTGTTTTTCTCCTGGAATAGCAAATATTTTAGAATTTTTAAAAATAAAATGGACTAAATGAATACGCATAACTATGTTTCTAAAGTTACTTTTTACATCTAATAGAATTAATGGTAAGTATTTAACTTCAGCTAGACGTTAGTCCATTGATATGGCTTACTGATGGACTTTTTAATTAAAAATAGGTTAGGCTGAAAATATCACATGCTGTGAAGGGCATGTATATTCTGTTTGCTGAGATTTTCTTTTTTTCATCTTAATGGAACTGAAGAAAGGAAATGATTATGACTGTTGCCTTGAATGATAAACTTTCATCTTTTAAATTCAAAACTCAGTGGCTTGAGAGACAACTTTGGATGTACACCACCAAAGGAATGTATGAAGAGAAATTAGGGAAATTATCTTACTGAATAGATGCAGACGTAGAGCTTTAGCTTCAGAGAAGATGGCTGTAAGTTATAAATGTATTTTTCTGTTAATTATGAAAAGGCCCATCCATGTTTATGTATAGTCTCTCAGATATGCACATAAAGGTCCACTTAATGTTAAAAAGTATTAAGTAAGTGTTAATAACAAACGTTTTTAGATTGTGGGAGGCTTAGATATCAACTGAAGGTGACTCTGAGTAGGACAGTAGATTTTACAAGAGAAAAATAAAGATAGAATTTACCTATGTGAAATAAGACATGTTATATCCTTTCCATTAAAACAATTATTACATTTGAAATATTTTTTAGAAACATCTTCTTTCTCTATTTACTTACATTTTTCTGACTATCCTTTAATAATTTTCACATTCTAACTAAATAGCATTACTAGAGTTCATAGTCCTACTCTTTATAGGACTTCTTCCATGAACAGAAGTCACACCTGATGCCTTTTCTAGCACTCATGCACCCCACCCTCATTTTAAATGATAGCTGCATACACTGTGGCAAGGGTTGGTGGATCCAGTTCTTGGAGTCTGAGGTTTTCATAATTTGTACAGCCCTCTCAAAGAAAAAGAATAAAAGATTATTCATACATAATTAATGACAGGGCCTTGGAAGAGGTATATAACTCAGAAGTTTAAGCTTCATCAGGTTCATAGTAAATCTGCCTCTCTGGGATTGCTCTGTTATCTACCCCTACCTGTTCAACCATATATGGGCTGCCCTTAAAAATGGAAATAAAAACTGTTTAATGTACCGCACATGGGTTTCTGACATAGAACCAGAAAGGGCAAGTTAGGAGACAGTTCTACGTGGGTTTCTCATGCTTCTGCAAGTCTTGCCAGCAGAGGCGCTAACTGCCTTTGCCCAATTATCTTTTTAAGGGTATCTGGACAGTGAACAACTTTGGAAGACAGAGGTAGTGTTTCTTCTGGAGCAAAGGGCAGGTTTTCTTTTTTCTTTTTTTTTTTTTTTTTTTTTTGAGATGGAGACTCGCTCTGTTGCCTAGGCTTGAGTGCAGTGGCACGATCTTGGCTCACAAAGGCAGATTTTCTTAGAGTATTGAAAGACAAAGTTTCTTCTCCCAGAGCAAAAGGGAAGGTGTGCTCCCTACTTATCTTAATATTATTGTTCTTGAAGCCCAGAGTTTCTCTTTTCTAACACAGCTCCCACTGCAATGTGCAGGTATAGCCTGGCCTTCTTGTGGGAAATTTGGCTCAGGAACTTACAAAAGTGCTGACACTCTCACTACTGCTTTTGCTGTGAGTAAAAAATTGACCTTTATCTTTGACGCTGGAGGCTTTTGTCTCTTGATAGTATCCAGGAAATCGCTCAGACTAACTCATCACTTTCTAAATAGGGTAAAATCTTAAGTCCTTAGCAGTTCTTGATGAAACACTCCTGATTCCCTATTCTCCATTAAGTTTATACCCAGCAAGTGATCAAAACTGTTGTAATGTTTGATTCATGTACAGTTGATCAGTTATTTCTCATCTGTATTCTTATAGTACATTATACTTACTTGAATTTTGTAGCTTATATTGTAACAGAATTTGAGTTTTTGTTTTTCTTTTTTCCTGCCCTCCATTTATTTTGCAAATAGTTATGATTCAAGCACAGTGATCAGTGCTGAGAGTCAATGGGATTCAAAAACACCCAACCCCTAAGGTTACAGAGCTTACAATCGGCTCTATGAGCATGTCTCCTTCACGAGACATTGACGTTTGAGAAAAGCTGAGTGTACTAGGCTGTTCTTGAATTGTTATAAAGAATTACCTGAGACCAAGTAATTTATTAAGAAAAGAAGTTTAATTGGGTTATGGTTCTGCAGGAGGTACTGGAAGCATAACACTGGCATTTGCCTCTGGGGAGGCCTCTGGAGGCTTACATTTGTGGTGGAAGGCACAGGAGCAGGCATCTCACATGTTGAGAGCAGCAGCAAGGAAGAGAGAGAGAGGTGCCACACACTTTTAAACAATCAGATCTAGCAAGAACTCAGTATTATGAGAACAACACCAAGAGGATGGTGCAAAACCATTCATGAGAAACCCACTCCGATGATCCAATTACCTCCCACCAGGTCCCACCTCCAACACTGGGGAATTTTTTTTTTTTTTTCATTAGAAAGCTATTGAAGAAAAAATGAGGAAGTAAAAGATATTATCTGACCTGTGTTTTAGGAGAAGTTACCCAGGAATCAATGTGAAGGGCAGATTAGAAGAGATCCGGTTTGGAGGCAAGGAGACCCTAGGGAGGAGTCTTCTAAAGTGGGTTGGTCAGTTACTGTGGAGGCAGAACAGAAAGAAAACAGACACATTTCCAAATGAAAATCAATATTATTTGATGCTTGGGAACCAATACAGACAAAAAAGTAACAATAATAAGAAAATGTCAAAATGTATTTCCTTAAATCACAGTGCTACTGTATATGCCCTACCCACAGGAGATATCTGTGGAGTTAGAGACCTAGATGGCATCTAGAGATAGTGAAATATTTCAGAATATTCACACTCAGTATAAAATATAAAGCAAACTTGGAGGGGAAACAGGATCCCTGAATGGCCCTGAGTGTACTACTGAGGTTGCAGTGTTCCTATATAATGGGAACAACTTGTGTGGGTATATGCTATTTATGAGCATCATTAACTAGTGAATTAAGAGAGACACAGTAATGTTTGGGAAAGAGTATGGACTTTAACTTTTGGCTTCAACTTTCACTAGTTGTGACTGTTAAGTACATCTCTTAATTTAAAGCCTAGATTTGTTTAAAATTAATGTGAAAAGTGAAAAATGCAATCTACCTAATACGTTGTTTTGGGTTTTTTTTTTTGTCTGTTTGTTTTGTTTGTATTTAAATAAGAAACTACAAAACACCAGTCATAGAGATACTATACCTACTTAACCCCCTTGAAATATCTGTTTTATTCCTGAATGAAAAATGGATCTGAAACAATATGGCAAACCTTTCTAGTTCTGTGAATGGAGGAAACATTCTCTGAGAGGCCAATCCAAAATCGGACTTGCCTTGTATAAATGACAAGTTTGAGGCGGGGTTGGGAAAGAAGCAAGACCGTGTTCACCTCAACGTTTTTATGTGTTTAGGTCTGCTGGTATTATTTTGTCACTACCATGTGGCAGGAAGCTAGCGGTATTTCTTCAGAACAAAATTAGCCAAGAAACATCAGCCTTTCCATACAAATCAAGATTCTTCGGATATAAAGTACAAGATCTACTTCAAGCCCTCAGATTTTTTCCACTCTGTAATTTTCCGAAAGAATAACTGGTGGTCCAACTAGGGAGGTATAAGACTTTTTTTCCCCCTCCACTGATCAGCACGCCATGTGAGCTTTAAATATCCACAACCTTCCTAGGACATAAATATCAAAACAATGTGAGGGCCATTGGGTCCCTGAAAATAGAGGCAGGAAGGTACTCTGGATGCATTTCCAGGAATGTTTCTGTATTTACTAAACCTGAGTATTTGCCTTTGAGATAAGCTCAGTTTTATGGCTGCAGGCGAGATACCGACTGGGCCATCATGAGGAGAAAGCCTTCCTGAAGGGCAGGTAGGAGGTGAATTTAGCACAGCAAGGACGAGAAAGTGGCAACTAAATGTGCAGTATTGCTCTTCCTGACCCACAGCCAATGTGCTCAGGACTCTTGGGGAACAATTATAATCAATGAGCTTAATTGCTCTTACACATTTCTTTATAGTTTAGGAAGTATGGTCACATTAATTATCTCTTTATCTTTAGTATTTAATAGATCTCCATGTTTTTCTTGGATGTTCTCACTTGATCTTTACATCACTCCATAAGATAGGAGGCCAGAGTTTGTTATCTTCATTTGAAGGAAACTGAGGCTCAGATATCAGTAACTTACTTAAGGTCGCTGTGAATTTGCAATGAAGGCAGAATAAGAACAGATTTCCAGATTTCTGGGCTTGTCATTATTTTTACAGAAAGCATTGTTTTGAAGAAGCAGAAATGCGGTGCCTGACCTAAATCTATGACCACATAAAAACGACTCTGGAAAAGCATTTCCTTCTGGCCGCCAAGCATGAGCTGAGCTCCAGGAGGAAATGGAGGAGAGGAACAAATTGGTGCTTCTCGTTCCTTCGGTGAATACAATTTATGTGTTCCCAATTGCCACCTGGGAAGATTTTTGTTCATGAGAAAAATTCTGAAAGAAATCTTAAATATAAATTTTATTAAAAACCTAAAGCAAAAAGATTGATAAATTGTTCTGACAGCTCAGATAAAATAAATACATCTATTAACTTTCTGGGGAGAAAGAAATATCCACTTGGAAAAACTGAGGCTGCTTGAAAAAGTACAGGAGGGAAAAGCCAAAAAAGAAATGAACAATGACTATTATTGAATCCTGAAGAAATTATAACTCAGGGTGGCAGGGGGCAGGGAACATAATTGGAGGGACTGGAACATGACTGGAAGTTCCCACAGGAAATCAAATCCCTGTTCTCTCAGCTGGCATTGGATTTTTGCCCTTGCTATATTTTGTGTCTCTTGAGGGCTCCAGTGACCTAATGCCCCATGGCCTTCTAGCCAAAAACAGTAGTGCCACAATTTCCACTTCAGTTGAGGAGGAAGCAAGAATAGCTAGGCTGTGGGGCTGAGGATGCCCACCCCAAGAAAGACGTTCCACTCCATTTCCGTACACATGAAAGAGGGTGAGGGAATGGGCCACAGTGGCGTGACTGTCCTGCCCTCCTGAAAACATTCAGCCTCAGCGCAGTCTCCCCTGCTGTGAAAATGAGGTCAACCATCCCAGTGAGAAGTGGGGCTGTAAAAACCCAAATTCCAACTTTTTCTTGCCCAAAGTTAAATAAGTTGTTTCTTATTTCTCAATGAGAAAAAGTCTAACTCTTTGGAAGCAATGGTGCATGTAGCATTTCATCCAACAACCAGAAAGGACAGTAAGTCTTAGAAACAAACGGCTACTACAAGGACCTTGATGTTCCCTCTGTAGGAGAGGGACAGTAACACCTTCAGGCCTACCCCCAGGCGATTGATTAAAATAAAGCTGCTGGCGTAAGGAGTCCCCAGGATATAAAACTCCCCAAATCAAATCTCTACAGTCAGTAGCTATTTACTCTAGGGGCAAAGAATTTGACATGCCTTAGTGGCTCTTGAGGGCATTATAACCTAGTACAATAAATGCTAATAAATGTTGTCCTGAGTTAGCAAGAAAAACACATTATATGGTATAGCATATTAAGAGGATAAGAAAACACGTAATGTATTTTAAAACCACCCAAATTTTCAATCAAATCAATTCAATCAACATAAATTTGTTGTTGAATACTCTGTGGATTAACAAAAACAAAATGGAAATTTTCTCTTGCCTCCATATGCTTGCTGTTATTTTAGGGACAAAGACAGCTATACATGAATACACTTAGTAGAAGACTGTCATAGGTGCTATGATTAACATTTAAACAATCTTATGACAGTATAGGTGAGGGGATGAATTTTGAATAGTGACGTTTGTGACTGCCTTGCAAGGAGGTGAGATTTTGTCTAAGTCATAAATAAATCTACTGCATAATTTCAGATGAATGAGAAAACTTGAGTTAAGATCAATTAGGAAAAACATATTGGACAAACAGAAGGAATGGCAAATAGATAACAGCCACATGTGATTTGGGAGTTAGGGCACGCGAGAGTAGAGGTAGAGGGAGAAGGTTGAAATATAGGTTGGGGTCATATAATGGAGATTTTTAAATGTTAGGCTAAGTAATTGGCATTTATTCTAAGCAATAGGAAGTGAATGTTTTACAACAGGGTAAGGGCAATAACTCTAGCAGTAGTGTGTAGTATTGATTGGGGACGGAGACCAGTAAGGTGATCATTGCAGCATATAGAAGAGAAATTAAGAAGGTCAGGACTAAGTTAGCAGTGGTAATAGAAAGATCTACACAAGAGATAGTTTGGAAATGATTCAAATTTTATAAATACCTAAAATCCCTCATAGGCCAAACCCATACAGGTGTGTTCAGTAGAATATTTTGATGGTGGTTTGAATGTACAGAATAAATTGTATTAGGAATGAAGCTTCATCCAAAGGAAGAGAAATAGGATAATAACTCACCATTAAATAAGTCATTTTAAAAACTGCATTAGACTGTGTGTGTGTGTACAGATAACAGGGTGTGTGTAAAGTGGGAACAATTAAATTGCTTAATTACACATGATGATGCTTTGGACAAGTTCATTGATCTCTCTGAGTCTCAGCATCCACAAATTTGAATTAAGAGTATTGGGTCCAGGCATGGTGACTCACACCTGTAAAACCAGCACTTTGGGAGGCAGAGGCGGGAGAACTGCTTGAAGCCAGGAATTTGAGACCAGCCTGGGAGACAATGCAAGACCCTGTCTCTACAAAAATTAAAATAATTAGCTGGACATAGTGGTGCGTGCCTGTTGTCCCAGCTACTCAGGAAGATCACTTGATCCCAGGAATTCAAGGCTGCAGTGAGCTATGATCATACCACTGTACTCAGCATGGGTGACAGAGCGAAGTCCTGTCTCTTTAAAAAAAAAGCATTGGACAAAATAATTTCAAAAATTATATTCTAATATGCATATTCTTTGCATATAAGAAATAACTTTTTATTGAACAGGAAGAGAGAAAATCCTAAATTAGAATATCTTCCTAAAAGCAGAATTAAAAATGTTCAATAGAATAATTACCCCTAATTGGTCTCACATATTGGAGAATATGTGCATCTGGTATTTTAATTCTCCCCTGTGTCTATAACCCCAAAGCACAAGGTTTACATACATTTCTAAAGGGATGATGAAACCAATCTAGGAGTTTTTATATTTTAACTTTTACTGCTCAATTTTATGGTCAGATATATTTTATGAAAAGCATTACTCTTGGAATCAATACTGTGTTTACAACATTAATCGAATAAATAATGAAAAGACCCATTAAATAAGGCAAGCAGATTAAGCAACTTATAAATAACCATTTTAAAGCTGTAGCTGAGTGATTGATTATGGCATAAACTTATTTTTGCCTTTAAAAAATGTTCTATGTCCCCTAAAAAAGATTGCAGTTTTCATAAAAGAAAAATTATGTGTGTTTGTCAAAATATTACTCAAAAATTTCTGCAAAAATTTTAGGATGCAAATGATTAAATCATCCAAGCATTATTGACTTTTTCTGATATGTGACCTGTTTGAGGCTAGTGTAGTATCAGGCCTTTTAGGAGAACTCAATTTCATAAAAATGAAACAAGCAGGTAGAAAATATGTGTATTTTTGGAAATTGTTTTCCTGACTTTTGTGTCTAAAATAATCCCAGGAACTTAGGCATGTAGAAATAGTTTTGATTTACAGGAAAAGTACCAGCATCGTATTTTTGTCTTTATAAAATGACTTCATTAAATGAATATCACAGGCAATTGAAAAAATATAGCTAGCCATTGGGTAGAATGAACAGTAGAAGATAAAGATAAGTCAATATTGTTTGTTTTGTTTATAATTTTTCACAAATTACATCATTTCCTCCTACCCTCTGGTTTCTTCAAGGATGCTGCTTATATCTCCAATGGTTTCAAAATTTAAAATAATGTGTTCCATGTCGTTAGTATACACAGTCCCCGAACAGTCCCCGGAATGAAAAGAGATTCAGCCATTTTTATTGTATATACAATACTAAATAAATATCTAGAAACATCTGCATGACTAATCAAATATTTCTCTTTCCATCCAGGTGTCTGGAATATAATGATCTGAGTTTAAAATGGAATATTTTAAAAATTCATTAATATCTGCATTACTGATTGAGTATATGCATTAAGTTGCAAAAGACAAATGGTGGTAGAAATATAATTTGATTCCAAGTACTCATTGCTGACCATACACTTCCTTTTAGTTGTGACTGTCCCCTGTATGGTTCTTAGAGCCACTGTTGCCCTGAGGCTTGTGAGTAGAGTTGTCAAAACAGACGAGACAACAAAAGTGGCAAATTTCTACCCTTTAAGCTCAAATGACCTGAGTCAGCAACGTCCCACACCCTTCCCATAGGATATAAAATACCTTCTGTTTGGGGCAGATGAAAAGAAGAAGGTGGAATATTCCACAGGTTAGAGGCAGACATCCTACCTCCTCTCCACAACAACTACCTTCACTCATAGATAAGTCTGAAAGACAGAATAAAATTACATAGTATCCTTTTTAAGTTTGGGCATCACAAAGCTAAGATAATATGTGCCCACTTTCTAGATGAAAACTAAGGAGATGACAAGCTTCATAGGAAACTTTCATGTGTTGTCGTGGTGTGTGTTAGTCACAGAATAGAAAGGGTGTCACAAAATATTTAGGCACAAGAGGGTCAAAGGCAATCCCCCGTGTCTCCCATGAGGCATAAGTGGCAAGGGAACCGCACTCCACTGTTTCTAGGTGCAGCAGTCCCACAGGGGATTAGATGAGGACATGGCTCACTCTCAGCCAACAGAAACTGGGACAAGTTACATCCAGAGCAATGGCCAACATTACTCTGGCCAACATTTAATGGTGTAAACCCATTAAACCAATTAAACACCTATTTCAGGATTTAGAGGTAGAGATTCCTTCCGTATCTGTGACTCAGTACTATTTTCATAAACCTCTTAAACCCCTTACTCAAAGGCTAACAGTTTAACATCAACCCAGGGACAATTTTTGAGAAAAATTAAGTTTTACAGCCAAGATAATTTTAATATCTGTCAAATTTTCTGAATTTTTCCAGTTGTAGCTAAATTATCAGTCAGACTGAGGGCTAAAGTTAGATATTAAATCTTTTATAGAATAAATGAAAACATTTATAAAGTTGTACATCTCTTATTCTTACCATGTACTTCATATCTTTCATAAAAGAAATAGAGATATTGATCAGGGTATATATATATATTTATTACATAAAACTTTTATCTCTGCATAATTAGATGCTCAAATTTGTCTGTGTCTGAAAAACTATCTAGGTACCATTAAATAATTTGGGGTACAAAGTTTGCTATTTTCCACAATATTTGTAAATTTTCCTCATTCTCATTGACAAAGCTGTATGGATCTTTGGATAAGAACTTGTCTAAATCACAGGTACAAGTTATATTGCTTTATGTAGGGAACGAACTGAGAGTAGGTTGCCTGATTTCACCGAACCTATGGAAAATAAGAATATCAATATTTATCTTATAATAGCTTATGATTACTGTGAAATTAAATAATATTATGTAAAGACAGGTGTTTAATAGCTGCTCTTTTTTCTGTCCTTCCTTATAACCCGAACTTTAAGGCATACGGCATCTGGAATGGTGCTTTACAAATGGTTGGATCGTGACAAATACTGTTGAGTAATTAGACCAGTGCAGCTCTCCCTAGCATAGTGTAGCTAGTGCTACTTTTTCCACCTTCACCTCTTTCAATAGCCTCCTACTGTTAGCCTTTTGCTTAGCTGGTCAATCCATGATAGCCTTTTTACTTCGTGGCTTTGTTAAATATGCTGATGAACTCCTGCCTCACCTAAAATTTCCTGAAACAAAATTAAAATATTAAAGTGAGATATCAATTCACCCAACCCATTTTATTCTAATCTATTTGATAACTGCTTTCTCTACCCCCCTTTTCTTCTCTCTTTTTCTTTTTTGAGACAAAGTCTCACTTTATCACCTAGGCTGGAGTGCAGTGGTGCGATCTTGGCTCACTGCAACCTCCGCCTCCCTGGTTCAAGAGATTCTCCTGCCTTAGCCTCCCAAATAGCTGGTATTACAGGTGCCTGCCATCACGCCCAGCTAATTGTTTTGTATTTTTGGTAGAGACGGGTTCACCATGTTGGCCAGGCTGCTTTCAAACTCCTGGCCTCAAGTGATCTGCCTGCCTCGGTCTCCCAAAGTGCTAGGATTAGAGGCGTGAGCCACCGCACCTGGCCTCTACTTCCATACACTCTCAGAAGAGTCTATTTATTGTGCATGTAGGAATATTAGACTGTTATTTAAAGAAAAATAAAATATCTTCTGTCATGTAAAACATTTCAGCTCTATGCCAAGGTTTTACATCCCTTCTAAAATTGACAAAAAGCCAACAGTACATCATGTTTAACTTTGGATAACAAATATGATTACTTCATTGCTAACAAGACTAATAAGTAAAATCTACTTATGTAAATAATGTGCCAGAGATCAAGTTAGAAAGCAATTATGACCTAATGAGGGTGTGGTTTTGTTTTCTGTCCCAAAATCATTCCAAATTTAAAGTCCCGTGTGAGACCAAAAGCAAGACTCAACAAATAATTAATAAAAGCATTATTCATTGATTTATGACAACAAATATAATTTGCTCATGCAATTCTACTATAGCCTTAAGTCTAACAGCATAATGCAATGATACCTACTTGAGTTATAATGTAAGTCCTTACAAGTTTCCATCAGCTCTTTGCCCCTGTCAGAAGTTTCAACACATAATACCTAACAACTCATTTAAGGACAGAGAGCAAACACTTTTTATATGCTCAGGTCTTTTTCACATAGATTGAGAACAAGTCATAGCACTTTTTCAGAACATAAAGTACTTTTAAAAATAGCTGGCTGTACAAGTATAGCTTCGGTTTTCTGACAAATATATGTATTAGTTCATTTTCACGTTGCTGATAAAGACATGCCTGAGACTGGGAGGAAAAAGAGTTTTAATTGGACTCACAGTTCCACATGGCTGAGGAGGCCTCAGAATCATGGCAGGTGGTAAAAGGCACTTCTTACATGGTGGCAGCAAGAGAAAATGAGGAGGAAGCAAAAGCGGAAACCCCTGATAAACCCATCAGATCTCAAGAGACTTATTCACTATCACAAAAATAGAGAAGGAAAGACCTGCCCCCATAATTCTATTGCCTCCCCTTGGGCTCCTCCCATAACACATGGGAATTCTGGGAGATAAAGTTCAAGTTGAGATTTGGGTGGGGACACAGCCAAACCATATCAATATATTTGTAAGGTGCATATTTATAATGCAGATATGAAAAGCAAAGACAAAATATGAATTACAATAAACATCATTATTTTTAATGCCCAAGAAAATGTTGGTTGGGTTACTTTAATATTTTCTTTTCCCTGGAATAAAACAAATTTTAAAATCTTTGCACAATATTTGTTATTATCCTTCAACCTAAAATCCCTCTTTTGGCTTTGAGATCCTTTAAATAATAGGAGTTGTTTTTCCCCCTCTAATAAACCACAAGAACCTTTTGTTCATTTTCTTCTAGTCTTCAAAAAGTGCCTCAGGAGACTCTTAAAGGAAATTGGGTAGATAATTACAAAAACAATTCTACTGGAATACAAATGCTCAAAAATCATTCTCCTGTACGTCTTCTGAAAGAACTTTTCATTCGGCATGTTTGAGGGCTCTTGGGAATCACTGCCTTTGCTTGCAATTTGGATTTGGATTTGGACTTTAAACCATGTTGCAATGTGTGGAAGGAAAATCTTGGGGCCCCAAAACTACTAAGCTAAAGAGAAAAGTCAAGCTGGGAACTACTCAGTGCAAACCTTCCTCCCATTCTATTCAAAGCCATCCCTCTGTTCACTGAGTTAGATGCCTATCTGATTGCCTCCTTTGGAAAGGCTTATCAGAAACTCAGAAGAATGCAACCATTTGTCCCTCACCTACCTGTGGCCTAGAAAGCCCCTCCCTGCTTCTAGTTTTCCCCGCCTTTCTGGACCGAACCAATGTACTTCTTACATATATTGATTGATATCTCACGTCTCCCTAAAATTCATAGAACCAAGCTGTGCCCTGGCCTCCTTGGGCACATGTTCGCAGAACTTCCTGAGACTGTATCACTGGTGCACATCCTCAACCTTGGCAACATAAACTAACATAAACTTTCTAAACTAACTGAGAGCTATCTCAGAGTTTCAGTGTTCACAAATGCAACCAAAATTCTATGTAGTGCTAATTTGTGCATTTTTGGTATTGGAGGAGGAGAGGGTGGGCTGTAAGGAAGACATCTCCAAGTGAATGTGTGGTGTGGGTGCTGTGTCATTTTTATGATTTTCACAGGAATTCCATCTGAGCAGATTGGCGAGCTGTTAATTTCACCCCCCTCAGACAATCCCGCAGGCAGCTACCCCCTCTCTCCCACCACTTAGCTACTTGGGGTACAGTATTTCAAAACTTCACAAGGACCTCAGGAACATTTTGGTGTTGTTTTCATTAGAAAATTAAACTCAGATGGGATGACCCTGTTCTAATACAATGGCAGTTCTTGGGATAAACTAGCAGGCTCCATCTATTAGCATCATCTAGTTTTGGATAATAAAATCTCTATGTTCTTTTTTGACCACAGCAAATGGAAGTCAGTCTAGCTTTCCCCTTGCTGACCACATCTATCTCCCATGGTGGTGAAAAATTAATTTCTATTCTATTCAGTATTAAAAAGTTACTCTAACTTCTGGATCTACTAAGTAAGTAAAATCCTGCTCCTCACACAGACCCCAACAAGCCACAGAATAGGCTTCACCTTTAATCCAGGATAAAAAGGTCTTTCAGTAGTTCATTGAGGATTTTCTTGGATTTTAGGAGAGGACACAAGACGGAAGATAAAGAGAAACATGGAGGGAGAGAATGGCAAGTAAAAGTTTGAAGAAATGTGAAGCTGCATATGGTTACAGTTGTAAATTGGCACAACAGTTTGTGGGTGTTAAGGGGATCAACAGAACTCTTTGTGTCTAACACAGGCAGGAGTGATTCAGTAAGGTTTGTTGTTAATTGTGTGTGAGTGTGTGTGTATCTGATTGTGTGAACATGAAAAATACAATGCCCTTAATAACGCCAAAAGGTGACCAATCTTCTGAGACCATAAGCTACTCAAAGGAAGTACCTTGGGCTATCAACCCATGTTCAAAGTGCCTAGTATGCCTGATGAATAAGGGTCACTTATTAAATGTTTGTCAAACATTTAAACAACAGCTCAGAAGAGCTTCCAGACTTTCAGTCCCCAAGTGCTTGTACCCCTACCAATTCAAAGAAAAGAAATTTAACAAATTCCCCTTTGCCCTGAGACAACTTATTGCATTTTCCTTGTAGAGGAGGAGAACAAAATCCAAGGTGTGTAACGTGCCTGGGTTCCTCTTCACAAACTGACACCCCAGAGAGCCAAAAACTTGGGTCGCCTGAGGATCATTCACTGAGGGGGCAACATCTGAGTGGCTGCCCCCATGCAGCCTAATTTTTAAATATCTAATTTTTAAAGATTTAAATTGGTAACTCCTAATTTTTGAAATTGTATTGACGTTTATATTTTCTTAAATCTGTAATGGTTTTTGAGATATATAATTTTCTTGCTTATGATGTCCACATTCAATCTTCTATGAACTAGAGTGAGCATATTTTCTGTAGATGTTCCTTGTTGATATATAAATATTAAACTATATAATTTTTATGCCAGTGCACTCAACCGTGGCAGAGAGCAATTTTGCTGACATTCAGACTATGGTGTTAGGGATATATTTATGCTGGAAGCTAGAAGTTGAACCTAGTATTATAACAGTGTAGAGTCATTTTCTATCTTCGGTATGCTTATATCTGGACACTTCCCCAACCTCACAGACCTTATCTAGTGCACATATCCATGAAAAATCTAGCTGGAGAATATTGCATTTGAATATGTTTAGAGTATCTGAGGAAAATACTATCAAACCCTGGTGTCGGAATTTCTCCAACTCACTGAGAGCATCTGCAGTTTAGCTTTCAGTGGAAACCTTTTCTAGTTTTCAGGTACATTGGTTGTTAGTTGAGAGCTTGTTTCTTTAACAGAGTGTTTAAATATAAGTTAAAAGACTAAAAGTTTTATCTTTGCCAGTTTTCTTATTTTAGAAATGTTTCCTTTCTACAACAGTTATGTGCTGACCCAAAAGATGTTACACACCAATGGACAAAGAAGCAAAGAGAAGAACAAACACCTTGCCGTAAAGGGAAATATCGTCACTAAAATAAAAATGCACTGAAGAGAGTTTCAAGATTGTACATTACAGGTACCTTAAGGAATACTAGTTTAATCCTTGGCCTCTCCCTGACTGTCAGACTAGAGAAGAATATCAAAGTTTCTCTTGACATGTTTATTATGCTCTCCTACATGACCTTCAAATCATCAGGGCCATAGCATTTCCGCCCACCACCCCATTTTTTTCCTCCTCCTGCATTACCCATTTCAGTAAATCGTGACATATTAATTATATGTTGCCCCATAACAAATTATCCCCATAATCAATGACTGAAAACGACAAATATTTATTTCCTTCACCGTTTCTTTGAGTCAGGAATTTGGAAGCAGCTCGTTGGAGCGATTCTGGCTCAGGGTCTCTCACGAGGTTACAGTCAGGATGCTGTCCAGGCCTCGAGGCAGCCAAAGACTTAGAGATGCTATCGGATCCCATTCCAATGTGGTTCACTGATGTTGCTGGCAAATTTGGGAAAAGCCTCAGGTTCTCTTTACATGGAACTGTCCTAGGCCTGCTTTATTATTCTTAAAACAGGTTGTTTGGCTTTTTCTTTAGAGCAGAGCATCAGAGAGAGAGATCCAAAAGAGAGAGAATCCAGTAGAAGCTATGCTCTTTGTGACCTAGCCTTGGAAGCCACACAGCATCACTCCTGTCACATTCTTTTCATTGGAGAGGAGTCCCTAGGTTGGGCCTACAACTAAGGCAAGAGTAATTAGGCTTCACCTTTTGAAGGGAGGAGTGTCAATAATTCGCATACATGTTTTAAAATGAGGACAGATGAGATTCAATAAGTCATGCTGATTTTACCTACTAAAGGATTGCTATAGATCCTTTTCTGTTCATCTGTTTTCTCTCTCTCCTACTTTAAGTCCTTAAGATACCTTACTTTTTAACAGGCTCCTTATATCCTATCTTGGGTTTAATATCTCCACAACGCACCAGGGAAATCTTGCTAAATCTGATCATGTCCCTCTGCTCCTTAAAACTCTTAATCTGGTCTCTGTGACACAAAAACAAACCACAAGCACCTTACCCTAACAGCCCTTCATGTCTCCAACCTATGACTATATACTCAAAAACTCTTCCCTTTTCTCCTTTAAATTTTATATTTTTTATATTTAACATTTGTAATTTATTGAATATATGATAATATGTAAGATACTGTTCTCTGTAAACCAGAGGTCAGAAAACTTTTTCTGTGAAGGCACAGCTAGTACATATCTTCACCTTTGTGGGCCATTCTGTCTCTGTTATGACAACTAAACTCTGTTGTAACAATGGGGCATGACTCTGTTCAAATAAAACTTTATTTGTAATATAGGTAGTGGCTAGATTTGGCCCATAGGCTGAATGAAGTTTGCTGACCCCTGCTGTAATACTAGCCTTTTCTTGAATTACATGCCCTAAAATAACATGTTATTTTGTCTAGATAACATTTATGATTGACCTTCAAGAGTCACCTCAGGTGTTGTCTCCTATATGATTTTTTTCAAGTGCCTTTATGTTGGAATAATGGCCTTTGTTCTGTGGTCCCATAGCAGCCTGTGTGTACTATTATGGCATTATCACACAAAAATGAATGTCAGCTTTCTGAAAATCTTCCTAATTATGCTGGCAGATCGTTTTCATTTTTGAATTCCCATTGCCAAGCATAGTTCCTGGCTAATGTGTTGAACTGAATTGAGTCAGAGAAGGACTAATGCACAGAAGATTCTTAGCAAAATATAATTTAGAAAGGGATTATATCATATAACAAGTATCTTTTCATTTTCTGCCAAACACAGTTTGTTAATATTCCATTTTGTTTTATGCAAATAAAAGCAATAGGGTCTAAGGACTTTGGAGTGACAGATCCAGAGTTGAATATATGAAAATTTTCTACCTGTTGATTCTCTGTTACAAAGAAACATTCTGTGGTGGCTCATAGCTGTAATCCCAGCCTGTAATCCCAACATGTGGGGAGGCAGAGGCAGGAGGGTGGTTTGGACCTAGGAGTTTAAGGCCTCCCTGGGCAATACAGTGAGGCCCTGATCGCTACAAAAAGAAAAAGAATTGGCAAAAAAGCAAAAAACAAAGAAACATTCGGCCAAGGAATATGATCTATACCAAGAAGTCTCAACAGTGTCTGCTCCTTAGAATTAGGTGTAGAATTGGTGTGTGGGTCTGCATGCGTGCACCCCCCGCCCCCCCGCACACACACCCACGCCCAGAGATTTCCATTCAATAGGCCTGTAATGGGGCAGAGAATTCTGATTCCAGAGGACCAGTAAGTAATTCAAACATACACTCGGGGTTGAGAATTACTGAGTTATAGTTCACATCTAAAAGTATAAATCTTGATATAGAAAAATTGCAAATAATATTTCAGATATGATATCATAGAGGAAAAAAAGCAAACTGCATAGGAAGAATTAGAATGCCTGAGAGTGACTCGTGGATATATTATGCTGCATAATTGTATGGCTGTAAGTAACTTACTTGCTGTGAATTCTCCCAGGGTTTTCTCACCATTAAAATGAGATGATTGGATGATACTTCTATTCTATTAGTTTCTCCCCACATATTTCTATTCTACTAGTCCTTAATTGGTTACCAAGTATCATATAACTAACCACTCCAAAACTTAATGGCTTAAAACAATGACACATATACTTTGCTTACTCATACGTACTTTGGGCAGAGCTCAGTGGGGACAACTTTGCTCCACTCCAGTGTGTATCAGCTGTGATAGCTCAAAAACTGGAGTTTATAATCATCAGAAGTCTCACTCATTTACTAATCTGATGATTGATACAGTTAATTGGGACATTTCAAGCAGCTAAGGCTGTGGTCAAAAGACTTATTCATGGTTTTTCCACACGACTGTCTTGCAACATTGCTACTAGGTTCCAAGGTCAAGCATTCCAAAAGAGAGAGAGTCAGGTGGAAGCTTTTTCAGCATTTGTGACTTAGTTTCAGAAAACCTTCAGCATTGCTTCTACTTCATTCTGTTCATCAAAATAGTCACAAAGACCCTCCCAACTTCAAGGTAAGGGAAATAGACATCCCCTCTTCAGGGAGTGACACTTTTCTGGAAGAATACACAAAACAAGAAATGCTCTTGCAGCCATTTTTTTTGATGCAATTTACGACAGTGTAAAGTTTTTGGTTTTTTTACTATGGTTGAACATATTCTTGCAGTAAGGTTTGAGAGACAGTATGTAGAGAGCTAAACAGGTTTTAACGAGAAGTTAGAGAGAACACACTGCTTAAATTCATAAATAAAAAGCATAATGTAACTCTATAAACTGCAAAGTAAAATCTTATGTTTAATATAATAGGTGAGAATGTTGCTCCCTAACTATATAAAGGAACAGGACCAGGGCGATAATAGTTGGGCTTCAAGAGTGGTATCAGTGGCACTTTGCAGAGGAAAGTATATGAAAGTTCTTGGCAGAGATTCCTAGTTGCCTGCTCCATTTCCCTCTTCTTCTCTTAGGGAATCCCAAATTTTAGCTGTGCACATGACCTAATGGAACAAAGCCTCTATTTATAAGCTTCCCTTGTAGTTAGGTGTGGCAATATGATAAAGTGCTGCCTAAAAGTGCTATGCACAACATCTGGAATGTATCTGAGATGGAGGGAGACACACCTCGCTCTGCACTCTGTAACTGTCAGTCTTTCTGATAGCTTGAACGTTACAGCTGCCTATTGAAGAGTCATGCTGGAACATGAAGCAAAACACTAGGGATGGATCTCCAACGATAATAAAGTAACGGTTCCAATAAGGACTGTGTCCCTCTCCCTACATTTCATTTTCATGAAAAAACAATAAGACTGTGTCTTAGTCGATATTGTTACAGATTCAGTCACATTCAATTGAACCTAATCCTAACCAATACAGAAACTACGTCTTATTCTTATATGTAGTGTTGACTACATTATAATTATTGCTAAGTTTTTGGTGTTGTCTTACATGCCATCACATTGACAGTACTGATTAAGGCCCGCAGAAGCCTAAAATTTATGCTATACTATCACCATGTCTGCTATTTGAGGTTTTGATTGTTCTACATACAATCCAAAATTGAATACACTTTATAACTTTTGGTTAAATGGTTTGAGCTATTCACATTCAATTTGAGTTTTCTATTATGTAAAACAGAAATAGTCTATTTCATAATATTTTGAGGAAAATCACACGAGATAATAGAAGAACATATCTTGTGCAATTGCCTGAAATAAGAAATAGCTATTATTATTATTATTATTGTGTTAGTAATGTCTGTGGTGATTCATAGCTGTTTTTCAATAATAATTTCTTTCTGAATTGATCACATGGCGGTTGTAAACGTTGGGGAAACATACAGTTTCAAAGGAGAAATGATGACTGCAGTCAGGAAGGCATGTCTGTTCTCTTTCACTTTCACTTCTCATCCTTTTGCAGGTAAATAATGCTCCGGCTACAAGTCCAGGCACCTAATAGAGGGGTGCATGCTCATGAGTAGCTCAGAGGACCTCATGCTCATGGCCACAGAGATTGGTCCAGAAAAAGGCACATGCACATAAACCAGGTAGTGCAATCAAAATACTAATCAGGAATTTTTTGCAGGGGGCTGAGCAGGGATAGAGAAAATTCTTGTAATTATGTGCAAATAATCAGCCTCTGGGAGCCGCTATCTACCTTATATGGGAAAAGTCTATCAACAACAAAAGAAAATGAAACTTTGTGCAGAAAAAATATCCATGATGTGGGCATCTATGAGACAGACAGAAAGAGAGATGGGGACACACACACACACACACTCTTGGTATTTATTAAGTCGATGATACCAGATATTTCTTTTATACCAATTCACTGTGTACCAATTTTATGAGCCAAAATTTTTGTATTTTGCTCGAATTCCTTGCATTGAGTTTCTAGCTCTTGCAATTAAATGAGTCCTGGTTATGTCAATGAGGAATTAGATCAGATGAGCAGAGCTACTGGGAAATAAATGTTAGGTGAATCTCATTATTTGCAGAGAAAAATGGGTTAGAAATATCGTCATTACATTTTGTATGTGTGCATCTGTGTGTAAGGGCAGATCATACAAATGGTATAAACACATCTAGTAAAAACAATGTTTCTTTTTCTAAATTTAAACTTTAGATTTTACCATATTTTTCTGATGTTCATTTATTCAACTACCTGAAACAAAAACATGTAAGCCATGAATTTAAATTCCAATCAATCAACTTATCCAAAAGCCTGATTTGTGTTATAAACAGCAGCCTGTAAGGTTATTAAGGGCTAGTTACATACCATGCAAATATTGAGAACGTGCTCATATTTTCCTGCAAGCCTCATGCAGCAAGTAGACAGCTTGGCTTTGAAGATCAAAGTCAGTCTTATCTTTTGATTCTAATCTTTTATATTCCTCATAAAGCATAATCTTTAAAATTAAGAAATCATTTTAATTTTGAAACTTTTACAATACTTTCAAAATGGTTTCATAGAAATCAAAATAAGCCCTTTCTTACTGAATGGGGTATTAGTGAAGGAAGGCTTACATAGCTATTGTGAAAACAGTCTGTTTTAGATAAGAAGGGAGCAAATATTAACCTCAAAGATTTCATGTAGGAATTGTATGAATCAAAATCCAAGTATACAAATATATGTCAATTTTTAAATGTAGCTAACCCTTTTTTAAGGGGAAAGAATCTTGCATGCATATGGTGCTCCTCTTTCAGTGACGTGTGTGTGTGCATGTGTGTATGTATATACATATATACATGTGCATATATTTATATGTAATTACAAGATATGTATATATTTCATATGTATACACGTGCCATGTAGGTGTGCTGCACCCATTAACTCGTCATTTAGCATTAGGTATATCTCCTAATGCAATACCTCCCCCCTCCCCCCACCCCACAACATGTACCCTAAAACTTAAAGTATAATAATAATAAAATTAAAAAAAGATATGTATATATTTCTTTTAATACACTGATTTATAGTTCTGTAAAACAAGTAAAAATATTTCCTTATTACCCTAAAATAAGTAAATTATCACTTTAACACTCAAACCTGGATGGACCACTGATGTTTTATACTCATAAAATGATTCAGTCTGGCCTAGACAGTTAACCAGTCTAGATACACACAGTCATATTAGCCATGAAAAATCCAAATGTCCATTAAGATTGTTACTGGGTAACCATTTTTCCCAGTTGTCTCATACTGAGACTCAACTATAAAATCTTACAGTTCTTTCTCATCCATTTCTTCTTTCCTTTCTCCTCTTTTCTCAATTTCTTTTTCGCTCTCCATTTTCTACCTCATACTCGATTCTCTTATTTACTGTATTTTTGTTTTTGCCTTCTTCACCCCTTCTTTCGTTTTTGTAAAACTGAGTGTACTAACTTCTAACCGCTTGAGCTTCCTCTCGAAGTCTTTTGTGATAGCTGCAAGCTGATTATGGTGCTGAGCTTTCTTTATGACTTTCTGATGTGCTCAGAGTTCTCTTCCCATTTTTTTCACTCCGCATCCCCATTCCTAGGGATTTACTTTCAGCTCTGTTCCAGAACAGATGCTCTTTTCCACTCCCCACGGAGATCAAGAGCTTGGAGCAGAAATAATAGCTCTCCTCACAAAAAGACAAGGTAAACTATAATAAACTAGGCAAGCCATTTAGCAAAATTCTGAATGTTTTCTGTGCTTTAATTGCTATGTAAAAAGCAAATGGTTTCTGCCTTGAATAAGGCTATAAATGCACGGAAGTGTATATAAGCCAGGGTTTGAAATGCAAAACACCAGTCATTGCAACACGTGTTTGATATAAATATCAGTACTAAACAGTACATTTTTGGAAGTTCTTAATTGTTTTTCCCTCATTGTGAGGGTTAACAGTTTAATCTTTAGTAAGAGATACAGATAAGCAGGTGGAATTTGAATGTGTAGTGGATTCAAAAGGGAATCCAATTCCTATGCTAAATTCAAACATCATTAAAATGGAAACTTGTCACTGTGCAGTACAAAGGCAAATACCACCTCATGGTTTAAAGAAATCAGTGTTTGTATGTACTGCATGTTTGAGCATTCCAAGCTTCTGAAAGATATAAAAAATTGAGCATGTGGGGGTTCTATAAAGGGAGATGTGTGATATCTCTCCTTCAAGAAAATTAAAAATGACAGTATTGATTTAGAAGGTTGTGTTTTATGTCATCTCTCTTCTGTTATATATTAAAGAAAATATAAGTATTTTCCTTAACTAGATTTTTAAAAATTGGTTTAAGTACCATATTTTGAGGAGACATTTCCCCAAACATAAAAATGAGAGGATTTATGCAAGACAATGACATTCTCATCTCAAATAGCAAATCTTAATAAGGCTCACAAAGTCTCAGAGGGAGTCAGGGGAAAAATTAGTGAAAAAAGTACAAGTTTGACAGATGGAATTCGGGTGACATAGGTAGAAGGTGACAAGATGAATGCAGACATTACACCAGAATGGAACAAAGCCAGAAGCAAAATATGAAGATGAAACATTAAGTAACTTGAGACAGAAGCAACAAATATATAATATTGCAAATTGTTTCATATAATCGTTAGTTTCCTGAAATATTCTCCAAACAATGTCTTATGGTCAAATATGTTGGGGAACGTTGTATTTTTGTCTCTTTATTTCAGGTTCATCTAGTAAAATCTTATAAATTTTGAGGATTTTGGGAAAGTTTAACTTAGTTTAACTTAGTGTTCTTAGTAATCTTTGCATTTTATAGAGAAAACCACTCAAATTCATTAAAACAAAAAAAGACACATTTTAAAAACTACAAGGGTTGTAACATAAGGGTCGAATGTACAGTCAGGCCTTACAAAGATTTCTATTAGATATTTCAGTATCCCACTTCCAGTTTTTAGGAATGACAGTCTGACAGGTCTAGGTTGAAAGAAGTTTCCATTTCTTGTTTAGCTACAGCTGAATTTACATTTTCTGATGCTGAAACTTATTTCATAAACTCAAATATATCGGGATAGTATTTCCACATATTTTCATTACATTCCTACTGCTCTGTTTTAATATGTTTGTCTTTAAAAAAATTCCTTTACTCCATATCCACCTCTGACTATTGCTGCATTGTTTTGCAACTGTTACAATAAAATTTCTTAAATGAAATTTTTATCCTTATTATCCCATGTTATAATGCATTTTTTTACCTCTTTTGAATCTGGCTCCTCTCTTCAAAACTCCACTGAAGCATCTAGGTCAGCAACAATCTTCATGTCATGCTTCATCATAAACAACGTCTTAGTACTGTTGGATAGAGTTGATCAATGCCCCCTGGTCAAAAACAAACAACAACAACAACATTTTCATCATTTGCCTTCTCATAATATCATCATGGTCTTCTCTTTCCATCTATGTTTGTTTCTTCTTCAATGGCTCTTTGTTTAATATCCTGTCTTTAAATGCTGAAATGGGCCCATGTCTCTTTTCACTAAATGATTCTATGGTCTCATCCATTCCCACCACTTTAAATCTATTTGTTGATGACTGGCAAACCTCTCTGTCTCACTTACCTCTACTTAGAGCTGTAGATGTCATATTACTTGACATCTCCAATAAATATCTATTCAACATTTCACATTTAGAATGTTCACAAAGGAGCTCATGATTTTACCACTTTATCTTTATATCAGCAAATGGTAGTAGCATCCACACAGCAGCTCAAGCCGAAAACCTAGGAGTCATCTTGAATTCTTCTTTCCCATTCACAGAATGTATTGCCGTCTTTTGTTTCCAATTCTCCCTTCCTCCACTCAAGAGAATGCATGAATAATTTCTTGATCTGACCCTCGTTAGTCTCAGAGTAATCACCCTGCTTTTCTCTTTTAGTTCTAGTTGAACGGTACTAGAGAGAAGTTGGTCCCTTTGCTGCTGTGACTTATTACAGTCTGCAATAATGGTCAACGCATTTGGATATTGTCATATTTAGCCAACAAATCTCATAGAATATGATCTGGGCTCTACTAGACTCTTGGTAATAGATTAACTGCCCTTTTAATATTTTGCTAGCTCACACAAACTACCAGTTTCCCCTTTTGGAGCAGATGCTTATTTCTGGGTTATAGAAATTACCTGAGATTCATTTATATTCAAAATGCAATGACGCTCCTCCTTCCAGTTGTCCCTGAAGTGTCTGTCGTTTCCATTTTTTCAGCCACATTCCACTTGCTCTTGACATACTGCTCTTTTTCCTTCTCTAATCTGTGGTATATTCTTTCTACTCCTTTTTCTTTTTACTCTTAAGTCAATTTCTGATCTTGAATTTTGCTCCTTTTGGTTTGCATAAAGTTGTTTTTATGTGATGAAGTATAAGCCCTAGAAACAATACATTTTTACAGAGGGGTCATAAATATAGAGACAGGTTAATTAAAATTAATAGTTGCAGCTCTATGAGTAAACGGACAACTCATAGCAATCCATTTAAGAAGTTATCCCATTTTAAGGCTGTCAATGCCTAAGCAAGAAGTATTCATACATATCCATAGACCTGAGAATATGTACATTGCTTCAATCTCAAATATAGCAGGCAGGTGCTAGGGTGAGAAAAGGAAAGTAGAAGTGTCTAAGCCAGCAGGCCTGTAGGAGCTGGGGAAACGTTCTCAAACAGAGGAAGTGTGTGCATCCCAACCTTATGAGAGCTATAAGCCCTCGAATTCTGTGACTTTTTACAAGAAGGTATTTGTAAGCAGACTGAAATGAAATGGACACATATGATATTATTCAGAAAAATAACTGCTTTTTAAAAGTTGTCTAAGTGTATCAAGTGATAATGGTGGCTCAGAAATTCCCAAAATAATAACTGGAAAGACAAGTCAGGCAAGACACAAGGAAAAAATTTCTGCTCACTGCAGTTTATATGTCATGTGGCTGCACTCTATGGAGCTGACAGAAATCATGTGCTCAGTGGAAATTTATAGATTATACCTCATTGCTCCAAAAAGTCCCAGGAGAAAATACTTGACACTAGGCAGTGACATTTCAACTAAAACCTTGATTGTGTTTAGATACAGGTGAATTTGTAAGGACTTTCAGAAAAGAAATGATCACTGATTGAGATGCTAAAATACTGTAAATAATTGGTAGGATAGCTATCTCGGTTTTCTTCAAAATTTTTTGCTAAATCTTTATAAGTCTTAATAGTATTAGGTCAGTGCAAAAGTAACTGCTGTTTTTGCCTTTGAAAGTAATGGCAAAATATTTATTACTAATCTCACAACCAATGGCCCTTTCATAAACATTGACTAATGAAATACCAAAATGATTTTATGTCAGTTCTTTCAGATGGGTTTTTATGTATTTATCAAATTGGTTTTGAGACTGCTCCTGAGAAATGCTATAGGTACTCCCAAACAATCACAATTTTCCTGGCCTGATATCCATTAAATCTTCAAAACCATCACAGCCACATATAGGCTTTATTTTCAGTTTGTTCTTATAGAATACCTGTGAAGATCTTGATGAAATGGATTTTACAGTTATTTCCTAAATGAGTGAGAAGGGGAAAAAATAAAAACTTAGATTTTAAATTTGCATTTTTGTTTAAGAAAATTGCAAACCTCTCGCATTATGCAATTGAAAGCAATATAAAAAATTCATGAGTAATAGAACTGAGATTTTTGTCATGGTTGAAAACATTTTTTGAAGTCCATATCAGCATGTTTCAAGTGAAATGGATAAATGAGACAGTTATACATTATTACTTTAAAAATAAAAAAAAATCACTTACTCCAACTTTTGAGACTTTTTAAAAACCTAACTTGTTCTAAATATTTTTAGGTGTCTGTACTTTATTCATCAATGACCTAAACTAAAACTATTACAGAGCTGCAGAGAATTTTCTGGTGGGTATTGGGCTATGGTGTGGGGTTGAGGGAGGCAGTTTCTTAACCTAGAAACTGGTACCACTTTTCATTTCACCTTCATTTCTACACGGGTTTTATATACCATTTGTATTTGCCCAGTTGGTCTTAAAGAGCACAGGTGTATAATATGGGCTTTTGCTATCTCTACTAAGCAATATATTTTTATTTTCATATTTATTCAAGAGTGGAGAGAACCACACAATGTCTTTAACTTTTGGGGGAAGAATCAAGAGCTCTAAGACAAATCACTTTATGCACCTATCTCTACAGTCTTTGCATACATGGTAAGTATGAATAAATTTCACCTTAGATAATTAGCTGAGAAAAGGATGCAGAGAGCACCAGCAGGATGACCTCATTTAAAACAAGTAATACTTGGACGCTCTTTTGTCCTTATGGGATTACTAGATTGTTGAATCAATATTACCTTGTGGGAGTGAGCTTATCGCCATATCATCTCTAAAATGAATGGTAAGAGGCACTGCTCCATAGAGCTACACGTTATTGAAATAATGAGATTTTGTTTTAAATTCAAACTGTTTTTCTCATTTGTTATTAGCAGAAGGAATTCTGAGATAATTAAAATGATTGCTATAAAAATACAGTAAAAAGAAAAAAGGTAACTAAGAATTTTGCCATTGTAGACTCATAAGAAATGTAGTTGCTGTTTTGTACCTTAGGTATGCAGATTTGAAGATGTTCCAAGTCCTATTCCTGACCATAGTTTTACAAAACTGTGGTGTTGGGAGAGAGCCAAACATTTTTGGTGTGGCTAAACCTCCTCTATTGATGATGGAAAATTAGTATCCAAGTGCATTCCCAGTTAGACAACTGTACGGTTTAGGGCTGCTTTGTTTGACATGATCTTCTTCTACCTCATAAGGCTATACAGAGGATCTACAAACTATTGAGAATGAAAATACTGAGTAGGATCATGGATCATAAAGGAAATAAATGGCATGTTGCCAAATCATGGGCAATTATTAGTGAATACTTACAGAGTTGTCTCAGGCCCTTCTGCCTGCAGAACAAACTTTTGTGTCATATCATGTCTTTTAACTAGGGGAAGAAAATTTACAACTCAATTTCCAAAAGTAGTTCCGCTTCATGAATTCTTATTCATTGTCCACATCCTGTCAATATTATGCTAGTCGTTTAATGTTGCCAAAATCTTGTTCTATGTTAAATGATTTGTCTTTCCTGGTGATGTTGACACCTTTAAATACTTGTAGACAATCATTATCCTGCACATTGTTTGGTGCTTAGCTCTACTTTACATATTTAATAGCTTTAATTTTTTTTTTCCCTTTGGAGACAGAGTCTCGCTCTGTCACCCAGGCTGGAGTGCAGTGCCGTGATCTTGGCTCAGTGCAACCTCTGCCTCTCAGGTTCAAGCGATTCTCGTGCCTCAGCCTCCGGAGTAGCTGGGACTACAGGTGCATGCCATCATGCCCAGCTAATTTTTTGTATTTTTAATAGAGATGGGGGTTCCAACTTGTTGGCCAGGCTGGTCTTGAACTCCTGGCCTCAAGTGATCTGCCTGCCTCAGCCTCCCAAAGTGCTAGGATTACAGGCATGAGCCACTGAGCCCAGCCAGCTATAATATTATTTATAAGTGAATCAGTCTTATATTTTTATTTCAGTGAGAAAGGTGCTTAAATATGACCTATCAGTTCAAGAAGTTATGGAAACTAAATGCTACCCAAACATAAGCCAAGGGAAATAAGTTAGAATTTGCAAAAAATGGGGTCATTCGATTGGCTTCAGAGGTGGTTAAAATATATGTAACAGATATATTCCTTGCTCATATTTGGTTTCAACAACCAATGTCTTCACATCTCAGGCAGATTTAGGGGTAGGGAATATGTGATATCAGACAATTTATTTTTTTGGCTTACATTTTATTCAGTTCAGTCATTTATATATGTTGTAATATAAACATATTCTCTCTAATAAGAACGGGGCTTAGTGAGTACTCAAAAATTTTAGACTTGTATCACAAAAACAGGCAAATAAACAAAAACATCTGTTCTTAGAAAAGGGTAAATAAATATGATAAAATCTTGTCTAACTATCTCAGAGAGAAAACTTGGGTATAAAAATCTATAGCAAGCTTACACTTTGCATAAATAAAAAAAGATTTTGAAGTTTCATTCTCAACTTTTTTTTCTATAAAAGGCAAGGTAAATGTATCATGTGAAATAAAATAAGACTGTCAGTTATAGGAAGTAATGAAAAATATGTAATTAAATGAATTAGTTATAATTGTTTGGAATACTTTCTTTATTTTAAATTCCACCAAAAACTCTATGTCTATTGTAAAATGACTAATAAAAATAATAGTGCTACTTCTCTAACTTTAGAAGGCTATTGAAATAATTTCTAAAATATAAGTGAGCTTTTTATGAGAAAAGTGTATTAAATAAGACCGTGTTGCCTGGCGTGGTGGCTTACACCTGTAATCCCAGCACTTTGGGAGGCCGAGGTGGGCAGATCACAAGGTCAGGAGATCGAGACCATCCTGGCTAACACGGTGAAACCCCGTCTCTACTAAAAATACAAAAAATTAGCCGGGTGTGGTGTCGGGTGCCTGTAGTCCCAGCTACTCGGGAGGCTGAGGCAGGAGAATGGCATGAACCCGGGAGGCGGAGCTTGCAGTGAGCCCAGATTGCGCCACTGCACTCCAGCCTGGGTGACAGAGTGAGACTCTGTCTCAAAACAAAACAAAACAAAAAAACACCATGTTTACATCTCACAAGATTAACGAGGTTTTTTTTGTTTTTTTTTTTTTTTGGTTTTTTTTACTATAGTATGTTTCTAGTACTACTGTTTTTTGCTTGCTTGCTTGTTTGTTTCTTGAGACAAGATCATGCTCTGTTTCCCAGGCTGGAGTGCAGTGGCACCATCATGACTTACTGCAGCTCCAACCTCCTGGACTCAAGCCGTCCTCCCACCTCAGCCTCCTAAGTAGCTGGGTTTACAGGCATATGCCACCATGCCCAGCTAATTTTTAATTTTTTTCTAGAGATGGGGTCTCACTACATTGCTCAGACTGGTCTTGAATTCCTGTACTCAAGTGATCCTCCTGCCTTGGCCTCTCAAAGTGCTGGAATTACAGGCATGAGCCTCTCTGCCCAGCTGGTACTATTGTTGATAAACTTCTTTATTTTGAAAGCATCCAAATATTTCCTTTTAACAAAAGAATTTATATAATGTTTTCCTCCATTTTTCTAACATTTTATGTAAGTTTCTCAAACATTTAATTCAAAGTATTGAATTAAAAAAATGCAATTATGCTTCTCTTCTGTGTTAGAACTAGGTAACAGGAAAAAATGAAAAAACAAGACAAATAGTTTATACTGCTTCTACCGAAGTTAAAGATAAGAGAAATTCGTATTTTAGAAAGATAGATTTTCTTTAGAAGGATAATGTAAAAAATACCTGTTTCTTTTCTTTCTATATCATACCAGAAGACTAATTATTGACATAATTTTCCTTATCTCTCTCTCTCGTAGGCCTACTTTTATTACCCCTTCTCTTTTTGAGGTAACCAGGTATCCAGGTTAATCACGCTACCCTTGGTTATCATCACATGTATTTCTGAAATTGTCTTTTACATATATCTTTTTACTTGTTAATGTAAGACATAAGAACAGCCTTTATCTTGTTGATTATGGTAATTAGCACATAGTAATTTCTCAATAAAAATATGTTGGAAAGTAAATGTTTAAGTACTGTTTTATGTGTAATTGACTCAGAACGGTAATTAATTCAAAAGTTTATATCATAGATTGCTGTAATTTGTTTTTTTCTTTATTTTCTCTTTTCTTGGGAAGGAAAAAAAATTCTTACCTAAAAGGTGGCATCTTTTCTGGTAATATTTTAGTCAATGTGGCACCTGAGAGGAGAGAATTTAGGCAAATAGATTTCCATAAAATTTCTCAAATCCAACAATGTAGACCTCCTGTGCCTAACTTATTAGTGTCTCGGGGTTAAATATTTAAAATGGCCATTTCTGCTACATTTTCAAGTCTATTCTGGAGTTCCACGGTTTTCAGATAAAGAGAAGAGAGAAGATAGCAAAGAATGGGTACTCTTGAAATCACCATAAAAAACTGTAGGCCTATCCAGCTTTGGGATTGTGGGAACTGGACATATTTAACAGTTCGTACCACTGATCTGGTCTAGTACCAACTGTTTGAGAAACTTTTAGAACATGTCTGCAATTTACCATTGTAGCTCTGTTCTCCTATTCTTTCAAAGGTTTAGGTTAGTGATACTTCACTAGTGTAACACATTCTAGATTATTTTTGTTTCTGTCATAAGTCTAATGCCGCAAATTGCTATGCATCTCATTTTCATTCTCAGTTTGTACAACTAAATTGAGTAGTTGAGAACTTCCTTGCATCTCTTAAGAAAATTCTTTACTTCCCATTGTGCTCAGAATAAAATCAAAGTTCATTTTCATCACCTGTAAAGCCACAGCTACTTCTCCATTAAATGAATGAAAACAAACAAATACAAAGTCTTTTGACTATGAAGTCTATATGTTTAAAATCTTCTTTTCCAATCCTGGTAATTGATTATATGGAGTCAAATAAGCCATAGCAATTAAGCTCCAGAATTCACTGGGGAAAGAAAAAGGGAACTGACTTTTACTGAACATCTACCATACTCAATTAGTGTCAGGAACGTTTGCGTACACATCAACCTTGTGAGGCAGGTGTTATCATTCTCATTTTCCGGTTAGGCTAATTGGGAATCATAGTGGTTGACTGATTTTTCAAGTTAACTAGGTGAGAAGTAAAAGAGCATGAATTCAATCCTAGATAGGTTTGAAGAGCCAAAATTTATGAAATTGAAATGTATTATCTTACAGGTATAGCCAGTGTTTATAATACAAAGTGTTTGATACTTTTTCAAGAAGCTTATGATACAGTGGAGAAAGTAACTCCTATGTAAATATCTCTGGCCTACAGAACAAAGGTTGCAACTGCCATGAACAAAGAGAGGGAAAGTTGCTAAATCCTGAAGAAGCTGGGGTGGGGGTGGGAGTCAGATGTTAGCTAGGGAAAGGTTCCTGGAGGAAGCACTAGTCTAGTTAGGTCTTAAAGGATGAGTAGTACTAGAATATTCAGAGGTGGGAGAGAATGGATTTCTAGTCTGGCATAGTAAAGCCTGGCATATAGAGGGTGCCATGAAAGAGAATAGTTATTAAAGAGGAACTTCATCCATGGGTAAAGATAAACTAATTCCAAATTAGGAAGTTTCTTTGAAGATGGCATTAAGTAGGGATTACTCCTGAAAGAGGGGTCATCACTAGGAGAACTCTACCCATATACATGGTAGAGTTGCAGAAATGAGACTCTTTCTGGCAAAGTACAAAAGTACACCTGAAATGAGTTGACTCAGATTTGCATATGGAAATAGGCAGCTTTGGTACAATTGAAATCATTAAAAGGATTCCTTTCTCAGCTGTGGGTATTTTCATCTCCATGTCCAACTGTTGGGGGAAGGAAGTGTCTTACTGCTTTCATTAGTCCGTTCTGGGGCACCCTAAGAAGGGAAGAGTGCAAATAGGCAGGGATAGAGGTGGCGCGTTTCACAATTCTCCCGTAATGCTCAAATCCTACCACATTATTCACCCTAGGAAAGAAGCACCTGAGATTTCCTCATATAAACCATGAGAGCAACTGCCCTTTGATGCCTCTATGGCTTCCAAGATCACATCATTCTGTTGCTGTGACAAAGGCTGGTGAGAAAAGAAAATTTGGGTATCTGAATGCTGGTTTTCATGTGTCTTATGTATTAACCACCTCCTTCAAGTTGTATACCCTGCCTTTCTTACTGGTTTGCTCCCTGTGGTTTTGAGAAACCTCTGTCTATTCTTCTTCTGATGCTACTGTGAATGTGTAGCATTTTGATTTGCTGATCACATTCTTCCTCGTCACAGTGGCCAGTATTTGGTTGTCTCTATGATTCTGGTTTTGCTCTGCCTGCACTGAGAGGTACAGATGAGTGCCATAAATGAGGTTCTTTTCCTCCCTTCAGAACTTTTTGATTTGGAACAATAAAGACTCTAATCTTCGGGTGACATCTTTAGATATAGTGTCTGTTTTCTGAATTCAACCCTTGTTTCTCACTTTATTTCTGTCTCATATGTTTAGCCTTTCATTTTCTCAATAGCTTTTGAAATATTTATGATGTCTGGAACCCGTTTCTTAGTACTTGCTTCATGAACATTCAAAAAGTGCTGTCATGCTGTGGTAACAAAAATGTGGAAAAAGATGTCCACATAGCAGTTACCAATTTGTGCTCTACAGTTCTTCCAGATTTTAGTTTACCAGCCACCCACTGTCACCTGTCATTTTTCTAGGTTCACTGTAGCTTTTCCATGATACAACTTTTTGCTGATTTATAGCATCTAAAAGATTCCAGAAGAATTAAATGTGTTTCAAAAAAATAATAATAAACAAACAAAAAACCAGGGGTCTTTCTTGCTCTCTTGGGAAATACAGACATGGTAAGAATGAGACTGATCCTTTTTGTTTGAAGTCAGTTCTCTTCTGGGATCACTTTACTGGTCCCTCTGCAATTGCTTCTTTTTGCTAAATGCCTCACTATTTGATCAGAAACAGCCTGCTTTTGATTCAACTGGAAAATGTGACTGCTTTTGTGCTTAACATTTAGTTTTGTGTTTTTCTTCTTATAGTCTCACATTGGCTTTCATTCATCCATTCATTTAACATTTAAGGAACACCCACAGGGGGCTGGCACCACTCTAGGTTCTGGAAGAAATGGGGAGAAGAGGGTCCTGTCCAACACAGAGGAGACACAGCTCCTATATTCAGTTGTTTGGGAGGCACTTATTCTTTTTTGGCGTCCTGGATAATGAAGACTATTGAAAGGGGAAGCTCTCTTCAACTTCAAAGGGCGTTTTTTGCATATATGAGGCTCCCTCAGGGGCCAGTGAAAGAGAAATAGAGCTAGCATTAGAGTGAGAGTGGGTGAAGCTGAATGTAACAGAGAAAAAGTCGGATGTTAAAAAATCTCAACAGGAATAAACAAACAGCATCAGCTGTGTCTTATTATATTGTCGTGAAGACTGTAGAGGGCAGGCACGGAAGAGAAGTGAAATAAACACTGATTAATATTCGGGAGGCACAGGGGATTCACAATCTAAATAGAAACAAAGGGATTATCTCTGTGCTGCTGGTTTTGGGACCAGCCAGAAATAAGACAGTAAGCTGAAACCTCCCAATGCATTCATGGCTGTTAGCAAATCCGTTCCAAAAGCAGCAATATGACTTTTATAAACCAACAAAGTATCGCATAACAAATTGTTTTTTTATTCCTCTGGGAAGCAACTTACAATTGCATCCAATTGTTACAAAAAGGCATTGCATTAGTCAAAAAAAAAAAAGGATTTTTTAGAAATCTATATTTTACAAATCTATCATGGTAGATTTATAAAAATCCTTTCTTTTTTATAAAAATAAAATACTGTTGTAATGAAACAAATAAAACATTAATGGACAAATACTAGAATATAAAGTAATTTGCCTAGGATGTAAATATTTTTATATACTACTAGAGAATTGTAAGTATACATACTTTGAGAGTTTAAAATTAGTGCAAAGGTATCTGAGCAAGTAAGCAGATGTGTAAGAGAAAGTTTCAATTTCTTCACATAACCCATAACCCATTGTCAACAGTTACCTAAATTGCAATTCAGTATTTTGGCTTTTATGAGACTCTGTGACTGTCATTTGAATGTGACTATCGCATTTGCTTTCATACCTGAAAAAGAAACATTACATGCTTGTAACCTGGCTTCTAAAGAAAGTCTTAAAGACTTTTGTAGAGTTCTACATATTCTTTATATTTTGCAAAGGATTAGGTTTTCGTTTTATTGCAGCAATGCCAATATATTTTGGTAATTTGAAGAAAAGAAAATTAGGAACTGATGCAGAAGCAAAACAAGTACATATAGAATATTATTAATTTGTAAAGAGAGAAGAACAGAGAGCTGGGAGTTAACCCAATAAACAAACTCATAATTTTGGTAAGCCTCAATGCTACCACAACTATGGAAATTTAACCATATACAATTTTACCTCCACAAACCACAGCAATTATAGTGAATATATTTTAAACCATCGAAATTTGGGAGACAGTCAAATACATTCAGACAGAGTCTGATTTTGATATTCTGAAGACTCCATTCTAAAGTTTATAAATCTACTCATTTCAAGGAAGTAAAACAAATGCTGCGAGTGTTGTAACTCCTCAAAATGTAACAAGTATATGTGGATACAAATCAAAACACATTTTTTACTTCCAGGTTAGTATTAAACATTTTCAAGTATAGGAATTTTTTTCTTTGCTCAGTGCACAAATTCTAGAAAAAAAAAATGTTAAATCTATGCAATGTATATTAGTTTCCTATAACAAATTATCACAAAATTCATGGCTTAAAGCAACACATATTGCATTCTATTATACTTTTGAAGGTCAGAGGTTAAAAATCATTATCACTTGGTGGAGGAATTGAGGTGTCAGCAGGGCCAAGCTCCTTCCTGAGGCTCCAGGGAAGAGTCTATTCCTTGCCTCTTCTAGGTTTGGATGGGTGCCAGCATTCCTTGGCTGGCACCAAGGTGCCACAACAGTTCAATCCTCAAGGCCAGCATCTTCACATCTCTCTCTTCTTCATCTTCTTCTCACATTCTCTTCTGTGTTTATGTGTGTCAATATCCCTTTGTTTCCATATAATAAAGATGTGTATGGTTACATTTTTCAGGGAAGTTTTCTCATCTCAAGATCCTTAATCACATCTGCAAAGACCTCTTTAGTTCAAGTAAGTTAACATTTAAAAGGTGCAAGCATTCAGACTTGGATATCTCTTGATGGGCCATTGATTAGCCTACCAGAGATTTACATAATAATTGAAAAATGATCATTGAAACCTAGACAGAAGAGTCCAGATTTATGTAATAATTAAAAACCCTTCAATAAATATTTACTTAACAACAGCTACCATGGTAGGCAGAAAGGATAATTGCAAAGGAGACAGGTATGATTCCTGTTCTCACAGAGCTTACCACCTTGTGGGTATTGATAGTTTCCAGTTTTCCATGAACTAGTGGACAGACATCTTAAGAAACTGGATGATAGTTGGTAAACTGGAAGTTTGAAAACAAGTGAGAAAGTTGGAAATTGCTTTTGTGGGAAACAGAAGTCAAAGAGAAAAGATTAAGGACAAGTAGGATTTGAGGGATTCTCTGAAGATCCAGGGTGCGGTAGCTATTAGCATTCTTCATCCTGTATTTCCCCAGAGTTCTTCTCCCTCTGAGCCCATGGCAGACTTTCACTTCTTATTCCCCATGTAACTGTTTCCAGACAATGAATTTATTGAGTGTCTGAGTGCCACTTCTAGAAAGAGGATTTAAATGTCCAGTGAAAACCCTCCAAACCTCTCTTCTCCCGTCACAACAACTGACAAATGCTCCAAACAGTGGCTGCTGTGTCTTGAGTTTGACATGGAAAAGAACCCACACCAATGAACCTAAAGTGTGAAGAAGAAATGTGCTTTGCTTTAAGCAATAGAGATTTTAGAGGTATTATTGCAAACTAACCAGGAATTTATAGTGACGTTCATTAAATAAGCTGTTTGATTCTTTTTGTCCATGCTCAGGAGCAGAGGCAAAATAAAGCAGAACGTAGGTAGCTCAGATCATTCAAAGCTGTTATGCGCCTAAGCAGGGAGGGCAGTGGGGGGTGTACAAGATAGAAGACATAGTTAGTTACAAAGTTTTTAGCTCTAGCATTTTGTATTGTTGTTGTTGTTGTTGAATCCAGTTACTTTAGTTAGTAACAAAAAGAATAACATCAAAGAATTTGGCATGACACTAAGGGTTTGCAGACCATGAAAATAATACATATCTCCTTTGATCTTCATATTAATGATTCGATCTAAGAAAATGTTTCCATTTTTATGGAAGAGTAATTTGTGGTATTTTGATAGAAAGTAAAATTTCCAAAATCTAATTATTTAGTCAACAAAGCACCTACTTATTCTTAGCTACTGTGCTAGCTGCCAGGTATGGTACCATGGTGCCCAGAAGTCAGCAGTAAGTGAGAAAAGCTTAGTACAAGATCTCATGAAGCATATGGCAAAATGGAGACAAAATATTTTTCTGAATCCTGGACAAAACATCTTTCTTTTTATTTCAGATTTTGTGTTTTTATGATGCCATGTGTCTTATTAATGACTAAAAACTCTAATTCAACTACTAGGAAGAAGAAGTTTTAGAATGCCTTATGGAACAATCCCAACATCATTTTATTAGGTTTATTCTGTACTACATAAAATAGGCATAAAGCCATAACAGAAAGTGATGTTTTTTCCTTATCATTATAAAGATAAACATTACAAGTCTATGGGGAGAGTAAACTGCAAGCGTAGGAGTTACAGAAAAACCTGACGCTTCTACTTTTGCACTGAATTCTGATATCTGATGGTTTCTATAAGTCTCTAAACGTACTGACAGAGATAAATAGCTGTTATGTAAGTCATTGGGTTATTTAGAGGGAGGCGCTGTAAGCCTAGGCCGCTGAATTTTCATGTCTTTCTCCTATAAGTGTTCCTTTCATTATCTCTTATAAAAACCAAATGGAGAGGAGGAAAGATGTTTTTTCCTTCTGCCCTTCTAAGTTCATGGCTGAGGCCTCTGTGACAAAAGACAAACTAACAAGCGAAAAGCGTAGTTTATTTAATATACATTTTACATATATGGGAAGCTCCAAAAAAATGAAGACCCAATGAAATAGTTAAACCTGGGTATTTTTTAAACAATAGGTTTGATGAAGAGTGAACAGTTGTGAATAAATACCATAGGACAGAGTATGAACTAAATGTGGTATACTGGGGGAAACTTAGCAAGGCCGGTTGGTTCAGTTTCCTCTGTGTTCTTTGGAGCTAAGGATGCTCCTTTTTTTTTTCTGAGTACAGCAAGGACACCTCTCATATGCGGGTCTCATGACTTGCTTTGGGAAAAGGTCAGAAAATCCTTTCTAGGTTTTATAACCTGCTTCAAGGGAAAGTGTCGGGGAAGGTCTGAGACCTTCCTGCTTCTGCCATTTTCTCAAATTCAATATGCCGTATGCCAAGGTGCCATATTTTGAGACAGTATGTCCTGAACACCATCACTAATATGATTTCATTATTTGAAATATAAAACCAAATTTCCTAGATTTTGTTAAATTGCTGACATATTTCATTATAGAGAGGAAACAAGGTATTTTACCTACAGTTTATGCAAACAAACAACATTATCACCATCATCTGGCATTTGCTTGAGGAATTGCAAGCCCAAGTACCATTATCAGAAGCATAACAGTTGGATATACAAGATCTAGGGAAGCTTGAGATCTGAGCTTCAAATCTGAATTTGGGAGTTGTGTATATTTGGATGTTAAAAAAAATACGATCATTGAGGTCTTTTTGAGAAACAGTGTTGCTTACAAAGAGATGAGAATCTAGCTCACATTTGAGAAAGTCCAGTAATTAAGACCTACTGCAAAGGATATTTTAAAAAGTACCTAGAAGGATCTATTTCAGAAAGCAGGAAGAAAACACTGCTCCAAAAGATCATGAAAATTGAGCATCTTTAGATTTTTATTATGTCCCTACACTATGGGGTCAGGAAAAAAATATATAAGTATAGGAAACTTGTCCCTACATAGCCTCTCAGTAGTTAGCTTCTTGCCATGCCCTTGCTACAAATAGTCAAGCACATAGCTGCTTTTAAAATCCTTACCACACTTTGACATGAGCAAAGTATTATTAATTGACATTTTTTGTATGCTTTGTTAGTTCTTTTCTTATCTTCATAATTTCAGACTAAATAGTGAATATTTGAAACCTCCAGGGAAAAGTTTTTTTTGGAAAAACCCATGTCTTAAAAGTCCCCTCTTAAAATAAAAGAAAATCCTATTTTGTTTTATTTTCCAGATTTTGTTTATTTTGTTTTTCCTTAGGCATTGAGTAGGAAAAACTTGAAAACTGCCTTGGGTGGCCTGCTTTTATTGCCTTATCTGGCCCCACCCACATCCTGCTGATTGGTCCACTTTACAGAGAGCTGATTGGTCCACTTTACAGAGAGCAGATTGGTCCATTTTACAGAGAGCTGATTGGTCCATTTTGACAGAGAGCTGATTGGTGCGTTTACAATCCTTTAGCTAGACGGAAAAGTTCAAGTCCCCACCCTTCCCAGAAGCCCAGCCTGCTTCACCTCTCACTGGCACTCGCCCCAGGACTTTGCAGCACCTATCCCGGGCACTCTGGCATCCCAGAGGGTGCTCGTCCCCCGATCAAGCCCTGCAGGCGCCGACCGGCTGCACCGAGGGCGGGGCCCGCCGAGTCCGCGCCCACCTGGAACCTCCGCAGGCCTGCGAGGGCCGCGCGCCACCCCGGTTCCCGTCTGCGCCTCCACACCTCCCCGCCAGCAGAGGGAGCCGGCTCCCGCCTCGGCCAGCCCCAGAGAGCGGCCGCCACAGCGCAGCGGCAGGGTGAAGGGCTCCTCCAGCGCGACCCGAGACGCCGAGGCCGAGGAGGCGCGGAGAGCGAGCGAAGGCTGCTAGCAAGTTGTCATCTCTCAATAGTTTTCTGGAAAGGTAATTATGCCAGATCCACTAGGTTACCACACTACTAGCTTACTAGTGTCTGTGTGAGTTAAAGAACATTACAATAAAGTTTTTGTAAGTACCGTAATCCTTCGTATTTCTTCGTCTTTCTACATGAATAATGATCTCTGTTTATACCTGTATCTAGAATATATTTTCTTGCTACAGTCTTCCTTAGAAGAAGAAAGTGTTAAAATAAAAAAAATTTATTTGTCCTTTCCTTATCTAATGATAAGGAAGCATCTAGTGTATGTTTATCATATCAATGAATATCGTTTTCCAACACATAGCAATAAAAAATTGATTGTATATCATTACATGCAATTATTAGATATGCATTGTTTTAAAAAGAAATATCAAAGTGTTCTTAAATATTTGTCTATCATTTTTAACGAAAAATTCAGAGGTGAGGTACGTGAAGATTAGTGAAAGTGTACTGCTAATATTTTAGAATTTCAACATCTGTGTGTGTTCTGTTTCGTGTCTATTTTTAACCTTGTCTTTGGAAACATGATGTATATTTCTAAGGTGTTACACATTCAGAGAATACTTTAGCAGATATGGAAATTAGCCAACCCCATATATCTACTTTTCAATTCCTTAAAAATTTTGTATTCATTAGGAGCCCTAGGAAAATACTAGGTAGAAAAAAGAAAAAAGATGACTCTTAATACTACTCCCTCCCCTAATTAAAAGAAATATTTGAGTAAGTAGAAAATGCCAAAAACAAAACATTGGTTTGAAGTAGAACCATGAATTTAATTATCTAGATTTTTTGAGCTTTCCAAATTTCATCCAATGACTTCATAATCACCTAATTCTGCCATCCAAAGTAGCACCTTTGTCTTACATGTATTCTGTTCTCACCTTTTCTTTAGACTCTTTATATGCCAGAAGAAACCAGATGCTCCACACATTCTCTCCCTGAATCCTTGTAACATTTCTGTCATACTGGAGGGGTGAAATAATATTTTGTTAACAATATTAATCCATTATTTTACCCGCCTGCATTTTGCCCTATTCTTCTCCTCTATTCAAGCAAATGGCATGCTGTAAGCTCTTACCTGAGGGAAGGAATCTGGTAGAATAACATGCAGAGAACTATTTTGTTGATTTCAATACCTCAGCCTCAGAGTGTGAAAGTTTTCCTGAGCATTGATATATCGGCATTGTAGCCCAAAGCAGGCCGAACGTGAGAAGTGTTTCCACTCTTGGCTCTCCACTTTCTCCTTACTATCAAGCAAAGCAAAGAGAGAAAGGTGTGCCCTATTGTCTTGCACAACACCTAGAGAGGCAGCAAAACCCAAGAGAAGAATAGATCTAGACCAGGATTTCTCAACCTGGCTTTTACTGACATTTTGAAATGAACAATCTTTTGTTGTGAGGCTAGTCTATACATTGTAGGTTGTTTAGCAGTAATCCTGGCCCTTACCTAATAAATGTCAGTTTCACCCTCCACCCCACGTTGTGACAACCACAAATATATCCAGAAATTACCAAATGTCTCTTGAGTAGGGGTGGTGTGGCAAAAGCACCGTTAGTTGAGAACCACGTAAGACAAGGTAGATCAAACCTTGAAAAGTCCCAATACAAACTCCCTTTGCCTATGCTGCTGAGTGCTTAGGCCTGGTTCAATGTCTCTCGAAAATGCTTGAAGGACAATTTAGGTTTATAACTTCCCAGGTGAGCAAACTTATAAAGTAAGCCAGCTCTCAGTATGTATTCAAAATGTGCCTGTTATATTTATCCTGCCCAGGAAGTCATTAGCTTTCTTTTAAGACTGACCAACAAGGCATGTTTTTCTCTAGTAACTGAAGACAGATTACTGAGGACTAAATACTATTTTTGTAAAGGGAATTTATACGCATTGCCATATGAACTCTAGGGAGCTTAATACATATAATTTTAGCTAAGAGTTTTTGAAAATACTGTCTTGGAATGCGTTGTCCAATCCATTATTTTACTTGGTTTTACTTCTTAAAATTTAAGTTTTTGAAAATATTGTCTTGGAATGCGTTGTCCAATCCATTATTTTACTTGGTTTTACTTCTTAAAATTTAAGCAGTCTCTACCACCAGAGCATATTCAAGGTGATGACTAATAAAAACCACTACATAAAATAGCCACTCTGAACTGAAAGATAAAAAGAGATAAGAATTTGTATAGAAGAAATAGAAAATTACTTGTACCAGAGACTGCAAGTTAGCATTGCCCACCTGAGTTTCCTAGAAGGTAGGGAAAAATAAAAATGAGACATTAAAAAGTTATCATCCCATAATCAAATCATTTTTATGGTGATCCAGGAAGGCTAAAGGGAGAAATGGATTTTGGCTGGTAAGACTTTTGGAATCTTTTTGTTTTTTTTTTGAGACAGTTTCACTCTTGTCGCCCAGGCTGGAGTGCAGTGGCACAATCTTGGCGCACTGCAGCCTCTGCCTTCTGGGTTCTAGTGATTCTCCTGTCTCAGCCACCAGAGTAGCTGGGATTACAGGCGCCTGCTACCATGCCTGGCTAATTTTTGTATTTTTAGTATACACGGGGTTTCACCACGTTGGCCAGGCTGGTCTCGAACTCCTGAACTCAGATGATCTGCCCGTCTCAGCCTCCCAAAATGCTGGGATTACAGGCATGAGCCACTGTGCCCAGATGGGATCTTTATAATCACACTGTTGTCTACTCTGAAACAATAGGTTTACCCATGTAACCTCATCTTTACTCCTATTTAAAAATAAATAAATAAATAAATAAATAAAAGACAAGGATTAGCTGCTCTCTCATTTATTGACATATATATATAAAATATTTTTAGTTTGTGAAAAAGTCATTAACACACTGACAGCTCTATTTTGTTCATAATTAAATTTTATGAATTTTATGAATAGGAAATATGTGCATGGTAAAAATGTTCAAAAGACATAATTGTGTACAAAGTTAAAAATAAGTCAACTTTCCCTTCTTAAACCACTTCCCAGTTTCCTTCCCCAGAAGCAATCATTGTTACCAGCTCAAGTTTCTTTCCAGAGATACTTTATGCATAAACAAATACACACACACACACACACACACAGACACACACACACACATAATGTCTTTACACACATGGCATTGCCCTATATATAAAATTCTAACAAATGAAAAAGTAATTGGATTTTTGAAGTAAAAATTAACTTTGATTTATAAGCCAGATTTTAAATAAGACTCACATTTGACCATTTAACCCCGCTCCTGGGACACATTAATCTTGGGCATACAAAATAGGGACATATTCTGAGTCATGTTCCTTATTTTTCTGTTTTTTTTTTTTTTTTTTTTTTTTTTTGCTAGCCTGAATTTCTGTGCTTCTAGCTCCCTTTAAGTCCATTTCACTTATCTTTTGTAGTCCATATGTGGTGTTTCACCTGTGTGGACAAACACATCTCAGCTTACCCCAGCCACCCAGAGTCTGCACGCTTCAGTCACTCCCATTGAAGCTGGGTGAAGAATTTGGACATTTCTTCTGTTGCTCACAAATTAGTCTCTGCACTTTCTTACCCTGTTCTCCTGGTAAAGACCTGTGTTGCCACCAGATGTTCTACTCGCCGCTCTACTGGGGCATGGCTGGTGAAACCACGTGTCCTGTGTTCTCTGCAAAACTTAGAAGATGCTGATTCACCTTTTGGCTTCTCACAGGCTTTCTTTGCTAACCACCCAGTTTCCCTCCAGATTTATTCAGATTTAGTCTGTCACTTGGCAACAGCACTTGGAGGTTTCTTTTTTTTAACTGGACATTTACAAACATCTCGGGCATTTTGGTTGGACAACACCTATGTGCTAGGTTCTCTTTCTGGGCTGTCCAAGGAGGCATGTTGTTCCTTCAATAAAAAAGCTCCTTATGCATTCTACCTCACTAGGCCACCAGCCATGTCTAGATTTCTGTGACACTTGAAATAAACACAGCTTATCCTCAAAACTAAATTTCCCAACTATTTACACAAATGACCTCCTTGCACTAACCTTCATGTCCGCCTCTTTCTTTTTCCTCTCCTGTTTCCTTGTCTACTACTATTTGAAATAAGAGAAGAAGCCACAATAACTTCGGATTCTCCTCTTCACTTTACCTCGCAACTTCAGTTAAAACTCCTGGTTTTGCTAGATGTTTACATATGTTTATATTTAGACCAATTGATCTAACTTTGATTTCCTTTTTGCAGTAGGTAGACATGTTTTATAGTGATTGTTGTACAGACAGCCTCAGGATATTTTTGCTTTCATGGTAATCTAACGTGACATTTTCCAAAGTTATTTATCTATGTAGCACTTTCAAAATTGTACCAGTTGGTGGAATGCTAGCTAAGATCATGAGTTATGATTACATCTAGCAAACTACACTCAGCATACAAACTTAGATTTTAAAAAGTTTTCTATTAAAGTCACAAGAAAATATTTTGTTGATTTTAGTTGAATTCTTTTTTCATTTGGTTGCTAGTAAATCAGTATGTTTAGTTCCCCTTAATGTATCCTTTTAGCCTTTTGCCTTCAAAGTTTAGCTATAAGGTTTATAGCCCCAGTAACGCAGAGTTCCTCCTACAGCAAAATGATCATTTTTCAGTATTTCACAGCTGACTTTCTTGATAGAAAAACAATGGTCTTACCTATGTACTACACATCCAAACTGCATTTGGTTCTCCCAACAACCCTCTCCCTGGCCACCTCTTTGGCCTAGGGATGCTGTAATAGTCTTCTACGTTGCACAAAAAAATACCACAAACTATACCCACAGTTTCTTTTAGCAACCAAATGAAAAAAGAATTCAACTAAAATCAACAAAATATTTCCTTGTTAGTAATCAAGGCACAGTTTAGCCGGGTGCCCTGAGTAGGAGTTTACCATCATGGCAATTAAGGTGTCAGCAGCATCTTCATCTTCAGGCATAAATGGGGAAGGATTCGCTTCCAAGCCCCTCAGTGTGTTGAGAGAATTCATTTTCTGGAGGGTATAGGATTCATAGTTTGTTTTCTAGAAGGCAATAAGGAGAATAAGGCTTTCTTATGAGTCAGGTAGCAATGTCCAATCACTCCAATCTAACCTAATTAAATCATGACAGTGATATACCACCACTTTTGTCATATAGCATAAGGTAATCATATAGTGACATCTCATTGCCTTTGTCATACTCTTTTGGTTAGAATTAGTCACAGGTTCCTCTTACAGTCAAGGGGAGAGTGTTGGGGATTATACAAGGTGTGAACACCAGAAAGCATTGATCATGTGGCCACTTTAAAGTTTGTCGGCCCAGGTCTGTACATAAGTGCTACAGACTCTGCCCCTAGAAGGATGGACCAGGCGAAGAGACTTGTGCTTGGAAATGGTCTCAGGGCCCATTTGGTCATGGAATTCTGAGATCCAGTATACTTATACTATGTTTTAGAAGGTGAGCACACAGGCTCATGCCTCCATCACTCAATGGACTCCTCAGCCCAGGAGAGAGATGCAGTTAGAATAGGTCCAGAGTGGAACTCTTTAAGGTATAGGCAGGACACAAGGCAGAAACTTTAACTTTTCTGGGACTAAGATGTATTAGCCACAACTTTGAGGGCCTCACACTTGGGTTGTGTGTGGTGTCACTGCCCTAGGGCAAGATGTAACAAGTTGACAAGGGCTACCATCATTGAAGAGAACATCAAAGACTCAAAGGGCAGCAAAAGGATCTAAATGTGAATGTGAGGCCCTCTGTTTTACCTTCATAAAGACTCAGTAAGCTCTTTTGCAGAGCAAGATGGCATCTTAAGAGGACATAGAAAGAAGCAGCAGAGTGAAAGAGTCAGCATTTACCTGAAAGGGATTGTTTAAAGTCTGCATATACCAGAAGAGACAGTGAGAAAAATGGATAAGATAAAGTTTTGCTATTGTCCAAGAGCTTGAGAAACATGTGAGGAAAATTGCATCAGCTATGGAAAATTAAGTTGCATTTTATTTGCTTTTTTGATGTGATGTGAATAAGTATTTTGATCCTATCAAAGGTTGATATATCAACCTTTGACTGAGAGTGTCCAACTCAGTGTGTGTTGGTAATTTCATCCTTGGCCATTCATGAGTCCCTCCCTGAACCTGAGCTATCCTAGGGTTACAAAGTAGTGTGCAAGGACAAGTTATTTGAAAGTTCTTGGCTGCCAGTGGTATGTGAATATGCTTTGATCTGCTTCTATTACCTCAACTCTTTTTCTATGTCCAATTCTATGTTTTCAGTTCTGTCTACTATAAATCCTGCTGTTTATAAGATGATTTTTAATTTCATGTTTGTTTTTTCTTTTTTTCTGCTGACCTTTCATTTACTTGGCTTATTTATCTCCCTTTTTTATTATTTTTATTTGATTTTTATCTTTTCTTTGATATTTTGTCTTAAAAAGGCCTTTTTGGCCGGGAGCGTTGGCTCACGCCTATAATCCCAGCACTTTAGGAGGTTGAAGTGGGCAGATCACTTGAGGCCAGGAGTTTGAGACCAGACAAGCCAACATGGCAAAATCCCATCTCTGCTAAAAATACAAAAATGAGCCAGCCATGTTGGCGCACACTTGTAATCCCAGCTACTTGGAGGCTGAGACATGAGAATCGCCTGAACCCTGGAGGTGGAAGTTGCAGTGCGCTGAGATTGTGCCACTACACTCCAGCCTGGGGGACAGAGTGAGACTCTGTCTTAAACAAACACCTTTTTAAGATTTCCTTAATGTCATTTATATAAAATATTTTTAATTTTTTCTTACAAACTCTTATTCTAATAGATAACCCTTCATTTGTCCTCCTTTTATGTTAAAATATCTCTAGTTTTGATGCAGATTCCATTCTGATTTTGTCTCATTTTCTAGTGGGGCCAAAAGAGCTGTTTGGATAAGCTCTTTGCCGAAGAATAACGTGAGAAGGAATTATGTCTCTGAATACTTTCTTACCCCATCAAATATGAGCAGGTATGTACACCATCATCAACTCATTGCTTTGAGCATTTCAGGTGAAACGGAAATAAGCTTGGACTAGAGTGAGTAATTCTCTCATAAGCTTTTGTTTTCAATTACCTTAGATTTTTGCATTTAGTGTTTCAGGCTCAGCTGTTGTGACACTGATTGTCCCCTTCACTCCTTCTATGTGCAGCATGTTCTTGTGAATATGTGTTGACGACTCATTTGGCCTCATTTTCTGCCACCCGGCAGTGTGGAATAAGGCTCAAGGAGTTTTTCATAACCCATTCAGATCATTAAGCTTCTCATCTCAAATAAATGATGAGTCATCCTCAACTATTTAGCGTTACAGACATTTCGGTGTGTACCATCTAGTTTGGTACATATTAGCATATAGATGTAGATGTAGATATAGACAAAGAGACACACAGACACAGGCGCAGATGCAGACATACAGAAACAGACACAGATATATAGAGATCTAGTTTAGGCCTCATGACACAAATTGGTCCCAAGATCACTGTTTTGGGCAGTTATTTATAGATTGAGGCTTGCAATCAGGTTGGTTTTTCATGCCTTCAGTGAAGATAGAAAATCCTTATTTGAGCTTCATGCATTTTGTAGTTTTATAGGTTTCAGGGAAGAAAGTGACATAGAAATGCCTTTATTCTGTCACCTCTAACAATAAGATTCTTTTACATATATTTAAAAAATTAAAACTAAATTGTTGAAGAAAAACAGATCTTACCTAAAATTTCTTGTTAAATGTTTATGGCATTCTTATCGACATAAAGGACAGTATGGTTTAGAAAGTTATTTAAAGGACCAAGTGGGCAGTCTGGAAGGCCTTAATTATCATAAACTATGTGCAGTAAGTGATGGGTTTTTAATGTTCCAAATGAGCCTACAGTGCCAGACACCGACTGACACCTGATTCATTCATATTAAAGTCATTTTTCCTTAGCTACCATTCTTAAGCAAATTCCATCTTCGACTATATATAGTTATTCTGGGTGATCTAAGAAGCAGTATACAAGGATCTCAGAGGTCTTTACTGCCTGTTCACTAAAGGAAAAAAAAATGTACTTTGAATAAGGTTACCTGGTCTTTTATCTCTGTGCAGTCAAATGCACAGGAAACTTCTCCTTAGGGTGCATGGCAAGAGGTAATCCAGGGCCAAGGACTTAGTGAGCTCCATGAGAAAACTCCCAGTAATTTATTCTGAGATTGAATTTAAAGATATGAATGCAGAGACCACAAGCTGCTATTTTAATTCGATGTATTTGGACCACTTACTGTTAACTCTTTATTTGTGAGACATTAACTTACCTTCCTTGATGTTACTGGTTTTATTAGAATAAGGTACATTTCCATGATGTATCCTAATAATATATCAGCAGAAAGACAAATTTTAAAATGACCAGTCTGCTACTAGGTTTAATACGTATTTATTATAATAATCCCTTTTCTTTCCACAAATGAGAGAGCAAATATTCATGTACTCATTTCTCCTCCACTGTAGTGTGGCACAGTACATAATATTACATTAATACTCTCATGCTTTTAAATTAAGATTTGAGTTAGTAAGTCCCATTTTTATTATCTTGCATGAACATTAAGAAAAACCATTTGTGCTCTAGTTTATGATTACCATCTTATAGATAAAAAAATTAAAGTTCAAAGGTATTAGGTAACTCCCCAAACATTACATTGCTAACAAGTAGCAGCACTGGGTTTCTAAATAAGCTAACTATAAGCTGTAGCATAAAGAAGTCTTCTGTATTTTGAGAATTGTAGCCAGAGGAAATACTATAGGAGAATAAAGCTCAATTTAACACACATCTTGTGAAAGACATTGAAAATAGGCACGAGAACTAGCTAGTTATCCCATTTCCCACTGTTAATGGGTGGTTGCTAGTTGCATTGAGAATAATATTCTGTTTTAAACTTGTACAAGAACTTATTGTTTAAGGTAACTGAGTGTAAAGCAAGAATATTACATTGAGTCATAATAACCAAATCCATAAGAAAAACCCATCTTTATAATCCTTTCATTGTTTGTAACTAGAGATGGACCACACTTCTCAGAGAATGTGTCATTAATAGTTTTACTCAATATTGATATTAGACTTTGCTTATATTCCATGCCTAACTTTATAATATATGAAGATAATTATATCTGCCTTATAGTACTTTATAGCCTCTTAGTATGGAATGAGTCTTCTTGTTCAATATCATTTAAGTGTAAGACTAAATTTTAGCGGTTGGGGGATGGAAACAGAGATAAAAGGGGAAGGAATAGCAAATAGGAAGATTTCTATCCATTTGTCAAACTCTTAAAGGCATCTAACACACTCCTCTGAGTTGAAGGAGTCTTAAAATCACAAAACATTAACAGGGTAGAATGATAATGAATTCATAGTTGCTGCCACACTTTTATCGTATAACTATAGGTATTAAACCAAAATGGAAAGCTATAGCTTCCATTTCAGCTGTTTACTGTGTTCTCATTCTGACTGAATCATTCCCTCAACTGGATATACTTGAGTTTATTGTTCTCAAAAGCCTATTTTTGTTGCTTCATTTATAGTTGACCATTCTCTCTTAGGAAGGGCATTAAAAAGTCAAGATATTAAAGTAATTAAGTGATCTACTTAAAAGTGTTTATTCACTCTTGTTTTCATAATTCTTTAATTTATGGACTAAATGTACTGTGTACTAGTTACCTATCGCTGCATAACATATTACCCCAAAATCTAGCAGTTTAAGTTGATACAGATTTATTATTTCACATGTGGGTCTGGAGTCTAGGTGTGGCTTATCTGGGTCCTGTGGCTCTGGCAATCTCACAGGGCTGCAGTCATCTCAAGGCTCTTCTGTAAAGAATCCCCATCATTGGCAGGACTCAGTCTCTCATGAGCTGTTGCCTGGAGGCCTTTCTTACTTCCCTGTTCTTTGAGCTTTTCCAGAGAGCATCTTACAACATATCAGCTAGCTGAGGAGAGGGCATAAAAGGGAGTACCAGTAAGAGAGAATGCTAGCAAGATGGAAGCCACAGAATTTTGTAACCTAATCAGAGAAGTGATATCTATCACTTTTGACCTATTCTTTGTTACAAGCAAGTCACAAAGGTCCAGTTCTTACTCAAAGGGAAGAGATTTTACAACGATGTGAATACTATTAAGCAGGTGGGAATTATCGTGAGCCAGTTTATAAAGTTGCCTACCAGGTGATACATGTTTATAACTTTCAGGAAAACAGAATGTGATTTCATTGTTTGTAACTTATCTCTTCCTTAATTTTAGACTATAAAACAAGCATATAGTGTCAGTCTCTAATGCCAAAAAGCAACAGTAAATATTTTCCTATTTTGAAATAATAGATATGTTTTACCACACTGACAGCAGGAGAAAAAAAAAAAAACTGAAGAAAATGGAAAAGTTTCAGTCTTGTGGTTTCCATAGAAGAAAAAGTCTCTGAAGTTTGTTATTTAAGAATCATATACGCAATTTTATAATCATTAAGTTTTTTATGTTTACTTGTGATGTTATATGAGATTTTTGGATTTAGTTTTATCCATCACATAATTATAAGACCAGGTTAATATTTAGCATATTATAAATAATACATGGGGCAAAAGTAGAGAGGCATTATTTGCTCTTACCTTAGTCAAAGATTGATTCTCTGATATTATAAAAAATACAGCTGAATTCTTGGCTCTGTAATTTTTTTGGAGATCTCACTATTCCATAAGTTGATTTATTTGAACTTTTCTTGGGGATAAGATTAAAGGAGTAAAGATCTACATGGACATCATTCACTTTCTCAAACACTTTCCAGTGTAATTGATATTAATACATATTCTGTCTTCTAAATATTTTTGGGAGTTTTGGCAACTGTTCACCAGCGCTATTGCTACTACCCTGTTTTATGACAGCACTGCCTCTCACATAGATTATTGCAATTGCTTTCTCATTTCTTTCCCTGATTCCACTCACCTGCCCTCACCCCACAATCTATGCTCAATAGAGCAGCCAGAATAATCCTCTTAAAATGTAAGTCAAATTATCACTTCTCTGTCAGTCTGTCCGTGCCTTCGCTCCTCACTCAAAGTACAAGCCTGTCTTTCAGAGGTCTATAAGACCCTACAGTTAGGGCCACCGTTATCTCTCTCACCTCATCTTATTATTATTTTGCCTCTTGATCACCAGGTTCAGTACACAATTTCTTTCTTGCAGTTTCCTAAATACCCCAGGGATGTTCCAGCCTTTGCATTGGCTGTTCATTTTGCCTGGAATGTTCTTCATCCAGATATTTGTTTGACTCATTTTACCTCCTCTTTCAAATAGTACTGTAATGTTTCATTTCATTACTACTGTGTGATCCTATTTAAAAATGGAATACCACATCCACTTGAATTTCTTTATCCACATTTCATTATTTTTTCTTCTTTTTCTTATTTTTATAATCTGGTAAATATTTGTTTAATTTTTCTGTTATTTCTCTGATTGTAAGCTCCATGCATTGAAGAGTTAGTTTGTTAGCCTAGTGACTAGAATACTGACTGGTACATTCTATAATTGGTACTCAAAAAATTTTTTGGGGATAAAATTTCCACTTTCTATGTTTAGTAAGATAATTGAGCCCATGTCCACTCTGCCCTACCTCTTCCACAAAGAGAAAATTTGCATTGCTTTATTTATTTACAACAACACAGTCATGCTAATTCTTTTACTTTTTTGAAATTGATTAAATGTACAGAAAGACCTAAATTTACATACGGGCTCTTTTCTCTGAATGGTGCATGGATTACGTAACCTGCTTTTCCTAGGATATCTTATATTCAACACATAGAAATACTAAATTCTGTGACACAATATTTTGGATTTATATCTAATAATTATACTGCTGACTCATAAACAAGTATTATAAGGATAAGGATTTAACTTTTTCTAGGTTCATACAATAATTAACACATAGTTGATTAAATTATAGTGCCTGACACTATATTTTCCTATTTTCTGCTATACACAAAAGCACACACATTTTCTAGTCTAAAGGCTGGGAAATAATTCTCTTCCTCTTTTTATTTCATTTCTTTTTCAGATTTTCCATCAGCAAGTAAAAGGTAGGGTTATTCACAAGTTGCCTGTTTTTAAAGGCTTCTCGGTCTTCATTATATCTTGCTTTAGTTTTCTTTTTTTTTATTATTATACTTTAAGTTTTAGGGTACATGTGCACAACGTGCAGGTTAGTTACATATGTATACATGTGCCATGTTGGTGTGCTGCACCCAGTAACTCGTCATTTAACGTTAGGTATATCTCCAAATGCTATTCCTTCTCCTTCCCCCCACCCCACAACAGGCTCCACTGTGTGATGTTCCCCTTTCTGTGTCCATGTGTTCTCATTGTTCACTTCCCACCTATGAGTAAAAACGTGGTGTTTGGTTTTTTTGTGCTTGTGATAGTTTGCTGAGAATGATGGTTTCCAGTTTCATCCATGTCCCTACAAAGGACATGAACTCATCATTTTTTAAGACTGCATAGTATTCCATGGTGTATATGTGCCACATTTTCTTAATCTGGTCTATCATTGTTGGACATTTGGGTTGGTTCCAAGTCTTTGCTATTGTGAATGTGCCGCAGTAAACATACGTGTGCATGTGTCTTTACAGCAGCCTGATTTATAATCCTGACCTGAGTTCCCACTGTGCCTTGACCTGGTACTTTGGTAGGATTCTCTAAGAAAGATTAGATTAAACCCAACAAGAGCAAATGTAATCAAAACAAATGTGATCAATTGTTCTAATTTTAGGTACAGAACCCTACTTAGGTTACATAAGATAGAAGTTACATAATTTGACTTTAGTGATTTTAATTGGCAAGAAATTACAATACAATGTGGTTTTTAAAAAAGGTAATTCTACATTTAGATTACACTAATTGTAATATAATACGTAGAATATATGAAATGTTGATATGATTATGTCCTATTCTGCATGTAGCTGTATGGATTTAGTGGCTTATATGTCAGGAAGGCTGATAACCTAGAGCAAATTGGTAAGAGAAAGTTTTACCACTGGGTGGGTTGCTTAATGACCTGTGGTGTAGGTGAGGAAGTATTTGGAGCAGATAGAGGAAAGAAGATATAAGAACTGTCTTCAAGGATGTTTTAGGACAGATGACTTAGAAGTTCTATATTTCTGGAAAGGTACCAAAAAATGGATGAAAGTAACAGTTTAAGTTTTGCTACACAGTTAATCCTTTTAACAATAAGAGACTTCGGAAAGAGGAATGTGTTGTTTAGTGGGGAAATGAGATCCGCATTGCAGGGCATGTTTGAGCGGAACTCCAGATGTTCAACATTAAATAGAACCTGAGGTTGATAACTTTTAGTTTCCTTCCAATCTCAAACTTCCACGTTTCTTAAAAGAGAAAGATAGAAGAAAGCCAATGGATAAAGACTGGAGTTGTGTTTAGTATTTAGATTATATTTATTTAATATGATAAACTCACTGCAATTTCCATTCCCCTTAATGTCATAGGAGAAGCAATCTAAAAAAGCAAATAAAACTTAAAAACTTGATGAAAACATACAGTGAAATATAGGCACCAGCAGTATTTTTAATTTAGGGGAAGGCAAAAAATAAATCAAGCAGCTAAAGAAGTCTGGACTCAAATCTCCAAATAATAAACTCAAGCTGAGAGAAGCCCTGGCTTCTGTAATATCACATAAGTACATGAGAGAAATTGTTGCTCACTGTGACCTTCATACAATCTGGACAAAGAAAAGGCAAGAACAGCCTGTATCCTGGTATAAATCACCACTCAGTATGTTGTGCTGTCCAGAAAGGCGGAACTGAAGGAGGTAAAGTATTAAAGAAAAAGTCATTAGATTTATAGGAGAAAAGTTCCAGCTGTGTGTCTGTTAAGATGGTATCAATGGGCTGACTTTGAAAATGTTTCAAAAAAGCAGGATTTTAAATGGTGATTTTTTTAGGAGCACATGTTCATTCACCTTGAAAGTTTTAATGAGAAAAGCAAGAACAACTAAATCATCTCTTGGCATGACTAGGCATTTCTAGAATCTTCTTTCCTAGTCATGGGTATGTGTCCAGGTCTTTGGCATTTAAGGACATTGTCCTTAATTGGCATTAAGACATTGTCACAGAAATGTCTAACATCGTTTTTCACTGGTTTCATTTACTTGATAAATAAATACATCAGGAAGAAAGAAACAAATATGAACAAAAAATGGTGTTTCTTCCATAGTATTGAGTGATTGTTTTCCTTTGGATCACAGCTCGGTAGAGACAGCAAAGAAATTTATCCTATTATAAAAACCAGAGATATTTTCAATATCTGTTTAAGTATTATATTATTGGGAAGGTTTAAAACAGACCCTAATAATTGAGGTAATTGAAACCGTTTACCCAATATAAGATATAGTGTCCTAAAGTGCCATCCACTCTAGGGAAAGCCCCTCGTCTCTGATTTATAGTTCTCTACCATTTTGCATTCACTTATGAGATGATAGGACCAACTCGTTATCATTTGTTTTTTCTTTAGCCATAGGAATACTTTTCCTTCATCTTTCTCTGTTTTACATGTAGGACTTATTTTGACACCCAAATCATGTATTGATGTTAGCCTTTTGAAAGAAAGGAATAAACAGACATGATAGCTTTATTTTCAAGATGCTGAAAACACCAAATCCATCTAAGATTATATATATGAGAGAAGTTGCCTGAAGTCTGTAATAAAGTGAAATTATCAATTGCAATCACAGAGAGGAAACCATTCTGGAATTGGGCTAACGTGTGCATTTGCAAGCTTGATTCTCTTTGAGTCTTTCTGGAAAATGCATTTATTAGTTTCCATTTAATATAAATTGTGCTAATAAGACAAGAAACTGGGAAAATATTCCTATGGCAAAATATGTTTTAACATGACATATATTTTTGCACTTTTGAGCTATCACGTTGTATTTGGATAGATAAGACATGATGAGAGTCTGCGCTTTAACAATGGCAGTAAAGTTGGCAGATTGTGAGAAAATTAGGTAATTAGAATAATCTTTTTTATACTGACTTTCAGAATTTCTTCTAGTCTCCCCCTTATTTAAGTGTAAGTTCCAGGTTATATGGCAATAAAATTGGGATGATATTTTGCAATCAGGATGAAAATATTTTTACTGTTTTTTTAAGTCCTTTAGTTATAGAACTTACAATGCCCTTTTTAATGTTTTGGGGGTAATTTTTATTTCTAACTTCGTATTCATGAAAATAAAAGAAATTGCCCAAGTGTATTAACAACCCTAGTTAATGGTTTTTATATGGGATTCAGAAAGAAGGAAAACTTGGCAAGTTAAAAATAGAAAGAAGAATGGTAAAGGTAAGGAAAGTTTAGGATATATTCCTGTAATTGGCTAGAACGATCACATTTGTCTCTCTGGGTCTTGAACCAAAGAAAGAAATGTGTTAAGAGAAGATTACAGACTTTCTTCCCTTTAAAAACCTTTCTTGAGAACTTTCAATTATTTAAATGTGTTATTTACCTTTTACTCCGTCCTCCTGCATGAACAGCCAAGCTTTTCTTTGTTTGGATTATAACAAGTCTCTAAATGAAGAGAAAGTCTGTGATACAGAACCCTCAATCATAAAATTATTAGCAAATCTTTCACTATGGTTCTCTTTTTTAACAACCAATTTCATATATTCTTTTTTTTTCACTTGCAGCCAATTTACTATCATATCACAAATCTGGAGCTCTCCCCTCAAAATCTTATTAAAATAGCAGTTTGAATCTCTTCTCCCTAGGTTCCTTATCACCAAGAAAACATATGCAATAGCAGAGATCACAGTGGAGCTGTCTTCTTGGATTACTAAAATTTCATTACTTCCGTAAAATTTGTCATGGCACATTTACAGATAGATAAATTATCATTGAATACTACACCTGTCAAAATAGATGATATGGGCTCCTTTGAAGATTGGACTAGGTAACCTCATTATCCCTTCAATCCCAACTTTCCTGAGATTCTGTGATAAGGCTGACATGAGGCCTTAAGGAGCTTCATTTCTGAGGAAGAATGTTGCAGGAACAACAATGAGGCAGCAGGTAGACCACCTAGAAGCCAGTTGAATTTAACCAGGAGGTAACTACAAGCATAACTAGACTTAGCAGAAATAGAGTGATTGTCTCATTCAGTGTGTTTACTTTTCCTAGATGTCTACTAAGGATCATAACCAGGCAAAATTGCGAATTATGAAAAAGTACTTTTTCATTTACACATTTTTAATGATTTTAATTAGCATGTTTTAAGAGTCTCTAAACTAGGGATTATGCTAAGTGCTTGGGTATTGGGGCACTGAACTGAAAGAGAACCATTCTGCCCACAAGAGCTCGTTAACTGTTTTGTTTCCATGCAGCATATAAAATCTGAGAAATAGGTATTCAGAGGTGAAGAGGGACAGAAAAAAGATCTCTAATTCAAATGTAGAAGTCCAGGAACATTCCTGAAGATATGACATTTGAGTTGATAGCTGCAAGAGTGGAAATCAGTCAGGAAGATGAGATATCTAGACTGTGGGGCATGAAAGAATGGATGCTTAGAAACCTATAAAATATACTACAAACTTCAAGTAGTTCAGTGTTGGGTAGTACTGAGCAGAAGCTGGGCTCCTAAAAGTGAAGAATTTTATAAACTAAGCCAAGGCATTTAGACTTTATCTTGGAGGCTATTGGAAGCTGCCAGTAGTATTTTAAGGAAAAAAAAATTAATAGGGACATTTTCCTTTAGCAAGGTCCATTTCAGTCATGAGAGTAGAATTTGAAGGGATAATAAAGTAGAAGTGAAGGATCAGTTCTAGTTCTATGTTGAAATCTGAGAGATAAAAGACTAAACTATGGTAGAGGTAAAGGAAATGAAGGCAAGTCCCTGGCAAAATTGTTACCAAAACAAGGGATACTTAGAAATCAGGGCACACAGGATTTAATAACTGTCTATTTAGATGGGGAGTAATTCACTAGGTAAACGACAGTTTCACTCTCTGAAGTAGACATAATATGAAGAGGAGCACTGATGACAAGTTTTTAACACTTTGTTTTTTATTCGTGTGTAGAACATTCCAGAGAAGATATCAAGGAATTATTTCAGGAGGTAGCAAAGCCTGGCAAGGTGAAGAAAATGTGACTGAAGAGATTGAATTAATGTGCTGACATTCACACCCTTTAACCTTAGAGATGTTATTGGTTCCTAAGCTTCAGTTTCTTTATGTGTGCAAGGAAATAATAATATCTACCTCAGACACGTTTCATTCTCAAACAAAGCTCTCTAGTAGAGAAAAGGAAAACTAGTTTCTTTGTTCAAGGCATCAACCACTTGTCAAGCCATCTCTAGATGTCCTATAGGATGGGCCCAGGGGAGCTATGTGCTGCCCACAGAGTAGTTATATCTGTTTTAATGAACTATGTCTAATAAATGAACTCAACTATCCAAAATTTCAGAACATAATGGGTTTTTAGATATATGTTCTCTTCTTCTCGTTTCCTATAATTATTCCAGAATTTTCTTGGTAACTAGCTAAGTGACCAGATGATGTCATCTACCTCATAGCAGTAAATCAACAGAGAAATATGTGAGGATTTTAATGACAGTTTTTAAAAAGGGTACAAAGTGAGAATTTCATTAGCCTTCGCTAAAGGTGATAGAAGCCAATTTTACTAGATTAAAACATTTTTAAATTTCTCTCAAGCTAACTGTATTAGTCTGTTTTCACACTGCTGATAAATATGTACCCGAGACTGTGTAATTTACAAAAGAAAGAGGTTTAATTGGACTCACAGTTCCACATGGCTGGGGAGGCCTCACAATCATGGCAGAAGCAAGGAGGAGCAAGGCAAGTCTTACATGGATGCCAGCAGGCAAAGAGAGAGCTTTTGCAGGGAGTCCTCCATTTTTTAGAACCATCAGATCTCGTTAGACTGATTGATTATCATGAGAACAGCACTGAAAAGACCTGCCCCCATGATTCAGTTACCTCCCACTGGCTCCCTCCCACAACAAGTGGGAATTCAAGATGAGATTTGGATGGGAGCACAAACCATATCACTAACCTTCAATCGATTTAATAAATTTTGGCCAACTCTGTTCAATGTGCCAGGTACTGTTGTACCTTTCCATTGGGTGGGAAAATAGGTCTCTGAGGAGATTACAGTTAAGTGGAGAGTTAAGTGATGAGAAGAAGCCTGACACAGAGAACTGGGGATCAAGTATTCTAAGCAGAAAGGAAAGCATGCTTTAGGCAGAAGCCAGTCCATTTGTTTTCAAATAAGAGAAAGGCCAGTGTATGCAGAGCTTCAGGGGGAGATCTGGTGGGAGATGAATTTGGGAAGGGAGCAGGGACAAAATGTATATGACCTTCTAGATCCTGGTAAAGAGTTGGATTTTTTGTTAAATAAAATTAACAAAGGCCGAGGTGGGAAGATCACGAGCTCAGGAGATCGAGACCATCCTGGCTAACGCAGTGAAACCCCATCTCTACTAAAAATACCAAAAAAAATTAGCTGGGCGCAGTGGCGGGCGCCTGTAGTCCCAGCTACTCGGGAGGCTGAGGCAGCAGAACTGCTTGAACCCAGGAGGCAGAGGTTGCAGTGAGCTGAGATCATGCCACTGCACTCTAGCCTGGGCAACAGAGCAAAACTCCATCTAAAAAAAATAAAATAAATTAAATTAAAAAACCATGGCTTAATGTTAACCAAAGAAACATGTAATTTAATAAAAGGAATTCTTTCCTGTTAGAAACTATCATTAAGTCATTTTTTAGCATCAGAGAAAATCCATAAAGAATGTTTATTTCCCCAGATTCAGCTGTACATTTGATTTTTTTAAAAGTCACACTTTAAAAATAACAGCAGATATCTGCTTTTCCCTCTTTTGCCTGTATTCCATCCACAAAAATATAATGGGCTGTGACTTGTTCAAAGCATTGAACTCTTAAAACTAAATTGCATTCCAACATTTTTATTTAAGAGCTAAGAAGTTAAATAAAACCATATTTTAATCTGAAGGAGAAAAAAGTACAAGGAATTTATTTAAATAAGATCATCAACATAAATCTAACCCATTTATAAATTGCAATAAACGGATTAACTGAAAAATCACTGGTGAAAGTTTGTTAACTGCAATTTCTGTAGAAAGAGGGAGGAAAGTGAAGAATGAATAATATTTTGACACAAAGCAATCATGGAGCAAAAGGTATTTAATAAAAGTAGGACAAGCTTTCTGATAGCATTTTATCTGAAACTAATCATTTAATTTAAACATGACATTCATTTAAATGTCAAAAATATCTAACACTTCCTACCAAAATTAGGACACAACATAAATATCCAACAAGAGGGGAATACATAAATAAGTTTTAATACAGAAGGTCCTTAATTATATTAAAAAATTTGGGCCAGGCGCAGTGGCTCACACCTGTAATCCCAGCACTTTGGGAAGCCGAGGCACGCAGATCACCTGAGGTAGGGAGTTTGAGACCAGCCTGACTAACACGGAGAAACCCCATCTCTACTAAAAATACAAAAATAAATAAATAAAAATAAATAAATTAGCCGGGCATGGTGGTGCATGCCTGTAATCCCAGCTACTTGGGAGGCTGGGGCAGGAGAATCACTTGAATCAGGGAGGTTGAGGTTGTGGTGAGCTGAGATCATGCCATTGCACTCCAGCCTGAACAAGAGTGAAACTCTGTCTCAAAAAAAAAAAAAATTGTAAGTGGAAATTGAACATTTAAAGTGAATCTATATAAATGGATACTAAAATGTCAAAAGATGTTATTTAGAAAATACTATTTGGAAATATCTTGAAGATAATTTAAAATCAACTACATTTTATTATATTTTGTTAACATTTAGATTATAAATGTCAGTATGTTCACATTATTAAATTGAATAAAAGTTATTCATGTGTGGCTTTTTTAGGTTTTAGCTTTAAAAAGTTTTTAATTCCAGTGAGTTGTTTAAAAGAATGATACTGTGCTCTTCATTTTACAAAGGACTTTAGCACTGTGTTCATAAATCAGGACATTTACTTTTCCAAGAGTGTCTCACAGGCTCCTAAACGATTCTAAAGCATCCAATGGCGTTATCATTCTTCTTTTCATATCATTGATTTGTCCTAAACATTACCATAAAACTTGAGAACCATTTTTTTTCCTACTTGACTTTTTCATTTAGATGACCAGTGATAGACATTTCAAAATTGAAATGTCTAAACTTGAATTTCTTATTTTCAGCATCCTTTCTCCGATCAAACCGATTAACTCTGATTCTTTGCCACTCGGTAAATGAGAACACAGCCTGTCCGCATGAGCAGAGGATTACCAGAGACTTGTCACCCAAACCCTACTCTCTTTCGCCCACATTCACCAAATCAATCCACCTACTTCTTTCTGTATCTACTGTTAGCATTGCAATATAAGCTGTGCTTATTTCTTGAATAGATTGCTGCAACCCCTGAATAGGGTCTTCATTTCCCTTCCCGTTCAATAATCCATTACCCTCTTAGGAGCCAGAGTGATCTTTTAAATAGCAATATTAAAATTTAAAAACATGGATGCTTTTCCAATAATTCAAAAACTTTTTATCCTGGACCACATGGCCTGATTTTCATTCACCTCTCTAATATGGACGCTCACCAAGTCCCACCCACCGCACACTTCTCTGTTCTTCTAAAACACATAAAACTTGTTCCTGTTGACAGTCCTTGAACTAAAAGTCTCAGACTGGATTTCTCTTCACCCTGTTTTTTTATTTTCTTGGCCTTGCTCCTTCTCATCATGTATGTTTCAGTTTAAGTATCGTCCCTTTGTAGAGGGTTTGCTGAACTACCTTTCTGTTGTTAATGCTCAGGCATGTTCTGTCATCACATTGCCCTGTTTGATTCCCCGGATAGTACTTGCTACTACCCCATACATTCTCATAAGACATGCAAGTGCTTCGGGAACAAAGATTTTGTCTGTCTTGTTGCTGTTGTACACTTAGTCTTAGACTACTACTTGGCACATAGACGCTATATGTATGTACATGTATATACATGTATATACATGTATATTTATGTACATATACATATGTAAATGTATATACAGATATATAGATAGACCCACATATACATACATATGCATATATGCATATGTGGGCATATCTTGTCTATCTGATCTAATGGTTATCTATATATCTGGATCCAAATAGATATTTGGATCCAGTTACAGCCAATGACATTCAAACGTCACCTTTGAAGTACCTCAGTATACTACATTTTATGGTGGTTAATTACATCTTGTAAAAATGTGCTATTTAAAAATATGAATATAATTTTGAAAAACTTGTCATACCAAATTTGTAGAACCGTGTAAAGATTGCTGGGTTTTCATTTATGGATTCCTATTTGAGAGACACTGAGTTAGCAGAGGTGTTTTTCCTCCTTCCTATGCTGCAAGATTCCTATTATATTTGTATCAATGTTTCTTTTTGATAAAAGGTCCAAATGCATTGCTTGTGAGACAGCTACTTTTGCCCTCTACCTCTGATCCTTAATTATTTGGCTTTCTATCTTCATATATCAAACTGCTTAGACCAATTGGAACACTCCTCTCTAGTTATAGTCCATCATTGAGCAATTTTTACTTTGGACTTTTTGACAGCTTGATACAAGTAAGCATCTATTAATATTGACCACCATCTGCACAACTTTAAATACAATTTAATGATGGTTGCAGTCTACATTTTACTAAGGGAAAGGCAGCTAATAAAACCAAAAAGCATGACAGGTGTTCTCAACTATTTTGAAGTCTTTTTGGTTTGCCCTCTAATAGGCATTTTCCTTTCCTGTTTAATGATGTTCCTAAGTGAGGGGAATAAAACCTCCCTCTCCCAATATCCCATTTGCTTTTTAATTCATTTGATTAGCAATATGATAACATTTAAGATAGAAAGCTTGAAAGTCACAAGAAACGAACCCACCAGACTATTTGTAAATCCTGAAAATGTTTTTGCAAAACCCTCATAACATTCAGAGAGTAATCATTTGTCTGTCGTGAAAGGGGGGACAAAGTAAAACTATAGTTTACTTAATTGGGATATATGTAATGTGAGGTTTGATAGGACTTTAAATGCTATTTGGCAGTAGTTCATGCTATTACCTACCCTCTATCTAGACATCACAAGAGCATCAATGTTATGTACACTTACAGGGAGGGAAAGAACATGAATACTACTCTTATTTTCATTTACTTACCCTGTTTGTATTATATACTTCATTTTCCTTAGACTTGTGTGTTCATTATACAAAGTTAACATAGATGAAAAATGAGTTCTTGGCTTAAAAAGTAGGGCAATGAGGTAAAAGGGGAGTAGATGTAAGATACATGAAGTTATAAAACAGACAAGGGAATTATAAATGTACATTGTTTTCCACCTAACAAATTCATTTGTCAGCAGGGGGAACTGTTTTGAGGGAGGAAGATTATTTTCACTGCATACGTGTGAAGTATGCATAATAAGTCATTTAAATCAAGGTTATACATTGTCTTTAGGCAATTATTCTCTTCAGTATTTGTCAAATGTAAAAAGCCAACTGTAAGCAGTTTTGAACTGTTACTTTGTTGCAATTATGCATGCCTTTGACAAAAGATAATGATTTATTTTCCAAAAAAAAAAAAAAAAAGGTGCTACAGGGTTACCTTGTGGAATTTGTAGTATAACAGGGAGAAATAATTAACCAAACAGGTACACAAGAGAAAGAAGGATGCTAGTGTACAATCTGAAATGAATCAGCTCATCTAGAGATTGATATATGCACTTAAGGTTTTTCATAATGACTTTGGGCTTCCTTGCTAGCATCTGGGCACAATATTCATCTAGGATGAAAATTTAATTTTGACCTTTTCCTATCCAATGAGACTACTTCTGGGAACAGAGATAGGTGGTACTATTTGTTTTCTTAATGCTGTTTAGAAGTTGACATTCAATGTGTAGAGGCCAGAAAGGATAAGAAAATAGATGATATAATGAACTCAAGCCTAAACGGAAAGGACAGGAAATAGTCATGGTCAATGTCAGCATGTCACATTGTGCACATGCTAGGGCATTCCTGGGGAGAAGCATGTTTTCCAAAGACGGTGTCAGCCAGGGAGTTTATCATGAAGTTCTTATGAAAGTCAAAGCCCAACAGAGAACCCTTCTGCTGATTTTTAAACTCACACTTATGGCTCAGAAAAGTTAGGTTTTTGTTAATTTGTTATTTTTTTAATAATTGAAAGAAAATTAAAAAATTAATAACAATGACATTTTAATCATTGTTGCACTTCTTATTTTACATGTGTAACACATACTTTTGCATTAGACAATGGGGCAATGAGGAAAGGTTGATCACAACAATAATAATAGCAGACACACTTTTTGTCTGTAAGTTCTTCCAAGAAGAATTGTTGAAATTCTAGTTACTTCTCGTAGTTCCTCCCATTTCCTATAAGGGATTTGGGTGGCTGGCTGTTTCTACTTACCAGCCTTTGATGTTTGCCTGTGGGTATCACTTTTTCCCGTAATGTTACAGCCAAGCTCTGTTGCTCTGCTCTAGCTTCTTATTATGTGGCCCAAAATATTTTGCTCTAACTGTAGAATCTCCTTTTTTTATTATTACTGATAGTAATCTGCTAACCTTCATCACTGCTTGTGTTTCTTTTACTAAAACAATAAATGGTTCCATTTCTACCAAGGTGTTGGAATCATGCTTGAGCTCACTATAATGATAGAAGTTTCTGATTTTTTAACAATATTTTAAACAGAAGAGCATTTATATTTATTGACTTTTTGCAGTTTCTTAAAGCTCCTGTTTTTGTTAAACTTGTGTACAGTTGCCTCAGACTTGAATAGGAAAAAAAAATCAACAAGTTTCAATCTAAAATTATTCTTCTCATTCTGAAATCAACTCACATTCATTAAGTCTTTTCTGCTTCAATGAATACATTTCTTACCTGAGACAATAAGAGAGCTTCTACCCACCTTCCTTCATGGTAGTCTAAATGTGATGTCCAAGGTCTTGAGTCCAGTGCAGTGCAGGTCAAGTCTAATCCCTTTCCTATTTTCTCTCCAAAGACCCCCCAGACTTCTTAGCAAATATAACATCCACTCTGTTCCTCCAGTTATCACAGTGTGTATGCCAATTCTCTTTCATCCCTGCTTTCCAAACTTAGAATATTACTAAATATTCTAAGTTCGTTAAAAAATATTATTTGCACTTTTAGATAATATAGGAACTACAGTTTAAACTAGGAAAATATGTGTAATATAGGTGTGAACACATTTTTGCAATTTAAAAATTGTTAAGAAAAATGTTTTAGTCTTCAAAAATATATATAGTTAAAATTTGTAGAGGCATATCTTATTTTACTGAACTTTACAGATACTGTATTTTTTTTGCAAATTGAAGGCTTATGGCAACCATGCACTGAACAAGTCTATGAGTGCCATTTTTTCCCAAAGCATGTGCTTACTTCACATCTATCTGTCACATTTTGGAAATTCCCACAATATTTCAAACATTTATTTTTATGATGATTGATTATTATTATACATGCTATGGTGATGTGTGATCAGTGATTTTTGATGTTAAAATTATAATTGTTTTGGAACATCACAAACCGTCCCCGTACATGTTGAATAGCTTAATAAATGTGTGTGTTCTGAATGCTCCATCCACTGGCTGTTTTTCCAGCTCTGTTTCTCTCCTTGAGGATCCCTATTACCTAATTTCAACAATATTGAAATTATGCCAATTAATAACCCTACAATGGTCTCTAAGTGTTCAAATGAAAGGTAGTTGCAAGTCTCTCACTTGAAATTAAAAGTGAGGCATGATTAAGCTTAGTGAGGAAAGCATGTAAACAGCTAAGAGAGGTCGAAAGCTATGCCTCTTGTGCCAGTTAGCCAAGTGGAAAAGTTCTTGAGGGAAATTAAACGTGCTGCTCCAGTGAACATACAAATAAGAAAGCAAAACACTTTTATTGCTGACATGGAGAAAGTTTTACTGGTCTGCATAGAAGATCAAACCAGCCACAACATTCTCTTAAGCCAGAGCCTAATCTAGGGCAGAGCCCTAACTCTTCAATTATAGGAAGGCTGAGAGAGGTGAAAAAGCCACAAAAGAAATGTTTGAAGCTAGCAGAGGTTGGTTCTTAAGGTTTAAGGAAAGAAACTGTTGCCGAAAAGTAACAATGCAAATTGAAGCAGCAAGTGCTAATGTAGAAGCTGCAGCAAGGACCTAGGAAAGATCATTGATGAAGGTGGCTGCACTGAAGAACAGACTCTCCATGTAGATAAAACAACCTTGCAAGAAGATGCTATCTAGGGCTTTCATAGCTAGAGAGGAGAAGTCAATGCCTGGCTTCAAGGCTTTAAAGAACAGACTCTCTTTTTATAGGCTAATGTAGCTAGTGACTCTATTTGCAGCCAACATTCACTTTTCATTCTGAAAATGCTAAATTTACTCTTCCTGTGCTCTAGAAATGAAAGATGAATGCCTGGATGACAGCACATCTGTTTACAGCATGGTTTACTAAGTATTTGAAGCACTCTGTTGAGACCTACTGCTCAGAGAAAAGGATACCTTCATAATATTACTACTCATTGGCAATGTACCTGGGCACCAAAGAGCTCTAATGGAAATACACAAAGAGATTAATGTGATTTTCATGACTGTTAACACAACATCCATTCTGTAGCCCAGGGTACAAGTAATATTTTTGACTTTCAAATATTACTATTTAAGAAATACATTCTGTAATGCTATATCTGCTATAGTGATGTTTCTGATGTATATGGGTAAATTAGAAACCTCTGGCTTAAAGGAGTCAAGGCGGGACGCGGCAAGATGGCTGACTAGAAACAGCAGCAATCGAGGCTCCCATCGGAAAGAACCATCATAAGCATGTGAATACTTCACCAGCAACCAAGGTATCTAGGTTCTCTCATCAGAACCGACTAGGAGGCTGGTGTGATCCACAGAGAAGGAGGAAGAGCAGAGTGGTGTACTGCTCACCTGAGAGCCACACAGGGTAGGGGAGCCCCACCCCTCAGCCTAGGGAGGCAGTGAGTGAGCATGCTACCCAGCTGGGGAAGCCATGCATTTTCCACGGAACTGGGCAATCCTCTGATCAATCCACTGATCAGAAGATCGCACGCATGAACCCACACCACCGGGGCCCAGCGTCCCAATCCTGGAGCCTCACAGATTCTCAGTGGTCTCTCAGCTGGAATCTGCTGAAGCCTACTGAGCTCCCGGGGGGAAGGGCGACCACCACCACAGCTGCAGCTGCCTGCTGTCTAAGCCCTTTGAGCTCTTTGGGAGAGGGGCAGCAGCCAGCACTGGGACTCACAACTGCTTAACATGCTAATCTCCCTGGGTGGGGGAAGGGCGACATTCATATCTATAGCTCCAGGCCACGCTTTTCCCTTGCTGGAGCCAGGGAGGCTGGACAACTTGGTCCCAAGACATGTTCACCACAGCCCAGCACACTGGCTGTGGCCAACTGTGGCCAGAGTGCCTCTTCAGGCCTGAGCCTGACTCATCCTTCCTCACTGGGTGGGGCTTCCCTGCAGCAACTCCAATAACTCCAGCCAGGAGCTCAGGGAAAGAACCTGGATCTCCCTGGGCCTGAGCCCCTAGGGAGCCCCTCCACCAAGGGACAAAATGCTTTGTTAAGCAGATCCTGTTCCCTGTGCCACCCAACTGAATGAGACCCTCCAAAAAAGGTTGTCAGACACCCTATACAGGAGTGATCCTACCGGCATCAAGTTGGTGCTCATCGAGGTCAGAGATCTCAGAAGAAGGAGCAGGCACCCATCTTTGCTGTTTCTCCAGCCTCCTTGAGTGACATCTCCAGGCACAAGAGTGAACCAGATGAATAGAGCCTGAAGTGAATCCCCAGCAAACTGCAGCAGCCCTACAGAAGGGGGGACTTGACCATTGAAAGAAAAAGAAACAAACAGAAAGCAACATAAACAGTATCAACAACAACAACAACAACAAAAAGCCCCCACAAAAGCCCCATCCAAGGGTCAGCAGCCTCAGAGATCAAACCTAGACAAACCACGAAGATGAGAAAGAATCAACAAAAAAAACACTGAAAACCGAAAAGGCCAGAGTGCCTCTTCTCCTCTAGGTGATTGCAGCATCTCTCCAGCAAGGGTGCAGAACTGGATGGAGGATGAGATGGATGATTTGACAGAAGTAGGCTTCAGGAGATGAGTAATAAAAAACTATGCTGAGCTAAATGAGCATGTTCTACCCAATGCAAAGAAGCTAAGAACTTTGATAAAAGGTTAGAGGAGCTGCTAACTAGAATAACCAATTTAGAGAGGAATATAAATGACCTGATGGAGCTGAAAAACACAGCACAAGAACTTCATGTAGCATACACAAGTATCAACAGCCAAATTGATCAAGTGGAAGAAAGGATATAAGAGTTCAAAGACCACCTTGCTGAAATAAGGCATGCAGAGAAGACTAGAGAAAAAAGAATACAAACGAATGAACAAAGCCTCCAAGAAATATGGGACTTTGTAAAAAGACCAACCTACAATTGATTGGAGTACCAGAAGGAGGTGAGGAGAATGGAAACAAGCTGGAAAACACACTTCAGGATATTGCCCAGGAGAACTTCCCTGACCTAGCAAGACAGGTCAACATGCAAATTCAGGAAATACAGAAAACACCACTAAGAAACTCCACAAGAAGATCAACCCCAAGACACATAATCATCAGATTCTCTGAGGTCAAAATGAAGGAAAACATTTCAAGGGCAGCCAGAAAGAAAGGCCAGGTCACCTACAAAGGGAGGCCCATCAGACTAACAGTGGATCTCTCAGCAGAGATTGGGGGCCAATATTCAGCATTGTTAAGGAAAATAATTTTCAACCCAGAATTTCATATCCAGCCAAACTAAGCTTCATAAGTAAGGAAGAAATAAAATTCTTTCCAGACAAGCAAATGCTGAGGGATTTTATTCCCACCAGGCCTGCCTTGCAAGAGCTCCTGAAAGAAGCACTAAATATGGAAAGGAAAAACTGGTACCAGCCACTACAAAAACACACCAAAGTATAAAGACCAATGACACTACAAAGAACCTGCATCACCTAGTGTGCAAAATAACCAGATAGCATCATGATGACAGGGTCAAATTTATACATAACAATATTAACCTTAAATGTAAATGGGCTAAATGCCCAAATTAAGAGACACAGACTGGCAAATTGGATACGGAGTCAAGACCCATCAGTGTGCTGTATTCAGGAAACCCATCTTATGTGCAGTGACACACACAGGCTCAAAATAAAGAGATGAAGGAAAATTTACCAAACAAATGGAAAGAAAAAAAAAAGCAGGAGTTGCGATCCTAGTCTCTGACAAAACAGACTTTAAACCAACAAAGATAAAAATAAAGACAAAGAAGGGCATTACATAATGGTAAAGGGAACAATTCAACAAGAAGAGCTAACTATTCTAAATGTATATGCACCCACTACAGTAGCACCCAGTTTCATAAAATGAGTTCTTAGAGACCTACAAAGAGACTTAGGCTCCCACACAATAATAGTGGTAGACTTTAACACCCCACTGTCAATATTAGAAAGATCAAGGAGACAGAAAATTAACAAAGGTATTCAGGACTTGAACTCGTCTCTGGATCAAGTGGATCTAATAGACATCTACAGAACTCTCCAACCCAAATCAACAGAATATACATTCTTCTCAGTGCCACATGGCACTCATTCTAAAACAAGCCACATAATTGAAAGTAAAACACTCCTCAGCAAATGCGAAAGAACTGAAATTATAACAAACAGTCTCTCAGACCTCAGTGCAGCCAAACTAGAGCTCAGGATTAAGAAACTCACTCAAAACTACACAATTACATGGAGACTGAACAACCTGCTCCTGAATGACTCCTGGGTAAACAATGAAATTAAGGCAGAAATCAAGAAGTTCTTTGAAACCAATGGGAACAAAGAGACAATGTACCAGAATCTCTGGGACACAGCTACAGCAGTGTTAAGGGGGAAATTTATATCACTAAATGCCCACATCAGAAAGCAGGAAAGATCTAAAATTCATACCCTAACATCACAATTAAAAAAGCTAGAAAGGCAAGAGCAAACGAATTCAAAAGCTAGAAGAAGACAAGAAATAACTAAGATCAGAGCAGAACTGAAGGAGCTAGAGAAATAAAAACTCTTCAAAAACAATGAATCCAGGATCTGGTGTTTTGAAAAAATTAACAAAATAAATAGACTGCCAGCTAGAATAATAAAGAATAACAGAGGGAAGAATCAAATAGATACAATAAAAATTGATAGACTCCACAGAAATACCAACTCCCATCAGAGAATACTCTAAACACCTCTGCAAGTCAGCTAGAAAATCTAGAAGAAATGAATAAATTCCTGGACACATACACCTTCCCAAGATTAAATCAGGAAGAAGTTGAATTCCTGAATAGACCAATAACAAGTTCTGAAATTGAGGCAGTAATTAATAGCCTACTGACCAAAAAAAGCCCAGGACCAGATGGATTCACAGCTGAATTCTACCACATGTACAAAGAGGAGCTGGTAACATTCCTTCTGAAACTATTCCAAACGATGGAAAAGGAGAAATTCCTCCGTAAGTCATTTTATGAAGCCAGCATCATCCTGATACCAAAACTGGGAAGAGACACACCAGAAAAAGAAAACTTCAGACCAATATCCCTGATGAACGTCAATGTGAAAATCCTCAATAAAATACTGGCAAACGGAATCCAGCAGTACATCAAAAAGCTTACCCACCACCATTAAGTCAGCTTTATCCCTGGGATGCAAGGCTGGTTCAAACATATGCAAATCAATAAATACAATCCATCACATAAACAAAACCAAAGACAAAAAACACATGATTACTTCAATAGATGCAGAACAGGCCTTTGATAAAATTCAACATTCCTTTATGTTAACTCTCAATAAACTAGGTATTGATGGACCATATCTCATAATAATAAGAGCTATTTATGACAAACCCATAGCCATTATCATATTGAATAGGCAGAAATGATAAGATGGACATAATACTATTGCACCCTTACTAGACTACAGTGTAGTATAAACATAACTTTTATATGCACTGGGAAACCAAACACTTGGTCTGACTTGCTTTATTGCAGAGGACTGGAATTGAATCCACAATATCTCTGAGGTATGCCACTATTTAAACTGAATAAAATTGGTAGATTATACTTTCTGTTTTTACTTCTTCAGCAATCATAACAAATTTTGGTGTATTTAAAGTATAGCAAGGTAATTCTTATCATCAAAGAGCCCCTAAATTAGTGGAGGAGAGAATACCTATAAAAATGTAAAAACAATGCCGGTAAATAATGACAAATGGCATAATAAGGGAATAGGTCCAATGGTTAAGAATTGTACAAAAAGAAAAATCACTCTGTATTGGGAAGAACTGGAAAAGGCATAAGGAATTATATCTTATTTTAATAAGATATAAAGAATTTGTAAAATTCAAAAGGCTGACATAAGTGATAGGCTCTGGGTATATGGAACAGGCTGAGCAAGAGTGGCATGTAGAAATTTCCCAGAGAATTGAGAAATAGTTTTATGACTTGTATATCAGACAGCACATGGCAAATATAGTGCAATGTTAAGACTATAGATCTGGAGTTAGATGTTTCTAGACTCCACTCCTGGCTCTTTCTTACTGCTTAGCTGTGTGGCATTAATGAAGTCACTTAACATCTCTGAACTGGAGTTTTCTCATAGATGGAATGGGACTAGTGATGCAATTGATTTATAGCTATTGAGATATAATTTTTAGTTAGTGGAAGAAAGAGATGGATGGATAAAAAGATGAGATAAATCTGGGGAAAGAAATCAGGTCTTTTAGAGATGTACATTAGGGATTTAGAACTTCTTGCAGAAGGCATGTAAAATTTAACGTTGATTACATTAACTGGTTAATGTACGTGATACATTTAAACTAATTAAATTCAAAATAATTATTAATTTATGCTTACTAGGTTACCTGTGACAATGAACTTTCTGACATTGAAAATTCAAAAATGAATAATAGCTACAATGTATTTTCAGATCCCTATACAGTTGATATTTTATTAGATTCTACATGCTACTAGAACATTCAAATAAATATAGTAAAGATAGAGCAATGAGAATAAAATATTTCAAAATCTAATTTTCTCTAATAACATTAATTTAATGTGATAATGTTAATTTATTTTATATAATTAATATCATATAATAAATTTTATAATAAAATATTCTGTATGATGACAAAACTCTCCTTCCTTGACTGAATTTACAAATAGATAATAGCAGTTATTTGCCCTTGACTCTTGTGGAGACCACAATCTGCTTGTTTACATTATTAATTTGTTTAGAGACTCATTTTCCTAATTAACTGAACAGAGGCAAACTTCACAAGTTCCAGAAATTAATGATATTTTGTTGGCCTAGTATTCCAGGTAAAAAGGGAATTTTTGCTAGGATGATTTAGATAGTTGTCTCAATTTGCTTCATAACTTCCTATTTATTGATGCATCATTAGAGTTTAAGAGAGGTAGTTAGCAACCACGTGTGTATTCTAATAGAGACAGGTAATCAGTTGAATATATCTAGGTAATTCAGCCTGTATTAAGTGCCTGCTAAGTAAAATATGTGCACATGATTGGATAGTTGAAGGTACATTACCAATGAAGATATCATGAAATTGCAAATCAATTCATAGATTTGTTAAAAACACTCAAACTTTTTCTTAAGAAGAATAGCTTTTTCTGTGTTTTAATTTTTTTTCTCAGTGATAATGTTAGCTTTAAAAAGACACACTGAGGTGCCTTGATGCTTCCTCTCTTTGTAAGTTGTTTCTTGGTAAGTATTCAGAACAAAAAATAATCATACAACATTTTTAAACTTCATTTTGGTAAAAGCTAAGACACAAATACACACACACTAGCCTAGGCCTACACTGGGTCAGCATCATCAATATCAGTCTTCTGTCTCCATGTCTTGTCCCACTGGAAGGTCTTCAGGAGCAATGACACACATGGAGCTGTCATCTCCTACGATAACAATGCCTTCTTCTGAAATATTTCCTGAAGGACCTGCCTGAGGCTGTTTTACAGTTAGCTTTTTTTTATAAGTAGAATGAATGCATTCTAAAATAATGTTAAAAATCATAGTATAATAAATACATAAACCAGTAACATAGTTGTTCATTATCATTATCAACTTTTATGTACTATACATAATTATATGTGCTATACTTTTACATGACCAGGAGCTCAGTAGGTTTGTTTATGCCATCATCACCACAAACACGTGAGTATTGCGTTGCGGTACAAGGTTAAGATGGCTATGATGTCACTAGGCAATGAGAATTTTTCAGTTTCATTATAATTTTATAGGACTACCCATGCAGGCCATCGTTAGCAAAATGTTGTTATGCAGCACATGACTGTGTTATATTGGAAGGCAACCACCTGGGGAAGGAGAGGCGAAAGAAAAAGGAAAGTGAGCTAGGGAAAGAATCGGAGCAAATATAAGATAATGCATTACGGAGATGTCCACAGCTTTCCAACAAAGCACAGCTTGTACTCAGTCATGCATACTATCTCCAGGCAGCCTCCATGGGATGCTGCATTTTGGAAGAGTCCATTGGTAAAGAAATAAAGGGAGAGAAATTTATCTGCTGTCTTCTTGCTGTCTTTTTCTCTGACTGATCAAAATCTACTCCTAGGGGAAGGTGTCCCTTTGCACTTTGGGAAGCTGCTGAGAAAGGTAGTATATTTGCAGATCCATTCTGGCGAATATGCTGCTGTGGCGGTCTTTCTTTGTTAATTGATGTAGTATTGTCATCTTTGGTCTACATAGAAGTGCGTGATATTTGTAGCGAACGGCAGTGATACTTTACTATAAGAAGAGTATGAGTCATCATTAGAGTTGTTCACCCAGGAATTAAGACACGCAACTGAGGCCCAGGTAGCAGAAAGACCAGCCTGAATCTGGGGTATACATAAACTAAATCTGTACAGGAGACAATTTGTTTTAAGGGAGTCTCATGAAGTAAACACCTTGTGAAAAGGGACATGTCATCACAAGCCTTCGGGGCACAGCCACAGGCACATCTAAAATACCAGGGATATTAAAAAAAAAGAAGATATGGCTGTTTGTGGGACTGAAATTCTTCACTCTGGCTGGATCTCAAAGTTTTATATCAGTGGAGAGAGTTTAATCTAAAGAGGAAAGTAAAGCCAGATGCAAAGGGTCCTGTACTCTCATCTTGTACACGTCAAGAGCTGGGACTTTATATTAATATTGGTGGCAAGCTAGGGGTCCTGCAAGTGTCTCAAAAGATTTTTGTGTGGACTTCTGCTGTGGCTGAAGCAGTCTTAAACCAGTTTCCATTTTAATTTTGTGCCTCAGAATTATAGCATCATAATAAAAATGAAGATTTAGTTGGAATAATTACGCATGTAAGAGGTTTAGGTTTTTATTTTTAATAGCTGACTTTTTTCAATGCTTCCTTAGTGTCTAGAAAGAAATAAAAAATATTCTCATTGTCTTTTCTACCTTTTTCTGGTTCTCTTTTCAACTTTTGCAGCTTCAGTCTTCATGTACAGAAATAAATTTTATCTACAGTTATCTCCTGGCGTTCATTTATGGACATGAAAGACTAGCTACCAGCCCTCAGATCCTAAACTTGGATTTAAAAAAAATCACAGTGGCTATGGCAGTGTGAGTTTTTGCTCATTTCTCTGGCTTTAATATTTTCTTCTTTAGTGCTGAAGCCTAGGGATTTAACTTTTCTTCCTTTGAGATTGTTTATGCATTTAAGCGTTTTTCTTGTTATACTTCATACATCATTTTAGTGTGTTTGTAAAAGCAAGGAGGGTTCATATCAGCTCAGTTCACTATATTTCTGGAACTATCAATCATTGCTTATAATACCAGTCGGTCATAAGAAGGAAAAGACAAATGATATGAGACTGTCTAGGAGAAAGGAGCTAATCTAATCTGGTGGATAAGAGTGGCCACGGAAAGGTAAATGTGGTTGGAGTGTTGAGGGCAGATTGTAAACGATAATGCCAGAAGCTGAAGAGTTTGCTGTAGTACAGAATATGGAAAGACATGTTAAAAATGTCTTTACCCGAAGAGTGATGGGATGACAGTGAATAATTGTAAGAGGGAGTAATGCAATTCTATTTTTATTTTTTAAATGTAACTCTCTTGAGTGTTGATTAAAGCATGACCAGATTTGATGAATGTGGGAAATTTTAGAAGACAATTATATAGTTGATAATTGACCAGGCAGAGAAATAATACAGATTTTAAATTCTGAAATATGAAAGTACAATAATTATTTTGTATTTTTGGCCATAATCAATTTTGGCCACTGTAATAGTGACTGAGCAGCAACCTTCATCTACATGTTACAATGGCTACACGGACTACATTACTACAAGTAATACGTTACTCCTGCCCCCAATATCTGGTCTTCCTGACTCCATCCTTGCATTCTTGTAGGTAACCTGTGCTGCTGCAGCCAGAGGGATTGCTCTAAAAGGTGAAGTAGATCATGGCACCCCCTTACTTTAAACCTTTCTACAGCTTGTCACCAATCTCAAGAAAAAAAATCCATAATCTTGAGGTTTACAAAGTGTACAAAATGCGTGTACAAACCCCTTTGCATCTGGTTTTATTTTCCCGTTTACACTCTCACGATTCACATCAAACTCTGAGATCCAGCCAGAGTGAAGAATTTCGGTCCCACAAACAAGCCACACCCTTTTTAATTTCTGGTTCTTCAGGGGTTGCTGTGGTTATGCCTCCAACACCACTCATGGCATGCCTTCCCTGCCCCTCCATCCCACATCACACATGAAAACATGATTTACTGGACTTAATGGTTGCTAATTTTTGAATCACATGTTTTACATTATTCTTCCACTCCTCTAGAAAGATCTACCATGCCTGGGACTGGTGATTCTCTGTCATCTCAACTATCACCATTTAATTGTAATTGCTTTACTTACTCTTGAAAACCACTTCTGGGTTTTCTGTGAAAAAGAATATAACTTTCTTGTTCTCAGTTGCATTCCCATACCCAAGCACAGTTGGTGCTTGATAAATAATGGTTGAATTAATGAGAAAATGAATGACCGAATGTTTAAAGAAATGCACAGATTTAAGCATTTTATTTCACCTCAACAATATTCAATCAAAACTTTGTCAGTTAGGAACCATATAATCACAACAAAATGACTTACAGCCCATTAATTGTTCTAGGCCAGATAGGAATGGATGTGGATGTGGACAAGCATTTTTTTACCCCTTAAAATTAAGGCAAGGTTATGAAACTGACTGGATGCAAGGGTGACCCAGGCACGATAGCTAAGAAGGCAAAGTCGCTTGTTCTATTAGCTGTTTAGGCATCTTTGCAGCCATCCTTGATTTGGAGTTTTTGATCTTGATCTAATTCTATCCCTCAAAACCAGCCCTTACAATCTCACGTGCCCACCTCTTCCATGACAGTCCTTGGGCCTAGAGGGAGGGTGATTGTATAGTTTTAGCAGCAGGGCATTTGCAGTGAAAAACAGATTGGGCCCAGTGGGATGCCAAATGAGAGAGGGTCGCATCTCTGGCCTTCAGAATGCCATGATTTTTGTTTCCTTGGAAGTAAAACAAGGTTCAATCAATAACATTAATATTTTGACAATCATAAGCATATTTGTGTGTCAGAACGGAAATAGAAACCTATTCCATTAGGGCACCAACAAAAGATATGAAGAAAAATTATAATCTGGTACTCTCTAGAGAGTTATTGTAGCCAAGAAATAATTTATGATTCAATCTGCACTCAAAAAAAAAAAAAAACACTAGGGCTAAAATCTTGTATCAAGTGTTACACTTTTCCTTTGAAACAATCTCTATCTTTCATTCTAGCATTCCTTTTCTATTAAAGAGAAATTATAGTAAGACCAATTTGTGTGTAAAATAAGTTTTGAACTTATTATACTTTGCCTGATTATTCATATACAGTACAGCAATAATTGAATGCTTATATAGGCTCCTCTTAAGTTGGCTTTGCTGGAATTTTACCTTAAAATATGCTATTTTAGTCAAAGTCTTCATAAAATAAACAGTGTCTCCAAATGTTCTGTTCTAAAAGACTCTTACTAAACTTACGCAAATAACCATATTGTCATAAAATAACAATCAAAATTTTGGAGAACTCAGATAAAGAGAAAAGTAAATTTGCTTACAAAAACATACTTTATTCAAGTGCTCTAAACTATGAATAACTTAATTTTTTTAAAAAATTGACCCTTTTTAAACCACAGCAGCAACCTTTCAAGCAAGATGTTGTTCACGTAAACCTTCAATGCTCAGACACTGAAGAACATCTCCTAGCACTAACACCATCCAGGAAAACATGACCTCACCTCACCAATTGAACTAAATAAGGCATCAAGGACCAATTCTGGAAAAACAGAGATATGTGAACTTTCAGACAGAGAATTCAAATTAGTGGTTTTGAAAAAACTCAGAGAAATTCAAGACAATGCAGAGAAGGAATTTAGAATTTTGTCAGATAAATTTAAAAAAGATTACAATAATAAAAAAGAATCAGGTAGAAATTCTGGAGCTAAAAAATGCAATTGGCATACTGAAGAATGCATTAGAGTCTTTTAATAGCAGAATTGATCAAGCAGAATGAATTAGTGAGCTTGAAGACAGGCTATTTGAAAGTACACAGTCAGAGGAGACAAAAGAAAAAACAATAAAAAGCAATAAAGTACACCTACAGGAGCTGGAAAATAGCCTCAAAAGGGCAAATCTAACAATTACTGGCCTCAAAGAGGAGGTAAAGAAAGAGATAGGAGTAGATAGTTTATTCCAAGGAATAATAACACAGAACTTCCCAAGAGAAAGATGCCAATATCCAGGTACAAGAAGGTTATAAAACACCAAGCAGATTAACCCAAAGAAAAGTACCTCAAGGACTTTAATAATTAAACTCCCAAAGGTTAAGAATAAATCAAGTATTCTAAAAGCAGCAAGAAAAAAAAAAGAAAGAAATAACATACAATGGAGTTCCAGTACATCCGGCAGCAGACTTTTCAGTGGAAACCTTACAGGCCGGGAGAGAGTGTCATGGCATATTTAAAGCACTGAAGGAAAATAACTTTTATGCTAGAATAGTATATCCAGTGAAAATATATTTCAGACATGAAGGAGAAATAAAGACCTTTCCAGACAAACAAAATCTGTGGGATTTCATCAATACCAGACCCTCCAACAAGAAATGCCAAAGGGATTACTTCAATCAGAAAGAAAAAGTCATTAATGAGCAATAAATAATCACCTGAAGGTACAAAATTAACTGGTAATAGTAAGTACACAGAAAAACAGAATATTATAACACTGTAACTGTGTGGTGTGTGAACTACTCTTATCCTAAGTAGAAAGACTAAGCAATGAACCAATCAAAATTAATAAATATAACAACTTTTTAAGATATAATCAATACAATAATATATAAATAGAAATAACAAAAAGCTAAAAAGTGGGGGATGAAGATAAGGGGTAGAGTTTTTATTACATTTCTTTTTGCTTGTTTGTTTATGCAAGTAGTGTAAAGTTGTTATCGGATTAAAATAATGGGTTTTAAGATAGTATTTGCAAGCCTCATGGTAACCTCAAACCAAAAAACATACAGTGGTTACACAAAAAATGAAAAATCAAGACACTAAATCATATCACCAGAGAAAACATATTAACTAGAGGAAGACAGGAATGAAAGAAAGAGAAGACAACAAGAGAACAAATAACAAAATGGCAGGAGTAAGGTTATCAATAATAACATTGAATATAAATGGACCAAACTCTCCAATCAGAAGACAAAGACTGGCTAAATAGATAATAATAAAAAAAGACCCATTGATCTGTTGCCTACAAGAAACACCCTTCATCTATAAAGAAACACATAGACTGAAAAGGGGATGGAAGGAGATGTTCCATGTCAGTGGAAACCAAATAAGAGCAGGAGTCACTATACTTAGACAAATAGATTTCAAGACAAAAACTGTAAGAAGAGATAAAAAGGTCACTATATAATGATAAAGGGGTTAGTTCAGCAGGAGGATATAACAATTTTAAATATATATGAACCCAACACTGGAGCACCTAGGTATATAAAGGAAACATTATTAGAGCTAATGAGAGAGATAGGCCACAATACGATAGTAGCTGGAGGCCTCAGCACCCCACTTTCAGCATTAGACGGATCTTCCAAACAGAAAATCAACAACAACAATTAAAAAAAAAATCAGTCTGAATCTACATTATAGATCAAATGGATCTAACAGATATTTACAGAATATTCTATCCAGGAGCTGCAGAATACACATTCTTTCCTCAGCACATGGATCATTCTCAAGGATAGACCATATATTAGGTAAAAAATGAGTCTTAAAGCATTCAAAAACTTTTTGAAATAATATCAGGCACCCTCTGTGACCATAATGGAATAAAATTAGAAATCAGTAACAAGCAATTTTCAAAACTATTCAAATACATCAAAATTAAACAATATTCTCTTGACTGATCAGTGGATCAATGAAGAAATTAAGAAGACGATTTTAAAAAATCTTGAAATAAATATTAATGGAAACACAACCAAAACCTATGTGATACAGCAAAAGCAGTCCTCAGAGGGAAACTTATAGCTATAAGTGCCTGTATCTAATAAGAGAAGAAACTTCAAATAGAAAATCTACCGATGTATCTTAAAGATCTAGAAAATGAAGAGCAAACCAAAGCCAAAATTAGTAGATGGAGAGAAATAATAAGGACCAGAGAAGAAATAATTTAAATTGAAATAAAAAATACAAAAGATCAATGAAAGAAAAAATGTTTTTTTTGAAATGTTAAACAAAATTTGACAAACTTTTAGCCAGACTAATCAAGGAAAAAGAAGACCCAAATAAATAAAATCAGAAATAAAAAAGGAGACATTATAACTGACACTACAGAAATTCAAAGAATAATCAGTGGCTACTACAAGCAACTATATGCTAATAAATTGGAAAAGCCAGAAGAGATGGACAAATTCCTTGATACATAAAACCTACCAAGGCTGAATCAGGAAGAAATAAAAAACCTGAACTGACCAATAAGAAGTAATGAGATCAATGCTGTAAGAAAAAGTCTCCCAGTAAAGAAAGCCTGAGACTTGATGGTTTCACTGCTGAACTCCACCACACATTTAAAGAAGAACTAATACCAATCCTACTCAAACTATTCTGAAAAATAGAGAAGGTGGGTATACTTCCAAGTATTACCCTGATACTAAAACCAGACACAGACACACAAAAAAACTGCAGCCCAATATCTCTGATAAATATTATTGCAAAAATCAACAAAATACTATCAGATTGAATTCAACAGTACATTAGAAAAATTATTCATTATGATCAAGTGAGATTTATCCCTGGGATTCAAGGATGATTCAACATATGCAAATCAATAAATGTGATACATCATATCAACAGAATGAAGGATAAAACCATAACCATTTCAACTGATGCTAAAAAAGCATTTGATAAAATTCAACATCCCTTCATGATAAAAAAGAAAACCAACCCCCAAATAACTGGATATAGAAGAACCATACATCAACATAATAAAAAACCATATATGATAGACCCACAGCTAGTATCATACTGAGTGGGGAAAAACTGAAAGCCTTTCCTCTAATACCTGGAACATTACAAGGATGTCCACTACCACCACTGTTATGCAACATGGTACTAGAAGTCCTAGCTAGAACAATCACACAAGAGAAAGATATAAAGGGCATAAAAGTCACAATGAAAGAAGTCAAATTATCCTTGTTTTCTGATGATATAATCTTATATTTGGAAAAACCGAAAACTACACAAGGGAACTATTAGAACTGGTAATCAAATTCAGTAAAGTTGCAGGATACAAAATAAACATACAGAAATCATTAGCATTTCTACATATCAACAGCGAACTATGTGAAAAAGAAATTTAAAAAGTAATCCCATTAAGAATAGCCAAGCATAAATACCTAGGAATAAGTCAAAGAAGTGAGAAATTTCTAATATTTAAAACTGTAAAACATTGATGAAAGAAATTGAAGAGGACACAAAACATGAAAAAAATGCACCATGTGCATGGACTGAAAGAATCAATATTGTTAAAATGTCCACACTACCCAAGGCACTCTACAGATTGGGTACAGTCTCTATCAGAATACTAATGACATTCTTCACATAAGAAAAAATCCTAAACTTTATATGGAACCACAAAAGACCCACAATAGCCAAAGTTATCTTAAGCAAAAAGAACAAAACTGGAGAAATCACACTTACCTGACCTGAAATTATACCGCAGAGCTAATAGTAACCAAAACAGCATGTTATTTTCATAAAAACAGACACATACACCAGTGGAACAGAATAGAGAACCGAGAAACAAACCCACACACCTACAGTGAACACATTTTTGACAAAGGTATCAGGAACATACACTGGGATAAAGACAGCCTCTTTAATAAAACTGGAAAATGAAAAAACAGGATAGCCATATACAAAATAATAAAACTAGACCCTTATCTCTCACCATTTTCAAAAATCAAATTAAAATAATTTAAAGACTTAAATCTAAGACCTCAAACTATAAATCTAGTATAAGAAAACTTTGGGGGAAATTTCCAGGACATTCGTCTGGGCAAAGACTTCTTGAGCAATTTCCCACAAGCACAGACAAAGCAAACACAGACAAATGGAATAACATCAAATTTAAAAGCTTCTGTACTGCCAAGGATACAATCAACAAAGTGAAGAGACAACTCACAGAATGTGTGAAAGTATTTGCAAATTATTCCTCTGAAAAGGGATTACTAACCAGAATAAATAAGGGGCTCAAACAACTCTATAGGGAAAAAAAATCTGATATTTCAATCGAAAAAATTGGCAAAAGATTTGAATAGACATTTCTCAAAAGAAGACATACAAATGGCAAAGAAGCATACAAAATGGTGCTCAACATCAGAAAATGCAAATCAAAATACCACACCACATCTATTCCAAAATCGACCACATAGTTGCAAGTAAAGCTCTCCTCAGCAAATGTAAAAGAACAGAAATTATAACAAACTGTCTCTCAGATCACAGTGCAATCAAACTAGAACTCAGGATTAAGAAACTCACTCAAAACCACTCAACTACATGGAAACTGAACAACCTGCTCCTGAATGACTACTGGGTACATAATGAAATGAAAGCAGAAATAAAGATGTTCTTTGAAACCAACGAGAACAAAGACACAACATACGAGAATCTCTGGGACACATTCAAAGCAGTGTGTAGAGGGAAATTTATAGCACTAAATGCCCACAAGAGAAAGCAGGAAAGATCCAAAATTGACACCCTAACATCACAATTAAAAGAACTAGAAAAGCAAGAGCAAACACATTCAAAAGCTAGCAGAAGGCAAGAAATAACTAAAATCAGAGCAGAACTGAAGGAAATAGAAACACAAAAAACCCTTCGAAAAATTAATGAATCCAGGAGCTGGTTTTTTGAAAAGATCAACAAAATTGATAGACCGCTAGCAAGACTAATAAAGAAAAAAAGAAGAATCAAATAGACACAATAAAAAATGATGAAGGGGATATCACCACCGATCCCACAGAAATACAAACTACCATCAGAGAATACTACAAACACCTCTATGCAAATAAACTAGAAAATCTAGAAGAAATGGATAAATTCCTCGACACATACACTCTCCCAAGACTAAACCAGGAAGAAGTTGAATCTTTGAACAGACCAATAACAGGCTCTGAAATTGTGGCAATAATCAATAGCTTACCAACCAAAAAGAGTCCAGGACCAGATGGATTCACAGCCGAATTCTACCAGAGGTACAAGGAGGAGCTGGTACCATTCCTTCTGAAACTATTCCAATCAATAGAAAAAGAGGGAATCCTCCCTAACTCATTTTATGAAGCCAGCATCATCCTGATACCAAAGCCGGGCAGAGACACAACCAAAAAAGACAATTTTAGACCAATATCCTTGATGAACATTGATGCAAAAATCCTCAGTAAAATACTGGCAAACCGAATCCAGCAGCACATCAAAAAGCTTATCCACCATGATCAAGTGGGCTTCATCCCTGGGATGCAAGGCTGGTTCAATATACGCAAATCAATAAATGTAATCCAGCATATAAACAGAACCAAAGACAAAAACCACATGATCATCTCAATAGATGCAGAAAAGGCCTTTGACAAAATTCAACAACCCTTCATGCTAAAAACTCTCAATAAATTAGGTATTGATGGGACCTATCTCAAAATAATAAGAGCTATCTATGACAAACCCACAGCCAATATCATACTGAATGGGCAAAAACTGGAAGCATTCCCTTTGAAAACGGGCACAAGACAGGGATGCCCTCTCTCACCACTCCTATCCAACATAGTGTTGGAAGTTCTGGCCAGGGCAATTAGGCAGGAGAAGGAAATAAAGGGTATTCAATTAGGAAAAGAGGAAGCCAAATTGTCCCTGTTTGCAGACGACATGATTGTATATCTAGGTAACCCCATTGTCTCAGCCCAAAATCTCCTTAAGCTCGTAAGCAACTTCATCAGAGTCTCAGAATACAAAATCCATGTACAAAAATCACAAGCATTCTTATACACCAATAACAGACAAACAGCCAAATCATGAGTGAACTCCCATTCACAATTGCTTCAAAGAGAATAAAATACCTAGGAATCCAACTTACAAGGGATGTGAAGGACCTCTTCAAGGAGAACTACAAACCACTGCTCAATGAAATAAAAGAGGATACAAAGAAATGGAAGAACATTCCATGCTCATGGGTAGGAAGAATCAATATCGTGAAAATGGCCATACTGCCCAAGGTAATTTATAGATTCAATGCCATCCCTGTCAAGCTACCAATGACTTTCTTCACAAAATTGGAAAAAACTACTTTAAAGTTCATATGGAACCAAAAAAGAGCCTGCATCGCCAAGTCAATCCTAAGCCAAAAGAACAAAGCTGGAGGCATCACGCTACCTGACTTCAAACTATACTACAAGGTTACAGTAACCAAAACAGCATGGTACTGGTACCAGAACAGAGATATAGATCAATGGAACATAACAGAGCCCTCAGAAATAATGCCGCATATCTACAACTATCTGATCTTTGACAAACCTGAGAAAAACAAGCAATGGGGAAAGGATTACCTATTTAATAAATGGTGCTGGGAAAACTGGCTAGCCATATGTAGAAAGCTGAAACTGGATCCCTTCCTTACACCTTATACAAAAATCAATTCAAGATGGATTAAAGACTCAAACGTTAGACCTAAAACCATAAAAACCCTAGAAGAAAACCTAGGCATTACCATTCAGGACATAGGCTTGGGCAAGGACTTCATGTCTAAAACACCAAAAGCAATGGCAACAAAAGCCAAAATTGACAAATGGGATCTAATTAAACTAAAGAGCTTCTGCACAGCAAAAGAAACTACCATCAGAGTGAACAGGCAACCTACAAAATGGAAGAAAATTTTCGCAACCTACTCATCTGACAAAAGGCTAATATCCAGAATCTACAATGAACTCAAACAAATTTACAAGAAAAAAACAACCCCATCAAAAAGTGGGCAAAGGATATGAACAGACACTTCTCAAAAGAAAACGTTTATGCATCCGAAAGACACATGAAAAAATGCTCATCATCACTGGCCATCAGTGAAATGCAAATCAAAACCACAATGAGATACCATCTCACACCAGTTAGAATGGCAATCATTAAAAAGCCAGGAAACAACAGGTGCTGGAGAGGATGTGGAGAAATAGGAACACTTTTACACTGATGGTGGGACTGTAAACTAGTTCAACCATTGTGGAAGTCAGTGTGGTGATTCCTCAGGGATCTAGAACTAGAAATACCATTTGACCCAGCCATCCCGTTTCTGGGTATATACCCAAAGGACTATAAATCATGCTGCTATAAAGACACATGCACACGTATGTTTATTGCGGCACTATTCACAATAGCAAGGACTTGGAACCAACCCAAATGTCCAACAATGATAGACTGGATTAAGAAACTGTGGCACATATACACCATGGAATACTATGCAGCCATAAAAAATGATGAGTTCATGTCCTTTGTAGGGACATGGATGAAATTGGAAATCATTATTCTCAGCAAACTATTGCAAGGACAAAAAACCAAACACTGCATGTTCTCACTCATAGATGGTAATTGAACAATGAGAACATACGGACACAGGAAGGGGAACATCACACTCTGGGGACTGTTGTGGGGTTGGGGGAGGTGGGAGGGATAGCATTAGGAGATATACCTAATGCTAAATGACGAATTAGTGGGTGCAGCACACCAGCATGGCACATGTATACATATGTAACTAACCTGCACATTGTGCACATGTACCCTAAAACTTAAAGTATAATAATAATAAAAAACAAATAACTAAAAAACTACAATGAGATATCATCTCACCCCAGTTAAAATGGCGTATATCCAAAATACAGGAAATAACAAATGCTGTTGAGACAAGGGAACACTTGCACACTGTTGGTGGGAAAGTAAATTAGTGTAATTACTATGGAAAACAGTTTGGTGGTTCCTCCAAAAACTAAAAATTGAGCTACTGTATGCTCCAGCAATCCCACTGCTGGGTATATATCAAAGGAAATGAAATCAGTACATTGAAGAGATATCTGAACTCCGACTGTTGTTGCAGCATTGTTTACAATAGCTAAGATTTGGAAGCAACCTAAGTGTCCATCAACAGATGAATGGATATAGAAAATGTGGTACATATACACAATAGAGTACTATTCAGCCATATAAGAGAATGAGATCCAGTCATTCTCAACAACATTGATGGAAATTAAGGTCATTAGATTAAGTGAAATAAGCCAGGCACATAAAGACAAACATTGCAAATTCTCATTTATTTGTAGGATCTAAAAATCAAATCAGCTGAACTCATGGACGTAAAGAGCAAAAGGATAATTACCAGAGGCTGTGAAAGTTAGTGGGGGGTTGTGGTGGAGATGGGGATGGTTAAGAGTTACCAAAAACAAACAAACAAACAAACAAATAAAAATCAGAAAAAAAGGAAAAATACCTTCTATGTGATAGCACAATAGGGTGACTACAGTAAATAATACCTTAATTGTATATTTTAAAATAACCAAAGTAATGTAATTGGATTTTTTGTAACTCAAAGGATAAATGCTTGAGGGGATAAATACCTCATTATCCATTAATCGCTTACTTCACATTGCTTGCCTGGATGAAAACATCTCATACACCCCATAAATATATATGTACCTACTATGTATCCACAAAATTTTTAATAAATAGTAGAAAAAATTTAAAAAATATATTTAAAAATTTTTCCTGGCCCCTGGCTTATATCCCCGTTCTTTAGTTTTATGTCTTGGAATAAATATATTTGAGGTTTCTGTCTTATCCAACTTTGGCTTCGGATTAGTTTTCAGAAGACCTCTGATTCTGCACATGATATGTTTTGGCCCTGCGTCCCCACCCAAATTTCACCTTCAATTGTAATAATCCCTATGTATCAAGTGTGGGACCAGGTGGAGATAATTGAATCATGGGGGTGGTTTCCCCCATACTGTTATTGTGATAGTGAGTGAGTTCTCACAAGATCTGATGGTTTTATAAGGGGCTTCACCCTTCACTTGGCTCTCACTTCTCTTGCCTGCCACCATGTAAGACGTGCCTTTGCTCTTCCTTCACTTACTACCATAATTGTGAGGTCTCCACAGCCATGTTGAACTATGAGTCAATTAAACCTTTTTCCTTTTAAATTAACCAATCTCAAGTATGTCTTTATTAGCAGCATGAGAATGGACCAGTATAGTAAATTGGCACTGGTAGAGTGGGGGGCATTGTTGAAAAGATAGCTGAAAATGTGGAACTGAATTTGGAACTGCGTAACAGGCAGAGTTTTGAACAGTTTGGAGGGCTCAGAAGAAAGGAAGTTGTGGGAAAGTTTGAAACTTCCTAGAGACTTGTTTAATAGCTTTGACCAGAAAGCTGATAATAATATGGACAATAAAGTCCAGGCTGAGGTTAGAAACTTGTTTGGAACTGGAGCAAAGGTGACTCTTGTTATGCTTTAGCAAAGAGACTGGCAGTAGTTTGCCCCTGCCAGTCTCTGTGGAACTTTGAACTTGACAGAGATGATATAGGGTATCTAGCAGAAGAAATTTCCAAGCAGCAAAGCATTCAAGATATGAGTTGGGTGCTGTTAAAAGCATTCAGTTGTAAGTATTCACAAAGATATGGTTTGGAATTGAAACTTATGTTTAAAAGGCAAGAGGAGCATAAAAGTTCAGAGAATTTGCAGCCTGACAATGCAATAGAAAAGAAAAACCCATTTTCTGAGGTGAAATTCAAGTCAGATGCAGAAATTTGCATAAGTAACAGGGAGCCAAACATTAATTGTGAAGACAGTGGGGGAAATGTCTCTAGGAGATATCAAAGGTCTTCATGGCAGCCTCTCCCATCACAAGCTTGTAGGCCTAGGAGGAAAAAAATAGTTTCCTGGGCTGGGCCCAGGGTCTTGTTGCTTTGTGCAGTCTCTTGACTTGGTGCCCTGCATCTTAGCCATGGCTAAAAGGGGCCAACGTAGAGCTCAGGCCATTGCTTCAGAGGGTGCAAGCCCCAAGACTTGGTGGCTTCCACATGATGTTGAGCCTGCAGTTTACAGAAGTCAAGTATTGAGGTTTGGGAACCTCCGCCTAGATTTCAGAGGATGTATGAAAATGCCTGGAGTTCAGGCAGAGGCATGCTGCAGGGGCAGAGCCCTCATGGATAACCTCATGCAGAAGGAAAATGCAGGGTGGGAGCCCCCACACAGAGTCCCCACTGAGGCACAGCCTAGTGGAGCTGTGAGAAGAGGACCACCATCCTCTAGACCCCAGAATGTTAGGTCCACCAACAGCTTGCACCTGGAAAAGCCACAGACAATGCCAGCCTGTGAAAGGAGCCGGGGGAGGGGCCATACCCTGCAAAGTCACAGAGGTGGAGCTGCCCAAGATCATGGGAACCCACCTCTTGCATTAGCATGACATGGATATAAGTAAGGCATGGAGTCAAAGGAGATAATTTTGGAGCTTTAAGATTTGACTGCTCTGCTGGATTTCTGACTTGCATCGGGACTGTAGTCCCTTTGTTTTGGCTAATTTCTCCCATTTGGAACAGCTGTATTTACCCAATGCCTGTACCCCCATTGTATCTAGGAAGTAACAAACTTGCTTTTGATTTTACAGGCTTATAGGGGAAAGGGATTTGCCTTGTCTCAGATGAGACTTTGGATTGTGAACTGTTGAGTTAATGCTGAAATGAGCTAAAACTTTGGGGTATTTCGAGGAAGGCATAATTAGTTTTGAAAACTTGTCTCACAGAAGACTTGGGACTGTGGACTTTTCAGTTAATGTTGAAATGCATTAAGACTTTGGGGGACTGTTGGGAAGGCATGATTGGTTTTGAAATGTGAAAACATGAAATTTGGGAGGGGTCAGGTGCAGAATAATATGGTTTGGCTGTGTGTCCACACCCTAATTTCACCTTGAATAGTAATATTTCCTATGTGTCAAGGGCAGGACCAGGTGGAGATAATTGAATCATGGGGACAGTTTCCCCCATACTGTTCTTGTGATAGTGAGTGAGTTCTCACAAGATCTGATGGTTTTTATAAGGGGCTTCGCCCTTTGATTGGCTCTCACTTCTCATTCTGCCACCATGTAAAATGTGCCTTTGCTCTTCCTTCATCTACCACCATGATTGTGAGGTCTCCCTAACCATGTTGAATTGTGAGGCAATTAAACCTTTTTCCTTTATAAATTACCCAGTCTCAGGTATGTTTTTATTAGCAGCCTGAGAATGAACTAATACAGCCCAGGATACACTTATCGTCTCCTAAGATATTTGAATAAAATCTAAGGTTTATATTCAGTTCAAGCATCTGATCCAGTTTGCTGCCTAATACAACACCCTTGTCAGCATCTTGTTTCCTAAATCTTGTGACATGATTCAGCTATGATATATTCTATTGGTTCTTGATATTGATATTCTTCTCTGTCAGCTTTGGAAACCTGGATGCCCTTTGGAATATCTGAAAAGGAATCTAATAGCTTGTCAAGGGAACATGACCAGACCCCAAGGTCAGACAGAGATATAATTAGAACAGAATAAATAGTTTTGTCTTAATTATCTGAGGAGTTCAGTGTTCCTTGCCTGTTATGTATATCCTGTTGTCTCTGCTTGTTTCAGTTTTAGAGTCATGTTTATTCTATTAACCTACTACATGTTTAAAAACTGCAGAGTTATATACCACTGTTTGTGCTTTCTAGCTTTGCCTCATTAAAAATATATCTTATTTCCTATTTACATATAATACAATTTTTCTTTCTTTGCTCATTTCTCTAAGAATATTAATTTTATACTAAAGATAACTAAAAAGAGTGTCTCATTTTAGTTATATTTACGTAATACTAAAATTTAAAAATCTTTAGTCACAAAATGTGATACCAAAAATGTATAGTATAACTAAATAGTGGAAGATTTAATTATAATAGAAAGCAGAGAGAGGATTTGAGAGGATTCAAATGATATAATAAGTGGTCTTGTTATATATGATGTTATTCTGAATTAATTTCTTGATTTATTTAGATTTATACAAATTGTCCAAACATGAAATATTTGAGAGATCAAGAAACATGGGAATAAATTTTGAGTAGTTTTTTACTTAAAGCTACACCTTCAGAGAGAATAATAATTATTCATTAATGTAGATGTGTTCTGATATAACTTCTTATGAACTTGAAATTATTCTTAATAGGAAAATCTGTAGTTTTCATCCATATAAAAGATTGTCAATATTTTAATGTTATTAGAAGTATCATATCAGTATAAAGATGTCTTATACAGAGAAGGTTCTCTAGAATATTTCAGCAAATTTGAATGCTTCACAATCTTTTACATTAACCATTCATTATGAATTGTGTCTTATAATTAAATTAAATGCTTTTTGTTAATTGCTGAATCTGTATCTTTTTATCTCATGAAATAAAGATATTTTATTGCTTTAGATTTCTGTTAATATTTCAAGTAAAATTCAAAAGTGTCTACTATAGAAAATCTGAATTTATTTAAGAAATAAATGAGATTCATTTATTCTCCTACTACTCATTGATTATAACTTTTAACATAGGAGCATATTTTTCATCTATTTTTAATATTTAACAATTAATATTTTACTTTTTAAAAAAATTACATTTTTACACTTTCTCAGTAGATGAACTTTTGAACCAGTGTTTTAATTTCCCACTGGGATTTTGATTGGGAAGACATTTAATTTAAAAGTTAATTTGAGGAGAAATTATATCCTTACACTGTTGATTCTTCCCTTTCTAGAACAGGTTGTATCTTTCCACTTTTTTCAGATCCTTTTTATAGACCCATATATTAAGAATAACAATTTTTATATAGTAAAACATGCCTTTTTGTAGATTAAAATTGTATTCTACTTTACTGATATTAGAAGTTTACTACCTAATTTCCACAGCCCACACACATCTCCTAGGTGGATTCATTGATTTTTTTTGTTGTTGGATGTGTTGTTATTATACTATTTGTATTAGTTTGTTTTCACATTGCTATAAAGACATATCCAAGACTGGGCAATTCTTAAAGGAAAGAGATGACATGACTCACAGTTCCACATGGCTGAGGAGGCCTCAGGAAACTTATGATCATGGTAGAAAATGGAGGAGAAGCAAGGACATTCTTTATATGGTGGCAGGAGAGAGAAGAAAAGCAAGAGAGCAGGGAAAACTACCTTATAAAACCATCAGATTTCATGAGAACTCACTATCATGAGAACAGCATGAGGGGAAACCACCGCCATGATCCAATCACCTCCCTCCCTAGACACATGGGGACCACAGTTCTAGATGAGATTTGAGTGGGGACACAAAGCCAAAACATATTAGTATTTTTATCTAGATACCTATGTCTACTTCCTAATTTGTCTTGGTTTTTTTTAGTTGATTGAGTTGGAAATCACATTACATAAAAGACATAGTTTTATCTCAATCCTTACGAGTTTCAGGACTATTTTTAGTTATTGATATAAGTGGTGATGTTGAAAAAACAATGTTGAAAAGTAGAAGTAATAGCAGACATCCTTGTTTTATTCTAAGCTTTTAAATATTATAAATTAGGGAATGTTAGAAAATATTTAAAATATTAAGAAATATCTAATACTTTTATAGGTATATTTATCATATTCAGGAAAACTTTTTCTATTTGTAGATTACTAAGTTAACTTTTTATTCAGTAATAGGCATTGAATACGTAAAATGAACATGTTGGAAATACAAGGGAGATTATTTCTCCCTTACATGCATATTCATAAATATTTATTTATGAAGTCTAGAGAAATGTGTATTTAAATGTATATGTAAATGTATATATTTTAAAACACATATTTTTAAAGACTCAAATTTCTACGTAAATCTATTGGATATAATGTGCAATTTTTCTAATATATTTTTAGATTTGGCTTGTGAATTAGTTAAAATACTTCAGGCTGAAAGTAGCCACAAATTGATTCAAACAAAACAAGAAGTCCAAGTAGGACCTGCTAAAAATTAGGTGAGTTAAGTGCTAAACAACATTGTTAAGAACTCAGTTCATTTTCATCTCTTGTGCCCTGCTCAACGTTGTAAATACCATTGTTAATAGCCAAATGCTGTTCTATTCCATGAATGACCTAGAATTATTTAACCATTACTTTTGTATTCTATATTTAGATTATTTCTAATTATTTGTACTTATCAATGACATTAAGAAAAATAAATTTGGACTTGTCTTCTTTACATTGTGGTTCTTTTTCTTTAAGTTAGACTCAAAGAAGTGAAAGTGCAGAATCAAAAGACATTGACAATTTAAGGCTCTAGTCTAGAAATAGTCTCATACCTTGTAAGCAGCTGGGGTATGAGAATTCCTGTCCCACTGCTTGCTGTTTCTGTATCATCACCAGAATTGAGTGTTACTAAAAAGGAAAAGAAAAAAAAAAGCTGTGGTTATAAGAATATGTATATGTGTATGCTAACTTTATAATTTCCACAAGTTTGACATCGTGCTCATTCTGCCTAATTTATCTAATAGCACTTAGTTTGGTTCAAATATTTCATCAGTTCTTATTATTTGGGGATAAATAATTTTGGTGAACAGGGAGTTTTTTTTGGTTACTCACATTCCCATGATTCAATTCTCCTTTGAATTTTCTTTTGTCATAAGGACAAAAATATTAATGTGCAAGTATAAACAGCCCTTTCCACCTCCTAAGCAGTGACCCTAAAATTTTATGTGTGAAAGTCTGGATAGGAAGAAAAGGAATTAAAGTGCCACAAACTGAAGGAAGTGAAAGAGTGCTCAGTTTGTCTGATGCGAGAGACAAAGGAATGGAAAAGTACATAAAGGCTGAGGCTGGCTGAGAAAAACAAGGGGAACATAAAGAATTTTTAGGGATTATGATTCCTTCATGGTATTTGACAAATGTAAGTAAGGGATTTGATTTATGTTGAAATTATTTTTGATTGCATGGATTATGTTTTATGGTCCACAGTGCCTCTATGAGACAGAACCACATCATTTTTTGCTAAACCTTTTCATACACATTTTGATTATGCCCAGCATGGCCATTACTAAATCCAAGATGGCAAGTCAGGTTTTTCAGCATTTTAATATTTACTCTTCACTACTCACTTCTTTCTCATTTCTTATCTATAATGAAAATGCTTCTTTAAATTCCCCATCAGGCAGGACAACAAAGCATCTGTTGAGCACCAACCATACGTGAACTATGGTGCTAGTCTCGTGATGAAGGGATATCAGGAGTGTACTTAGAATCACATGGAGGGGACAGAACCACAGTTGTAGAAAGCATAGCTATTTGCATATCCTGAATCTGTTCCCCACTTTCTCCTTCCTAATAGAACCTCGATTTGTTAAGATGTTGGTGACAAACTAATCAGCCCATTTTATTTTGGAGAAGCTGGGTGGTTCCTGATTTGCTTTAATCAACAAGCATATGCCATTTTCCAGATTATTAAAATTCTGGCTATTCAACCTATGGCAAGGGCCACATTCTCTGAGGAAGGAAGAGATTCCTTTCTACTGGATGTTACTAAGAAAGCATATTCTTGGTTGCTGCTGAGATCCTTTATATGATCCCAAGGGTAACTAGCCTTAAAATGAAGCCAACAATGTGAATAGCAGAGCCAAGGGATGGAGAGAACTGAAGTCCCTGATAACATCATTAAGCTAGTGAATCCACAATCCATGACATCTGTCTTCTTCTTGACTTCCTGTTAAGGAAGCTAATGATTTTTAATACATTTTGCGCTGGAGATTCTGTTTGTTATAAAAAGCCTCCCCACCGACATGGCAGTTAAAATTTAAACAAAAAAATTCTGATAATCCTTACAGCATTTCCACCTGGAAGCCTTTATTTACTGCTATGTAGATATATACTTTCTGGGGTGCATTATTATTTTTAGTGCAAAGGAAAAAGTTTTCTTTCCAAACATACTTGTTTTTGATTTAATAGTTAATACTTCTTTGCAAACCTACTGACACCTCCTTCTCCTCTCCCTTTCCTCCAATTAAACGCTATGGTTTGAAAATAAAACATAACCTAAATGTTTATGTGAGCAGACTTGAAAGACAACTCTCTTCGGCCCTTAATGAAACTTTAATATAATATTGACTCTTGATAAATTGAAATTCTCTAATACTATGAAATATACTAGTGTATTTTTCAATAGTCAATTAATTTGGTAGAAAATTTTATTTTAATGTATGTGCAACTAACTGGTTGCTGCACTTCGATTTATGTGATCTAAAGGTTTAAGAGGCCATGTTTGTATGTTAATTAGTTATGATAATCGGTGATTAAAAATTTCTCAGAGTTTTCAATATCCCTTATTGTTAATTTTTACAATAAAATATTAAAATAAAAGATTCTGGTGAGGAGATCAACTTGATGAATCACCAATAAAGAACAACAGAGTAAAGACTGTTTTCTGTTTTGCAAAATAAAATTCAAAATTGCAAGATGCCTTAGTCTGAAAGAGATTAATTGTTTTTATGCAGCAGATAAAACATGCAGAGAGCCAAATAAAACCTTCAACTATGTAAAATTAAATGTTAGGGCATTTACTTCACTTTTTATAACCTTTGGTTCCACCCTGATGCTCCTCCAGCAGAAATTTGCATCAGGAATGAAGGCAAGTGGGCCAGAGGAAAGGCAGAGCTATATATTAGCATAAGAATTATATTTAGATATCAGGCACTTGCTAAGATTACCTGCTGATAAACTTGGATTTTAGTAGAGTAACCTCTAAGTTTCATTCTTTTCTAGAACATGAAGAGGGCATAAATGATGAAGATACTGGTTTTACACACTCACAGGGTAATCCAGAAGGAAAATGGAAGATAATAATAAATAATTTCACAGGGCAAACAAAATCTTTCTGTATTGCAGTACAGTGAACAACCAGAGATGATTCAGAAATGTTTAGTCTGGTTATGGGCTAAGTCACCATAACATTATCAGATATAAATAAATACATTGATAAATAGAAAAAAAGATTTGTTTGTGCATGTTTTCAACATCCTCATGAAAAACATGACTTCATAGATTTTGTCTATTGAGAAGAGAGCAGAGATGTTTCCAGTGGAAAAGTCAAGGCCATTGCCTTGTCTCTCATGTTTGCTTTGTGTGCTCAGTACCTAGAACAATGTATGGAACGTTGTAAGTACTCCGTATGTAGAATATGTGAGTAAATATTAATATTTGAAAAAGTGTTATATATGATGATCTGAAGTCCTTTTCAGCTGTAACACCTTTATTGATGGCATTCATAAAGACAATACCTTGCTCTGGATATTTGCTTATATTGCTAATCAAAATATGTTTAAGAAAGTAAAACATAACAATAAGTTGTAATCATAGCAAACATTAACCACACAGGATTTTGGCACAAAAAATAGAGGCTTCCAACATGTGTAAATGCGTAATGGTCCCTGTAACTCTATTGTATTCAATCAAAGGAAGTATATAATGTTTAATAAAAAACCTTTAATTCACCTGATATTATTTTTAAAATAATTTGCATATTTGATTATTAGTACATGTGATTTTCTGCACACCTCACAATTAATGTCAGAATGTTGCTGCCGATCTTCATATTTTCATAATATGCACAACAGTGCAGCCCAGTTTTTTCTTCGCAAATGTGAGATCTAAGACCATGAACTGCATTTGTATTACTATGATTCATGATTTTGTTTTAGTGCCTGACAATGACTTGGTTTTACTAGTCTTTACCTAAAGAGTTGATGGTTCTTAAATTGTAATCCAAATGTTTTGACCTTGCTATCATTGCAAAAATGTATAAAATGTAGGGAAAATTTAGTCCTCAATTTTCTGATTCATTTATTCATCAAACTATCTTATTAAAGGCACTTCATATTCAGGAAAATTCTTAGCAAATTATTTCCAGCTTATTTCAGAGTCCCAGGAAGTTGACACTTACTAACCCAACTTAAATCCCTATAGATTCTCCTCGGTATATAATTCAGAACTCACACAGATTTCATGTTGCTACAATTATTGGGGAGTTAGGCCTCCAGATCCTCCATAAAGCATTTATTGTAGGGAATTCAATCCAAATTTTGTCAGCTATTCACTTTCAATAATCCTTTTCCCCCTACATTTAAGGAATAATTTTTATTCTCTTTTGGTTTCTCGAATTATGTTGTCTAACATATTTTTGAATCTTATTCAAATTATATGGTTTCTTTAAAATTCAGTATAATTTACATTTCTTATTATTTTTGTTACAGGTAAACTTAACTCTTTTCTTTACAAAACAGTATAGCTCTAGTCTTTTTATCACTTTTTTTTCTTAAAAAAAGAGAAATAATCTAGGCCTTGATTTGTTCAATAGAAATAAAATAATAATTTCAGGAAGACCAACCAAGAAAAATGGTAACTGTACACACAAAGGAATCTGATTTAACTAGTGCCAGGGGACAAAAAATAAAGGTCACTTGACAACATGTTAAATTCAAATTGAAAATCGTATGATGAAAATAAATGAAAGAAAATAAAAAACATATTCTGGGTCATTGGACTAAGATGACCTGGAAGGGGTGGAAGTATACATGGGTGTACAGAGTATTGAAAGCATAATTTTATGAACTGGAAATCTATAGGATTTTTATGTAAATTCGTTTGGAAAGATGAGGAGAGGGATGAAATAAGACAACCATAATTTACCAGAGTATTATGGGGCAGCAAGGTCATCGTTTTTGCCAAAATGATTGCAAACAGATCGTATAAGCTCTAGGTATGTAGTGGCTAGCCAGTAGTATCATAAACTGCCAGCAGTAAAAACAATAGAACATATTTTCTTGAATGTTTTGGGGATATGGTAATTTTTAAAGAAAGCAAAACAGTGTAATGTTGAGTAAGACAGAAATTCAGATGTATTTGTGATTATTGGAGTGACCTTGTTTTTGATCATATGCCAGCGAGCATACTCCAGGGTCTGGAGTATGGGGAATTTCCACAGAGGCACAAGCCTGAAATTTATTTTGCAATGGAATTGGGGTGGTGGGTTCTCTTTCTCTTCTATCCACTTCTCAGTTAAGTCCTTGCTCTCACTTTATTGTATAAATACATAAAATAAATGTGCTGATTTCAGATGTGCAGTTTTGAGTTTGAACAAATGTATATGTCCATTTAATCAATGTTCCTATCCAAAACAAAACATTTCTATGATTCTAGAATGTTTTTTCATACTTACTTTCTGTCAATCTCCTTTTCTGCTTCTGTTCAAGCTTCCTGTTCTGATTTCTGTATCTATTCATGTATTTTTCCTTTTTCTGAATTGCATATAATTGGAATTATATGGCATGTATATATGGAATTATATGGCATGTATATATGGTATGTATATTTTTCCTTTTTCTGAATTGCATATAATTGGGTTTATATGGTATGAATATTGTGTCAGGCTTCTTTTGCTCAGTGTGATGTTATAAGGTTCATCCAGATATATCAGTGGTTCACTCTTTTTTTTAATCACTGAGTGGTATTTCATTATATGATTATAACAAATTAGTTTATTCAATGTCCAATGTCCAGTTATCATTCATAATGGATATTGGGGCTGTTTTCAGTTTGCTGTAACTGTTATGAACATTAATATTAATATACACATCTCCTTGGACAACCCTCATTGTTTAATTTTTTTTTTTATTATACTTTAAGTTCTGGGATACATGTGCAGAACGTGCAGGCTCGTTACATAGGTATACACGTGTCATGGTGGTTTGCTGCACCCATCAACCCGTGATCTACATAAAGTATTTCTCCTAATGCTATCCCTCCCCTAGTCCCCCACCCCCCTACAGGCCTTTGCGTGTGATGTTCCCCTCCCTGTGTCCACGTATTCTCGTTGTTCAACTCCCAATTATGAGTGAGAACATGTAATGTTTGGTTTTCTGTTCCTGTGTTAGTTTGCTGAGAATGATGGTTTCCAGGTTCATCCATGTCCCTGCAAAGGACATGAACTCATCCGTTTTTTTATGGCTGCATGGTATTCCATGGTGTATATGTACCACATCTTCTTTATCCAGTCTATCACTGATGGGCATTTGGGTTGGTTCCAAGTCTTTGCTATTGTGAATAGTGCTGCAATAAACATATGTGTGCATGTGTCTTTATAGTAGAATGATTTATAATCCTTTGGGTATATGCCAAGTAATGGGATTGCTGGATCAAATGGTATTTCTGGTTCTAGATCCTTGAGGAATCCCCACACTGTCTTCCACAGTGGGTGAACTAATTTACACTCCCACCAACAGTGTAAAAGTGTTTCTATTTCTCTACATTCTCTACAGCATCTGTTATTTCCTGACTTTTTAATGATCGCCATTCTAACTGGCATGAGATGGTATGTCATTCTGGTTTTGATTTGCATTTATCTAATGACCACTGATGATGAGTTTTTTTCATATGTTTGTTGGCTGCATAAATGTCTTCTTCTGAGAAGTGTGTGTTCATATTCTTTGTCCACATTTGATGGGGTTGTTGGTTTTTTCTTGTAAATTTGTTTATGTTACTTGTAGACTCTGGATACTAGCCCTTTGTCAGATGGATAGATTGCAAAAATTTTCTCCCATTCTATAGGTTGCCTGTTTACTCTGATGATAATTTCTTTTGCTGTGCAGAAGCACTTTCATTTAATTAGATCCCATTTGTCAATTTTGGCTTTTGTTGCCATTGTTTTTGGTGTTTTAGCCATGAATTCTTTGCCCATGCCTATGTCCTGAATGGTATTGCCTAGGTTTTCTTCTAGGGTTTTTATGGTTTTAGGTCTTACATTTAAGTCTTTAATCCATCTCGAGTTAATTTTTGTATAAGATGTAAGAAGGGGTCTAGTTTTCTGCATATGGCTAGCCAGTTTTCCCAACACTATTTATTAAATAGGGAAACCTTTCCCTATTGCTTGTTTTTGTCGGGTTTGTCAAAGATCAGATGGTTGTAGATGTGTGACATTATTTCTGAGGCCTCTGTTCTGTTCCATTGGTCTATATATTTGTACCAGTACCATGCTGTTTTGGTTACTGTAGCCTTGTAGTATAGTTTGAAGTCAGGTAGCATGATGCTTCCAGCTTTGTTCTTTTGCTTAGGATTGTCTTCACTACGTGCACTGCTTTTGGTTCCATATGAAATTTAAACTAGTGTTCTCTAATTCTGTGAAGAAAGTCATTGGTAGCTTAATGGGGATAGCATTGAATCTATAAATTACTTTGGGCAGTGTGGCCATTTTCATGATGTTGATTCTTCCTATCCATGAGCATGGGATGTTTTTCCATTTGTTTGTGTCCTCTCTTATTTCCTTGAGCAGTGGTTTGTAATTCTCCTTGAAGAGGTGCTTCACATCCCTTTAAGTTGTATTCCTAGGTATTTTATTCTCTTTGTAGCAATTGTGAATGGAAGTTCACTCATGTTGTTAGCTTTGATATGTTCATTATGTAGTGTCTGCTGGGTTTCTCCAGATAAAGTTATTTTTCACTTTGTAATTGATAATATCCTTTGAAGAAATACTTTACAATACTTTTAGATTATGCAAATATCCACGTCTTCCTTGAACTTTTTCTCCTTGATGTCATATCTACCAGTTGGATATTTTTCCTGTTATATTTATTAATATAGTGTTTTCCCTAGGTGATTTTCTATTTCTTTCATTTCTTCTACATTTAAAAAAAAATGAATTCATCTCTAATGAAGAGCTGTTTCTTCTCTAAAATTTATGTATTTATTTTAATTATTTACATTGGTATGGAGTCGCGAATATGGTGGGATGCTGAAAATTTGCTCTTCTCCAAAAACAGATATCCATGTCCTTATGCCTGTGCATTAGTAATGAATGGTTCTACAGACAGAGCACCAATAGGAAATTACACACACAGACACACACACACACAGAATCTTTTCTTGACTCACATGATATATTATAAGGTATTTGTTTAAATGATTATGGACACTGGAAGGTCCCATGATATGCCATCTGCAAGTTGGAAACCCAGGAAAGCTGGAGGTATCATTCAAAGGCCTGAAACCTGGAGCTCCAAGGGCAGGAGAAGACTGATGTCCCATCTCAGCAAGATAGACAGAGTTAATCTGAACTTCCTCCACCTTTATTTTCTAGTCAGGTCAGTAACAAATTTGGTGATGCCCACCTGTACTGGAGAGGGCCATATGTTTACTTAGTCTACCAATTCAATGCCTGATCATTTTCAGAAACGTCCCCATAGACAAACCCAGAAATAATGTTTAACCGGCTTTCTGGAAATCCTGTGACTCAGACAAGTTGACACGTGAAAATCAACTATCACACCCTGGAGGCAAATGATATCTTACAAGGCCAAAATATGTGATTACAGTAAGGACATTGAGATGATAAGTTATCCGGAATAATCTCAGTGAATCCTAAGTGTGATTACATGCATTCTTAGAGAGAGGAAGAGAGAGATTTCACACTCACAGGAGAGAAGGCAATGTGAAGACAGACCATACCTAGGTGTTCTCACCACTATCAGGAAGCACTACTCCCTAATACTTCTCAACAGAGTTAGAATATATGTATACTAACCCATGCATAGCTATAGATCTATTTTTTCTGTGTGTGTTTTTGTTTAAAATAAACCAAGAATTCATATTTACATCTCTGATTTCAGTCCTACACTGTAGAGATAAAGTGGGCTTTCAGTTTCTTTTCTCGTTTTTCCTGTTTTTGAGACAAGATCCTGCTCTGTCACCCAGGCTGTAGTGCAGTGGCATGTACATGGCTCACTGCAGCCTCAACATTCCCAGCTTAAGTGATCCCCTCCCCTCAGTCTCCAGACAGCTGGGACCACAGGCGTGGCACCACCACGCTTGACTAATTTTTAAAAATTTTGTAGGGATAATTGTCTTGCCGTGTTGCCCATCCTGGTCTCAAACTCATGAGCTCAAGCAATCTTCCTCTCCTGGCCTCCCAAAGTGCTGGGATTACAGGCAAGAGCCACCGTGTACTGCTGGGCCTTCATTTTCTACAGTAGATTTACCTATGAGTTCAATCTTATTATACACATCAGGCAGTTAGATAATTGTTAACCTTATCTCTGTAAGGTTTACTAACCTGACTACAGTATTTTGTACAGTTATTCTTTTTCCTTTTTTTTTTTAGACTTCCGTCTTTTCAATAAAAATGTTTATTGTCCCCAAAAATTACTTAGATAAATTATTTTCTTCTCCATCCTCTTCAGTGTGAAAATATTATTATTCATTTCTAATATAATTAGGTCCATTTTTTGCTGTTCATATCGTGCAACCTGGCCAACCCTGGTTTCTTTCAATTATTTGTTATTATGGGCATGTGAAAAATTACTGAAGTCTAAGAGTTAAACACAAACAAAGAGGTGTACTTATAGAAGTGTGGTTTCTACTGCATACCTACTACCATATTCCTATTTCCCCCCTGCTTTCTATTCCATTCTCTGCCACCCTCTATAGGGAACAATTTCTTGAGCTTCTGGTTAGTGCTTCCTGTATTTATTTTGCATAAATTAGAAGATCAATATGTATTAGTACGTTCTCATGCTGTTATGAAGAAATACCTGAGACTGAGTAATTTATAAAGAAAAGGGGTTTAATTGACTCACAATTCTGCATGGCTGGGGAGACCTCAGGAAACTTACAATCATGGTGGAAGAGTAAGCAAGCATGTCCTTCTTCATATGGCAGCAGGAGAGAGAAGTGCTGAGCAAAGAGGAAAAAGCCCCTTATAAAACCATCAGATCTCGTGAGAACTCACTATCATGAGAACAGCATGGGGGTAACCATTCCCATGATTCAATTACCTCTCACAGATCCTTCCCACGACATGTGGGGATTATGGGAACTACAATTCAAGATGATATTTGGGTGGGAACACAGCCAAACCATATCAAATGTATTTTCTTATACTTCTTTCTTTCTTGTAAGAAGAATAGGATACAATTATTCTTTTGCAATTAGTTTTTTTTTTTACTTAACAATATATCATGGAAATGATCTCATACCAATTTACAAAAAGTGTCTGTATAATCTTTCATTTTGTGTGTATAACATAACCAATGATTTTTCCATATCTGAGTATTTAGATTGTTTCCAGTATTTTGTGATTATAAACAATGTTGATATGAATAACCATGTGCATATATGTAGTTTCATATTCTTTGAGGCATACATTTAGGGTAGATTCTTTGAAGTGGAATTGCTGGATGAAAAGATAATTGCATAGTATCTTATTTTGTTACATATCACCAAAATTCTTTCCAGGTCAGGCTCCAGAATCAATGCTCAAAGCCATCAAATAAAATACGTAGGAACAAAGGGTTTGATTTTCTGAATACAGAAGATTATTTATCTGGAAATATAAGAAACAATCAAACAGCAGAGCTATACAAGATATTTTTAAATGTCTGTTCACTTTTTTCCAGTGAGATTGTTGAAGTAATATAACAATGACTGGCTTCATTGCTTAGTGTGTGATGATGGTATAATCCATCACCCTATAACAATTTCTTGAGTAAATTATTTGTGGACTAATGTGCATAATATAGACACATTGAATCATAGAGTCTTTGAATCATAGAGAATTAAATATACAAAATAGAATATAAATATAAATAGAACAGAATATAGTGAGTTGTCTTGCTGGTATTTTAAACTTCAATAGTCTCTGTTGGCTGGAATATTTAGGAAGCAAAGTATTGAATTGCAATTATGTTAATATAAATATATCCAATTTCTTAGCCAAGATAATGTAAGGCAACAAAAACTCAAGCAAACACATTTAAAAGTTGTTTGGGGCTAGATCAAAACTTTTCAAATGTGTATCTCCTTTGTAGCTAAGAATATCTAAGTTTGTGAATGATTGATTAGTCAGATTGGGGAGGACCTGGATTATACAGGTAAATGAGATGTCACTGCAGTAAATAATTACATCATAATCAGGAATAAAGCCCTCAGGTCCCTTTGATCATGTTACTTTTGTAGTACATAGAACACTGTAGGAAGTTGATGTGGAAAGAGGAGATGTCATCCATCTCAGGAGACCAAAGACAGCACAGGAGTAACCTGAGATGAAAAGAAACACAAATCAAGTGGGCAGCCCAGTGTGAAGAAAATGCAGCATGATACTGAGAAGTCAGAAGGCTGTGTGCAGCAGGAAGTATGAAACATTCCACTCAGTGCTTTTAGAACTTTCCATGAAAAATTGAAGTGATCTGCGAGTATTTTCATTGTGGAGAGTAGCCACTAAAAAATTTTTATGTTGACACTGTTATAGAAGAAATAAACATAATATAGCCTGGAGAAAGGGGTTGTACTACTTTAATTGAATAAATAAAGGTTACTGAATCAGGGAGAATTTTGAACATATGAAGAATTACTAACATGCTAAGAATTATTCTGCTAATTAATTATATCAGCATGTACCAAAAAATAATTTCGAATTTTATTCTGAAATACTTTAAGACTCATAAAAATATTTATTGTATTTAAATTCCTACATATAATAAAGAAAATATTCCAATAAAAAATATTGTAAATGACCAGGTGCAGTGGCTCACACCTGTAATCCCAGCACTTTGGGAGGCTGAGGCAGGTGGATCACGTGAGGTCAGGAGTTTGTGACCAGCCTGGCTGATATGGTGAAGCCCCATCTCTAATAAAAATACAAAAATTAGCTGAGCGTGGTGGTGCACACTTGTAATCCCAGCTACTTGAGAGGCTGAGGCAGGAGAATCCCTTGAATCCAGGAGGCAGAGATTTCAGTGAGCCAAGATCGCACCACTGTACTCCAGCCTGGGCGACAGGTGAGACTCCAAAAAAAAAAAAGAAAGTCTTGCACAATATTGATTCATTTGTTTATTCTCCTTTACTACTGGTGGTCATGAAAATTTGTACAATCACTTGTCTGTATTTAGAAATATTTTAGATGGACATAACCTGGACCAGCAATTCCACTTTTATATTTATATATATAGTCTGAGAGTATCCCAAATATGGCACAAGATGTCCCTACAAGAATGTTCATTTTAACATTTTTTTGTAATAGAGAAAAATTAGAAATCATCTAAATGTCTAACAACTGGAGAATAGATACATATATTGGGGTACATTTATATAATTGGAATAGTATATAGCAGTTAAAGTAAAAAACTAAAACTACACAAATCCCAAATAAATATTTTAGCAAAATAAAAAAAGTCAAGTTGTACAATTGTGACTATAGTGTGATACCACTTATAGAAATTTAAAAATATAATACAAAGAATCCATACACATGTATGGATTCTTGAATATGTTGTGCCGTATTCAATTATAAATAGTGAATTTAGAATGTTTACCTTTGGGGAGCAAGGAAAGGCAGTGGAGTCTGTTTGAGGCACATAAAGGGCTTACCTTTATCTGTACAATTTACTCACTAAAAATATGATATGAATATTGCTAAAGACTGAATGTTTATTTCCCCAAAATATGTTCACTACTAAGCCCAGTGTGATGGTATGTAGATGTGAAGCTTTGGAAGATGATTAGGGGATGAGGTCATGAATGAGATTAGTGCCTTTATAAATGAGATCTCAGAGAGCTCCCCTCCTTGTCCCTACTGCTTTCTTTTTATTATTATTATACTTTAAGTTTTAGGGTACATGTGCACAACGTGCAGGTTTGTTACATATGTATACATGTGCCATGCTGGTGTGCTGCACCCATTAACTCGTCATTTACATTAGGTATATCGCCTCATGCTATCCCTTCCCCTTCCCCCTACTCCAGGACAGGCCCCGGTGTGTGATGTTCCCCTTCCTGTGTCCAAGTGTTCTCATTGTTCAATTCCCACCTATGAGTGAGAACATGTGGTGTTTGGTTTTTTATCCTTGTGATAGTTTGCTGAGAATGATGGTTTCCAGCTTCATCCATGTTCCTACAAAGGACATAAACTCATCCTTTTTTATGGCTGCATAGTATTCCATGGTGTATGTGTGCCACAGTTTCTTAATCCAGTCTATCATTGATGGACATTTGGGTTGGTTCCAAGTCTTTGCTATTGTGAATAGTGCCGCTATAAACATACGTGTGTGTGTGTCTTTATAGCAGTATGATTTATAGTCCTTTGGGTATATACCCAGTAATGGGATGGCTGGGTCAAATGGTATTTCTAGTTCTAGATCCCTGAGGAATTGCCACACCGACTTCCACAATGGTTGAACTAGTTTACAGTCCCACCAACAGTGTAAAAGTGTTCCTATTTCTCCACATCCTCTCCAGCACCTGTTGTTTCCTGGCTTTTTAATGATTGCCATTCTAACTGGTGTGAGATGGTATCTCATTGTGGTTTTGATTTGCATTTCTCTGATGGCCAGTGATGATGAGCATTTTTTCACGTGTCTGTTGGCTGCATAAATGTCTTCTTTTGAGAAGTGTCTGTTCATATCCTTCACTCACTTCTTGATGGTTTTTTTTTTTTTTTTTTGTAAATTTGTTTGGGTTCTTTGTAGATTCTGGATATTAGCCCTTTGTCAGATGAGTAGATTGCAAAAATTTTCTCCCATTCTGTAGGTTGCCTGTTCACTCTGATGGTAGTTTCTTTTGCTGTGCAGAAGCTCTTTAGTTTAATTAGATCCCATTTGTCAATTTTTGCTTTCTAAGAACACAGAGAGAAGACAGCTGTTTATTAATCAGGGACTGGGCCCTCATCAAATGGAATCTGCTAGCACTTCGATGTAGGATTTCCCAATCTCCAGGACTGTAAGACATAAAATTCTGCTGTTTATAACAACCCAGTCTATGGCCCTTTGTTATAGCAGCTCAGATGGACTAAGACAAGTGAAAAAAACATTTAAAAGAATTTGTACGTAGTATTCATTATAGTGATTTTTAAAAATTCCTCTAATTTAAAATATTTCAAAATAAATATTAGTTTTTAAAAATCCACATTCCCAACACTTTTATTTCTGCATCTCCAGTTCAGTGTTCCATAAAATTATAGGCTCTCTGGAAAAAGGGGAACATGTAAGAAATTTTCGGTCTCATAGAATTTGATTTTTTTACTTGAATTTCTATGTCAACTACTTTAAAATATTACAGAAACTGCTCTTTGTGGGTGAAATTAGAAGATGCAATTACTTATTTTTTGTATATCATATTCTGTTCATCTGTTCATTAATAGTAGATAGTAAATAATAGATGACCTACAATAGCAGATAACTTTTGTACTAATGATCACATCCTGTAAAATTTTTGTGTGATTTAACATGTTGATTTTAAAATAATGACCTCTATCTATATATCTATAGCTGTCTATATGTTTAAATATACACATGTATGTGTGCATATATACATACATTAAAACTATATGTGTGTATATATAAAATATAACTATCATCCAGCCTGGAAATCAATTTTAGAGTAGTAAGAAATCAACTTATCTTAAAAAATGCTATAGACAGTGTGCCAAGAAGATAATTAAGAAGGTATTATATCATTACATAAAAAAGATGAAAGGAATGAAAAACAAATTAGTAGAATTTTTGAACATTTAGGGAATTATTCACCAAGAACTTTTATTAGAATTAAGAATATATAATTTCATAAGGTTTAAGGGTCAAATTTGAAAATGTAAGCTTTACAGAATAAATTCACTAGCTCAAGTAAAAAAAATAGAATCCCAAATATGGAAGCCATATTGACATGCTAAAATGAAATTTGGCATATTCAATTATAGTGGTGTAAGACCTTTCAAACCACAACTGCTAATAAAATTGCTATCACAAGATTTTCAATATAAGTTCCATGCAATTCTTAATATAACTGAGATTTTATTTTGTATATCTAAATATCATCAATAAAAAGAAATTAATTTTTAATATTTCAGTAATTAATTATGTTTTCCATTTGGAATTAGTTGCCAGCAATTTTTTATCATCAACTTGTAATTCACCTTTGAGTGTATTTACCATTACACTTAAGGCATGGAATGTCTTTTTTGTCCATATGTCATGATTGGAAGAGCTTAGATTATCATCCATTTTGTGGCTCATATTTTAAAGTGTGTAGATATGTATATTTTCGTTCTTTGAGGTTTGTCCAAATGCATCATGATGATAAATGCCATTTATATATAGTCAATACTCATTTCACTTGGAATCATAAAGCAGAATGCAAGCTGTTATTCAACATGTAAATGAGGATTACCAAGAGATAAGACAAGTATTATGTTCTGGAGGTACAGTAGTCATTAACATGATGGTAACACTGTGTATAGACTAAAAATGCCAGGACACAGCAATCAGAAGATAAAAATGTATAAACGTATAGACATTCAGCCATGAGGGAATAATGGTACTGAACTTGTTATCCCACTGTACACAAATTTTTGTTTTGTAAACAAAATCAAAGGGGGCAATATTTATGCAACAACTGTTTTCAGACATTGGGAAACAACATAAAATTAACCACTAAGGGAAGGAAAAATGCACTTTACATACAAACATGCAATAAGTTAACAGTGAAATGATGGGAGAAAACTATACCAAGCAAACACTAAACATAAGGGAGTTGATTTGCTATATTAATATCAGACAAAGTGAAACTTAGAAAAAGAAATATAACCAGGGATAAAGATAATTTTATAAAGATCAAAGGATTAATTCTTCAAGAATACCTAGGAATTCTAAACATTACGCATGGAAAACAGCTTTAAACCACATATAGCAAAACTTGACAAAGCTGAAAGGAGAAACTGACATTTCTACAATTAGAGTTAGAAACTATAGCACTCCTCTCCCTGTAATTGAGCAAACAAGTAAAAAAAAATATAAAGAATCTCAACTATGTGAACATTATTACTTAACATGAACCAATTGACATTTAAAGAACACCTCATTCAACAGCAATAAAATATACATCAGTTTCAAGAGCACAAGTACTATTCCCCATAAAATATATATATACAGCAATAAAACAAACTACAAGAAATGTAAAAGACAGAAAATTACACCAAATCTGTTACGTGACATATACATAAATATAATCCAGATTGGAAAAGATGGGTAAAATTTTCTTTATTTGAAGGAAACATAATGTGTACATTAAAAAAAATCAAGTTTTTAGAAAAAAAAGTACTACTAGAACAAATATTTGAGTTTAGCAAAGTCCCTGGATGAAAGATCAAGCTGGGAGCAGTGGTTCATGCCTGTAATCCCAGCAATTTGGGAGGCTGAGTTGGGAGGATCACTTGAGGTCACGAGTTCGAGACCAGCCTGGCCAACATGGTGAAACTCCGTCTCTACTAAAAATACAAAAAACTAGGGCTTGGTGGCAGGTGCCTGTAGTCCCAGCTACTCCCAGCTACTGGGGAGGCTGAGGCAGGAGAATGGCATAAACCCGGGAGGCGGAGCTTGCAGTGAGCTGAGATCGCGCCACTGCACTCCAGCCTGGGTGACAGAGCGAGACTCCGTCTCAAAAAAAAAAAAAAAAAAAGAAAAAGAAAAAAGAAAGATCAATATACAAAATTCAGTTAGATTTTTATATTTCAGCAATAAAAGAAAAAATGAACTTCAAATAACTGTAATAATATCTAAAAATTAAAGATTTAAGTCATATATAAATAAAACAAATATGAAAGATTTTCAAGTATTTACAAATTAAATGTTGTAAGTCTGTGAAACTGATAAGTAAAATGATAGCTCAAGAGAAATTAGAAAATATTTTACCCTAGATAGCACTGAAAACAGCCTATCAGAAATTATGAGGTGCAAATAATATAGTGCTGAGGGAGAAACTGATATATTTAAATGCTTCATTAGAATACAGACATTGTCTGAAATTAATGTTCTAAGCTTCTGCTTTAACCCCACCTTCCAAAAAAGGTAAAAAAGAAAAGTAAAAAAGAAAAGAAAATCAACCTCTGTGTAAATAAAAAGATGAAATCTATGATGATAAGAGTGGACACAGTGAACTCAAAATTAGATAAACAATAGAGAAAATTAGTGAAACCAATGGCTAGCACCAGAAAGAGTAAATTTTACTGTATGTAAACTTAAAAATAAATAAAAATTTGGAATGCTAGAAGTGGTTTTGTGATAATGCATTTAATAGAAATATATATTTCATGAATTAAAAACAAACCCCATATTGGAACTTCTACTTCTTTCTATCTTTCCACTTTGCCCCATCTTGGCACTTAACTCCTGTAGCATGTTTGTGTCTCAGGGAATGGACCCAGCCCAGCCCAAGCCATTCCTCACTACCTACCCAGTTTAATACAGGCACAGACTTGGCAGAAAGAGACTGCTGGGAATTTTTTTTTTAGCTTTTAAGATTTGGGTGTTAAGCTTCAATGCTTCATTTATTATATTAACAAAACATTTTGTGTTTATTTTCTCTTGACAAAGTACTTACGCATGTTTTTACTGGAGTCCCACTGTATCTCTTTGAATAGGATAAGGCAAGTCATACTATTCCTCCTTTATGGAGAAGCAAAGTAAGGCTCAGAAAAATTAAGTGACTTATCCAAGGTCAGTAAGATGGTAACTTGAAAAGACTCAGTACTCCTCTGTAATGCCCAGCTTTGTTCTTTTTCTACTTGCTGGTAAAATCCTAATAAATCTTGACCATTCCATCTAGGTCAATGCATTTCTATTAAAAAGTAAAAATTCGGACTGTGAATGTATTGTTTGGGAAGTATAGAAAATAGTCTGTATTCTCAAGAGTTTTAGAATGTGGATATTCACACACAAATAAGTGTGAGAATGGTGGGAAAGAACACTCCACAAGGACACAGGAAGCCCAGGGTCTATTTTTCATTCTTTTGCTTATTTTTTTTTCTTCATGGGCAACTTAACTACTGCTATGCATAATAACATGGATGAATCTCAAAAATATATTAACCAAGAATCCAAGTATATAAAGTATAGTTCATATGATTTTATTTATATGAGATTCTAAAACAGGTAAAGTAATTGAAGGTAGTAGAAGTTAAAAGAGTGGTTAACTTTGGGGGAAATATGGGCTGGAAGATGATAAGATAAAGGCTCTTGATTGCTGATAAAATTCTGTGTCTGAACTAGGGTGGTGGTTATGAAAGTATATTCATTTGTAAAATATTCCTGTGGAATATGTTTAAGATTTGTGTATTTTACTATATGTTATATTTTAATTGAAAAGGTTACAAAAACTTGTGTTTTTTGTAATCAATAGATCTGATAAACATCTAGATGGACTAGGAAACAAAAAATGTACAAAAGTCATCAGTATTAAGAGTAAAAGAGCAGATATCACATGGTTCCAAAAGTCATTAAAACATAGTAAGGAATTTAATAATTTTTATCAATAAACTTGAAAAAAATAGATGAAATGGACAAATTCCTAGAAATAAATAAACTTATAAATTACTATAACTAACACAAGAACAAATACAAAACTTAGATGACCGCATATCTATTAGAGAAATTGAATTCATAACTAAAAAACCTCTTTCACAAAGATGGCTTCAGGGCCAGATGTCCTCAATGATCAATTCCAGCCAACATTTAAGGAATAAATCAATGTACAGAGTTCTTTCAAGAAATAAGATTATGATGCACTTTCTGATTTATTTTATGTGATTAACATAACCCTAATAATGAAAACAAAAAAGTCATCACATAAAAAGAAAATTATAAAACAGATTCAAAACCCTTCAGCAAATATTAAGAAGGTGAATCTAGCAAAACAGAAAATTGTTAACACATCATGACCAAGTGGGATTTATCCCAGGAATGCAAAATTGGCTTGACATTAAAAAAGCATTAAAAAATAATACATGGTATTAATAAAATAATGAGAAAAAATATAATTTTCTCAATAGATGTGGCAAAAGCATTTGACAAAATTAAACATTCATTGGTAATAAACAAAACTTCTTACCCTATTATGAATAGAAAGAAATTTCCCCCATTTGATAAAGGCCATTTATGAAAACCTATAGCTAACATCAAACTTAATAATGAGAGACTAAATGATTCCCTTCACCCACTCACTCTCTTGGGAAGAAGACAAAAAAATTCCATTTTTACCTCTTTTATTCAACACTATGCTTGAGTGTCTAGTAAGTTTAGAAGGTATATTAAAGGGAATTACAATTGCCTTTGCACATGATGTAATTGTATACATGAAAAATTCTAAAATAGCTACAAAATATCTTTTATGCAACTTGAAAAATATTGAGATTAAAGTCACAAAGACACAAGATTAATATATAAAAGTCTATTATAGCAATGAACAATTGAAAAATAAAATTTAAAATGCAAAACTATCTACAAATACATCTAAAATCAAGAAATACTTCTGTATGAATTTAGCAAGATATATGTTAGACTTGTATACTGAAAACTATCATACTGCTAGGATAATTTAAAGAAGACCTAAATAAATGAAGATAAAATATCAAGAAGATTTATTAGGAAATTCATCGTTAACGTGTCAATTCTCTCCAATTTATTTATAGGTGTATTGTAACCCAAATCAAGATTTTAAAAAATAATTACAGTTTTTTTTTGTAAAAATGAACAAATTGCTTCTAAAATTTATACAGAAATTCAAAGAACTCAGAACAGCCAAAACAATTTTTTGAAAAGTAAGAACAAATTTGAGGACTTTTAATAGCTGATATTAAGACATTATAGTAATTAAAATCAATGATATACCAGCATAAATATAGAAAAATATATCAATGGAATTAAATAGAGAGTACAGAAATTGACCCATATCTATATGGCCAATTGATTTTTAACAAATATAACAAGTGGAGGAAAGGATTATCTTCCCTCAAATGGTGGAAAAATTAGATATCCATCTTCAAAATATGATTTTTTGCTTTTGGCTTCTTTTCCTCAAAAGAAGCTTTTGGCCTACTTCAAATATAAAATTAGCTAGAAATTGATTATATACCTAAAGTTAAGTGCTAAAACCAAAAAACATCTAGAAGAAAATGTGGGAGAAAATTTTTTTAAACTTGAGGTCAGTAAAGAATCTTTAAACACCAAACAAAAAACAGTAATCACAAAAGGAAAAAAAATAAGTTGTTCATCATTAGAATTAATGATTTCTGCCCTTCAAAGACACCACTAAGAAATGAGAAGTAAAAAACAGATTGGGAGAAACTATTTCTAGTAAATATATGTGACAAAGGATGTGTACATAACATGTAAAGAACTTGCACAATTCAAAAGAAAAAGACACAGTATCTAATTTTAAAATGGGCAAAAGACTTGCGTCAACACATCACAAGAGCCAACAGGAAAATGCAACCATGGTTCAATAGCATTAAATATTCACTTGAATGGGTAACATTTTTTTAAAAAATCTAAGTGTTGGTGAAGATGTGGAGCAAAAGGCAAAATTAAACATGTAATTATTAGAAGGCTGAGCAATTTCACTAGTGATATTTCCTCAAGGTAAATGAAAATCTATGATTACACAGAGACTAGTACTGAATGTTTATAACAGTCTTACACCTAATAGCAAAACAAAACAAAACAAAACAAAACAAAACAAAACAAAACAAAACACTATCAATTAATGAATAAACGTTATATCATGTTCACCCAAGGGAATACTATTCACTAATAACAAAGAATAAACTAACAACATTTAACACGGATGAATCTCAAAATCATTAGTCTGAGGAAAAGAAACCATACAAAAGAGAGTATATGTAATGTAAAGTGGTTCCTCTAGAAAAGATAAATCTGATCTATAGCGACCTAAGTAGATCAGTTGTTGGTTGGGGGTGAACCTGAAGGAAGCAAGGACTGACAGAAAAGAAACATGAGAAAGTGTTCTGGGATGATGGGAATGTTCTAGGTTGTGGTGGTGATTAGCCAGCTGTATACATTTGTCAACACTCACACAATTGTACTCTAAAATGGTTTCATTTTATTATGGGTAAATTAACCTTAATAAAATTTACTTGAAATGTATAGGAGAAAAATGAGACATTAAACATATATTTAAATAGAAATGAAATGACTTTTAAACTACGGGATAAAATTTTTGTTTCAATGTTTGATATATTTATGATTGGTATTACTATTATTATATTGTGTTTGTTCCATTATAGCTCGAGATAGTTGACTGCTTGTGTTTTTTAACTTTATTGAAGAACATCAAGAAACAGTTTACATTTGATTTATGTTTTAATCACGTACCTGCACATAAAGCTATAGCAAGTAATTATTTTCAGAATGGGTTATCTTTGGTAATTTCCAACAGATTTCTAAGATATTAATTTGGTATATGAATAGGAATCACAGAGATCACTGTCTTATGAAAAATATATCCTACTACCTGAAAAATGAATCAGGCCAAAGTCTGTCCTTGCTAAAACAGGTGAGGAAAGGTGTTATGCCTAAGTCCTTCCATGTTCTTTGTCCTGTTGTCAATCCACAGAGAATTAAGCAAACTTGTAAAAACATGGTAATAAATAAATTGTAAATAACAATTGGTCTGTCACATAACATAATTCTGTTCGTAGCCTCAGCTTCATTCTGAAACACAGTTAACTTTAGAATTGTGGATGTAGAATATGGCTCTTGAAATATTTTTAAATCTGGAAGCAACTGCCAAAAGATAATCGATTGTGCCAGTTTATAGAGAAGTGATTGGTTTAAGAAGCTAGATAGTAAAACCAAACAGGCCATATTTTAAGCCAAAGTTAAATCTTTTCATGGACAGATAAACAGATGTGTTCATTCTAATATGGGCCTTTATGCTTATACTTGAAAAGAGCTATGTTTGCATTAAATGCAAATTAGTCACTGTGCATGAGAACAAGATGGAAGACTTTGCTTCTGTACAACAAATCTCATCAAATAGAGTTTTTACAAAGAATGGAAATAAATAAAGAAAACCAAGAATTATAAAAGTCACACTTTAGGAAAATGAAGAGATAATACAGGGGATGTATAGATGAATAAAAGAAAAACCTTCATTACAATGGGAGACCCTGATAATACCTAGCATTGTTTTAAAGCACAGACTACATGCTGGGCACATGCATTTTCTGGAATTTAAAAATTACTGTAGGCACTTTATGCCTTGGGAACTTTTGTCATCATTCTCAATTGCACAGAAAATGTAACTTACCAGAGGTCATATACTTAATAAGTTGCAGAGGTGGGATGATATGGTTTGCCTGTGTCCCCACCCAAATCTCATCTTGAATTGTAGGTCCCATAATTCCCATGTGTCATGGGAAGGACCCAGTGGGAGGTAGTTGAATCATGGGGAGAAGTCTTGCCCATACTGTTTTCATAATAGTGAATAAGTCTCACAAGATGTGATGGTTTTATAAAGTGGAGTTTCTCTGCACAAGTTCTCCTGCCTGCTGCCATGTAAGACATGCCTTTGCTTCTCTGCCTTCCATCATGATTGTGAGGCCTTCCTAGTCATGTGGAATCATGAATCCATTAAACCTTTTTCCTTTATAAATTATTCAGTCTTGGGTATGTCTTCATTAGCAGTGCGAGAACGGATTAATACATGGGATATGAATCTTGATGAAGATGTGAAGTCCCTATGATTACCACTAGGCTTTCTTTTTCTACACCTACCTGAAGGACAGTTCTCTGGGCAGTTTTTGACTAGCCCAGTTCTCCTCTCTTTTTCACTTGTAGTTCTCAAGAATAACTAGAATGTGCTGGGAATATAACAACCTGAGATTGAGAGGGACCAGCAGGAACAACTTGGAATCCATTCCATCATTGCCCTAGAAAAAGAATGCCCTTCAACAATGTATCTCAGTGAGTCACATGACCCTGTGGTATAAAACCTAGAGAAAGCTACTTTCCAGGGTCCCCCAGCTGTGAGGTACAAACAATTGAGGCTCTATCTGCCCCTGACATTTTTCTGAGCTTTAGAGGCTGACTCTTAATAAATTCTAGGCTTCTGTTTTTGTTTGTTTGTTTGTTTGTTTTGCTGCTTTTCTATAAGGAATAAATCCATTTCCTGTAATTTGTTGTGTATGAGTGTGTTCTATCTTACCAGACTTAGACAAGTTGGTAACCAGTGCACCATGAACCTACACATCCTACTCTTATCTTCCTGCACAATGAATAAGGGGTCCACCCTATTGAAGGTCCACCCTATTGAAGACCAGCAGCACACTCTGAGCATCTACTCAATTCTGTTACATACTGGGCAATGCTGAACAGTATTAAAAGCTTTCTGTACTATATCCATGTTCTTTGATCCCAATTCTAATTTTCTAGAGATATCCAAAATCTAGTAGTAAATATGGAGACAGTTTCTGTATCAGAAATTGTGGTGGCAAGACCCAGAAAGTTTTTCTCTTCAACATTATAATAATGTTAACTATAAAAGGAAAGATGTCATGTTGAGTAGTTAACATTGTTTAGAAATTCATTTTCTAACATTGTCCCTGCACAAAATTGTATCTTGGCCCACGTTACATCTCAATTAACTATACATTTCATTAAACTATTATTAAGTTGTATTACTTTTAATTACTTTAATGACACATGGCAAAATTTTATCCTTCATAAAGGCACAATATAAATATTACTTATTCTGTGACATGCTCTCCGTCTCTTCCATGAAATAGTTTCTCGTATATGGCTCTGTCTTTTGTGTTTGGTTCACCCACAACATAGTCTAGTTAGGGGGTGCAAGTCCTATTTTCTCCTTCAAGTCTTTAAACTCCTTAGAGATGCATCCTTGGCCCCCTCTAACACTGAACTTGTCCCCACATAAGTCAATGTAAATGGTGAAAAGAGTCTTAGTGAGGCTATGTTCTCTTTCCATTTTGGATACATGTTCTCTTTAGGTAGTACCCTCTGGCTTGATCATGTCAGTTTTGAACCATGAACCTCTAGATTGTCCTTATGGCAATCATTATGAATCATGATGTTTATTTTTTTCTGATGGCTGTCGTAGAAGGTTGACTTGCACCCACTAACTAGAAATGTTAGGAACATATTTTGCTGGGAGATCTTTTTAGCTCTCTCCAATGATTCAGAGTTCCTTTTCCCATCCTCTCATCTATAATCATTAAAAACAATGAAATTATCTTGCTCATCTTTTATTCTCAGGATATATAATACATGTTCAAATGTGTCTTATAATGACTTAGATACTAAAACATAGAAAAATAACAGTTTAGAAATTGAAACCAGAGATTCTTGGAAAGTAGATTTTAAGAAAAACTTTCTTTAAAAGGGTATATGCCAGCTGTATTTTCTTCATGTTAAATATAACAAATATTTAATACATATTTAGGTTATGACCTATTCTAAATTATGAAATCCATCAGCAAAATTGAAAATGTCTTGTATTACTGTAGAGGCTATGGACAGACTGAGGAAGACAAAATGCATTAAGAACATTTAACAGAAAGAAAAGTAGAGAAATCCATAGTTCAGTGGATTTAGTGGACTAAGTATTGCTCTCGCTGTAACTTCTCCTGGGAGTTTGTCAGAAATGTAGAACTCCAGGCACCACCTCACACCTACTGAATGCGCAGTTCAACAAGATTCCAGGGTGAGTCTCATGCTCATTTACTTTTGATGAGCACTGAACTAAGACTTCAAGCCTTTAGTCAAAGAGTGCTATAAGAATTCTAGAGCAATTGTGTAGGCCCCAACTGAGGAAGCAAAGGTGCAACCCTATCTGTTTGGGTTTTATACTAAGCCACATGTTAATCCAGAGAGGAGAATGACAAAATTTCCAATCTAATTTACCCAAGGTTATCAGCTTTTTAATGGCTAGGGAGAAAATTAATAAATTTGCCAGACTTTTTCAATTTCTCTGTAAATGGCAGTCGTTGTCATAGACTACAGAGTTCTTCAGATTACACAGAACCCCAAGATTCAGTTCCTGGAGTCTGATCAATTTTTGACTTATGATTGCTCAGTTTAGTCATCTGGTGAAGCTGTCTAAAAGACATTTCTTTATCAGGACCGGTCAGCTGCCAGAAAGCTATGGAAACTGAGGCTCCAAGTATTATTTGCAGTAGGCCGTAGAATTAAGAATTGTTCCTTTCTGTCCTTTGCCTGAAGACAGAAGTTGCCTGGGGGAAATTTCTCAGCTAAAATGGGATATCTCTATAACATCTTTTAAGCAGTTAACTTTTGAAAATATGTGACAAATATTATTTTTCGCTATCAGTTACTTTTGTGAATCACATCAATGTTAATGAAAAAAAATTTGGATATTAAGAGAATGGCCTCATGTATCTGGAATGAAAACTAAAATTTAGTTTTTTATTATGCTTAGAATAGTGACTGATTTTCCCTTTATCTTTTACCATATGTCATAAATATATAAATCAAATGGATTTCTTTTTCCCTGAGGCTTCCTTAAGATAAGGTCAAAAAAATGAGAAAGGAAAAAGCTATATTCTACCCGTCTTTTTGATCTGGTGAAAGCCCCAAAACGAAATTAATATTGATTTGCAGTAAGAAAGGACAGCTGGTTTAGGTGGGTATATATGTTTATAATAGGCCTATTATTGATGGGCAGCAAATACAGAGGCATCACTAGAAAATGGAATCATGATTCAGTCATGAAAAAAAGAAAACAGGAATTTAATTTTATAAGTCTTCAGGCCATAACTAGACCAAACTGTTTTTCTCAACAATAATTCAGACAACATAAACAATCAGTATGACTATGAGAATCCCATATCTGGCTTTGTTTGTATTTGCACATTCTAGACATTGCTTATATCTGTGGCCATCTGCAATAGGCAAAATAATGGCCCACAGATGTTTGCAGCCTAATCTTTGGAAGCTGTGAACATATTATGTTATATGGCAAAGGAGAATTAAGGTTGCAGATGTAATTAAGGTTGCTAATCAACCCACCTTAAATAGGTAGAGGATCTTGCAGGGCCCAATATAATCACAAAGATCCTTAGAAGGAGAAGAGAAAAGTGGAGGTGAGAACCAGAGAGACAGCAACAGCAAAGGACAAAGTTGACGTTACTGGCTTTGAAGACAGACGATGGGGCCATGAGCCTAGGAATGTGGGCAGCCACTAGAACCTGTAAAAGGCAAAGAAAATGAATTATCTGCTGGAGGCTCCAGACAGAAATACACCCTGCTAATGATACCTTGACCTTAGCCTGCTGAGATTGCTGTGGAATTTCTGATATTCAGAACCGGAAGAGAATGAATTTCTGTTGGTTTATGTGCTAAGTTTCTGATATTGTCATAGCAGCAATAAAAAATTAATAACCCTCTTATCATGACTTTTACCGCCATAACACAACTACAAAATAATAAAGATACTGTGTAGTGTATATTATGCATCTGCTATGTGCTAGGAACCTAAAATTTACTATTTCATTTTTCACATATCTCTGCCAAAATAATCCCAAATTTATGAATGTAAAAATTAAGGTTTATGTAAAGAAAGCTGTCATCAAGTAATCATTGAGCAAAGATTTGAAAATCTATTTCTAACTTATTTCAAAGTCTGAATATTTTCCACGATATCCACTGCTTCTCAGACAGTAAGTGTAATTTTGCTTTGATTTACTCAAATAACCAAATCATGACTAGATAAGAACTAAAATCATGGGCTGTGTAGCTGTGTTATTATCCAGAGACAATCTAGAAATTTCATCAATTACATAAGTTGGTTGTTACAGGATACAGAGACAAAAATCTATGCAGATAGAAATTGAGCAAATTTGAACTTGTCTTTTGAAGGACATACTTAGGTTTTGGCTGCATGAATTATTAAATGTGCTAACCCAAAACAATTATTTAATGTTTATAAAAGATGACAAGGAAGGGTGAATTTATGGCTCAAATATGATTTTGCAGTGTCATATGTACTTCTTTCACAAGAAAGGAGAAATATTCCTCCCTAACTATTGGAGTATGAATGCATCTCTTTGGGAGAGCTCTGCTACTATGATCATGTGGAATAATCATAACTCACAGTTTTTTATTAGCATTTTAGTCCCTCAAGCATTGTTTTGTCTACAATAGTACAAAAGCATTCCCTATTACACTTCTGTCTTCTGGTGGCTTTATTACCTGGTAAACTTACAAATCTGGATTTACACTGCTATGTTGCTCTGTACTTTTCCTTTACACTTTCTTGTCTTTTTGTGGGAGGTAGGGAGTGGAGAAATGGCTAAGCTTTTAGTGCAGTCTTTATTTCTGGTGAAAGCAGTATAGATAGCCACAATTAAAAGTCAAGCACTCATCTTTCCAACATCACTATTTTTCGACAGCTGACTCAATAGCTCAGCAGGCATTTGTAGTGCCATCGTGCCAGGTATGCGATTTACACTTCATAAGTAATTTGGATCTTGGCCTCTCACTTCCTTAGCTGTCAGAATGTGGGCCTCCCAGAGCAGCAGACTGCTCAGATCCTAGAGGGAAAAGAGTGATTCCCATCCTTCAACAGACCATTAAAGAAGGAGTCCCATCTGGTAGACTTGGTAGCTCTCTATGTTCCTGCATGAAGCAGGATCGGAGGACATTATAGTGATGGTAAAATTAATGAGAATTTAGAGAGAAGAGTAAGCTTTTCAATGATAATTCAGAACTAACTATAAATGTTTTTTTCTGCCTCAGAAATAAAATTAAATAACATTTTTAAATGAATTGAATTTTCAATTAAATCATTATTTTTATCCTTGAACAGCTAGGCTTGAAGACTAGGCATATGTTAATTTTTTCTACATTTTTAGGCCAAAAGAAACATGTTTTATATATTTTTAAAAAATATTTTGAATTAAATGACTCCCTTTTTTACTCAAATGCAGAAGGGTAAATTTTATTAGTCAAATGCAAATGTTTCATAAGTGGGATATACTTAAAAATATAAACAAGTAGAAAAAAACAGATTCTGTTTAGGAGGCTCGGGGAAGGGCTGAAATTTCTTGGTGTTAATATGATACCTGAAAAATATACTAACTCTGCCGTGTAAAGACAAAAGTAATTATTATGTTCCATTTTGTGTTTATATAGGTATAATACACAACTTTTCCTTTCATGAGATGTTAGATATATTTGAAAATTCTAGGTGAAATTTTGAAAGACACACAAATTCCTCCAGTCATCAATGTGCAAATTTATTTTTGAAATGAAGAAAAAGCATCAGAAAGGTTATGGAATTCTTACATATCTTAAATTCACCAAGAGCAGCTGATACAAGAGAACAGAAAAGTTATTATATTTTTATATTGACTCTATCCATATTACTGAAATGTACTTTCCAATTGGCTTGCCAAATTATAATTTAAATTCTTATAACAGAGGTCTCACCCTGATTTCTTACTATTGAAATGGTTTTCTTGCTTAAGGAGTCGGAAAAAAAAAAAAAAAAGAAACAAAAATGTCTGTTTCAGTCCTCATTCAAAAACACTTCTAAATCTCCCAGGTACAGGCACTTTTGAATGACTTAAGTCTCCTAGCTGTGTGTTGTTTTGTTCATGTTCTTCTGTTTCTTCACCACTGTCTGCTTTGGAAATTCTTCACCAAGTTCTCATGGTATTTATCTTGCATTTTTTTCAAACCAGGAACCATTATTTTCCTTGCCTGATTTGCACTATTGATTTGAAGTGTGATTATCTACCTGTTTTTAATCTGGTACTCTTTGACATGGTGCATTGGCATTTGGCCCTCAACAGCTCTGTGTTCCCTAACTCTAAGCTTTGATGTCCAGTATAGTGGCCAACCCCCTGAGCAAGCTGTATGGCCAGGCCCTTCATGTCTGGTGAGAAGGAAGAACGAATGAAAACTCATGCTGATGTTTTCATTTCACCTTAATGACTTCGCAAGTGAATTAACTGGAAAATAAAGTTGTTGAAGTAGTGTTTCTAGGAGGATGTTTAATGGTTCAGAAACACAGGAAATATCTCAAGGAAATTCTTTGTTCAGGTTAGATGCAAAAGTGTGTCTCTCTGTGCCAAAGACACAAGAATAAAACATCATCACTCCCAGGAGCAAAGAGAAGGCTGTTGTTGCAACAATACAGATGAACAAAGAGAGCTCAGATTTTAAAATGAGAATGCCATTTCTGCAGTAATAAGGAAGGCAGGCAGCAGCAGTTATTTTTGTACATCTATAACGACAGAATTAGATTTAAAGTCTAGATGGCCGGGCGGGGTGACTCACGCCTGTAATCCCAGCACTTTGAGAGGCCGAGGTGGGCAGATCACCTGAGGTCAGGAGTTCGAGACCAGCCTGGCCAATATGGCGAAACCCCATCTCTACTAAATATACAAAAATTTATATTTTTACGCTGGGCATAGTGGCGGGTGCCTGTAATCCCAGCTACTTGGGAGGCTGTGGCAGAGAGAATTGCTTAAACCTGGGAGGCAGGGGTTGCAGTGAGCCAAGATCGTGCCATTGTACTCCAACCTGGGTGACAGAGCAAGCCTCGGTCTAAAAATAAATAAATAAATAAAATAGATTCAAAGTCTGGAAATGTGGAAATGTAGACTAAGAACAAGTAATAAAGGTACTGAAATGAAGACTTGCCAGTCAAGGAATAGAAGTTTTGAAGCAACAATGAGAAATATACAGTCCCTGGAACAAAGAAAAATTACATAGCAATTCCTTCATTCATATTGGTTAAAATCCTTCACTAGCTCTCTGATAACAGGTCACCACAGCTTTATACCAGAAATGGAGAGTACATCTTTTATGGGTTTTATATGTAATTATGCTTACATAATTTTGCAAAATTTTACAAAAATTTTCTAATTTTGCACTGTACAGCAAATTATAGAATTGGAACCCTAAATGCTCGGATTCATTCATTTTCAACCATTTCCTTCTTCTGTCACCATGAAGTTGTAGAGATGAGGGATACTTTCTGGTGATATTTTGTGCTGGCGTCTGCCTGAGCAATCCCTTGATCCCAGATGATCACAGAACATATTCCAGTGGTCCCTGTTGAAAGTAACGGGAACAACACAAACAAACAAACACATGTACATCAATGACATTTTTAAGAGAAAGTTACCTTGTAAAAGTTTATTTTTCTTCCTGCCTACAACACACTGAAAAGGAAGTGATCCTAGTTTTCTGCTGTCATCATACCACCATCTTTATATAAAAGTAATCAAGTAAGCCCACGAAACTTTCAACATTGTGATGGGAGCCTCCTACGCATTTTGTAGCATAGCATGGTCAGCAAGAGCTTGGGCTTTGGAGTAGCCCTGCCGGGGTTCAACACCTGGCTCTAGCTACTTTCATTTCTTCATTTGTGAAGATAAATGATGATCTGAGTTTGTTGTAGATGTCATCCATCCGTTTTTATAGGGATATTGGAGAGAATAAAATAAACTACTTCTTTACATCTACAATCTATCCAGAACCCCCTTGTCTATTTTTGAAAAAGATAAAATATTCTTATAATATATTTGCTTGCCTAAAGGAAAATATCATTTTGATTATTTTAAGGAATTCGGGGGGTGATAGGTAAAGTTTAACCACCAGATATGAAAGCTTTGATGATATTTAGAGTTTCACATCCATAAACATGTGAATGTGAACAAACACACACATGCATGTGTCCTATCCAGCTGCTTTTGAAAGGGAAGAGTCAAGAGGCTTCAGCTAACTGGACTACAGGACCTAGAGGGTGGCAGGCCTGTGTGAGTACCACTTCCTCAGGTGGCAAAAGCTGCAGTGAAAAGTGGTTTTGCTGTGCTGGTGTAGGCACATACAAACTGTGGCCACAGTCTCTCCTAAATATTGAAGCAAGAGGGTATGTTACCAACTTTTGAATCTATTTGCTCTCTTTCCCCTTGGAAGGAATGTAAAATGTTTGAGCACAAAGGACTTTTGCTGAGCTATCAGTTTATAGTTCATTCTATGTTTAGATTTCTTCTTGCAGATGTATTATAACACATATTATAAAGGATATATGTAATCTGTAAACATGGATTATTAGAATGAAAACATCACTGACATATTCTTTTGTCCTTGAGTTAAAGAGCAGTTAAATAGGAGACAAAACCCCCACAACTACAACAAAGGAAAGATGATTGTAAATTCATAATAACAGAGAAAATCCAAGATTGATGCTGTTCTTGGAAGAGCTTGTAAAATAGATATTCAATAGCATAAATCTCCTCTAAATGACCATACATCTTCAACAGCATGGAGATGTAGATTAGTCCCTTCTTAGTTTTGTTTGTCCTTAAAGTAGCAGTGGAGGTAATTTTCTATTGAATTAAAATATGCTGTTGGCGCTTCTTCACGGATCATAGTACACTTTAATAACAATGTCTATTATTGTTAGCAGGGGAGAGCGATTCCACCAGATGACAAAACTGATGCATCCCTCGGTGCTCATTTATAGTGGTTAAATGGGATTTAGTGAATTGTTAACAAACTGGTATAATTTGTATAAATGTGTTTTATTGCCACTTTTGAAATATAAATATTTCTGTAAGTCTAATTTCTAATATTTAATCCTCCCAATTCAAATTTTTTTTGCTAGTAATTAACCCAAGAATAGATGGACAACATTGAAATAAGGTAGCTTTTGATATGTAATAAGGAACATAAAAATGATTAGAGTTATACTAAGTGGAATCCCAACTTTAAAATATAGTGAGCTTTCATTTATCAAAGGCGTTAAAATAGTGTTAAGAAATATATTTCTAGTAGTGATTCATCTATCTCAAAGAGGCTTCAACAAGTTACCTTTTAATATTTCACGTGAATTATGAATGCAGTCACTTCATGGTCATGTTTGAATCCATGCCAAGAAAGAGTTCCTAGGCCAGTGTGGTATATACCTTATGACATTATTATAAATACAAAGTTGTTACTTTTTATTGTAAAGTAAGATATTAACATGGTAAAAAAGTTAAACAATAAAGAGATTATTCAGTAAAAAATAATATTATTTGCCTCATCGCCTCATTCTCATTTCCTAGAGGTGGCCAGATTTAACCATTGCTATTTGGTTTTTGGCTAACAACCAAAATCTGAATAACATACTATATCTATATATTTTCTTTATTACATTTGTACATTTGTACATTATCTTGTTTCTCCAACAAGAAAACTAGACAATTCACCATGATTACCTGTCTCCTGCTACCAACTTTCCATGTAAGGTGTTATATTTTATTACTTGTATTTATTACTTTTTGCTCTGGTTCTAAGCTCTAGTCCTTGTTCTATAAATTAAAAAAAATTACTCTTCAGTTTTAACCTGAATAATTAAATACCTAATTTACCTCATTTCACTTTTACATCAGCTAAGTTTATAGCATTTTTATTTTGTTCTGTCACTTTAATTAATTATTCTGGGCTTCACCTATAGGATCTAAAAATTGAAATTCAGTAAACCCTGATGCCAATTTGGTGTTCATTTACATACCATTTCTGCAGCTAACTAGAGTAATTGGACCTGAAGAAAAAATAATGCTATCCTTTGGGGCATTCAAAGGAAACTGTTGCACGTTTTAAGGTCAGATGGATTTATTTTATATTTTCCATTGCTCAACATCATGCCTGATTTGGAAGATTGAAATTCTTTAGCACTCTCTATAATTAATAATATTTTTCATTCTCATGGAAGAGAGTAAGATTGGGACTGAAAACAATCATTTTAAATATGAGTCTCAGTAAGATCTTTTTTCTGCATTCCAGAAGAAATATTATGCATTTTGTATTAAGGGGGGAAAGATTTTAAAACGTGGAATTCATGTGAAACATCTAATTCTTCTCACATATTATGCTTGTGCCTTTTAAGATTTCTGTTTAAGAATAGAGAAGGATCTGCCCAGCGACACTATCTCAAATGAGGTCATAGAGCTGTGATTAGGGGCCATCATGGCTCATAATTAATGCTCCAGGGGATAATAGATGAGGTTGAAATAATTGCACTGCTTTCACAGAGCTGACTGGCTAATCTTGCAAGGCTCTGTGTCAAGGTGAAGACCAACTCATGTCTCTTTAAGACCAAGTGAACTGTGCCACTTGGCGATTTCTCTCCTTAGACTAAAAGGTGTCAACCAATACAGATAATACCATAGTGTTGCTTGGCAATTATAGTTGAAACTGTCATGTTCACCCACATCCATATGCTCCTGAAGTTGGGTTGGCCATGGAACTGAGTGGAATGTGGGTGAAAGAGATAGATATCACTTCTAGGACAGACCTCTCAAATATCTTGCACTATTTCTCTTGTCAGTGCATCTAGAAATCAAGAACATTGAATTGCAGACCCACACAACGGAAGGAGCATAGTCTTCTGGGTAACAATTTACAGGAAAGTACACAGAAGAGCAACTAGATCAACATTCATCTGTGATGAAACCAAGAAATAAACTTGCATTGTGTTAAAAGTCATGAGACACCAGGGTTTATTCATCTGTGATGAAACGAAGAAATAAAATAAACTTGCATTATGTTAAAAGTCATGAGAAACCAGGGTTTATTAGGTGGCATACGATAGCCTTGCCTGACTCATATGGCATTGTTTTATTAGAAAAAAAAAGTTAGACTTGACTGGTCTCTGTTTTTTGATGTCTTGAAACTTCTATCAAATTGTTTATTTAAAAAGAATAAGAATAAAGCATAGCCCGGAAATACAGGTTATATCATATTTTAATACCTACTTAATTTGCTTCATATTTGGACCTACAATTTCTTGTGCAGTTGTTTTTTCCAGAGTTTATGAAAGATTTTTTCTTTGTTGCTAAGATATTCCATCATCTTAACCATTAAAGTTTGTTTAATGGAATTTACTTCCTTCTTGAAGACACACTTCTCTGAGCCATTCAGTTATAATTTTCAGGATTTCACTATAATTAGACCAATTGCTTTTTAACTTTTCTATCTGCAGAACATCTACTATTCCAGGTTTCCTTTTCAAGCTGCCATTCCTTATATATTATGCTTTTTTCTTTTGGTATTCCTTTTGCATTTTTCTAGGCAATATTCTTTAGTAATTATTTAAAGAAATAATTCAAAGAATATAAACTTTTTGACTTCTTGTATTTCTAAAATTATGTTTACTTTCCCTTCATAAATTATGAGGTGCTTGCTTACATGCAGAATTCTGGGTTTGAAATCATTTCTATCAAATCTTTGATAGCACTGTTCTACTGACTTTCAAATCCACTGTTTCTAATCACTTGTCTATTATATTGTTTCCTTCTTTTGGAGGTAACCTGTTCTTGTTCTCTGAAAGCTTTTTATACCTTCATTTAGTGTTAGTATTCTGAAATTTTTCAGTGATGTGTATGGTGTAAGGCATTTAAAACTTTATTCTGCTTGGCCCTTGGTAGGATGTTTTAGTCTAAAACATCCCTTTTTCAGCTCTGGAAAATCCTCTTCATATTTGTAAAATCATTTTCTCATTTCCATTTTCTCAGTCCCCGCCATAGCCCTTCCATCCTCTAGAAGACCTCCTAGATATATGTTAAATATCCTGTTTTGATGCTTTATCTCATTTTAAAATAAATGTATGCTATTAAGTACTTTATGATGCTGCATTTTCAAAAAAAAACCACAAACTTTTTTTGGGAAATTAGTAAGAGCAGAGCATTCTGTATCTGCCTTCTCCAAACAACTCAGAATCGTTATTTTACCCTATACTTTGAAATATAAAATACTATATATACTTATCATTACTACCTTTTTTGAGTATTTAACATGTATCTAAAATGTTTCATAAAGCACTTGAAAATAGGTAAAATTAAATTAATTTTAGATTTGTATCCTTTTGCTTATTTTTACCACATTTAATTTTTTTCCTCCAATATTCAAACACACTACACTGTAGAAGTATTTAAGGTATTTAGTGAAGACTGGTACCACAGGAGTTGTTCTTTGGGATGTGTGTGTGTGTGTGTGTGTGTGTGTGTGTGTGCTTTCAAGTGTGTCCCCTCCTCTGATTGGAGGGGATGTTATGGTGGTAAGTAGATAGGTCTTCAATAAATATTTAAAATTGATTAGCTGAATAAGAGCACAATTTATGTTTTTTACAAGTCCATATTATACTGAGACACAAATTTCAAGACCTTACTGTGGTTTCTAATTTATGCTTCTATGAAATAAAATACAGAATCATTAAGTAGAAAATGAAGGGTGACGTCATTTAATCAGTTTGTGCTTGAGCAGAAATCCTATCCAGGTCAAGTTATCCACGTTCACAAATTTTAGAAGCACCCTCTTATTTATCAGCGTGCAAGTAATATACAAAATTTAGAATAAAGACATACTGAAAAGCACTCATAATTTGAAATATTTTTATTAAATATTGATATTTAATAAAAACGCCATAGTTTTAAAAAGCAAGAACTATTTAGTACTTATTAGTTACAAATACATGTATAGCAGTGCTAGAAAAAGGAACTCAAAGTCTCTTATTTACATGCATTATAGATGAGATTATAAATCAGGTTTTGAATTTTACTATAATTGTGCTTTTCAAAGTAGATAATTAAATTGCTATGTCTTTGGAAAAGGTCAGCCTGTTGGGATAGCACAGATTAATCTCTCTAGGGCATTTGCTCTTAATAACCATGAATCGTTGTTTCATAAGCTTGAAGCCTTGGCGAGATTCCATCCAGTTTAAAATACTTTGAAAATGACAGGAATTCACTAAGAAACCCTCTAATAGTTTTATTTAATCACCAATTAACCTGTATAAGCACCTTTGTGTTATCATCTACCAGTTAACCTACACTATGATCAGATATTTGGGAAAATGAGAGCATAAACCCTCCCGGGTTTCTTTGTTCATTCCTGTGTTTGGTTTGGTGTTGGCACCCTGAGCTAGATGTAGAGAGCAGAAGATATGAACTTAGGGTCAGACAGGATAAAATCTCTAATTCTATAAATGATTGTTAAATATCTGCCACCTGGTTTTGTATTTCTGTAATAATGTTTCTGTTCTCTATTATGATACAAATAATAATAATAATTTTTGATACAACTTCTTAAGAGTTGTAAAAGATCCTAAGATATAATGACAAAAGCTATGTCTATGCCAGCAAAATTAAAGTTCTTTATTGAGAACGTGTCACTATCAAACCCTCCTAATGAGGCAAAAAGCCTGAAAACCATCAGATAATTTGATCCTGAATTATCTAACATCAATATTCTCATGTTTGTGGGATTTTTCAGTATCTCATTCATATAGCCTAAGAGAAAAAGAACAAATTGATAAATTATAAGTGAAATATGCTGTTTTCTACGAAAAGACAGAGAGATAAATATAATTCATGCATCTTTTTAAGATTGTGAACTTAAAGTTTGCTAAATTCTACCAACATACTCTTAAATTACTAATAGAAGAAGATCTGAATTCTACCTGGAAAAAATTCTTTATCATGTGGTTGTTATTAGTGTACGTTTGATCATTATTTTTGAAAAGTTTATTTAAAGAAACAAGCATCTCTATTGCTTAAAATAAGGGCTCTTGTTCTGAAATGATGCCTGCTTCTTCCTTCTGGTCATTAAGCAGCTTTTGCTTTTTAGTGACATTCACTGATTTTTCTGAAGGTGTTAAAGGTTTTCCTTGTCCTGGTATTTGAAGACAGGAGTCTGCCCACCCCTTATATTAATGCCTTCAGTATGTGTGTTGGCATCAACACTCTGGACTCTGTGTTAGTCTGTTCTCACGGTGCTAATAAAGACATATCTGAGATCGGGTAATTTATAAAGGAAAGAGTTTTAATGGACTCAGTTCCACGTGGCTGGAGAGGAGTCACAATCATAGTGGAAGGCAAGGAGGAGGAAAGTCACGTCGTACATGGATGATGACAGGTAAGAGAAGAAGAGCTTGTGTGGGAAAACTCCCCTTTATAAAACCATTAGACCTCATGAGACTTATTTATTATCACGAGAACAGTAGAGGAAAAACCTGCCCCCATGATTCAATGACCTCCCACTGGGTCCCTCCCATGACATGTGAAAACTGTGGGAGCTATGATGCAAGATGAGATTTGGGTGTGGACACAGCCAAACCATATCAGACTCCTAAGGAAAATATGTTTAGGATTTTGGGATGGTTAGTATTTAAGGGGAAGGAACAAATATGGAGACTATTATGTAGGAGAAAAGTCACAATTTTTAACTTAGTCTTAATTGATAAGGTTCATAACAACAAAAAGATGCTTGTAGTTGCCTCATTCTCTGAATTATTCAGCGTGCTTTCCTCGGCTTAGTTCATTTGGAGCGCTGTAACAAAAGGCCATAAACTGGGTAGTTTATAAACAGTAGACGTCTATTTCTCATAGTTCTTGAGGCTGAGAAGCCCAAGATCAAGGTGGTAGCAGATCTGGTGTCTGGTGAGGCCTCACTTTTTTGTTTAAAAATGCAGCCTTCTCAGTGTGTCCTCAGTTAGTAAAATAAATTTTATTTATCTGCTAGATTATTTAATGCTAATCCCTTTAGTATTCCTGGTGGGAAAAGGAGAAGCTATTTGAGGCTGATTTTACAAGGACACTAATCTAGTCATGAGGGCACCACTCTCATGACTTAATCACCCCTCAAAGGCTCCACCTCCTAATACCGTCACATCAGGGGTTAGGATTTTAACATATGAATTTTGGGGGGACATAAACTTTTAGCCTATTGCACTGGCATGTGTAAATTACATTTTAACTTAAAATGATTTTATCAGTTGATTTTTATTTAATTTTCTTTTTCTGTGAGCCTAGGCTGTTGAGGACTGCATGTTGTCAAAGTTCAAAATCAGAGAGATGTCCATTATTATTACTTGGTTATATCAACTTAAAAAACATTTACTATTTAGTGAATTTTAGCTTTGTAGAACATCTGTTCTGAACCACAGAAACATTCATATTTTGAATGGTATTTTCTTATCAGTAGTAGTTTAACTCATCACCATTTAATATTTACTATATTTTAATATTATTATTTTTATGAACAAGCCCCTTTTATCACTTGTTGACAGAGGGATTATTTTAAGCAGACATTTATTACTTTTTAAAACTGTATTCTTGGTCAATTTCCAGCATTATATGAAATATCCTAAATAAAGGTGAGAGCAATTTCAGCATGAATTTATGAAGCTAATGGCTAGAAGCTGTAACTGCAAATACATTGTTCAATCATATTTTCACCTATTTACTGGAATCCTACACGTGCTGACTAATATTTTCATGCTCTTCACTTAGTATTTATGCCTTCATACAATTAGTAAAAGAAATTTTGTCTACATTTTCCATTTAGTAACACCTCCCAAAATTTATCTATGCATTTTGAAGAAGAGTTTCTAAAATAAAATCATAACTTTTACTGGAATTACAAATCACACACACATTATAATGTAATACATGTCCTGTGTATTGTAAAAACATGCAAAAGACATCCAGTTGTTGAGAAGCTTTTGTATATTTTATGACCATCTATGTAAATAAATGCGTTTGACTCTAATATTAAGAATAATTCTAAGAAATTTCTACTTTTGTTTACTGTTTGCTTATTTAATGAGCAGAACTGTCACATTTATTCTAGTCTATAATGTCTCACAACATGGTTACTACAACCCAAGGCTGTTTGGGTCTGAAATTAATTTTATTTCTCTGCTAGATCATTTAATACTAATTCCTTTAAATCTCCCCACCCAGTTTCAGATCATTGGTTCCTTTTACCATTAATAAACTCATTAGCCTAAAGAGTTATCTTTTTAAATATGATGATAGCAATTCCCAACATCACTTGTTCACTGTTACATCCAAAATTCAGTCATTACCACTGAGGTAATCACTCTGCCTTTAATTATGCTGCCTAAAAAGGTCTACAATAGCTTTGATTCTAAGCAGAACATTCCTTGAAGCAATTCACCTCAAAGTATTAAACCAAGAAATTAATGGCTCTGTCTACTGTGGCTTTTTCTGCCAGATTACTTGAATAAGATAAAATTTAGTATAAAGCACATTCTTTTTCCTTTGTCCTTGGCTTGCAATTTGTCATGAAATTTGATGACCTTCCTCCAACTCATCATTCTGATAAAAGTTTCCCACTAGTACATAAAACTCTAGCCACTTCCTGTGTTCTGAATAGCAGTTGTTGATTGTGTGTGTGTGTGTGTGTGTGTGTGTGTGTATCTGAATAGGGGAGAAAGGTTGTTATATGAAGAATAGTGTCTTACAGAGTCATATGGCAACACGAAACTGTGTAGTAAAGAAAAATAAACCAGCTGTTGCTCCCTGGCTTTTACCCCTGTCTCTCTGACACACACTGAGAACTTACCTAGTCCTCTTGGTGTGGTCTACCCCTGCAGAACTTGCTTCTAGAAAGGAATGTGATTAATTCATTCACACTGAGATAAAAACAATAAAAGTTTCAAGTATTGCTAGGGAAAAGGCCTTTTTAAAGTATAACTATAATTGTAAAAAAGTATGTTTTGTTAAGTAGTAGATTAGCATTGCCTTTTGAGAATATTAACGATGATGTAAATATTGTATAATCCTAATGTATGGTTTATAGTAACTTACACATGCAAGACACAGTTATATAAGTTTTACGTATAACCTCTTTTATTCTAATAACAATACTTTGAGATGGGTAATATTATTATTCTTATCTTGCATATATGTAATCTTAGAGAAGTCTCCCTGAAATTTCTGAAACCATAGTGCTAAAGTAATTAGTAAAATTATTAAATAAACTCACCTAATCTTTTTAGAGGGTAGGGATTTGACTTCATAGCATATACTAAGTATTTAAAAAGAAAAATATTCCACAGAGAATGCATGCATGCTACCACTAACTTAAACTTTAAAATATAATAAAGCTTATAAGCCCTGGGAAAAAAATAAAAACACTACTTGAAAGCACTGGAAATCAAGCAAAGGCAGAAATTAAATGGGGATCTATTCTTGGAGGAATAGAGTAGGTCTACCAGATATTTAATTGGAGTTTCAAAAGGAGAGAAGATAAATAAACAGGGGAAATTTAGAAATAATGCAAAAGTTTCTCCAAAGTTAGTGAAAGTAAAATTGCTGAACAAAAACCTAAAGAAAATGATTTGAAATTGGCCAGAGGAAAAAAATGACACATTAAAAAGAAGAGCTCCAAAATATAAATTACTGCAGACTTCTCATAAGAAGTAATGGAGTGCATAAGACTGTGGAAAGACACTTCAGGTGCTGAGAGGAAAATCTGTCAACCCAGAAGTCTATACCTGTTGCAAATAACTTTCAAGAAAAAAAAGGAGATACAGACTTTTACAGATAAACATAATCTAATTCATCATCAGAAGAAAAGCACTATAAGGAAGGCTGTAAAAAAATCCTTAAAAGACAGGGAAATGATAACAAAATGAAGCCCAGATGTCCAGAAGAGAACAAAAAGCACTGGAAATAGTAAATATGAAGGTAAATGTAATACAAGGCTTTACCCTCTTAATTTCTTTAAAATATATGTAATTTTATTTAAAAGTATAAATATGTATTATGTGGTTTATATAACTGTAACATGGCAGAATACTGAAGCAGAGAGGATGAAAGGTGTGAGGGCCTATATGGCAGGGATTTCTTAAATTTTACATGAAGTAGTACAGTTTTAACACTGAGTAAATGGTGAAATGTTAAAGATACCCATTGCAATTCCTTAGAATAACCACTAGAAAATACTGCAAAGAAAGTTAACTAAATTAAATGCATACACAAAAACAAAATTCTGAAAAAATTCAAACACACACACACACACACACACACACACACACACACACACATGAAATTTTCAATACTTTCTCACAAAGAAATCTGCAATCCAGGATGGGTTTACTGGTAAATTCTATCAAACATTTAAAGGAAATATAATGCAAATCTTTTGCAAACTTTTAAAGAAATTTAGATAGGAAAACCTTGCAATTTGTCTAATAAAACGATACTTTCCCTGATAACAAAATGAGATAAGGAAAGAAAACTACAAACCAATATCCTTTGTGAACATACATGCAAAAGTTCTCTACAAAATATTAGCAAATCAAATTCATTAATACCTGTTAGATCCACATAATGACCAACTTGGAAATTATACAAGGAATGCAAAGTTGGTTTAACATTTAAAAAAAAAGTGAGTATAGCTTTCCATATTTATGAAAGAAGAGGAAAATCATATTATCAAGTCAATAGATGGGAGAAAAAAGTCTCTGAAACTATTCAATAATTATTTATCTAATAGCTCTTGGTAAATAAGAATAGGAGAGAAGACCTTCAATTTATGAAGATAATATGTAGAATAACTATGACTAATATGATATTCAAAGGTCAGAGACTAACCACTTTTCCCATAAGATTAGTAATGAGGAAAGCATATTTGCCTGCATCACTTTTATTCAACACTGTGTTGCATGTCCTTCCTGATGCAATAAAGCAAGGCAAAGAAATACGAGGCAAATAGACATAAAAAGGGGGTAGTAAAGCACTCTTTATTCACAGATGACATTGTTTTTTAATGTAAAATATATTAAAGTATCTGGAAAACAAGTAATAGAACTAACAAGTGAATTTAGCAAAGTCACAAGATACAAGGTTGGTGTAAAATTAATTGTATTTATAAATAATAGCAAATAAGAAATAAAGCTGAAGGATTTAAAAATGCATTTATGGTAGCATCAAAACAAACCTAAATTTTAAGGATAATTTTAACAACTGGGTATCTACCCAAAGGAAAAGCTGTATCAAAAAGACACCTGCACTTGCATGTTTATTACAGAACTATTCACAATAGCAAAGACATTGAATCAACCTAGGTGCCCATCAGTGGTAGAATAGATGAAGAAAATGTGGTACATATGCACCATGGAATACTACCTAGCCATAAAAAGAAGAAAATAATGTCTTTTGCAGCAACAGGGATGGAGCTGGAAGCCATTATCCCAAGTGAAATAACCCAGAAAGAGAATATCAAATACTGCATGTTCTCATTTAAGGGGGAGACAAACAGTGGGTACACAGGGACATAAAAATGGAAATAATAAACACTGGAGACTCCAAAAGCAGGGAGGGAGAGAGGTGGGTGAGGATCGGAAAACTATTGGGTACTCTGTTCACTCTTCACGATTTGAGTGATGGGTTCCCTAGAAGCCCAAACCCCAGCATTACACAACAGACCCATGTAACAAACCTGCAGAACCTGCGCAGATACCCTCTAAATCTGTAATAAAAAATAAGGTGCCTAAAAAACAAGTGCAATAGCTTTACACTGAACACTACAAAATATTGCTGACAAAAATTAAAGAATGCCTAAATGAAAGAAGAGAGATACGATAATAAATGAGATATAATGAAATCTTACAATTTAATAATGAGACATCAAACAACTCATTATAAGTAGGCAAACTATTTAAACAAATATTTCGTAAAGCAAAGGTACGTAAATGGCCAATTAGCACATGAAAAAGTGCTAAAAATCAATAATCATCAGGCAAATGCAAATTAAAGCCACCATGGGATATCATTACATAACCACTAGAATGATTAAAATTCAAAATAATAAAAACTCCAAATTTTGATAAAGCTGATGAGCAACTACAACTCTCACTAATGTTTGTGATATTATAAAATAGTACAACTACTTTTGAAGACTATCTGGCAATTTCATACAAAGCTGAACACAAATCTACTCTATGACCCTTCAGAGTGAGTAAACTAGGGGGAGTGGTCAGTATAGATCTTATTTTTTCTTGCTGGTTTCGAATACTTTTTGAAATCATTGCTGTTATTCAAAACTTCCTTTCCTGAAGTCCATGATGTCCTCCATATTTCTTATCTGCAATTCCTGTGCCTACTACTCTTGACTGTTTTACAAAAGTAAATTATTGATTTTATCGATAAGTTTTCTTTCTCAGACTATTTTACACCTTTCTACTTAGTGTTTAATGGATTACTTTGAATATCTATATGGCATCCTAGCACCAGAGTTTCTTAACCTTCTTAACTGCCATGACTTCAAGAGTTGCCAATTGACAAAGCCCTCAGACCTTGCCTAGAGTTGGAACTTGAATTATTTTTCTGTGACTTACAGTTTCTAATTCGCTTCACTTTCCACTTTCATATCTGCTCTGTGTTTTTTTGACTCTTTACTCTCATTGTGACCTCTGATCCTTCAGCACCTGTTCATTTTCCTGGTCTTTTTCTTTCTTCACTTAGTTGGGACCTAGCACCAGGTCTTGAAACTGGAGACCTTACATAAATGTTTGTTAAACCAAAATGAGTCCACTCACCTCTCTGGTTTGGCTGAACACTGTGATCTGTCATCCCAAGGTCCCCTTTAAAGCACCCTAGTATCACTCATCTCCTTGGCCTACACTGCATTCCTGAATGCTTAATCATGTGTATACCTGTGGTTTCCTCTGTTCTGTTCCACCTTGTTGAAAGTTGATACATAAAGTTCATACATATAATTGATTACATATAATAATTACTATAACTAAGCTCAGAGACCCCTACCTATAACTCAATCGTCCTTATATTCATCTCTTGTTCCATTCTTACTCTGTTCTCCATGGTAGCCATTCTGACTTTTTAAAAAAATTATTCAAACTTTTGTTCTAATCCCCTTTCATTTCTGAGAAAAACAATGGCTCTCTTGTATTCTAGCATAATATTTTAATGTTTGATTCCTTTTTATCTTGGCATCTACAAAAGATTAGGTTTTATCAGTAACTCCTCCGACCCACATCCCTATGCATTTTCAGTATCTTTTGAATTAGCTCCTTTCCCTCTTCCCATAAGATTACCCAGATCTCCTACTTCAGAAATAAATACCCCTTTCTCCTGAAAACAATATATTCCATGGTACCCCCCCAAAAAAAACTATTCTTTCTAATGAGTTATGAGACAAGTCTGCACTTAGCACTTCTATTTCTCCAAGTTTACATTCACAGTTCCTGGTTTCTTTACCACTTAAGTTTCACCATTTGTGGTAACTGCTGTCAGGAAGGCCACCTGGAACCTGCCACCAAAATCAATGCTGCTTTTTTTCTCAATTTGCTTCCATTTTGAATTGTCAAGGTATGGGATACTCTTACTCCCTACTTCAAAATGTTATCTTTGACATGGCTTCTATGCCACTGCATTACTTGGATTCCATTTTATGTGGTATTTTGTCCTTACTTTTCTTTTAACTAATATATTTGCCTTCTCCACTTTCTCTGCTTACTTCTCTTTCATCTGGCTTCTCTTTTTAAGAGGGTTAATGGCTAGCCATAGCAGTTGTGCTCACCGAGTTTACATACGTTTTACTAAAAATGAAATTCTTTTTGTAATGAGAACTTACATAGAATTCAGGAAGAAATTAATTCAAGATGTAGAATAAAGTATATTTTATTTGCTGGTGGTTAACATAATATTTTTCTATATATACCCACAAAAATGGCATACATGTATGTGTGTGTATATATTTATATGCATGTGTATATATATATATATATCTGTGAGACAATAGAAATTGAGAAAATTATGCAATATGTTTGGCCATAACACCCAAGTAATCCGATTATTTCCAATATGTTTGTTGTGCGTTGGTAATGGTAAGGTTATTTCTTACTAAATCTGGGTCCCAGTACTGCTATATATGCATCTTCCATTGTCTTATTTTTAATGTCGTTTCATTTTGTTTTATTCTGAGAGAAATATTAGTACTAATTCATTTGGAACTCTTTGTCTGGAATTTATTAGAAACTCAGTGTATATTAACAAAGCCTGTTCCTCATCGACTCATAGAACCCATAAATACCATAGCTATTTCTGTTTATAATTGCTATTACACAAGTCCAAGGAATTTTATCACTGTGGTTTCCCATCTCTCACTACCAAATATTCCCCATCAACTGAAGCTAAAATTTAGAGCTGCCTACTCTAAGCAAATGCTGCCTCACTTGCTGTTTGCTCTCTAACTCTTCTTTGCCAACTGTATATGAATTAAACTACAACCAGGTTACTTTCTGCCCAGTGAATCAAATTCACTCCCAACCATATACCACATCAATTCTAAATTATTCTTCATAGTTTTCAAAATTCTCCATAAATTGGACTAAATTTATATATCAATCTTATTTTTACTCCAGCACATGTGGTCCTTTCATCACATAGATTTCACTGCCCCAAGGCAGTGTGACAATTTCTGTCAGCACACCTTCTTGAATGAGGTTTACTTCACTTTGACGTTTCTTCCCTCTTGTCTTCATCATTATTAATCCTATGTATTATTCATGGCCAAACTCAAGACCCAATTCACCAAATAAAGATTCTCCAATTATTCTCATCTTTTCTTTCTCTGGTAAATTTTACTCTGTGCCGTCACTGGGTATTTGGACACAAATGTTGTTTTATTCACTTTTTTCAACTAAATTATAAAATTCCTGCTGTCAGATGCTTTATTAAATGAAAATATTTATTGACAGAAGGGAAGTAGACTTATATTTTAATTGCACATTTACAGTGCCTGAAATAGATATTCAATGTGTTTGCCGGTTGCCAGATGCTATGCTAAATTCATTTAATCCTCACCACCACACTCTGCAGTTGTTGTTATTAAATCCATTTAATAAAAGAGAGCTGAGGTTCAGAGAAAGTAAATCTCAAAAGTCATACAGCTAATCAAAATCAACTATGTTCACTTACAAAGCCCATAATCCTTCCATTATACCTAAAAGATTCCAAATACTTGTGAAGTGATTGTTTTAAATGAAGAGACTTTGAGTTGGTTGAGTATGATGTGAAGTATTTATATATAAACCTTCTGCCTAACTTTGCGTCTACATTCTGAAAATAATCTTCTTTCTTCTGATATTTTTTGTTGGCAGTGAGTATCTTTGCTGGCCTGTTCTACTCAAAAGTGCCATTGCAACATGAGAAGCTCCACATAATCAAAGTTACAGTTTGTATTATTTGGTGCAGAAGCCATAAGTTCAAATTATTGATAATAAGTCACTGTCAAGGCCTGCTAGAAAAATTTTCTGTCATAATGACAAACAGTGAAATAATAAAACTAGAATATTTTGAATGCCTGCTAGCATTGTTTGGATGAGATGAATGTTGTTGGCCTTTTACTAACAAGGTCTTTTGAAAGGAGACATTATAATGTTTACCTAGTAGAAAATGTGAAAAAATAGGAAATAGAAATAGGCTAAAGAAAATCATTAAAAACTTCTTATTGTATTTTGTGCAAATAAACTATTTCCTCATCCTTAACATAAAGAAACAAATGAGAAACTTAACAGAACAACAAGAAAAGCAATACAGGCAAAAACAACAACAACGAAACTGGTCAGGGAAATAGTATTCAACTCTAGCAGTTAGAAACATCCTCAGAAAAAAATATGAAAGATAAACTGTACAATAGGATAGTGTGGCCATGGAGTTATAAGGTCTAAAATCTTCAAAGGAGATTATGTCACTATATCTAAATGACATTTAACTCTAGACTCCTAACAGGAAATGCAAAGGATGAACAAAGGAATTTAAAACTTTTTTGGAGACTATATTTGTCTGAGAAACCCCAGGAGTCTGTCTTTCTTTCAGAAAGGTTGATGCTATGCAAAGCCATCAGTGCCTTTAAAGAGAATGAACTCTGCTTCACTTTCCTTTTAATTTCATATCTCTTGTGTTATTAGTGAATCAGCTAGAATTTTCTGTTCCTTGCACTAGTTAAGCATCTTGAGAGGCCTGTGTGAATGCTGTTTGTTTTGTCTGGAAACATATCAAATCTGAGGGACTATGGAGTCTTCCAACACCTGAAACATTTGCCTCAAGCTCTTGGTATCAGGTCACCTCACCAAATTCCCTACTTTGCTTTGTTTCCAATGACTTTCGCAGCAATCAATCCAGACATGGAAAGCAATCGATAACCATCATCCTTTACTATCTCCATCATTTTGGTGGCTGCAGAAGACACTGTTTTTCCTCCAAAAAGAAGACAGAGCCTCACGTTAGAAAATGAAAAGAAAAGCAACCAAGCTGATATCAAGGGACTTGGAGTCAAATAAGAACTTTCTATGTGAGAACAAGAAAAGAAACATGACAGAGATGACAAAAAGACCTATCTTGCTTTCAACAGTCTTATTTTAGTTCCGCTGAGATCCATTAGCAGCTGTGAAGTGTGAAAATTAGGAGCTAAAGCACAGATGATATTTTAAGGCTGAGAATGCAGTAAGCTTTCACATTTTCTTATCACGTTCCCTTTTATTCCATCACACGTTATTCATATTATTTTTTAATGATTTCTCAACAGATTCAAATATTGCCCCAGAAGTCTAATGAGGGAACTGACCTGGTTCTGAGTGATAGCATCAGGGGCCTATTTTCCAAGAGAATCTTTCAAGGGGACAGGGAAGAAGCAGATGTTTTCCATCAGCAACTGATGCTGGAGAGCTACCATTACTCCCTTCCTAACCACATGCTCTAGGCCGTAATCACGTACTCCCTTCTTCTGCTTTCATAGACACAGCAGCATGTCATAATTCAAATTCTGTCTTGTTGACACAGCTTGCTTCAGCTGTTCACATAGCAAATTGTTTGTTCACTAAAACCGAAGACACAGCAGCTCTTTGTAGAGCGACTAAAAGGAGCTGCAGATTTCTGGATGATGTTTGCAATCGAGTTGTACTGCTGTGTGAGGGTCTAGAAACATTACACAAACATGTTTACACTGCTTTAGTCCCAGCTACATATGGGGTATTTCCACTGATGCATTAGCTATAACAGAGCCTGTGTATCATTTGGTGAGACTGCTAAAACCTCAGATCACTACCAAAGCAACTTGATCAAATTCCTTTCTGGATTAAATATGTAGCCTTTTCAAATGAGAGAACAAATATAAAATAGCCAAGGCATCCAGGATTATTATGTGGGACATGAAATCAATCTTTTACATCTCAATGGCATTACCGTTGAATAACCTGAACTCTTCCTGTATCATATATGTTTACTTATTACTAAGGGGCAACCTATCCTGGTATTTATCACAATTATTTTGTATATTATTTTGGGTATTCACCCCATAACATGTGATTGGCATTAGTAAGCCCATAGCAGCAAGGCTTAGTGGACTGAGAACTAGACATAGAAAGTCATATGCCTGGTATCATCACAGCTGTACACAACTTATACAACCTGAACAAATTCTGTTTAATACCTAGTTTCCTTATATGTAGAGACAGATCAAAACTATCCCATAGACCTATTTAAGTTTTTAAATTTCAATTTCTCTAAATTAATCCTTGGTAATCAAAGCTGCAGATCAGTACATTTGTAATCCAATCCTCTTTCCGAATGATTTCTAACACTATTCAAATACAAAGTCCGCCTGGGAGCGGTGGCTCACGCCTGTGATCCCAGCAATTTGGGAGGCCGAGGTGAGTGGATCTTGAGGTCAGGAGTTTAAGACCAGTCTGGCCAGTATAGTGAAACCCCGCCTCTACTAAAAATACAAAAAATTAGCCGGCTGTGGTGGTGTGTGCCTGTAATTCCAGCTACTCTTGAGACTGAGGCAGGAGGATCGTGTGAACCTGGGAGGCAGAGGTTGCAGTGAGCCCAGATGGTGCCATTGCACTCAAGCCTGGGCAACACTGTGAGACTCTGTCTTAAAAAAAAAAAGATTAAGTCCGTAGTCCATAGGCCTAATTTTCTCTGCTCTTCTAAAAGTGGTATGTGCACAGAGCAAATTTTCCCATGAAACATAGGCAGTTTGTGTAAGAAGGTCCTTCTTTCTTTCCATTCCACTCTGATTGTTTAAGTCTAAGACTTCATACGGTTTCTGCCAGATACTTTTACTCTTGGTCTGCCTGCCCATTTCCCCTCCCTCCCCCATCCAATTCCTTCATATCATGAACAGAATTATCTTTAAAAAAACTATTTCATCATTTCATTCCCCCTTTCCAGTATATGAAATATTTACTTGTTACCTGTTGAATCAAGTTTTATTCTTTGGTCTACTTTTTCAAGGCTTTCGTTTTTATATGGTCAATACAAATGCCTGAGAATTATCCAGCAAAGCCGGGTCAGTTTCTTCCCTGGCCGACCTATAAAGCACTTTCATTTCTACCTCTGTGATTATTTTTCCTCTTCGTGTCATCCACATGCCTTGAATTCCTTTTCTCTTACACTTAACTGAGTTTTGCTCAACCTTCAAGCCCAGTAGAAACCATGTCAGGCCCAGTAGAAACCATGTCAGGACCAGTAGAAACTGTGTCAGGCCCGGTAGAAACCGTGTCAGGCCCGGTAGAAACCCTGTCAGGCCCAGTAGAAACCATTCCAGGCCCAGTAGAAACCATGTCAGGCCCGGTAGAAACCGTGTCAGGCCCGGTAGAAACCGTGTCAGGCCCAGTAGAAACCGTGTCAGGCCCGGTAGAAACCATTTCAGGCCCGGTAGAAACCGTGTCAGGCCCAGTAGAAACCATTCCAGGCCCAGTAGAAACCATGTCAGGCCCAGTAGAAACCATTCCAGGCCCAGTAGAAACCATGTCAGGCCCAGTAGAAACCATTTCAGGCCCAGTAGAAACTGTGTCAGGCCCAGTAGAAATCATGTCAGGACCAGTAGAAATCATTCCAGGCCCAGTAGAAACCGTGTCAGGCCCAGTAGAAACCATTCCAGGCCCAGTAGAAACCGTGTCAGGCCCAGTAGAAATCATTCCAGGCTCTACCTTCTCTTGGCATTTCCTAGGGCTCTGCAGTTTCTGTTGCTTCTCTTTGCATTAATAGTCAAAAGTGGTGTTTTGGAGTGACAAAAGTTAATGTTTCTTCCTCCCACACAAATTTAGAACCAAATGAGACGAATAAGACTTGAAATATCATCTTTATTACAAGAAAATGTTGAGTTGGAAGTTTTGACCTAGAGTTTAAGATGCACTGATATTGCAGCTTGTTTTGAGTTTGTTAGCTTATTATTTTAGCACAAATTTGGACAACTACAACATACAGTCTGACAGAGACCTGATCATTAGGCATGCTGTCGGCCAGCAGGCAGAATGGATAGGATAAGACAAGGAGAAAGAGGCTGAACTCCTTCTCCTAAATTCCCCAATCAGACAAGCCTTCTCCTTTTCCTCTGGAGTCAGAGAGAAGCTATGGATATCATTTTATGTGAAGTTCCTCCAGGAAGAAACTTGATGCATCGATTTCTTGGTCAGTATGAAAGATGGCACACATATTTACTTTGTTAGTGCTTAAGACATATTAAACACATCTCTCTAATTAGATACTAAGCCTGAAGTGGGCATAAACCACCATCTGAATTTATTTTCTTTCCTCACAGAGCCAAATACATAATATTTGCTCAAAAATTAATTGTTGCTCAATTGTGTAAGAAATTCAGCTATTCTTTGTATTTTACATTTAAATACACTATGGATTTATTTGTGTGTGTATGTGTATCTTGAATGTGAACAAAAATAAATATTTTCAGAGAATAGTAATTTTGAGAACAGTTATTGCAAACACTTCAAAGAGAAGTACTTTAAAGGTCATATAGAGAGAATATCTTTTTGTGAAAGTAAATGATTTTATCAAGAAACATAATACTGAAAACACTTGTTTTATTTTTGCTGAGGTATAAATGAACACAGCTAAGAGTAAAACAAACAAAACCTGGTATATTTTGTAAGATCTTGGTGTTAAGAAGGGAAGTCAAGAGCATAACATCTGTCTTAGTGGGATACTATTACACACACATTTTACTGATATTATTGAGGGAAGAGGATCCTGTTTTACCACAACGTGGCAGCCTTCCCTACTGTCACAAACTTGGAATGAACTTGGAGAATACAACTTTTCAGTGACACTCTTTGATAACAAAATTAAGTATGACTCTCTCTATTTTTTTAAAAAGGTAAAATGGATAATGCCACTCTAACATAAAAATCATAGTAATACGTCTTAAAATAATAAGGTAGATGTCTTTCAAATACTAATTTCTCTTAGCTACCTTTATGACTTCCATTGTAACATTCCTCAATTTTATTCTTTTCCACTTCTATTTTATCTTATTTTTCTGGTATTTGAGGAATACTCAGTGAAGAAGAGACAGAAAAGGTGTTTTATATATACATATATATTATATATATACACATATATAGTGTGTATATATATGTGTGTGTGTGTATATATTGTGTGTATAGAGAGATTGTGCATGTATATTGTATGTGCGTGTATATTGTGTTTATATTTCCCTAAGTGATATTATTTTTTCTTTGGAAAATATGATATCGTGTTTTGCTGTGCTTGCCTTGCTGTGTCTGTCCTTGTCTCCAGTGTCTGTCTACTCAGAGACATTACAACCAACTAAAACATGACTTGCCTGTTGGTAAGATGTGCATAAGGTAGCTGGAGACTGCATTGTAACGGGCAACTCTCCAGAGGAAACTCAGGTCTCTTATGTCCTCAGGCCTTTCTCATACATAATAAAAGGGTCTCTAGTGGGTTGATCTTCTTACAAGCACAACTCAATTTTAGGCTGCTGTGTTGAAGAAGACAATATGAAATTCATTATCTGGCAGTAATTGGGCATAAATTGAATAAAATATATAGCTAGATGGGGCAATAGTTGTATTTTTTCCATGTGTGTGTCAGAGGGGTAAGAATAATGGTTACGGAAGGTGCTATTGAAGATTGTATTTTTTTAATGTTTTGAATTCCAATTGTTCTTTGTGAGTATAGAGAAATACAATAGATTTTTAAATAAATTGACCTATACACTTCAATTTTGCTAAACTCATTTAATTCTAGGACTTTTTTGTGGACTCTTTGGGGCTACATAGATACACAATGATATGGTCTGTGAATGGAGAACGTTTTGAATATTCTTTTTCAATCTGGATACCTTTATTTTCTTTCATTGCTTTATTGCCAAGACTTCCAGTGTGTTGGTGAATAGCAGTGATAAGACCAGTGATAAGAGCAGTGATAAGACACCCTTCTCTTGTTTTCTATCTTAGGAGCAGAAAAATAATTCTTTACATATGATATTGGCTGCAGGTCCTTTGTTAATGCTCTTAACCATGCTGAGGACATCCTTTTCATTCCCAGTTGGCTGAGAGTGTTAAATCATTAATGAAATCGGGAGTTTGTCAAGTTTTTTTTTCTGCATTTGTTGAAATAATTGTATGTCTCTTCTTATTTAGTCTATTAGGCTGGTGCAAAAGGTATTGCGGTTTTTGCCATTGAAAGTAATGGCAAAAACCGCAATACCTTTTGCACCAACCTAATAATATGATAAAATACATTGGTTAATACTCAAATATTAAACCAGTCTTGCAATCACAGAATAAACTATGGTTGGTTGTGAAGTGTTGTTTTACTTTACTTGTATATTGCTAGAATTGATTTAGAACAATTTTGAAGATTTTTCATACATACTTATGAATATAATGATTTGTAATTTTTTATTATCTTTGGTTTTGATGTAACTATGGCCTTATAAAATAATTTAATAAACTTACAAGCATTCCCTCCTCTTCTATTTTCTAGAAAAGATTATATAGAAATTGAATTATTTCTTTCTTGAATGTTTGGTAGACTTCATCAGTGAAACTATGTGTATATGAAATTTTCTTTCATTGGAAGATTTATAAGTACTAATCCAAATTTTGGAATTATTGTAATAATCTTTAGGGTATCTATTTCTTCTTGGGTGAAGTCTTGTAGATCATATCTGTTTTAATCAGTTCAGGCTACTATAATAAAGTACTATAGACTGAGTGGCTTGTAAGGAATATACATTTATTCCCCATTGTTCAGAAGGCTAAAAGTTCAAGATCAGGGTACCAGCATGTCCATGTTCTGGCGAGAACCCTCTTCTGGATTATAGATTGCTGATTTCATGTGTTTTTTTACATATGGCAGAAAAAAGACCTAGCTAGTTCTCTGGATTCTGCTTATAAAGACACTAATCCCACTCATGAGGGCTCCACTCTCATCAACTATGGTCTCACTTTCAATTATCACATTGGAACTAGGGTTTCAACACGTGAGTCTTGGCAGGGACACAAATATGCAGTTCATTACAGTTTCTTTCAAATAGTTATTTCATCTATTTGTTTTTCATGCTGTTCCCTTGTTATCAATGTCCATGGACTTTGTAGTGATGATTTCTTTTACATTCCTGATATTGGTATACTGTGACTTTTTTCTTTTCTTTCTTTTTTTTTTTTTGGATAATCTTGATGTTTATTATTGTAACTGATCTTTGCAAAGAAGTCACTTTTGGTTGAATTTTCTATTATTTTTAGTTTTAAATGTATTTGATTCTGCTGTTATCTATCTTTATTATTTCATTTCCTTATTTGCTTAATGTGTAATTTGCTTTCATTTTGTTTTTCCTAGCTTTTGTTTTGTTTTGAGCTGTGGACTCCCTCTGTTGCCCAGACTGGAGTGAAGTGGTGCAATCTCATTTCACCACAACCTCCGCCACCCAGGCTCAAGTTATCTTCCCACCTCAGCCTCCTGAGTAGGTGGGACTATAGGTGCACACCACCAAGCCTGGCTAATTTTTGCATTTTTGGTAGAGAAAGGGTTTTGTCATGTCACCCAGGCTGGTCTTGAACTTCTGGACTCAAGCAATCAGCCCACCTTGGCCTCCCAAAGTGCCAGGATTATGGGTGTGAACCGCTCTGCCTGGCCTTCCCAGTTTCTTATGAAAGATGTTTAGCTTTCTGATTTGCAACTTTCATCCTTTCTCTTGTAAGCATTTAATGCCATAAGTTTCTCTTAAAGCACTGCTTTAACTGCGTCCCGCACACACTAATATATTGTAATTTTATTTCCACTTACTTCATAATATTTTTTACATTTATTTTAGATCTCCTCTTTGACCCATAGAAGATGATTTTTTTTAATTGCAAACATTTGATAATTTTCTAGATATCTTTTTCTAATGGGCTTCTAGTTTAATCCTTTTATAGTCTTTTAAATTTCTTAATGGCCTAAAACCATAACTTTGCATGATATCTATATTCTTAATATTTATTAGGTTATGTTTTGTGGCTCCTAATACATAGATCTTGATGAATATTTGAAGTTCATGAAATAAATGTGTATTTTACTATTGTTGGTTGGAATATTCTATCAATGTTAAGGTGATTGATAGTACTGCTCAGGTCTCTCTATATGCTAACATTTTATGTGTACTTATTCTATCGGTTATTGAAAGATGACTATTAAAGGCTTCAACTGTCTTTGTGAATTGGACACATTTTATTTTCAGTTCTTATCAGGTTTTGTTTCATGTATTTTGAAATTATACTATAAGGTGAATACACATTCAGATTTATTAAGTTTCATTGGAAGACTGGCCACTTTATCATTACATAATATTCCTCTTTGTCTTTCTTTAATTTTAGTTTTCCTAAAGTCTGCTTCCATTGATATTAATATAGTTACTCTGGCTTTATTTTTAATTGTGTTTGCATGGTATGCACCCCTTTCCATACTTTTATTTTTAACCTATTTATATGTTTATATTTAAAGTGTGTTTCTTGTAGATACAAGCCAAAATTTTATGGAAAATGCATATCATAAAAATCTGTGCATGGTTTTCAATTATTTATACTAAAATAAATACACAACAATTTGTCATGACATGTCTGAACAGGATCTAGTTTGAAGCACTAAGGAAAAGGCATCAATTTGAAAAAGGCCCCTATGACAGCAACACAAATTCTGCTAAAATTGAAGCAAGGACAAACATCAATTGTATAGTGAAGTTTGAGTGGAAGAATGGTGAAATTAGTGATGCTTTACAAAAAGTTTATGGGAACAATGAAATCATCAGTTTACAAATAGATAATTCATTTTAAGAAGGGAAAAGATAATCTTGAAAATGAAGTTCACAGTGACAGGCCATCCACATCAACTTATGAGAAAAAATATAATCTTGCTTGTGTCGTAATTGAAGAGGACTGAAGATTAATAGCACAAACAATAGCTGACACCATAGACATCTCAACTGCTTCAGCTTACACAACTCTGAAAAATTAAAGTTGAGCAAACTTTTCACTTGATTGGTGCCAAAGGTTTTGCACCCTACTCAGCTTCAGACAGATATTCTTCTAATATCTAGGGCTGGTGCCTCAAGTAGGGCTTGCTTTAATTGGTCAAAGGCTGATAAAGCCCCAGGTTCCCAGATCAAGGAGTGGGTTCCTAACTCCTAAGTTTCTTTTATTAATTGGTATAAAGGGTGAGCTATTTCTCTGTACCCAGCTATCCATAGCCTGCAGAATCCAGTAATGCCCAAGAATCCCATTAATTGCCACAGCATCTTGGGAAGAAGGAAGGAGGAAATGGATTCAATTCTCTCCTTGCCTGTACCCTGGTCCCTTTTGACAAAACCAGGCCAAGGTACTTCACTGAAGTCTGACAGAGCTGAGCCTTGGACTTTAAAATTTTATATGCATTGTCAGCTAGGAAAATTGAGAAGAGCCCTACTGCCTTCCTGAGAAATGTCCTTAGTTGGGGCACAGAGGAGAATGTCATCTACATATTATAAGACTTTACCTTTGAGCATGAAATAACTCAGAGAGATCTTTTGACAATGTCTGCCCAAACAAATCAGGGCTGTCTCAGAATCCCTGAGGTAACACCACCCAGGTTACCTGAGTAAAGGTCTGGTTGGAGGGATCCTCAAATGCAAACAAATATTGGGAGTTGAGGTGTAACAGTATACAGAAAATGGCATCTTTTAAATCTAAGGGTGTAAATGATTTAGTTCCCTTGGGTATCTGAATTAACAAAGTATAGGGATTGGAAACCCCTGGATAAATTGGAACCACAGCCGCATTAATAAGGTGGAGGTTCTGGACCAGTCTCCATTCCCCGCTGGGTTTCTGTACCCCCAATATTGGGATATTACAAGGGCTGTTGCAGGGTGCAACAAGGCCCTGAATCCTTAGGTTACTAATGATTACTTCTAGCCCTTTCCTAGCTGCTGTTTTTAGGGGATATTGTCTTTGGTTAGGGAAGGAAGTGGGACCCTTGAGGTTGATTTGGACTGGTATGGTTGCTGTGGCTTGGTCAATTTTTTCCTGAATTGCTCAAATTTCTGGATTAATATCAGTCTCCACCAAGGGGGAGGCAAAGAATCTTCCCTGGAGCTATAAGGATGGTGGTTCCCATACAAGCTAAAGTATCCCTACCTTACAGAGGAGTCAGGCAGTCAGGTATGATTTAAAAGTCATGAGTAAACAAAAGGTCTCCTCAGCTAAAATGAAGGGATTGAGGAAAATATCGTTCAGAGGCTTTCCTGACATGCCCCTCATGGTCATGCCAAGAGAGGAGGGGAGGCCTGGATTAGAGAGGAGAACAGAAATGGCAGCTCTGGTATTGAGTAGAAAGTCTACCTTCTTTTCTTCTATTAATACCTCAGGAGTCACCTGGGGCTCCTGGATTATGTAATGGAAGTTTGAGCCATCAGAGTGGGGGAGGAGAGCTCTGGGACTTATCAGTCCTTTCAGACCTTTTGAGAAGCTGGCTCTGAACCTCGGGACCTACATCTCCAGAGACAGTCCACCTTGCAGTGGTCTCCCTTATAGCTTGGACAGGGTGTTGGGGCTTCTTCTGATTTCTAAGGCAGTCTTTTTCATAGTAGCCCCTTTGGTCACACTGATCATGACAGCAGCAGGAAACAGACAAATTCCTAGGCAGACAGGGACAAGTCCCCAGTGAAGCCTGACCTTCAAGCCAAAGACAGCCTGAACCTGAAAAACAAACTGCCAGTTTAGGATAGATTCCATGACCGGAGTGAGAACCTCTCTCCTTGTCTCACCCACTCTCCCATGATTGGTTCCTTCTGGATGATGCCTTTTAACCAGTTGAATGGTGTCTTTTCAAGGCCACCAATGGACCAATCAGCACACACTGCCCCACTCTAAGCCTATAAAAATCATAGAATCAGCTTCCCAGATGGCTACCTGCTTTCAGGGTTCCCTCTTGCCACTGAGAGCTTTATTTCTGTCACTCAATCAAATTCTTCTCTTCCTTACTCACTCTCTGGTGTCGGCATATCTTATTCCTCTTGGTTGTGGGACAAGAATCCAAAACTCGACAAGCTTTGGGTGACAGGAGTGATAGAGTTATAACCCTCAGTGAACCCTCATTCACTGAGGTGTGGGTAGCAGAGACAAAAGAGCTGTAACCCTTCCATTTGCTGAGCTGCAGGAAGTGGGAATAAAAGAGCTGCAACCCTCCCATTTGCCAAGCAGTGGGAGTGAAAAAGCCGCTGGGTAATCCTTCCTTCCACTCACCAAACTATGGGAATGAAGAAGCCACAACAATAACAGTTGCTAATAGAAGGAGAAGCTCCCTGGGGATCCCGGGGTTTATATGCCTGTATGGTGGCTATTAGTGCCTCCACCTTTTTTTAGTTCCTTTTCTCCCTTTCTTGGGCTTCCTCCTGGTCCTGATTATAAAAGAATGAGGTAGCAACTTTCAGGAGACTCTGTAGAGGACTATCTGGTTCAATAGATAACTTTCGCAGCTTTATTCTAACATCTTGGGTTATAAACCTGTCTTTCAAAAGCAATTGTCATTCTATAGAGTCAGAAAAGAGAGAGAGGTGTGTTTAATTGAAGCCTCTCTCAATTTTTTCAGAAACATGGAGGGATTCTCTTCAGTCCCTTGGTTTATGGTTGATAACTCAGTGTAATTGAGGGGCTTGGCTGCAGTTCTCCTCAGACCTTCCCATATCCATACATGAAAATGTTTTCTTTGCCACTTTCCTAGAACAGTGTCTGAGTCCCATCAAGGATCATCAGTGGGTACTGCCTGCTTGCTTATCAGAAAGGGCTCCCTAATTTATTCCCCTTCTGCGGAGGTGCCACAATAATAAACAATCATTTTATCTCCAAATGTCTCAGTGGCCTGTAAGGCTGCCTGCTTCTCGAAGCTGTTAAGAGCCTGAATGAGAAGTAACATAATATCCTTCCATGAAAGCTCCAACACTTGAGTAAGGTTCTGAAATGTTTCAATATACCTCTCAGGGCTGTCAGAAAATTTTCCTAGATCCCTTTCATTTGCTTCAAATCTTGTAAAGAAGGGGGACTTGTACTCTGAAGTAATCATATCCACTAGGCATTTCCTGTAAAGGAGGAAGTGACTCCAGAGCGTGTCCATATTGATCTCTTCTAATAGGATGAGGGTCTAAATGGGGACCTACATAAAGGGTACAAGATGATCCAAGAGGAGCTGGGACCTGGGCTGGTGCAGGTGCCTTTGACTCCTTATCTAAAGATGCAGACTGGTTTTTCTCCTGTGTGTGGTTTGAATCTGCCTTGATAGATGTCACTGTTATAAGTGCAGGGTCGATTCTACATTGCTGACAGAGCTTGGGATTATCCCACAGGGCAAGAAGGCCAGTATATGTGGAATTTCAGACCATTTTCCTTCTCTCCAGCAGAAGAGATCTAGCTGTAGGATAGTATTATAATTGATGCATCCCCCAGTTGGCTAGGCCTCCCTGTCTTCCAAATTATAGCCAGGTCAAGCCTTGGTACTGAAAAATTCCAAGCACTTTCTCTTCAGAGTCTGAGTATCAGATGACTCCCAATGTCTCAAGATGTACTTGAGAAAAGTGCAGGCTGAAGGTGTTGTGCTAACCATCTGGAAAGAGAGAGGGAGAAAAAGGAGTCTCTTAGTCTTTCCCTCTGCTATCCTAGAGTCCGAGACATCCCTCAGGCTCACCTTGGTCATGGATGCATGTGCAACTGCCATTCATGACCAGAGGAGGATCAGGCTGGAAGGAGCAGTTGCACTTACCTGCGCTCAACCTTGACCCTCCTTGTCAACTGCCTTTGATTTCACTGTCTAAGCTCAAGACTAAGGTGGATCCAGGGAGTCCCTGCATATGCTTTCCCTCTAATTCCAATTTGGCTGGCATCTTATTTAACGTTATCAGGCATAGCCAGGCATCCTGCCCCGAAAAGAACCAATTTCTTAAAGAGACACTAACAAACATGAACATTTCTCATAACATAACATTTCCCAGAAGAACAGTAGGAAAAAAACATGATAGGAAAGATTGAAAGTCTTTGTCAGACACCCAAATGGGCTGCCATGGACTGGGGCTGGTCTAGGGGCCCTTGAGTAATGTCAAGATGTAGCCTCAGCCAGATACCTCCACCTGCCCTAGGACCTTATTCCGATCCCATGCAATGGCTAGACTTTCATGAAAGGAAAGTGGATTGGAACAAGGCCAACATTCCTAACACCTGAGGGTTAAGGGGGATTGACCAAGCCCTTCCCAACAAGTATACCCTCTGAGTCTTGCAGACCAGCAGCCATGGTATTCACTCTTAACTGGCTGACAGATGCCTGGTGTTTTATCTGTTTGTGAAAATTCCTGAGGATGAGAAGCCTCAGAAGTGAAAGTAAAGAGCCATAAGTCTGCTTTTACTCAGCCTTCCAACAATCCCAGATGAGTCCCCAAGAAATGTTGCAGCTCTTTTACTCCCATAGTTTAATGAGCTCTGTGTTCTTGTCCCACAGCCTAGAAGAATGAGGTACACAGACACCAGAGAGTGAGTAAGGCAGAGTAGAATTTATTGAGTGACAGAAAAGCTCTTAACAGTGAGAGGGAACCTGAAGGTGGGTTGATGCCACAAGGCTGAGTCTAAGGGTTTTTATGGGCTTGAAATGGGTAAGTGCATGCTGATTGGTCTGTGGCTATGCTAGAAAAAGCACCATTCAGAAATAGGCATAATAGTGTAGGAAGGGTATAGGTAGATATATATAAAATAGGTGAAGGATAAGGACCAATTGGGAGAGAGCACACCAAATGTGAATGGGAGCTCTCAATTGGTCCACAAATTTATCTGGAACTTGTAGCTTGGTTTTCAGACTTTAGACTGTCCTTGGCTCGAAGGTTGAGTTTCACTGGGGATCCATTCCTGTCTGCCTAAGAATTTGCCCACCTCCTATCACTATCAATACTTAGGAATAAATGAATCCAAGGAGGTGAATGATCTTTTACTGAAAGCTATAAAACACTGATGAAAGAAATTGAAGACAAAGATAAGTGGAAATCTTCTGTGTTCATGGATTGAAAATGTTATTATTATTTAAATGTTCATTCTAACCAAAGTGTTAAACAGATTCAGTGGAATTTCTATCAAAATTCTAAAGGCATTTTTTACAGACTTAAAAAACAAATCCTAAAATTCATGTGGAACCACAAAACAACCCAAACAGCCAAAGCAATCTTGAATAATAACAAAGCTAAAGGCATTACACTACCTGATTTGAAATACACTATAAAGCTATAGTAATCAAAACAATATGATATTGGCATAAACACAGACATATAGTCCAAGGGAACAGAGTAGAGAGCCTAGAAGTAAATTCATATATTTACAGTCAAATGACCTTTGAAAAAAGTGTTAAGAATACACAACAGGAAAAGGAAAATCTCTTTAATAAATGAATAGTGCTAAGAAAACTGCATATCCACATATAGAAGAATAAAATTGTACCTTATATCATATACAAAAATCAACTGAAAATCGATTAAAGATAGAAAGTTAAAACACGAAACTATAAAACTTCTAGCAGAAAACAGGGAAAATGCTGCTTGACATTGACCTGGGTGATGAATTTTTGGATAGGACCTCCAAAGCATAGGATACAAAACAAAAACAGACAAATGGGATTGCATCAAACTAAAAATTTCTCCACAACAAAAGAAACAATCAACAGAGTAAAGAGACAATCTATGGAATCAAGAGGTTAGTAGGCAGAATATATTAGCAACTCAATAGTGAGAAAAAAAGGACACAATTAAAAACTAGGAAAAGGGCCATAATAGACATCTCAAAAGAAGACATATAAATGTCCAACAGGTATATGAAAAGATGCTTTATGTCACTAACCATCAGGAAAATGCAAATTAAAACCATAATGACACATCACCTCATATCTTATATAACACATCACCTCATAGCATTTATTAAGATGACTATTATCAAAAAGAAGAGATAACAAATATTGGGAAGGATGGAACTGTTGTACACTATTAGTAGGGATATAAATTAGTACAGCCATTATGCGAAAGTTTACAGAGGGGTCAAAATATTTTAAAAAGAGCTACATTATAACCCGGCAATCCCATTTCTAATTATATGTTGTCATCCTGAAGTAGTTGAAATAATCAAAATTCCGTTTTAAAGACTTTCTTTCAGCTAAAAATTGAGGATTGTCATCCAGGAAACAGACTTCAGGAAAATAGGGTCAGTAATCTGAAGATAAAAGTTACAGTCTTGCTTAACTAGTCAGAAAACAAGGAAACTTAGTAGGATTATAACGTTTCCTATATGAGGATGGTTTATAAGTTACAGGAATTTAATTAGTTACAGCTTGTTCTCTTTTCTTTACAGCTTTTTTATTTCCTTCTCAATTTATGATTGTGTGCAACTTTCTGTCTTAGACAATGTGCTACTCGTGAATTCTTTGTGTGAGAAAGAAAAGAGGGAAGTTAATCTACAGTAAAGGCCAACAGTTTAGAGGGAATGCATCTTCCTTGGGGTTCTTAAGTCCTTTACGACAATTTACAAAACAATATAGGTAAAGAAAAAGGTTAATCTATAATCAGAGCAACAAAGGTTACAGCTGCTTAGTTTACAGCTGCCTGCTTAGGGGACCCAGGTTCCATAATTATATTTCCTGAAGGCTCAAAATATTTTAAGGGTCCAACAGCCTAGATTTTGAATTACTTATTTTTAAAAACATAAAATCGGTATTTGGAAAAGATACCTGCATTCTCATGTTTATTGTAGTGTTATTCACCATAACCAACATATGAGAACAACCCAAGTGTCTACCAGTGGATGAATAGATAAAGAAAATATGGTATATATAATACAATGGAGTTATTTTTCAGCTTTAAAAAAGAGAAAAGTTGTGTCATTTATGACAACATAGATGAATCTGGAGTACATTATGCTAAGTGAAATAAACTAGGTACAAAAAGAAAAACAGGGCCGGGCGCGGTGGCTCATGCCTGTAATCCCAGCACTTTGGGAGGCCAAGGTGGGCAGATCACGAGGTCAGGAGATCGAGACCATCCTGGCTAACACGGTGAAACCCCTTCTCTACTAAAAATACAAAAAATTAGCCAGGCATGGTGGTGGGCGCCTGTAGTCCCAGCTACTCAGGAGGCTGAGGCAGGAGAATGGCATGAACCCAGGAGGGGGAGCTTGCAATGAGCCAAGATCACTCCACTGTACTCCAGCCTGGCTGACAGAGCAAGACTCCGTCTCAAAAAAAAAAAAAAAAAAAAAAAAATACTGCATGATTTCACTTATATGTGAAATCCAAAAAGCACACGCTTATAGAAGCAGAGAGGAGAATGGTGATTGCTAGGAGCAGGGAGGAGGGAAAGACGATGGGGAGATGGGTAAAGGGTACAGAACTTCAGTTATACAGGATGTATAAGTTCTGAAGATCTAATGTACAGCATGAAAGCTATGGCTAATAATACTGTATTGTAGTCTTGAAATTTGCTAAGAGAGTAGAACTTAAAGTTCACATTACACACAAAGACACCCCCCACACACAAAAATGTTAACTGTGGAAGGTAGTGGCTATGTTAATTAGTTTGATTGTGGTAATCATTCCACAGTATATAAGAGTGGGGGAAGTACGGGAAAAGGTTACTGGTCTTCTTGATGAGGACATTGTTAGTGAGAAATATGGCGGAAAAAAGTTACCTTAGTTTTATGAAATATGCATGTTCAATTTCAAGAATTTACCCAGACATCTTTTAATGCAACAATATATTGCTTTGCAAAAGGTTTACATTATGTACAAATGCAGAATAATTTTTATTTTTGCCCCCAAATTAAATATATGTATGTATGTATATACACACACACACACACACACACACACACACACACACACACTAGTGGAATTTATTTCAAAAATTTTTAAAGAATTATGTTTTCTTTTTTTTCTTCCCTTTTAATATTTTACTGGAATTCATCAAAATACGATACCATTGAAGAAATAATTTTTTCCTGTTTTCTGAGCATGAGATAAATATACCTCTTTAAAATTCTAAGTTCAGGTCTGTTTGCTTGGTGTTTTATTTGTACAGGCTCATTTCACTTTCTTTGCTTACCCAGCCACGGTTCTGATTTCAGTTGGAATATTGGCCACTCAGGATCACATTGTGTTTCTGTATCATTTGTATTAATTCTTTTGGTTTCAGGATTGTTTATATTAAATCCACTGGAAGCAATGGAATCTTCAACTTCAAGCCTGATAGAGTTAATTTTCAAGGCTGAACTGTTCCCATAGTTCTGACTGTAATTGTTTCTGATTATTTTTATGTTGTAATGAAGCAATAATGATCAAAGCACAGGGCATTTCTTAGGGATTCATGACTGGCTGGCTTTGCCTCGGGCCATTAACCCCCGTCATTAATTCCCCTGGAAATCCATTGTGCTGAGGTCATTATTGTTAATAACAGAGCTATATGAAAACATTTTCACACACTCTGGAGTAAAACTGTTGATTATTTTCTGCCTGTACAAGTTTTGTGATTGAAAAACCTAAGATAGTGATGAAGTTTAACCAAGAAAGAAAGTAAATTATAGTTCTCTGGAGGGAAAATGATATGTATTTGATATATATCATCATCATTTGATATGATGTCATGTATGTGTATATGCATACATGAACACATGAGTAAGCATTCTATACATTTTTTATCCTTGGACTTTATATAGTCTTCTAATTTGTGAATATATTACATATCAGTTGAAGATTTTAAGTACAGTTATTTTGAATCATAGATGCATTTTTAATTATGAAAAACATACTGAGCAATGTACCATTTTTTTCTTGCTATACATTTGTTCCTCTTTAATACCTCTAGGAGAATGAAGGTGAACAAAATTTTCCTTGAAAAGTAATTCTCTATTTAGTAACCATTCAAAAATCTACTTTGTTCTCTCCCAGTAATAATTTCTTAAAATAATGACAGTGGTAGCACCGTAATTAGCACATTCACAATGTCACAATGTTTTGGGTGTTTTTTTTTGTAATATCCTATGTACATATCACTGCACTTCTCACTAAAAGGGTAGCCACAGTGTAAGATGTAAGACTATTTTGAATGAATTAAATAGCAAAGCAACCTAAACTCTGTCTTAAAGTTTCAAGAACTACTTACTAATCAAACAACTATAATTAAAACTTCACTTAAAATACAACTGGTTGCCCTTAGAAAGAGATAAGAGCTAAGGAGACACCAAATGATCAAACTGGAATTTGAGAAAAACATCAGAAACTTTGTCTTCCTGTTACTTCCTTGTAAGTGAATTTGTTTCTGTAGTAGGTCTTCGTTACTGTTGAAGTTTAACTTACTTTTTAAGTGTAAAGATAATCTCCAATTTTCATTAAAGTTTTAAATTTTATACTATTAAGACTATTATAGGTAATTGCTACTTGGTGTTTATTCTTCTTTTATATCCTCCTCTATTTAAAATTTAAGTAGTAAGGAAATAAACAGAAGGAAAATAGGTTTGGCTAGGAAAGGATTCCAGATATTTTTTCCATAAAACCCACCACATCCAGTGGAATTGGAAGGAGATAATCTAACTGAAAATTTCAGGTACTATGCAAATGTAAATTTTAAAAACTTAACAAGAAAACATAGCTTGGAGAAAATATTTTTAATCTTGGAGATATTAGAAAACTAATAATTCAGTCTGTATATCTCAAATAGGAGCAAATCAATGAAATGCGAATTAATGGAAAGATCTATCCTCATTTCACAGATAAAAAAGCAAGCCTTGTGTAAATAATTTCACTAAAGTAAATCATCCGGAGAACAGCACAACTAGGATTTAAATTGCAAGGCATATTCTCCCCCTACTTCATATGTCTTATCACAGAGAAACATTCCCTACTGTGTCTTTCGAAAAGTACTTCCTAAAGAATCACAGAGGACAATGGCAAGATGACTATTTTCAGTAGATAATGTGATGGCTAATTTTGTGTATCAACTTGGCTGGGCCACAGTAGCCAGATATTTGGTCAAATAGTATTTTGGATGTTTCTGTAATGGCCATTTTTGGATGAGATTAATGTATAAATCAATGGATATTGATTGAGTAAGCAGATTGCCTTCCCTAATGTGGTTGGGCCTCATCCCATCAGTCAAAGGCCTTAATAGAGCAAAGTCTGACCTCTCTTGAGCAAGAATGAATTGTGCCAGCAGACAGCCTTTGCACTCAAACTGCAGCTCTTGCTAGTGTCTCCAGCCTGCCAGGCTACCCTGCAGATTTTGGATCTACCAAGTCTCCACAATTCCACGAGCCAATTCCTTAAAATAATTCTCTGTATAGACAGATATACACATCCTGTTGGTTCTGTTTCTCTAGAGAATCCTGACTAATACGGATGAGAAACAAAAATCGAAACAGAAAATGGTGTGAAGAACCAAAAGCAGATGGAAAGAAGTACAGATATTTAGGACAGAGTATGAGTCCAAGAATATCTCTGGGTCAGGGCTCCAAAAAGATCCCATCCTTACCCTCAGAAGCAAAATAAACAAAATGCCACCACCACCTCTATGGTAAACTGTGGGTCTAATATGCATATCTAGTGACATTTTATGGATGTTTACTTGGACAGTGAAATGATAAGACTCTTTTTTTAGATATAACTAAAATCTGCTTTCCTTTTAAAAAAATCTCGATTCGCATATAGTTTATGATTAAAAATACCTGAAAAAATGCTTTTCCTGAAATAGTCTTGAGCAGAATATATATGAATGAATTTATGTGTATGTGTATATTTGGAAATGATAATTAGCTAACTAGGTAAAAGTAGAGGTTGGGAAAAATGTATCCTTTGTAATACATATTTCACAAAGCTTTCTATTTTCCAGGAAATTAATTCTCTTTAGAAAGCAACTGAAAGCCCTTTAACAACATAGCATCTCTCCTGGAGGGCCCATATTATTCCAATTACATCTAATTATATACGCAGGTATATGTGTTCACGTTTAAATGCAGGTGAAGTACTTGCAAAGAGCTTCATTTCATACCTTATTGTTTTTAAAAACACCACCCACATATGCTTCAGAAATAATTATGACTATATAGCCGCCCAATGGTTGTTTCTTCTGTATCAGTCTTAATGGTGAGGAGGTTTCCTCAAGAGCAGAGCACCTTGGTTAAGGGGGTTTGTTTCATGGTAGCACCAAGAAGAGACTCAGGGCTTCTTAGCCCTGGACTTGTAATGAGTAAAGATAATTTTTTTTCTCTTTGAGGAAAACAGTAATTGTTATTATTGCCATGTGCTTAATCCATTGTAACAGTAGCGATATAAGTGCTATATTTCATTTATATTTATTATGTAATATGTAATTATATTGTATATATGTATTATATAATCATATAATTTCTATATTTATAGTTAGCAATATAATTGCTAAATTGTATTTCTAAAATATTATTTCTAAAAGTGACAAGGAGGATAAGAACAAGAGAAACGGAAAAAAAGGTGGAAACTCATGGAGAATTAGGGCTTGTTTTTGCCAGAGATGCCTCCCCCTGTTTGCTCGTACTGAACGTGTTTCATGTGTATAAGGAGTGACGCATTTACATGTGCATCTCTAGGTGTCTGCAGGGCAAAGATGAGGGAAATGGTTCCCATTTTCAGAGGGCCACCTTTGACACTGCAATGTGGCCTGTCTTCTCTGAAATCTGTCCTGCATTACAGCATTTTCAGGATGCAAAATAGGAAAGGCCCTCCTTCCTTAGGAATAAACCCAGATGGAGAGCAAAAGTCCGGAGATATATCTCTCTCCTACAATTATTTCACAGAATAAAAAAGTGGCAGGGTTCATCTTCATTATTTTATTTTGTATAGTGCCTTTCACATGAATGCAATTGGATAATTTGATGATAAGTTATGATGATGACCAACTAAAAGTGAAGTATTGTTCATGAAATTTCATGAATAATAAAATATCAAAAGTTTTCATTTTGGAATGGTGCCAAAAGCAAAATTCTACATAAATTGTATTATTTATCCTTAGTTCAAGATGCAGAAATTCTTCCCTATGCAGGCAACTTTTAAGTAATATTCATTGATTGCCATTTCTTTTACAAATAAAATAAACCACTCACAATCCTACCATGACAAATATAGTGTAATTTTGTGTCTTCTTTCTAGATTTACGTATTTGTAAATGATAAAAATGGTACCTAAAAAACAATATTTGAAAATGCTATTTAGGAGAAGAATACTTTTCAGCACAGAATACTGAATTTTTAGATGATATGGTACTTCCAATGGAGACTTAGTTAGCCCGTTTCTGCCTAAAATGTCATGATAAAATACAGACTCTGGCAAGAGAAATCTCAGCCACACTTTATTTGACTTTCTCTGTTACCACATTCCTACAAAATTTTTCTTTTTTTTTAACTTTTAATTTTGATGAATACATACTTCACATGTTCTCCCTCATATGTGGAAATTAAAAATGAAAACAGTCGAACTAATGGCAATAATGAATAGAATGACAATTACCAGAGGCTTGGAAGTGGGGGTGGGGAAAGTGGGAATGGTTAATGGATACTGAAATGTAGTAAGATAGGGTGAATAAATTCTAGTATATGAAAGCACAACATGGTGACTATGGTCCTACAACATTCTTGATTACTGAAATTCCAATATTGTGTCATATTTATTGGTTTTCATGATGTTCACAGAACTTTCACATTTACGATCTCAAGTTTTCCGAGTTCCCCAAAGGTAATCATGGGCAATTATTTCCTATTTTACAAATGTAGAAATTAAGCGTATTACATACTTGGCTAAATGTTCACAAGTAAAATGATAGCCATTGAGCCAAAGCTAAAATGTGAACTTCCGATTCACAAAGAAGTCTTATGTTAAATTCCAGATTCCTAAATTTATTCACACAAATAATCTTCAGCAGTGGCGGAAGAATTGGAACAAAACTTAGAACTTTTTATTTTAGGCCACTGTTAGTTCCCCCTGCTTCATTTCTCTTTCATTGGCCACTATGAGGCTTTCTTTGGTTTCAGGACCCTTGATCCATGCCTCCATGTAATTGCCATCATTTTAGTGCCCCCCTTATGAGTACATAGTATGAGCAACTCCTCTCCTCCAAATGAAATAGAGTCATTTATTTCCTTCTACATTTATTTACTTAGTGCAGTGAATGTTCCAACAACGGGACCTAAATGAAATAACCACTGGAAATTCAAAGACGTCAGAGAGAATGAATGAACTATTCTTACAGGAGGCAAGGTGGCAACAGAAAGGAAGGGAAGAAAAGGGGAAAGAAAGGAGGACATGTTTTGGAGGTTATGTGGATTAGCACATCAGCCTCAAACCTTAGGACATTAACCTCTTAGGACAATGGTCAGATGTGAATCCCCAATCCAATAGATCAAATCCTGGTCAGTTATATTCAGTTACCCTCAGATTGTGTGCTGAAACAGCTCTTTTAAAACAATGCCAAAGGCCAGTCACAGTGGCACATGCCTATAATCCCAGAGCTTTGGGAGGCGGAGGTAGGAAGATCATGAGTTTGATACCAGTCTGGGAGATATAGTGAAACCCTGGCTGTATCAAAAAAAGAATTAAAAAATTAGCCAGACATTGTGGTGTATGCCTGTAGCCCCATCTACTCTAGAAGTTGAGAGGGCTGCTTGAGCTCAGAAGTTTGCAGCTATGATTATGGTACTGCCATGTTGTTTGAGAGAAACCCTCAAACTGTATGGAGGATGATTATAAAAATAGCCCTCTAAAGTTTGACATTAAGTCTATTGTAGAGTGTGCTCAAGAATTTTATTCTTTATAACAAAGTCCTGAAAGAAATTCCTGTTTGGTAGTAGTATCAGAAAAAATACTGCTTAGTAATTGGTTTTGTTGTATGGCCTTCCTAAATTACACACTTAATTTGTTGTTGTTTTTAATGCATGCTGTTAGAAAGAAAAGTTGTGGCCCATCCATCACTCTGAACTTCTATGATAATCCTGTTCTCATTTTCCTTTCCTCTTTTGCCCCACTCTTAAGTCTACTTATTAGACTTTCTTTATCTTGTCTTTAATTCTTACTTAATGAAGTGGGGTTTGTAGCTGGGGAAACAAACAAAAAGTAAAATGGGAGAAAATACAGTCACAATGTATAGTTTTAGCATAGAGATAATCAGAATTCTGAATCCACATGTTTTTTGCAGGAGTCTGTAATACTCTTTAAAACACAAAATTTCTTCTAGCTTCTGCTCCTATAGTAGTAGTGGATTTGGAAAGCAAAGCGGAGTCATACTTTGGGTTTGGGGGATACCAATGAACCAAAGAAATATTAAGCCCCTTTAGGACACTCACCCCGGTGCCTGCATGCATAACTGGAAGAAAGCTACTCCTCAGCTTCTCATGCTGTATGAAGCAGCCACGATGATGGCAGTAATGTAGTAGGTCCCTAAGGCTGCCATCAGAATGTGCCACAAACCAGGTTGCTTAAAGCAACAGAAATTTATTTTCTCTTAATTCTGGGGCCTAGATGTCTGAAATGAAGTCTCTAAGGAAGCATTCTTCCTTCTTCATTGCCTCTTTCTAGGTACAGGTGGTTGCTGACAATCCTTGACATTCCTTGGCCCCTAGATGCATCACTCAAATATCTGCCTCTGTCTTCACATGGCATTCTTCCTGTGTGTGCCCAAACTTTGCTCTGCTTTCTAGCTCTATCTATTACTATAAGGACAGAAGCAAGCAGAAATTTATGTTTTAAAAGATATTTACAGACCTTGAAAATAATATCTGAATTTTGAACTCTGATTATCTTTATACTAAAACCTTCAGTGAGTGTAAATTCCTTACTTTTTTTTTTTTTGAGACAGTTTGTCATCCAGGCTGAAGTGCAGTAGCGTGATCTCGGTTCACTGCAGCCTCTGCCTCCTAGGTTCAAGGGATACTCATGCCTCAGTCTCAGTAGTAGCTGGGATAACAGGCATGAGCCACCACACCCAGTTTATTTTTTGTGTGTATTTTTAGTAGAACTGGGGTTTCACCATGTTGGCCAGGCCCATATTGAATTCCTGATCTCAAATAATCCTCCTGCCTCAGCCTCCCAAAGTGCTGGGATTACAGACGTGAGCCACCATGCCTGGTCTACTTTTAAAAAAAATAAATAAATTTCATCATGTGTATTTGAAGTTTACAACATGATATGGGCTACATCTAGACATTAGTAAAATGATTATTATAATGAAGCAAATCAACATATTCATCATCTCACATAGTTATTTTTGTGACTGGAGTGGCTAAAACCTACTTACTTAACAAAAATCCCTAATACAATAAAATTTTATTAACTGGAGTTCTTATGTTGTACATAAGCTCTCTAGACTAATTCATCCTACATATCTGCTCATTTGTACCCTTTGAATTGCATCTTCCAGTTCCTCCCCCGACTCCTGCCCGTGAATAACCACTATTTTATTCTGTATCTCTGTATGTTTGACTTTTTTTTAAAGATTCTGCATATATGTGAGATAATATGATATTTTCTTTCTGTGTCTGGGTTATTTTACTTAGCATAATGTCCTCTGGGTCCATTCATTTTGTGGCAAATGCTGCAACATGTTTTTTTTCTAAACGGCTGAATAATATTCCATTGTTTGTGTGTAAATATGTGTGTGTGTGTGTGTGTGTGTGTGTGTCTGTGCCTATGTATAACATTTTCTTTATCCATTTGTTCATCAGTGGACACTTAGCTTGTTTCCCTATCTTAGCTATTGTGAACAATGCTGCAATGAACATGGAGTGCAGATATAAGGTAGTGTATTAGTCCATTTTCATGCAGTTGATAAAGACACACCCAAGACTGGGTAATGTATGAACAAAAAGAGGTTTAATGGACTCAACAGTTCCACGTGGCTGGGGAGGCCTCATAGTCATGGCAGAAAGTGAAGGAAGAGCAAAGGCACATCTTACATGATGGCAGGAAAGAGAGAAAACTTGTGCAGGGGAACTTTTATAAAACCGTCAGTTCTTATAAGACTTACTCACCGTCATGACAACTGCATGGGAAAGACCCGCCCCCATGATTCAGTTACCTCCCACTGGTTCCCTCCTATGTTATGTAGGAATTGTGGGAGCTACAATTCAAGATGAGATTTGGGTGGGGACACAGTCAAACCATAACAGATGGTGATTTCACCTCTTTTGTGCATATATCCAGAAGAGGAATTTGTAGGTTGTATAGTAGTTCTATTTTTAATTTCTTTAGGATCGCTAATACTGACTGCCATTAATAGCTACACCAATCTATAATCCACCAACAGTGTACAAGTGTTTTTTTTCTTCACACTCTTGTCAATACTTGTTATTTCTTGTCTTTTTAATAATAGCCATACTAACAGGTTTGAAATGATATCTTATATTGGTTTTAATTTATATTTCCCTGATGATGATGATGTTGAGAATCTATTCATATGCCTATTGGCCATATCTATGTCTTCTTTGTTTTTAGTTTTGTAGCCTGACCTTTTGGTGTATTATACAAAAAAAAAATATTGTGAAGGCCAATGCCTAGGAGCTTTTCTCCTGTTTCTCTTCTAGGAGTTTTACGGTTTCAGTTCTTACATTTAGGTCTTTTATCCATTTTCAGTTGAATTTTGTGTATGGTGTAAGATAAGATTCCTAATTCTTTTGCATCTAGTTTTCCTAGCACCCATTTATTGAAGAGACTATCTTTTTCCCATTGTGGTTGTATTTACTACTGTACAATCAACAAAAATTAGTTAACTGCATGGTAGTCCACCCTTATCTGCAATTTTGCTTTCTGCAGTTGCATTTATCTGCAGACAAATGTGGTCTGAAAATAGGCCAGTACAATTTAATAAAGTATTTTGAGAAAGAGAGAAACTACATTCACATACCTTTTATTACAGTATATTATTATAATTGTTCTATCTTATTAGTTATTTTTGTTAATCTCTTGCTGTGTTTAATTAATAAATTAAACTTTTTAAATCGGTATACTTGTATAGGAGAAAACAGTATTATAGAATTTGGTACTATTTGCAGTTTTAGGCATCCACTCGTGATTGGGAACATATTCTTTCTACATAAGAGGGGGACTACTTATATATTTGGATTTATTTCTGGGATCTCTGTTCTGTTCCACTGTCCATTTTTAGTTTGTTCTGCCCTAATCCAGTATGATCTCAACTTAATGACATGTGCAAGGACCCTATTTCTAAGTAAGATCACACTCACAAGTACTGAAGGTTAGAACCTGAACATATATTTTTGGGGGGACACAATTCAACCTACAACAAGTAGTAGTAATAATCATACAGCAAAAGGAATACTACAAGCCAGGTCTGGGCCTCCTTCTTCAGCCTCCTTCTCCATTAATCTCATTGCTCCATCTACCTACTACTTTGCTCAAGTAATTGTATGGGTTAATATTTGCTGCCCTCTGCTCCCAGCCTCTTTGTTTTTAATGACACCCAATCTCTGTTTCTATATTTGTACGTGAATTATTTCTGAATGCCTCATCCCTTTAGGTAGATGATTCATTAGATGGGATGATTATTTCAGCTGCTAACAAGTTTCCTACTTCCAGGTGACCCATCCTGAACTTTACTCACAGCAGTCTGTGAGCAAGTGATACGCATTTCCTCATATGACTCCAGCTCCTAGATTGCTTCTGCCACTCTTTGTCTCTGAGAGGGAATCCCATATAAGCTACAGAGTAAGAAGTCAGCTTAATGTGCATGGAATGTGAAGGTAGATAGAGATTAATTCATACTCTGGTTTTGCAAACGGTGATGTTGGGACACAGAGTTCAGTGGTTCATCTGGGCTTAGAGAGTCACAACCATGCATAGAACCGAGCTTCAGTTTTCTCAATACTCCAAAGTCAAAAGTAAAACAACAGCAAGTTCCATGACTCTCATCCAGCCATAGTAAACATTGCCACTTAATCAGTTAAGATTAACGTTGTTCACATACAACTCTATAATTTATCTCTTCTGAGGAATTGAACAAAATTGTACATCATAGTTTTGCCATTTCTGAGCTGTGTGAGCTCATACATTAATTCAATTCCTAGAATGAAATTTCTTCATGTATAAAATAAGAAAAAAAAATAGCTCATAGTTTGCTTGTGAGAAATAAAGAAACCAGTCTATCTATAATTTTGTCATTGTTACTGTATTAGTCCAATTTTATACTGCTATGAAGAAATACCCAAGATTGGATAACTTATAAAGAAAAAGAGTTTTAATGGACTCACAGTTCCACGTGGCTGGGGAGACCAAAAAATCATGGTAGAAGGCAAAGGAAGAGCAAAGCCACGTCTTACGTGGAGGCAGGCAAGAGAACATGTGCAGGGGAACTGCCCTGTAGACAAACATCAGATATTGTGATACTTATTCATTATCACAATAACAGCATGGGTAAAACCCATCCCCATGATTCAATTACCTCTCACCAGGTCCCTCCCATGACATGTCAGGATTATGGGAGCTACAATTAAAGATGAGATTTGGGTGGGGACATGACCCAACCATATCAGTTATAGAATAACATAGATGTTTATGTTGGAGCTCAGACACACTACCCCAAAATATGGCATCTTGGAAATTGAGAAAACAGCAGAAGCAGAAAGGTTACTCTCCAATCTTTTTCTGACTTTCTGTATGAAAGCTGGCTATAGAGAAATTATGTGACCTCTCTCCCATGAAAATAGGTCAAAAGATTCTCATGTGACAGGTGTCTTGCTCTATATGTGGAGACCAAGAAGAATTTGAACAGGCATGCCTCACTGGGTTCATCCTGAGTTTATTGCCATTAGAGCATATACTACTTTTGCCCAATTATACTACATGACTGTCCATTCTTCATTGAATCTAAGCATGATTTTTTTCCTGTATCTTTTATTCTTCATTTCCGAAGGCTCCCATGTCAGTTAAAACCTTAGCTAAATGAATTTGTTATATTTTTCTATTTTTAATCTGTCTTTTGTTCTAGGGTTGTCAGCCCATGAACCTTGCAGTGGGTGGGAAAAGATAGTATCTTTTCTTCCCTACTCTTAATAAATTGTGTTCCTGCACCTCCCACATAAACATCAATAGAACTGACAATGTCACAGTATTATTCTATTATGCGCTGCTTTGGGCTAAGTTTTTATGGTGTATTTAAATTTGTTTTGTTAAATATGTATGTCTAATATTCCAAAGAATTTTCTTTAACTTCCTTCAACCATATATATTTGTTTATGTGCTTTTTTTTTGTCTTCACTACCCAAATTAGTCATCTATGTTTGCACAGGTTTTATGAGCCAGACCCCTGAGATTAGCCTTTTCCAACTAAGACAACCCAACATTTTTCAAATTAACAGAATAAGGTAGTGCATAAAATTAGAATTGGCACTTTCCCCTTCTTTTAATGTTTAAATCCTCAAAGGTTCCATGAACAGCTAGCGTGAAACAACCTCGAGGCAAAACATCATCATTTAAAATATGCAAAACCTGTCTAGTTGTTGGCCTAACCTCTCATTTCAAGATATAAGGCAAAAGCAGCAAAACCATAGCAAAATGCAAGAAAATAATCTCAAAACTTTTAAGAAGAGTTTGTCTTCTATACATTACAAAGTGCTGACTATCTAATTCACATTCAGCATAATTTCCAAAAACATCATATACCAATGAAGATCAATCTGTCTCATTTGTAATACATAATTATTGAGAACATAATTGCAATAAAGTAGGCTTTTTTTAAAAAAAAAAAGTAATTAAATATATATTTATTCACACTTGAAAGCAGATGATGTACCAGAACTCATTTTCAGAGTAGAGGGAGAACGATATGAGAAAGAAAGAAAATTTTCAAAATAAGGGCCTTTAAATATTGTTACATTCTTTATATGAGCAATGCAACTACAATAATAGAAGAATAATGATATACCAGTGAATGTTTATTTCTTTATAATTTCCCTTCGTAATGGATATCAATTTTCAACTACCCATAAGCTGAATTTAGTACTCAATAAGAATGCTTCAATATTCTTATTATCTTTGACACAAGTATGGTTGCAAAACTTTATGTCTCTTGAAGTTTATAGCAGGTTTCCTGGTTTGAGAAAACAGTATAAAATCTGCTTTCATTGGTAAATTTGATATATTAGGGTCAAGACAAGCTGAGACTGAGAGTGACAGCTTCTGAAGAGTTAAACTTACATATTTTAAGCTTTTAAATAATTAAGCTAGGCATGATGCTTGAGAAACATTGAAAAATGTCACAGTAATTTTGATACATGCTTTTCTAACCTGTAGCACATATCTACTAGCCTTCTCAAAAATATTTTCCTTTTGGTTGGTATTATTTTCTATTTTCTGTCTTGCATTTTTGCATATCAGTCTACTTTCTTGTTCTTTGATGAAATCATGTTACATTTTGAACATATGAAGATGGTACATTTAGAAACAGAGAAAAAGCATTGCCATTGGGGTGCAGTATACACTTTTTAAACTCATTCATATAGCCACTTCACAAGTGTTTGGATGTCTATTGTGAAGTACGTGACAAAACCCCTATTTCTAGAAAGTGATGCTGTATTACTTACTGTTTTCTTGGAAATAATTCCAAGCCCATAGAGAAGCTGCAATATTGCACAAAGAGCTCTTGTGTATCCTTTATCCAGATTTGTAAATTTGTAAATTGTTAACATTCTGCCTCATTTTCTTTATCATTGTGTGCATCTATATGTCTGTATATCTGCACATTTTTTCTTAATGCTTTACTCTTACATGCTTCACAGTGTATTTCCTAAGAACAAGAATATGCTTTCATAACCACTGTATAGTTAAAAACTTGGAAATTTATAATTGGCATAATCTTTATGTAATCTACCAGGTATGCTTCACCTTTGTCAGTAATGCTCTTTATAGCTTTCCTTCCTGTAGTCCAAGATACAGTCCAAAATCACATATTGCATTTCGTTGTCATGTTCTTTGATCTGGAACATTATCTCAGACATACTTTGTCTTTTGTGACAGTTTCTTTTTGTTCATTTCTTTGTCTAGAGACAGGGTGTCACTCTGTCACCCAGACAGCTGTGCAGTGGCATGATCATGGCCCACTGCAGCCTCAATCTCCTTGGCTCAGGCACTCCTCTCACCTCAGCCTCCTGAGTAGCTCAGACAACAGGCACCTGCCACTACATCTGGCTATGTTTTTTTTTTTTTTTTTTTTTTTTTTGCTGGGGGCAGGTAGAGATGGGTTCTCATCTCACTATGTTGCCCAGGCTAGTCTCAAACTCCTGGGTACAAGTGATCCTTCCACCTCAGCTTCTCATAGTGTTGAGATTACAGACATGAGCCACTGTGCTCAGCCTGGTAGTAAATTTTGAAGCATACAAACCCTCCTGTCTCTTTTCAGTAGTGTGTTTTAGTGGGTTTATTGGAACTTTTCTCATGTTTAGGTTCAGAGCATGTATGCTGGATATGAATTCTATCTAGGAGATATTGTGTCCTCCTCAGGGTGTCATTAGGAGGTTCACAATATCATTCTATTCCTCAATGTCAATGTCAATTTGCATCAGCAGATAATGGGATTTCTGGTTTCTCTGCTATAGAGTTACCATATTTCTTTTTGCATGTTATAAGCGATCTGCGGAGAGACCCTGTAAGGCCGTGCAAAATCCTCTTCTCATCAAAATGCCCCTCCATATTTCACTGAAAAAAAATTTGATGACTTTCATATAATGATTTTCTAACTTCTGGATTTTCTCAGCCTTTATTGATTAGCATTCTACCTTAAGGAACAGCTCTCCTTTCTCCTTCTTTTCTTTATTTACTTATTGATTGATTGATTATATTTATGGACTCACTCAATTCTAGTTTTTCTCCAGTGGTTTGTAGTTCATTACCCTCTCTGCTTCATCATCTTGTTCTAGTCTTGGCTAATGGGTGTACCTTCAAGATGATGGAAGTGCCCTTTTAACAGGGCTCCATAATTTTTTTTTAGTCACATTTCAAGTTTCTGGTATAACAAATTATTCCATACTCATCTTAATACACCCTGTTCTAGAATATGAATTGGAAATTCCCTGAGGATAGCTGTTATTTGGTCGTGGAAAATGTAGAGGTATGTGGGTCCTAGACATGCTCATTGCCTCTGGAGTTCCTTTGTTCTTTATCTTGGCAGTAGACAGAACTAGTGTTTACAACATAAACACATATTGATATTTCCAACTGCAATCCACGCCAACATGGTTCTTTATTCTCTCCCCTCACCTCATACCATATTTACATTTTGCTTAAACCATAGTAAGAAGCCTGGATTCCACCAATATCAATACATTTACTTGGTCAATCCTACAAATCACCTATCATAATTTGAGGATTGCTTCATCTGTGCCAGTACAAAAAAATCTACTAAAAGATTTCATCATTGCATTCCTCCCTCAATCCCCACATCTCACTCCAGAGCTTAGGATATATACCATGTTCAAAAGTTGCTTTGATTCAACTGTCTTTAATTTGCCTTGGCTTTGCTTTTATTTTTTGTTGTAACTATATAATCCTTTTGAGACAAAGTTGGGTTTGTTTGTTTCCAATTTAATTCTTGTTTCTTCTCATTGTTTAGAATTATATTTAATTTTTGAATATGTAAAACGTTAACATGCTTCCAAGAGTTAAAACTATGTAAAAAGATACCTTCGGAACAGCGTCACTTTCCTTTTTTTTTCCCTCTTCTTCCTCATACCCTATCAGTAATAATTTCAGTTTTCTGCTTTATTATTCTCGTAGGGGCAGTTGCTATTATTTACCCTTCTTTTCTATCTATCTATCCATCAACCAACCCAGTCACCTATCATTTTTGCCCTTTGTTTTTTTTTTCATTTAACAATATATTCTTAGGCAGAAAAATGATGTTTTAAAAGAATGAAATATCTCATCTCCGGACTGGGTAAGTAACAACATAGAACGGTATACAAAAAGAAAAGTGAGTGCACAGAGGACAGGGGTTGTTGAAGATGATAAGGTTTCTCCTATCATTCCATCATTCATACTCTGTGCCAGGCCATATTGAACTACATGCCTCCCTCAACTGCCAATTTCCTCTAAGACTTTGTTTCTTCCATTTCATTCTGATTTTTCTATCTACATGGTTCTAAATTGAATTATTTGACTTAAGATAAAAGCAGTTTCCACCATGTCTCATATCAAAAACCACCTCCATTATCCCATATCTCCTTCTGGGTAGCTTAGCATTTCATTCCCAGTATTCATTGTAAAACTCAGAGAGAGGATTTATGATTTATTGATACTTCCTTACCTTCCATTTCACTCTGCAGTCCATTTCAGTATTAATTACTACCTGTCACACTAACCAAATTCCCCTTTCAAAAGTCATCAAGAATGATAATGATGACCATTACATCCTTGCTGCTCTAAGTGTGATCAAAGAGCCAGAATAACCAGCATCACTTTAGGAGTTCATTAGATTTAGCACAGATACAAAAAAAGGGGAAATAGACCCCTGTTCTTGATGGATGAACTGTCAGTGAATCTGTCAGTCATTAGTCAATCATGGCCCAAATTAGAAGAAGAGGAACAAAATAATCAGAGGAGCATATTCCTTCCATTTAAGGTAGTTCTTAGAGTTGGACTCCTTCATTTATGCTTGCATTCAAAGTCACATGGTCATGTCTGTCAGTGAGTTGGGGAGACGTAATTTTTCTACAGGTGGCCATATACATAGCTAAAAATTAAGGTTCTATTAGTTTAGAAAATGAAAAAATAGGCCAGGCGCGGTGGCTCATGCCTGTAATTCCAGCCCTTTGGGAGGCCAAGGCAGGTGGATCATGAGATCAGGAGATCGAGACCATCCTGGCTAACATGGTGAAACCCCGTCTCTACTAAAAATACAAAAAATTAGCCAGGCATGGTGGCACATGCTTTAAGTCCCAGCTACTCAGGAGGCTGAGGCAGGAGAATCGCTTGAACCCAGGAGGTGAAGGTTGCAGTGATCTGAGATCATGCCACTGCACTCCAGCCCAGGTGATACAGTGAGACACCATCTCAAAAAAAAAAAAAAAAAAAAAAAAAAGAAAGAAAAAAGAAAATGGAAGAAGAAAAATTGAAAACAACTAATATATTAATCATTTTGGGCTATCATACACTGAGTGGCTTAAATAGCAGAAGTTTATTTCTCAGAGTTCTGGAGGTTGGCAAGTCCAAAATCAGGGTGCTGATATGGTCAGGTTCTGGTGAGAGCCTGTTTCCTGGCTAGCAGATACAGTCATGTGCTGCAATATGATATTTCAGTCAATGATAAACCACATATACAATGATGGCCCCAAAGAATTATAATGGAGCTAAAAAATTCCTATCATCTAGTGAATTGTAGCTGTCCTAACATCACAATGCCTTACTCATGTGTTTGTAGTGAAGCTGGTGTAAACAAACCTACTGCACTGCTGGTCATGTAAAAATATATGACATACAATTATGTACAGTATATACTTGATAATGATAATAAACAATTCTGTTATTGATGTATGTATTTACTATACTATACTATACTCTGTATTGTTATTTTAAAATGTGTTCCTTCTACTTATATAAAAATCCTTCAGGAAGTGTTCCAGAGAAAGGCTTTGTTATCAGAGTGGGTGACAGCTCCATGGGTGTTATTGCTCCAGTACAACGTGATGTGGACGAGGATGACAGTGATATCGATGATCCTGATCCTATGTAGGCTAAGGCTAATGTGTGTGTTTGTGTCTTAGCTTTAACAAAAAAGTTTCAAAAGTATACTAAAAAAAAAAAAAAAGGAAAAAATTTGATGGAAGAATAAGGAAATAAGGAGAACGTTTTTGTAAAGTTGTATAATATGTGGGTATTTTAAGCTGTGTTATTACCAAAAAGCTAGAACATTAAAAAATAAAAATTTTATAAGGTAAAAACAGTAATCTGTTAATTTATTATTAAGAAAAAAAATTTAAATAAATTTAGTGTAGCATGTATGTACAGTATTTATAGTCTACGGTAGGGTACATTCATTCCCCATTCACTCACTGACTCACCCAGAACAAGTTCCAGTTCTGCAAGTTCAATTTATGGTAACAGCCATATACAAGTGTACCATTTTATATCTTTTATGCTGTATTCTTACTCTACCATTTTTATGTTTGGACATGTTTAGATACACAAATACTTACCATTCTGTTACAATTGCCTACAGTATTCAGCACACTAACATGCTGTACAAATCTTTGCAGCCTAGGAGCAAGAGGCTATACCATATAGCCTAGGTGTATAGTAGGCTGTAGCATCTCAGTTTGTGTAAGTACATTCTATGATGTTAACATAACAACAAAATTACCTAAGGCACATTTATCTGACTGTATCTTCATCATTAAGCAATGAATGACTGTAGTTGTCTTCTTGCTGTGTCCTCACACGAGGGAGAAGGAAAGCTCTGATCCCTCCAACTCCTACTAAGGTCACTAAGACCATCATGTGGGCTTCACCCTAATAAGCTATCTAACTCTAATTACCTTTCAAATGACCCACCTCCAAATACCCTCATGATATGGTTTGGCTGTGTCCCCATCCAAATCTCATCTTGAATTCCCACACATTGTGAGAGAGACCCAGTAGGAGGTAATTGAACCTCGGGAGCAGGTCTTCCCCATGCTGTTCTCATGATAGTGAATAAGTCTCACGAGATCTGATGGTTTTTTAAGGGGGAGTTTTCCTGCACAAGCTCTCCCCTCTTGTCTGCCACCATGTGAGATGTGCCTTTCACCTTCCACCATGTTTGTGAGGCCTCCCCAGCCACGTGGAACTGTAAGTCCATTAGAACTCTTTCTTTTGTAAATAGCTCAGTCTCCGGTATGTCTTTATCAGCAGCGTGGAAACAAAGTAATACAGTAAATTGGCAGCAGTAGAGTGTGGAGTGCTGAAAAGACACCCGAAAATGTGGAAGCGACTTTGGAACTGGGTAACAGGCAGAGTTTGGAACAGTTTGGAGGGCGCAGAAGACAGAAAAATGTGGGAAAATTTGGAACTCCCTAGAGACTTGTTGAATGGCTTTGACAAAAATGCTGATGGACAATGAAATCCAGGCTGAGGTGGTCTTAGGTGGAGATGAGGAACTTGTTGGGAACTGGAGCAAAGGTGGCTCTTGTTATGTTTTAGCAAAGAGACTGGCAGCATTTTGTCCTTGCCCTAGAGATTTGTGGAACTTTGAACTTGAGAAAGATGATTTAGGGTGTCTGTAAGAAGAAATTTCTAAGCAGCAAAACACTCAAGAGGTGACTTGGGTGCTGTTAAAGGTGTTCAATTTTAAAAGGGAAACAGAACACAAAAGTTCAGAAAATTTGCAGCCTGACAATGAGATAGAAAAGAAAATTCCATTTGCTGAGGAGAAATTCAAGCCAGCTGCAGAAATTTGCAAAAGTAACAAGGATACAAATGTTAATAACCAAGACACATGGGGAAAAATATCTCCAGGGCATATCAGAGACTTTTGTGACAGCCTCTCCCATCACAGGCCCAGAGGCCTAGGAGGAAAAAATTGTTTCATGGGTCGGGCCCAGGGTACCCATGCTGTGTGCAGCCTAGGGACTTGGTGCCCTGCATCCCAGCCACTCCAGCCATCGCTGAAAGGGGCAAACGTAGAGCTTGGACTGTGACTTCAGAGGGCGCAAGCCTCAAGGCTTGGCAGCTTACACATGGTGGTGAGTTTGTGAGTGCACAGAAGTCAAGAACTGGGGTTTGGGAACCTCTGCCTAGATTTCAGAAGATGTATAAAAATGCCTGGATGCCCAGGCAAAAGTTTGCTGCAGGGGCAGGACACTCATGGAGAACCTCTGCTAGGGTAGTGCAGAAAGGAAATGTGGGATTGGACCTCCACACAAAATCCCTCCTGGGGCACTGCCTAGTCCAGACCCCAGAATGATAGATCCACAGACAGCTTGCACCGTGCACCTGGAAAAGTCGCAGACACTCAATGCCAGCCCAAGAAAGCAGCCAGGAAGGGGACTGTACCCCGCAAAGGCACAGGGGCAGAGCCGCCCAAGACCATGGGAACCCACCCCTTGCATCAGCATGACCTGGATGTGAGACATGGAGTCAAAGGAGATCATTTTAGAGCTTTAAGATTTGACTGCCGTATTGGATTTGGGACTTGCATGGGCCTGTAGCCCCTTCATTTGGGCAATTTCTCCCATTTGGAATGGGTGTATTTACCCAATGCCTGTACCCACATTGTATCTAGGAAGTAACTAACTTGCTTTTGATTTTACAGGCTCATAGGCAGAAGGGACTTGCCTTCTCTCAGATGAGACTTTGGACTGTGAGCTTTTGAGTTAATGTTGAAATGAGTTAAGACTTTGGGGGACTGTTGGGAAGGCATGATTGGTTTTGAAATGTGAGGACATGAGGTTTGGTAGGGGCCAGGGGCAGAATGATATGGTTTGGCTCTGTCCCCACCCAAATCTCATCTTGAATTCCTATATGTTGTGAGAGGGAGCATGTGGGAGGTAATTGAATTATGGGAGCAGGTCTATTCCATGCTGTTCTTATGACAGTGAATAAGTCTTACAAGATGTAAAGGTTTTATAAGTGGGAGTTTCCCTGCACAGGCTCTCTTCTCTTGTCTGCTGCCATGTGAGATGTGCCTTTCACCTTCTGCCATGATTGTGAGGCCTCCCCAGCCACGTGGAACTGTAAGTCCATTAAACCTCTTTCTTTTGTAAATTGCCTTGTCTCCAGTATGTCTTTGTCAGCAGCATGGAAACTGACTAATACACCTCACACTGTGGAATAGATTTTCAACAAATAAATTTTGGGAGACACAAACATTTATTCCACAGTAACTATCAATCTCAAAATCCTAAAGAATCTATATGGAAAGCTTTAGTCTTCTTTCTCCACACCTTTCAAAATAAGAAATTTTTTCCTACCTCAATCTTTTCCATCTCAGATAATTACATTGTTACTCAAGCTTGCTTTTTATCCTTGATCATTTTCTTTCTGTAACCTTGAATATTTCCCTTCTCTAACTCTGTATAATTTATCAGGAAGTCCTACTCATATCTGATGTATTTCTGTGTCTTATGTCATTTCATCTCCACAGCTGCCTTCTTGATGCAAGCCAATGCCATGTTTTCTGGTTCTCTGTAATTCTCTTCTATCTGGTCTCCCTGCCTTCATATTCATTCATCTATCTCCATATAGGTGCCAGAGTGATGTTTTAAATGTATAAACCACATTATAGCACTCTTTTCATTGGAAAGTCTCACTGAAGGTAGAATAAAATCCAAACACTATTGATTTGATTTTTCTAATCTGCTTCCTTTTCAACCTCATTTCATACTATTGTGCTTTCTTGACCAGATTTCAGCCACTTGGACCTTTTGTTGTTTTTCTGTTCCTTAAAGATACAGGTCACTCTTAATTGAACATACTATTTTTTTCTGCTTGATACAGGAATTTTTTTCTCTCTCTTTCATACACTGCATGGTAGGCTCATTCTCATTTTATTGGTATTACATTTAAACAACCTCCAATCACCTCCTCAAAAGAGTCTTTCCAGACAGAATCTTTCCAGACAGAGTAAATAATTACTGTTTATTACGTCAACCTTTTTATATCCTTTAGACATTGATGTGATCTATAATAATTCCTTATATTTTTTCAGTTTGTTTACTATTAATCATATCTCATCTGTAAGGAGGGGTCCTTATCTGTTGTGTTTATAACTTTATCTGCAACACATAGCACCATACCTAGGTCATAGAGATTAATAAATATTTCCTGATTGAATGAATAATTGTTTAAATGGGCATTTCTCTAAAAGATCTCACTGCTAAGAAAGCCATTCTGTTGACTTCAGTCAAAACTCCTGCTGTAGCAGCTGGGCGTATGTGATGCGAGGAAGAGAGGCTTCTCTGTAGTTCGTAATCTCTTTCTTTAATCAATTAACTCAGGTTGTCACAGAGGACCATGATATTATTGTCATATTTTGACATGGAGTCATTTATCAAAATGTCTGCCATCTGATAGTACCCCATCTTGTTTTTCTTCACTGCTATAATACCTTCCTTCGCCTTCTACAGTTCTAAGGTCCTTATCCTACTCCTCTTCATCATCATTATCCTCATTCTAACTTACTCTTTCATATATCTTTTCCATAATTTCATGGATTTAGATCACTATAAAGAATTTAAAATTTTGCTCTAACCTTAAGTTGAATAGCTTTGGAGAAGCTTTTTAAGAGATTCTGAAATATCTTGAGAGTTCAGACCCTAAAACATGAATTCCAAACTTTATATCTTCATTGCCTTGACTATAGAAATGGCAGAATTTGTTCTTTATGCACAGGAGTTCTCTAAAGACTACTTTTGACATTTAGGAAAAACATAATGAAGAAATATTTTGGCTCCCATTGCTAATTCTACTTGATTTCTCTAGTTAGACTCTGTTTTTCCGAATGCAAAACTTTTATAAAAGCAGACAATGCAGTGAATTCTTGCTCTTAAATATTTGGTACAACGGCCCTATATCTTGGAGCAATTTCTTAACCCTGGCAAATAAATTATTCCTATGGCTGTAGCCTGAATTATATTTTCTCTAAGTAGAACAACAAGCCAGCCCGAAAGCCCATTTGCTCAGTGCTAGTGTTGACCATATAAATAAGCATTTTAAAAGACAATGATAACTTGCACTCAGACAGCATTGCAAATTGAAACCAATAAAACAAATCTCATTATATTCTGCTGCCAAATACCCCACTAGCTGTACCACTTTCTTCTTAAACATTCTGACTTTTTCTTGATTTCACTATAATCTCAGGAATTATAAAAAAATTAGTTCCTTTTCAGATTAAGTACAAAAAAATTTAAATTCTGCAGTGAGTTCTGTAAATCATTTAATAATCCATTCCAGACATCATGTGTTTTTCCCTTAAATTCTTATATAAAATATTTCAATCATGCAATTTAATTTTACATGTAAATGAATGGCTGGTTCATGCAATACTGTTTATTTCCAATTGAAATTGAGATTCATAATAAATCCTAAAAGGTATTTCTTTCTGTTATGAAATAGTGGTTTCAGATATTTGCCATCATATAGCCAAGTAAGGTACAAAGTCCAAACTTATGCTTTGATTCTGGTTTCTGTTACTAAACTCCTATTTTCATTTTCATGTCAATTGATTTAAAGAATTGAGAAATGCATCATCCAGTTTATATATTGTTAGAAACATGGAGAATATGTATCAAGACCAGTCTTCATTAATTATTTCATTCATTCATTTACTTATTACAGAATATTTGTGGGACACATACTTTGTGGCAGGCATATTCTCGGTGCTGTGCAACACAGGACATGCTCTTTGCCTTTATGAAACTTAACTGAGGATCGACAGACAATGTAGAAGTAAACAGTAAATGAACAAGATAATTTTAGATGTTAAAAATGTATTATGAGGAATAATGTGAAAAAGAGTGAGTATAGGAGTTACTTTAAATTGGGTAGCCAAGGAGGACCTACATGAGACAGCCTTTGGGCTGATTGATGAGAGAATGCCAACTAGAGCCAAAGCAAAAGCACTCTGAGCAAAAGAAAGAGCAAGTACAGTCATACTTGTGGCTCCTTCTTTCATCTGAACACTTACAGGTCATTGTAGGGTCACTAATTGGCCTAATTTCAACATTGTATCTCAGGGAATATGGAGACCCAAGTCGTGGGGGGGAGTGGGGGGCGGAGAGAGAGAGAGAGAGAGAGAGAGAGATGGGAAACAGCGGGTCGATGGAGCAGTCAGAACACACACGTGTATGGGTGAAGTTAGCCATCTTACATGGGTGCAATTCATGGCACACCAAAACAGTTACAATACTAACATCAAAGATCTCTGATCACAAATCACCAAAACAGATATACAAATAATTTTAAAAAATGAAAGATTGCAAGAATGACCAAAGTATGACACAGGCATACAGAGTGAGCACATACTATTGGAAAAATGGTGTCAATAGACTTGCTATTTCACATGGTATTGATAAATATTTTAAAGCAGGAATCTTCTAGCTCCTGTGCAATAAAGTGAGCACACTCAGAATTGTAGAGAGAAATGGGAGATGAGAGCAGGATACTTTCTGCTTTTTCTAAAGTGCCTTATTCTACAGTGAATGAGGGGAAAAAAAGGACATGCACTTTTGCTTAAAAAGAAAATTCACAATAAAAAAACAATTAGGCTCACCTTACAGATTTATGGTGCCTTTCAGAACAAAATTACTACATTTTATATGTTCATATTAAATAAAGTTTTAGAGTTTTCCCCGTCCATGCATTTCAGTCCCATGAATTTTCCCATTTTATGTGACCTTTTTTGTTTCTAGATAGAAATAATTATATGGCTTATTTGCCTAAGCACTGTTTTTTTCCCCTGATTTATTTTTTAATGTAGCAAGTTAATTGATACATCAATAATAGGAAATAGTATATATTAAGAGAGAAATAATGCTCAGAGCCTAAGCAAACTTTAATAACTAATGAAGGAATCAAGGCAAAATAGTTAAAAAATAGATACCTCTAGTTGAACTGTAACAATATCATTGAAACATTTTCTGGATTATCTCAATTTTATAAAAAGAAAAAAGTGTTTTTTTAATAGATGTCACAGGTGTCTATTTTTCTTTATGTTTTCTGATACTTATTGCTTAAAATGTCCTGTCAACAATTAAAAATTGAAAATGTTATCTTGTGAGGGCACTAAATGAAAAAAAATACTAGTGTCGTCTTATGGAATCATAATTTTAATTATTAAAGACTTGAGAATACAAATACGTGTTTTTCCTTCTGAGAAAAATAAACTTATTCAAGCTTCTTTTTAAAGGTGTATAGTTGGGTGCTAGCTGATTTAGAATATTGACCAAAGTTCTCTGAAACTGTATAATGTAAATTAAGGAAATTTACCAAGCAGAATACACTTTAACAGAATTTATCAGAAGTTATATTATAGAAAATTTAATTCACAAATTGAGTTTTATTTCGCTACATTTTTCAGACAAAAATAACAAGTATACAAGTGTTGATGGTTCAGAATAATAGATTTTCTTATATATAGTGCTTCTTTACAATACCTAGTAGTGAAATTTTATAAAACAAGGTGTATATCATGCCCTATCAAAAAAGTTTTCTATTCTATGTCAAAAACTTAGTCAAATATATTTTTCCCTTTTTGAGGAAGATATGTGCCTTTTTGCTAGATCATTTCAGACTATATGTCAGTTTTGATAATATACTTACTTTTAATTACCTTATATTAGTGACACTGATTCTCAGCTCTGCAAAATTATATGAAGGTGTTCTATTAAGACATGATGTTACTATGTTAATTAATTTCCTGTGACAAAGCTTACAAGTGAAGATATTTCTCCTTGGCATGCTGATTCTACAAAATACCCTATCCTTCCATCAGAACTCTGCAACTATTAGCAAGCTTTGTCAGGCTCACTGTGTTTCTGCTATTAAATTTTAAAATTTAACCATAAATATTATTGACAACACATTATAATTCTGAAGTGGATCAAATTATGAAATTCTATCTAATTCAGTCACCTAAGAGTTGAATAATAGAGATTATGATTTTACTGTGAAAAATCCTTAAATTGATTTTCAAATTATATGCTGCTATATATTTGAATCAAAAACAAGTGAACCAAAATCAAAGATATATTACTTTTCCCCCGTCATTTCTTTTCCATATCATGGAAGTGAAATTGACTAGGATGTTTTGCTCTTAGCATACATGTACATATCTGTACTATTGTAAAAATCAAAGCCAAGAGTGTGGATTTTTTTTGTAATAGGTTCATGCTTAAATCTTTTATGCTCTAATTTTTATATTAAGAACAGAAAATTTTAAAGAAAATTGAGAGGTAATAAAAAAGTTGCTGATTGCCTATTCAGGATAATAGTTATTGTGAATTATATTGAGAAAAAATCATAATTTTGAATATGTCCAATCATGCCAATATTCAAATATGCATACCTCAAATTAAGTTTCTCATTTATTTGAGAAATAACCTAGAACACAAATAAAGTTGAAATAGCAAAACAGAGCTCTAAATAAATATGAGCATTAACATTATTTTTTATCATAGCTATCTAATAGAAAACACAACATAGTCTTTTAAAATTGTGATAGAATTTTAAAAAATGTGTTACTAATTGTATAATTAATAAGAAAGCGTGTTTACATTTAAACATCTTAAGTATATCTACATTTCTTTATTATAGAAATTTCTTTATTATAGAAATTCCAGTTTCTAATTCAATATTTAAAGTACTTAGAAATTGACACACCATCCTAAAACCAAAGCTTCCCTTAGGGAGGGTTGGGAGAAAGACTAATAATACGCATTTTTGGCAGTGTACCAGGGTTCTTTCTTAAGGCTTCACCTTAATTCAATGAGTTCTGACTGAAGTCTGACAATTGATTGAGGGGTTATGACTCTTGGTTGTATAATTCAGGTCAGATTTTTGTTCACTTGACCTAGAACTTTTCTGCTTATATAGAAGAAATAAGAATTTAGAAGGCTTCTGCAATGAACTGAATGTTATATACCCCCAAAATTTATGTATTGAAATTCTAATCCCCAAAGTGATGATATTAGGAGGTGGGGCCTTTCAGAGGTGATTAGGTCAAGAGTACAGCTCCTTTATGAATGAAATTAGTTATTTTGTAGAAAAAGACTGGCAGAGATTTCTCCTCATTTTCATTACATGAGGTTATAGGGAGAAGACAGTCATCTGTAAAGAAACAGGCCTTCATTAGACAGCAAATCTCCCAGGGTCTTGATTTTGGATTTTCCAGACTCCAGAAATGTAAGAAATAAATTTCTGTGGTTTATAAGCTACTCAGTTTATAGTATTTTGTTATAGGAGCCTGAATGGACTAAGACAGAATCCTGTATATTTTGCTTGTAGGAACACTATGATCAACCAGCCATGATAGCTCTACACGAGCCAGACTCTTCTGATTGCTGTTTTGACTCTACCATCTACTATGGTAACCACATCCTCTTTGCCTTTGGCAGCTGCGTGGTACCACTTGGCCGCCTTGGGATCCAAGTGCTCCCATTGCATGTAGGTTTCCCAATTCAGTGACTGCAGTTCCCACTGGAAGATCTTGACTACAGAGAATAGTGATCACAGAGCTCTACAAGGATGCCAGGGCTCCTCTCACCAATTTATTCCTCACAGTGTTAGTGAAATGTATGCCTTCTGGATCCTCCCAGTGTGGAGGGGTAGATCTTAAATGACAAATCTACTCTAATATTCCAATCTCCCCATGCCTTTGAATCTTCCTCTACATTAAACTAAGAAAGGACTGGCATTTCCAACTTGCTCACTGTGGACCACTTTTTTTGGTCCATGTTTGAGCCAATGAATCAAATGGTTTAAAGCCCATTCTAACTCCCTGAGCTGCAATATTAAATGCAGAGTCTCTGCTTAGTGAGCCCATATCAATAAACTCAGCCTTATCCAACTTTTTGTTTCTTCCACTATTATTCTTTATCCCTAGTAGCCATTCCTACACATATTTTCTGGATTTGCCTTCATAAATTAGAAAACTCAGCAGTTCTTTTGGAGTGTAACATACCTCCTCATGTGTCACACTTTGTCCAGAAGCAAATGAGAGTTGTGGGCATTCTATTCTCAAATATTTTCAGACTTTCAACATGAAGGTCTTCTGAATTAAACCAATATATGAGGGCATGGTATCTGGAAGCATATCATTTGGTATGATTTTAATTATTAGATTAGCTTTATGAAAACAGTTAAACCTGGTCCTGATGGGAAGGATAGAAACACGCCACAAAATATTTTTTTTTTCTTGTGAAGATGTAGGTGTGGCTTCCAAAAACAAATAAATAAAAAAGATTTGTTCTCTTCCTAGAATCCCCACGCAACCTCCTTCCAAATTGGTAGAGAACATCATTCAATAACATATAGTTCAATTAAACAAACAGCAAGCATTTCTGCAGGCTGGATCACTCTTGAAGCCATGTGGGAAGTGAGTTTGGGGAGTTGGGGAAGAGGGAGGCACTCTGGAAATAAAGGTACTAATTGGTAGGCAATAATCTTGGTGAGATGTGATGAACATATAAAATACTAAAGATACAATGTGGACAGAGAGAAAAATAAGTTAGACATTTTCAATTGAGTCTTGGGGGCAGAGCCAGACTGCAGTGGATGAAGAATTTAGTATTGTTTCTAAGTGACAACCACAACAGAGACTGTGAGAAACTCAAGTTTGAAAGACACTTCTTTATGGTACACTGAAGCTTGTACAGAGATCTCATGACTCCCATCCAGACATCTTTCCATTGCGTTACCTGCTTCGGCCCCTGCCTATACAAGGAGAATATTTCATTTGAAGGAGAAAGAAAAGTTAATATATCCAATTATGACATGGTGTTTTGTACAACCAAATACTTCTTTAATCAGGCTATAAGTAACTATACTATTTTATATGATGTCCTCACTCTCAGCAAGAGGTTTTTAATCATCTGTTGCTCCAGTTGGTTGCTGTTAGACATCTGCTTTTGAATTCAATTTTTTTTGAACAGATCACCCAAAAGTTATGTTTGTATTATTACCCAGGTAAATAATTTCCTTCCAGTCTTGCGGCTCTGTGCTAACCAAATCATTAGGCACCCTGCCACTGCCTCTTATTACAGGGAAAAAAAAAAAGAAAAACACATATCCATGTATTTTATTTTGGTTTTCTTACTTCCTTGCAGCAACTTCTCATTCTTTTAGCAAATATTTTTAATGGTCTATGTGTTAGTTGTTATGGCTTTTCACAAATATTCTGGGATTCCTCTCCTTCTAGGTTTGGTAGGATTGCATTCTCCTGCACAATCTGAAGTTTAGTGTGGCCATGTGACTTGCCTTGGCTAACTAAGTATAAACAAAGTAATCTATTTATTTTCAGGAAGACACTCTAAGAACTGAACAGGAAATCCCAATGTCCTCTTTCCTGCCACAGAGATTTTAAAAGCATGTGTGCAATGATAGAGTCTAATTTTGCCTAGGACCTCGTGTAATGCCTGCTTTGAAATTGCAGTGTGAGTAAGAGACTTCGGAACTATCTGCTACTAAAAATACTAAACTTTGTACATGGAGGAGTGTTGCTCATGTGAAAAAATTCTAAAATACGTGGGATTGTCTTTAGTGATATATTGGTGAGGAATTAGAAAAAATTTGAAGAGTAGACAAAATAAGATTAGAGTTTGAAATAATAAAATATTGGATAAAACTGTTATTTTTTGTAACTTAGAAAGAAGATCAGCCTGTAGCTCTAGAAAATGGCAGAAAACAAAGAATCTGATTTCACAATGTTTTCAAGAAACGGATAAGCCCAGAAAAGACTTGGTAAGCTCAAGAAGGCATTGAAAGGAATAGGGAGAATGGATAATATCAGGGTCTTTCAGGGTTGAAAGAGGCAACTACTTCTCAACCCCAAAAGATAGAACATAAAGATGAGAAGAACATGGATCTATGAGGGCCTATTCACAATTTTAGAGTTGCAGCTGAATTTGATCAAGGAAATGGCCAATATCCTTACTAGTACATCTTCAGATTTGGTTATATGGTATTCCTGAAAAAGGACCCAGGATATAATCCCAAGCAAATACTTTGAATTGGGAAAAAAAATGCTCTAGGAAAATTGACAAAGCCTATGGCTTTCCCTCTGAAAAACATTATGCTCAAGGTACCCACTCATTACTAAGTCTAATGAGAGAGGATAGGGTTAAGAAAGCAAACACACATCACAAATTATAAATAATGTCTAGAGAAAGAACACTATTTGGGAAAGAACAGTGAGCATAGATTTTGACACATGGAGGTCACTGGAATATACTAGACAAGATTATTAAAAAGATTTTTGAGAGAGATTTATTTATTTATTTATTTATTTGACAAAGAATTAGCAGCCTCACAGAAGAGACTGATTATTTGTAAGCTATAGTGAACCATGTAGTTCAGAAAGTGGGCTGAGGAAGAGCTCAGGGCCAAGATGGTCATATTTGCCAATGCCTATTTCAGTTATGGCCAGAAAAATAACAGAAAAGGATGAGTTTTCTAGAAGGCAAAATGAGGAGCTGTAGAGAGCTCTAAACAAAGAAAGCTCTCTCAGGGAGTGGCTCAGGGTCTACTCAAGATACTCTCCATCCAGAGGATGGGGTTCCTCAGAATGTCTATTCATCAGGATGTCAGAATTGCTACTTCCACTGTCTGTATTATGTCATCCTTTCCCCTTGTCTGAATGGGAATATTTACTTTGGTTATTTTATTATTATATGTATTTTGAAAATATAATACTGATTAGGCTATTAAACCTCTCTGCCTACTCGTTGTCTGTACCTAAACCTTAATATCAGGGGGAACAAAACAATAAACACATTTACTGATTGATCTAATTAAAATCAAGACAATACATTTCAATAGAACTCAGCAATGCCTATTTTTCACACTTTATGTAAGTAATTATTATTTTCCCTTTTACCTCGAACACTATATACTTTGTCCAGCCTCTTACTGTCTGCTGACAAGAAAGTAAACACAAACAGAAGCAAAACCTCCTCCATCTTCTCATCATAAAATGCGAGTAGCATTTTTCTCTCTCTTTCCTTTATTTTGTTATTACTGATAAATTGCCCTTCCCTCTATCAAAAGTTGATACCCCACTAGGCAAATATCCTCTCTCTCTCCTGCATCAGAAATTTCTCTCCTTCTACTCAATCATTCCTATAAGCCTTTAAATATCCAATATCCTCCATCTCCTCTCCACATATATTTTCAATCTGTATTAACAGTAAATATTTTGAAGAGTTGTCTGTAATTCCTTTACTTCCTCTTTTCACATACTTGCTCCAGTTAAGTCCATATAGGCCTTCATTCCACCTCTCTGTTGAGACTATCCATATCAACATAACTAAAGAGCACCATGCTGAAAAGTCCCCTTGTCACTTTTTTGCTTTTTCTTAATTGAGATCTCAATATCAGTTGACTCATTTTATCTTTCTTTTTTATAACTTTTCTTCTCTTGGCCTCTGTCACATCACACTTCTCAGATTTCCTCTTACCTCCAGGAACTCATTCTCAGTATTCTCTTAATTGATTCTGCTTCTCTGCTTGATCGCTAAGTGCTGGACCACTGGCCTCAGTTTTGGGACTCCTTGTCTACTTCCATGCTCCCAACTAGATGATCTCATACAATCCCAGAGCTTGATATAACATCGAGATATGCTAATAGCTCCCAGATTTATGACTAATCCACACCGTTTCCACTAACCCTGACTAATACATTTAACTATCTATTTTATTTTCCTATGTGTATTTCTAATAAGCATCAGACACTTTATGGAGACAAAACCAAAATCTCATTTTTTCCCCCCAACCAAACCTGCTCTTCTCTCAGCTTTCCCAAGTCAGCAAATAATAACATCAGCCAGGAAATGCTCTGGAAACAAGCCTAAGAGGTTACCTTAAGTCCTTGTTTTTCCTCACTTTGTACATCCATTCATCAACAAAACCTATTGACAGAGTATGCACAGAAAACATGTTAAACTAATCTGTCTTCCACTTGCTACCTCTATTTTCCTAATCCAAGCCTCTCTTATTTTTGTCAGGTCCATTCCAGTAGTCTCCTAATTCTGCCTAATGCTTTCCTGCATTCGGTTCCATCACAATTAGTATCAGATATAAATCCATTGCTTTGGCTTTTATAGCCCTCTATTAAATTGCCCTGCTTGTCTGCCATCCTATCTCTTTTCCTTGCTCAATGTACTCCAGCCACACTTTATTACTTTTTTTTCCTCCCACTCCTCTGACACAACAAGCTGTGTTCTTCTTCAGTGCCTGTCTACTCCCTGTTCCCACCTTCCATCTCATGATTATTCAACTCTACCAAATACCAATTCCTCAGAGAGACTTTTGCTGGAGGCCTAACCTAGCCCTCGCCTGGCAATCTGTATCACATAAACTTCTTTTTGACGTATTTTCTTACTATCTAAAATGGTCACTTTCACTTGTTTCCTCGTGTTTGATTTGACACCCCACACTTGACTGTGAGTTCCAAGAGGTCAAAGACCTCTCAGTCTTTTTCACCAAATATCTTCAGTGTCTATGTGTTTGAATTTTATTTTAAATGCATATTTCTTCATAACGGGATAGTTCGCAGATCCTTAGTACTGTTTTGTTTCAGTCCTTGGATTTATCACAATTCGAGCCTTTATCTGTGCCTTGATTCCTTCCTAGACTTCCATGTTTCCTGTCTACATTCTACTTCCATCTTTGCTAACTAGCTGCTTAGCCCTGGCATGAAAACTCCTTTCACTGAGTACAATATAAAACCATCAAGAAAATAATTTTGCCATTTAAAACTGATCAGCAAGATACAGTCTTATTCCTATTTCCAAGTCTCGTCCTAATTTTTGTTTATGCAGAAAATGACAGAGAAAAGCAAGAAGGGACAGGGAGAAGTGAGTTTATAGAAAAAACAAATTAGAAAGCAACTCAGAAAAGATGACAATAAAACTATTTTATGAGTTTGCCTTAATTCAGATATTATTGTATCTTATAGGACTTTTGTCAGTTTCTGAATCTCTACATCATGACTTTCTTCTATCTCTATAAAGTCAAGAATTTAAAAAAATATTTTACATTTGATTTTCATAATTAAAATATGTAACTGTGAAAATGTTAAATCACAGAAACACACAAAGAAATTACTTAGACATAATTGTTGCAAAACTATTACAGCAGCAAGATAACTACATGTACATGACATACCTTTAATTTTCAAGCATATAGCTATTTAGCTAGACCTATGTTGACATTAGAGAGATACACGTTTGTAATAGTATAGTTGATTTTAGTTTTGTACTCTTATGAAGATTTTGTTCGCATAGTAAATAATGTAATATAGCAGGACTAGACATAGTTCCACTGTAAAGACATAGTCATCTAAGAGAAGCTTTATGATGCACGTTTTTGGTTAAACGGGTACCCCTGTCTTTATATCTAAGCAAACTGCTATCATATTAGCTTTGTATGCAATACAAAGACTCCAGTACAACTAACCATTAAGTTAGTCTCAGAAATGTCCATTTGAAAATAAATATTTTAATTAAATGTGCTACTTTTGCCAACAAATGTAAACCAACTCATTTCTTTATAAAATAGCTGTCTTTTTCAAACATCTTTTGCAGCTTTGACCAAATCAAGGACATCTTGGCCCACGGCCACAGCTCACAGCTATGTTTATACGTGTTGTCAACAAGGGCAAATGCATGCAGTGCATCAAGACAGAAGCAAAGATGTTACATAGAGAGAATAGGACATATGATGAATTTTAGTGAAGGAATTTCATTTGACATTATTCTATTTTAGTTTTTTCCTATTGAAATATTAGAAAAGAAGTAGCTTTGCTATATTAAAGGCAGTTACTTAGAAGAAACTCTCTAAATACTTAAAAAAATTTTTTTGACAAAGATACAGAAAAAAAAAGTCAACATTGCCTGAAAAGCATTGAAGGTGAAATGGACCATAAATTTAATTCCAAAAGAAAATGTGACTAGTAAAATAAATCAAGGTGAGGTACCGAACAAATTATTGGACCTCAGAAGAGAACCATATCAATATTTGTAGGAAAGATAGATGATACAGGAAAAGAAATATTTTATATAATTATTGATACTTATAGACATAAGGAAATAAAAATCCAAATGAGATTGTCATATTTTTTCAATGGATTAGTGACAGATTTCCTAGGTTTAAGAAATAACAATTAAATGTCAAATCAAAAATTTGGAAAAGGAATATCAAGCTAATAGTTGAAAAATGAAATAATATAATTTTAGACACAGCATTTCAACTTCAGCTTAATGTTGCGGAGTGAGTGAGAAAAACCTGACTTTAATACAAATAAAAGTGGAATTTTAAAATGCCCTTTATAAAGATTATGTGTTATTTTGATACATAATTGATGAGAGTATAAATTGGTACAATTTTTGGATCCTTATTTGGCAATAGATATCTAGAGATGTGAAACTGAATATTTCTCACTATGCAAAAAAGAAAACCATTGAAAATATTTTCATAAAGTAATCTCCTCTCCAAACAATATTTTCACCTTTGAGATGACAAGTATAACTGCAGTGGTGATTCATCTAGAGTATTAAAAATATTACTGAGCTTCATAGCTGCCCAAGAGGGATACAGAGTAAAAGTTCTTTTAAAATTTCCCCTTTTACTGCAATACATCTTTCCTTAAAAAAAAAAAAAAAAAACTCTAGAAAACTATGCATTACAAAAAATGTACTTTGTCTTTCACAGATAGGACAGAGAGTTAAATAAAGGACTAGCTTGCTACAGGCTACTAGGAAGAATGAACGAACAGGTGTGCCTCTTCCTCTCTTTTCCTTCTTAGCTCTATTTTCTTTTTAACTTTACTGTCCCATAGCCTCCTCTGAAGTTGTTTGTCTCCACCATATTGAGACTGAATTGTTGTGATGGAAATGTGTGCTTAGCCAATAGTTTAGATAAATGATATCTCCCATGTTTTCTCTGTTCTGTTCACAAAAAGATACTAAAATAATACATTGGCTACTATCTTCCTACATAAAAACACAACAAGGTAAAATGCCCCCCTTCCCCCAAAAAAATTACTCTCTAAATGTCAATGCCACATTTTCTGAATTTGGAGTTCATTTTGTATTTATTCCTTCTCTTTCTTATCAAAACCGTAATATAAAATAGTAACTAGAAAACAGTCTCAATTTTAACCTCTACCAAAATTTATTTCTCAGCATAAATCAGAAATATTATGGAATTAAAGTAGTTCAATAAGGTATCTTAGAAGAGATAATATTTAAATTTAAAAAAGAAAAAGTGAACAAGCATATTGAAGAAACAAGTTTCGTAGAGGGGAGCCTTAGTCCACTTTCTGTTGTTGTAACAGAATACCACAGGCTGGGTAATTAATAAAGAAAAGAAATTTATTTCACTTACTGTTCTGGGGGCTGGGAAGTGTAAGAGCATGGTTCTGGCATCTGATCAGGGCCTTCTTGGTAAATCATATTATGGTGGAGGCCAACACATGGCAAGAAGGCAACAGCGCAAGAGAGAGCTCCTTTTTATAAAAAAGCTACTTTCTCAGTAACAAACTCACTCCTGTGGTAACAACATTAATCCATTCATAAGGGCAGAGTGCTCATTAATCCATTAATCTATTTAGGAGGGCAGAGGGATTGTGTTTCCAACACATGAACTTCTAGGGGACACATTCAAACCATAGCAAAAAGAAAGTACATTTTTTAAAAAATTAATTAGTGACTTTTTAAAAAAATATTTACTGAGAGGCAATCGGGTGCTAGAAACTACAATGGGATGATATGCTTTTTGGTGTTGTAACGATATGAAAGGCCAAGTTATGGAGTATCTGGAAGCCAGTAGTAGAAAGAAGGACTGAAACATGCAAAATAAAGTCTTTGAAAATTCTTAAGGAAGAAATAATATAACCACAATCTTGTATTTAACACTATAACTGAGGTCCACAAACTATTGTCTGTGGGTCTGCTGTGGTCCCCTCAAGCTAAGAATGCTTTGTACATTTTTAAGTGGTTAAGAAAAGAAAAACAATATTTGACGATGTGAAAATTATGTAAAAATCAATTTCAATGTCCATAAATGAAGGTTTTTGGAACACAGCCACAATTCATTACGTATTATCCGTGGCTGCTGTTGCACTACCAAAGCAGACCTGAGTATGTAGCAGCTGTAGCTTCAGGTATTTCCCAATAAGTAGGATCATTTTCCCCCTTTACTCAAGTTTTAGGCAAGTTGAGAAATAAAAAAGTAAAGCAAATGATATTCTAAGAATGTGGGTCTATTAATTAATAAAGCTAACATTGGAGAGTAAATCTTATATTTTTTGGGCTGTTGGAAATTCCTAATAATGGATCTCATTTTAGGAATATTTGTGTATTATGTCAAAAGAAGTACTGGGCAATATAAGCTCCCATTCTGGGGAGCAGGCCCCTTTTACCACACGTCACAGACCAAGGTAGGATATATATTTCCTTTAAGAAGTTATGTCCCGAAGAGGAGGAAATGAAAGGGTCATAGCTCTTTATGCCATTTTCTTATGATAACTTAGCAATCAGCTAAGTGAATCCTACTTTCCAGAGGAGGAGTAATCACAGAAGCAGGAAGAACATGTGAGTGTTTTTGTTTGTTTGTTTTTTAATCATGAGAATTGAAGGACTGAGAAAGAAATACTCCACTTCAGCCTTCAACTTTTTTTTTTTTTAACCCTCTGGCTTTAAACAATAAGTCAATTGCCAACCACAGCCATGGGTGTCCTCTTTACAGCAGCACCCCACTACTGGTATCAATTAGTCTGTTTCATTAACTAGACTGTTTCATTAATTAGACTAACAGTCTGTTTCATTAACTAACTAGTCTGTTTCATCAATTAGACTAACAGCATTAGTCTGTTTTCATGCTGATAATAAAGACATACCCGAGACTGGGTAATTTCTAAAACAAACAGGTTTAAAGGATTCACAGTTCCACATGGCTGGGGAGGCCTCACAATCATGGTGGAAGGCAAAGGAGAAGCAAGGGCATGTCTTACATGGCGGCAGGCAAGAGGGCTTGTGCAGGGGAATTCCCATTTATAAAACCATCAGATCTCATGAAACTTATTCATTACCATGAGAACCGTATGGGGGAAACTGGCTCAATGATTCAATTATCTCCACTTGGCCCTACCCTTGACATGTGGAGATCATTACAATTCAAGGTGAGACTTGGGCGGGGGCAAAGCCAAACAATATCATATGGACAGTCCTGTCCCTACCTTCCTTGATTACAAAAAGCTAATCCACTGTGGCTCCTTTTGGGATCACTGGTGCAAAGGATGGGTTTTACACCTAGAAGGCTTTAAAATTTGTCAGAACAATGTATTAATAAAATTAACTCTAAATGTATTCTGTGACCAAAGCTTTACATTCAGCCCCCACACTATTTCCTGTCCAAAAGTTTCTAGCCAAGCTGTCTGACATAGCCTATCTGAGATTTTATAAGCAATGAAATTAAAGACACTATGAAAATATTGCTATAATACATTGAATAAATAAACTTTTGATAATAAATTACCAGTAATAAAAAGGCTGCACAATTTTAGTATAAAACTCCTCTCTTCATTATCAAATTCCCAGGGAGAATATAAATTCTGAAATTACAATTCCTCATGAGTTAAAGTCTAAAGAAGTCAATGTGCCTGTTGTTTGCACTCCCAAGAGTCGATATCCCTTGCCTCTTCTTTCTGATTTATTTTCCCCTGGGTTTCATATCTTAATTATTTTAATCACTTATACCCTCATCTGTAACACTAGAAAGCTGGGAGTTTTCACCATCATCTACTACACATTCCACAAATATGATTCTAATTACATCTCCTAAGTCACTCTTAAATGAAATGTCCAGTTCTCCTATTTTACTTGGTACTCACCTAGGGAAAACTTTTATAACCCTCAACTTGACTACTGTAAAAGCTTCCTACAGTTCTTTTGCCTTCAGTCTCCTCTCCTCCTCTTGTCATTTACATTGGACAGAAATTATACCTGATTTGACCATATCTCCTAGCATAGAAAGATCTCCTATATAAAAGGCTAAGTGGGCCGGGCATAGTGGCTCACGTCTGCAGTCCCAGCACTTTGAGTGGCGAGGCAGGCAGAACATGAGGTCAGGAGTTTGAGATAAGCCTGTCCAATACGGTGAGACCCCCTCTCCACTAAAAATACAAAAATTAGCCAGGGGTGCTGACAGGGCCTCTGTAGTCCCAGCTACTCAGGGGGCTGAGGCAGAAGAATTGTTTAAACCCGGGAGGCAGAGGTGGCAGTGGGCTGAGATTGTGCCATTGCACTCCAGCCTGGGTGACAGAGCAAGAGTGTCTTAAAAAAAAAAAAAAAAAGGCTAAGTGAAAAAAAAACACATTTCTGTAAAAAAAAGGTATCAGCCCACTTATAAATACTTATAAATACTTACAACGGAAATAACCTTTATGTATGCATGCATAAAAATGGATAAATGAACCCTTTAAGTACCTGGAAACACCAACAGTTTCAGTGATTTCCTCTGGGGCAAAAAGATAGAAAGACTAATCTGGGGTGGGTGAATATAAAGTGGAATGTTCTATGCTATTCTACACAATTCTGCATTATTTAATTCTTCTAATAACAGAATATTGCTATGCATTGTTTTATTAGAAAAAGCAAAAAATATCTGTAAATACATAAAGCAACAACAGTGTAATAAATGTGACATCTATGTGAAACCATGTAAAACCCTAGACACAGTGTCTAGTCAGCAGGCTTTCCGTTGCTCTGAGTGTGAGGTGGTAAACTTTTTGGTAGGGAAGCAGTAATGGAGAGTGAATAGTGGTGTCAGAGAAAAGAGGGTAAAGCAAAAGCATATCCGCAATGGAGAAATCCAAATCCATCACCCAGGCTAGCAGATAAAAGAGAATTTAAACATCAAAGTTTACTTCAAGGTATCCATCTTGACAGGAGTGATGATTTACAAGTGACATGAATGGTGTATATATGAAGTCAACATACTTTTTCAGGTGACAGTTTTATTTTCATCTTAACTTGCTGAGTTTGAGATAATAATAAAACAGTCAGGTAGAGGCGTTATGTCAGTAGTCAGAGTTGCAACCTTAACAGCAAAACTTAAGGTGGGAGATTTCATATTAAGTATAAAGGAAATAGCTGAATTCATGAATCCTTGTGGGGAAGGAACAGAAGGAGATATGACCAAAAGGCTGAGCACAAACCTCTAAACGGAATTATGAAAGGAGTTGAAAGGTAGCAATAAGAATAGAATAGATAAAGAATGTAGAACGTACCAAGAACTCAAAGGAAGAAAACATTCCAAGCAATGCTGGAAGATCAGCATATCAGATTTTACAGTGATGTCAAGGATGAGTGTGTATAAAAAAAGTCCTTTCATTTTAATTAGATCCCATTTGTCAATTTTGGCTTTTGTTGCCATTACTTTTGGTGTTTTAGACATGAAGTCCTTGCCCATGCCACTTATGTTTATTGCGGCACTATTCACAATAACAAAGACTTGGAACCAACCCAAATGTCCAACAATGATAGACTGGATTAAGAAAATGTGGCACATATACACCGTGGAATACTATGCAGCCATAAAAAATGATGAGTTCATGTCCTTTTTAGGGGCATGGATGAAGCTGGAAACCATCATTCTCAGCAAACTATCTCAAGGACAAAAAACTAAACACCGCATGTTCTCACTCATAGGTGGGAATTGAACAATGAGAACACATGGACACAGGAAGGGGAACATCACACACCGGGGCCTGTTGTGGGGTTTGGGGAGGGGGGAGGGATAGCATTAGGAGATATACCTAATGTTAAATGACGAGTTAATGGGTGCAGCACACCAACATGGCACATGTATACATATGTAACTAACCTGCACGTTGTGCACATGTACCCTAAAACTTAAAGTATAATAAAAAAAAAAGTCCTTTCAGTTTGGTAAGAAATAGTTATTAGTGATCTTAGAAAGAAAAGTTTCTGTAAATGTATATTTTCCCTTTTAGGAAGAAAAATTAAAATAGGCTATATTGTACAAGTCAATGTGCTATATATACCATATTCAACATATATTCTGTGAGAAGAAGCTAGTACGGGTAAATGATATGAACAGGTGATAAACAGACGGTGAAACCAATAGCTATCAAATATATGAAGAGATCCTCAAGCTCATTTATAATCAGAGAAATGCAAATTACAGTAAAATAATTTACCACTTTACAACCATCTGATTGGCAGAAATTGGAAAGTTGAATAATAATAATATTAGTGGGGATGTGGAAAAACCAGAGCAGCTTAATCTTGCTGAAGAGCACTTTGGCAGTACTTATTCAGATTAAAGCTGCATATATCCTATGACAGAGTGTTACTATTCCTGGTTATACAGCCCAAAAATATTCTCCCACGAGACAAGGAAGGAACATTTATGATGATTGTATCACTCAGGAGAAATGAGGTGATGTTGCTGTAACTTCCACATCCCTTACACTTGAAACAACTTAAGTCTGATTTTTGTTCCCACTGCCAGTCCATCTCAGGTTGACTCTGCTTGTTGTATTCTTCTGAGACCCATGGAGTATAACCCACCTCAATCATTGTCAGTCATTGTGAAGGGTGGAAAGATAGAGATTTGGAAAGGCCCAACACAGCAATTAAACATACCAGGCCAGAAGTAATACCTGCAGCCTTGGCCCACACTCATTAGCCTGATATATATGATCTTAGAAAGAAAAGTTTCTGTAAATGTACATTTCCCCTTGTAGGAAAAAGAAATGTATATTATAGGCTAAACTGTACAAATCAATGTGCTATACCATTTATATATATGTAATAAATGGTCAGAGATTATCATTTTCCTCCCGTGTATTTACATATTGTGTGTTGCGGGCTGAATGATTGCATGCCCCAAATTCATATCTTGAAACTTTACCTTGCAATTTGATAGAATTAGAAGATGGAGTATTTGGGAGGTAATTAGAATTAGATGAGGTCATGGGAGCACAGCCCTCAGATGAGAAAAGTGTCCTTATAAGAGTCCAGAGAAAGCTTACTTCTCTCTGCTCTCTGCCAAGTGAGAATACAATGAAAAGTTGGCAGTCTACAATCCACATCAGACAACAATACAGGGAGGCAAACAAATTTTAAGATACATAGCAAACACATTTGAGTGAGTTGACTATGGGGTACAGAAAGGAGATTGAACTTTGGAATGGGGGGAAAAGTGATAAATGAGTAAAATAAAAGGTGTCTCATACTGATCTTGATGATAGTCGCCATGAATGGAGAAATATGAGGTGCTTCACATGAGGTTATTCACAAAAATTAAGAAGCTTAAATGTAATAGAAGTTGAAATGGTTTGGCTGTGTCCCCACCCAAATCTCATTTGAATTGTAGCTCCCATAATTCCCATGTGTTGTGGGAGGGACCTAATGGGAGATAGTTGAATCATGGGGCAGTTTCCTCCATTCTGTTCTTGTGGTAGTGAATAAGCCTTACAAGATCTGATGGTTTTATAATTTGGCTCTCTACTTTAATTTGGCTCTCATTCACTCCTGTCTGTCACCATGCAAGATGTGTCTTTTGCCTTCTGCCATGACTGTGAGGCCTCCCCAGCCACGTGGAAATGTGAGTCCATTAAACCTATGTCTTTATAAATTACCCAGTTTGGAGTATGTCTTTATCAGTAGCATGAAAACAGACTAATACAGAAGTCATCAAAACTTTAGAGCATGCATCTAAAAGTAACTAGGCAAATTGAAAACCCAGTGGGGAAGGTATTATAAAAGTGTTCTATGAAGTATCACTTGCCTATTAGAACGAGAAACATTTTGAAAATGAAAGAAAATGTAGGGTGTTTTACAAGTAGACATGGAAACTGTGGTTGTGGTAAAATGGACTCATCAAGTACTGCTAGGTGATAAGAGAAAGAAAAAAGATGGAGATGAAAAGGAAATGCAATGAAATCGATCCATGTTTGAGGAAATCTGTGCCTTTTTTGTCCTTTGTGGGGGCAAGTTTTACAGGACAGGAAAATGCTAAGAATGATAGCTCAGAATAAGACAAGTTATTATTGGCAACTGCTTATTAGAAATGCTAAATCAAGAAAGAATATTAATTGCTGTTCTCAGTTTTTAAAGAAACTATGCTTGCTGACGTAGACAGATGTGAAAGCTCAACATATAATACACGTGTTCCCTAACACTTGCCATAAAATATAGGCTCTCCATAGTGATGTGGCAATAACTAACACTTTCAGGCCCATCTTCATTTACTGCTGAGCCTTTTTGCCTCCTTGCATTTATGACGTTTCTTCTCAAAATAAGTCAGCCCTGTCTATGATTTGATTTGTGTCAGCATGACCCATCTGCTTTTCTGTCCTCCCAGAAGTAAACAATTATGTGGTGCTACTTGATGAGTTTGAGCCTGACCTTAGACTAGAAATGCCCACCTTGTCAGCACTTGACGCCTACCTATTACTTCTCCTGACCCCTTCCCCTTCAACATAGTCAAACAGCATAACATACCAAAATTGCCTAGGGATCTTATTTCTCCTTCTCTTTCTCTTGTTACATGTTCGGGTCAGAAGCTTCAGTGAACATGCATATCAAGCCGATGGCTGCCAGAAACTCATAGCCACATTTTTAGGGAAACTACTCATAAAGATCATTCCTTACATTACCTTACTTTATATAATATTGTGTCATTTTTGAAACGTGCTTTTGCATTTGTAGGAAGTTCCTGAATTTCCCAGTTAAATGAAAAAAAAAAAAGTTAAAATTAGCAAGTTGGCACAATTGCAGTGTTGAAAAAGCTGAAAGTGATTTTTGTGGTTAGTCAAAGTTTCACAGTTCTCTTTTGGGAAAAGCATGACCTCTATTTTATAGATCCAGAACTTGATGCCACATTGGAAATATATTCAAAGGTGAGAAATAGTAATGAGAGGAGGAAGGGCAAAAGGACAGAGTTAATATCACGGGCTTTTAAAATAGCTTATTATTTACTCAAATTTTTAGTAATTTCACATTGCATTAAATATTTGAAATAAAACTTACTTGAGTTAATTCTAATATTCATGTAGACCTTAATGATAATGTATTAATGCTTGATTCACTTTTATTTAGAACTCAAAATAAATTGCCGTCCTAAAATATGCTATTAGCTAGAGATGCATATGGTTTAGAGAGAAGATAATAAACATTGATTTTTGCTGAGGTGAAGATCAAGTTAAAATCAATCGATATTTGTTCATTTCAACAAAATCTTAATATTACCAGCATCAAAATCCAGTGAGTTTGATTCTTCACTCTTTCCACTGGAGATACTATGGGAAACACAGCAGCCCCTGGAGAACTGAGAAAATTATTTCTCTGAAACCTTCTTGTGTCCCGTGTTGGCCGTCTTCCTGCCTCCAAATGAATAGAGTCCTGTCCAGCTTCCTTGGCGGGGAATTAAATGACTAGGCTAAAAAAGAGGGATGTCTTTTCTTTAAATGTCCCCTGCTTCACATTAGGAGTAATAACTCTCCTTTTGGATAATTTAAAAAGAGAAACAAAAATTGAAATGGAGTACTATTGAATAAACAGTGAAGAGTAAGTCAGTCGTGTTTTCGTATACTTCCTTTAAATCCTAAAGAATTTTTAATAAACCATTGCTTGTTAAATCATTGTTGTACCACTGTTTCAAAAAACTTTTAATAATAAACTATATAAAAATTGATGAAATTTTTTCCCACTATCACTACAGCAGTATTATTTAATTTTTGAAACTTTAAATTATTACTTTGATGTTTTTATACATTTTTCAGATATAGATCGAGAATTACCCCTGTTAGATAACTACCTTAATAATGAAAATCAATTTTTACCTGCTTTTAAATTTTTCTTTCTTCATATTGGCAACCATAAAGTCACTCAAATTTCACACAAAAAACATCAACTTTAAAAATAAGCAAAATTCACCACACACACAGGCACGCACGCACACACACACGCACACACAAATGCACACACGCACACAAACTCACAGACCAAACGAGGAGCATCCCAATGTAAAGGTTACAATGCCCTGCCACATGAACTGTGTTTTTCCTTCTGTACACTTCCCTCCTCATCCTATTTTGAAAAGAAAGTTCAAACAATTGATTGTGAAGGCATATGCTGTGACCAGGTGTTACCTGCTTTATTAACATAAGAGAGAAATCAAACCACAAAATGTTAGAGTTAGAAGTTTCCTTATGCACCTGGTTTCACCTGCCCATTTTACATAAAGAAAGCATTCAGAAAGGTTGACACAGCCATAGAAAAGATGGAAGAGCCAGGAATAGACAGATCTCTAGTACATAACTTATAAAAATAAGGGCCACAGCTTGTAGCTTGCATAATTTTCCAAACCTGAGATGAAAATTTGAGGTCTAATATTTCTATTAAAGAGAGATTTTGAGCTCACCATCACTGGCCATCAGAGAAATGCAAATCAAAACCACAATGAGATACCATCTCACACCAGTTAGAATGGCAATCATTAAAAAGTCAGGAAACAACAAGTGCTGGAGAGGATGTGGAGAAATAGGAACACTTTTACACTGTTGGTGGGACTGTAAACTAGTTCAACCATTGTGGAAGTCAGTGTGGCGATTCCTCAGGGATCTAGAACTAGAAATACCATTTGACCCAGCCATCCCATTACTGGGTATATACCCAAAGGACTAGAAATCATGCTGCTATAAAGATACATGCACACGTATGTTTATTGCGGCACTATTCACAATAACAAAGACTTGGAACCAACCCAAATGTCCAACAATGATAGACTGGATTAAGAAAATGTGGCACATATACACCATGGAATACTATGCAGCCATAAAAAATGATGAGTTCATGTCCTTTTTAGGGACATGGATGAAGCTGGAAACCATCATTCTCAGTAAACTATCACAAGAACAAAAAACCAAACACCGCATATTCTCACTCATAGATGCGAATTGAACAATGAAAACACATGGACACAGGAAGGGGAACATCACACTCTGGGGACTGTTGTGGGGTGGGGGAAGTGGGGAGGGATAGCATTGGGAGATATACCTAATGCTAGATGACGAGTTAGTGGGTGCAGCACACCAGCATGGCACATGTATACATATGTAACTAACCTGCACATTGTACACATGTACCCTAAAACTTAAAGTATAATAATAATAATTTTTTTTTAAAAAAGAGAGATTTTGAAAAGGTGGAGAGACATTAAGAAAGGAGAAAGAAGAAAGAAGAAATTAAAAACAGTTGCTAAATTGTGATTGGAATTAATCAAGAATCACCTTGATTCTTCCAGTGGTGGGCAACCAATCCAGAAAAACAGAAAAATCTTGTTTATAGTTTCATGTGCAATGATGTTGTTTTTCAGCCCTGTCTCCATCTTAAATTATTGCTGGAATCTAAGGTAACTAAAAGTTACCTTTCCTCTACTCTTCTCTATTTGCCTGACTTTGTCAAAAGATTTGAAGTGGCTGACATAACTGGACTGCCATTAACCCCAGGCAGCCTTTGCTAATAAGTAAGAAACTATGGAAATTCCCTCCTCAGTGTTTACCTTGGCTTCAAGAAGCAATAAATGTGAAACCACTGTGAAAGAACAGAGTTCAAACCATGTGAGCTCCTGAACTGCCATATAAGCTCAGTCTAGTACTATCGAGAAACATTAAATTTAGTTTTTTAAATATTAACATTAGATTTAGTTTTTCAATAAGTGATTGCTTTATCATATAATTATATGTTAAGCACCTACCAGGTACCAGACTCTGCTAAATCCTGGAATTATAATGATGATTAGGATACACATTACTAAGAAGTTTTTGGTCTGGTAGTATGTTAGGTAGATATACAAGTATTAGCAGATAAATTCCCGTGCAATATGGCATTGCTACAAATAAACAATTCCTGTGATTACTCCAGGGACAAAACAAACAAAAACACTTCTTAGAGATTTGTTGTAATGTATAAATGAGAGTTGGCCCTGTGTATCTGTGGGTGCCACATCCGTAGATTTACCAAACTGGGGGTGGAAATATTCTGAAAGAGAGATCCCCAAAGTTCACAAAGTAAAGCTTGAGTTTACATATGCTGAGTGCTGTGTTGTATCCGTATGAATGAAGTGATATGTAGGCATTAAATTTGGTATTATAACTGATCTAGAGCTGATTTAAAGAATATGGGAGGATGTGCATAGGTTATACTCAAATACTATGATATTTTATACAAGGAACTTGAGTATCTGCAAATTTTGGTATCCTTAATGGTCCTAGAGCCAATCCCCATGTGTATCAAAGGATAATTGTATGTGGTCTAGAGTTAACAGTCATATTTTGGGAATTGCCTCTCCCACTTGCCTAAGACTTAATAAATTCTTCTTTTTTGTTTGAATTTTTTTTTTTTTTTTTTTTTTTTTTTTTTGCCAGTGTCTCACTCTGCTGCCCATGCTGGAGTGCAGTGGTGTGATCATGGCTCACCACAGATTCGACTTCCCAGGCTCAATTAATACATTCTTAAAATGGAATCTCTTAACCAGATTTTATTAGTCCAAAGAGGGTACTTGATCTGATCTAGGCCAATTAGAGTACCCAGTCCCTTGACCACGGTTGATTTTCTAGAGCTGGGCAACCATCTAAGCTGGGTTATCTTGCAAAGGGAAGCAAAGCTAAGAAGTGGTCTTGGAGGCATCTGATTTCCAGATTCCTATTTTTTTGTGGTTTAGCAGCATCCATGTTTCCAGGTAATCATTTTTCTATGCTTCTTCGGATTCGTTAAGGATAGTACACACACTTTTTGCTTAAGCTTACTCAATTTGAGTTTCAACCAAATGCATCCTATTAGTGTTGGAGAAAAAAACGAATTAAGAAAGTGTGTGGTGGTCAATGCCCCCAGATGACCCCCCAGTGATTTCCTGCCTGCTGTTTTCCACACCTTTGTGTAATCTCTTGTCCTTGTATTTGGTAGAATTTATCACTTGCTTCTAACAAAGAGAATGCAAAAAGAGGATGAGATATGACTCCCCTTATTAGGTTACCACAATTGAAAATTTTAAATACTGCAAGCACCACACAAATCAGGAAAGTAAAAAACTGTTTTTCAGTTAACTGACACACTGGCTCTGTGCCTTCATATCGTCATCTTGGATATAGCAACACAGTGATAGGAAGCATATTTCTAAAAGTCATTCCACACTGAGCTACCTACCTATTTACAAAAATTACTACAAGCCACATAAATATATCCCATACACCTGCATTAAATACCTCCTCAACTCAACTTTCCCTAGGCAGATCCAAAAAGTGTTAATGACCACTAAAATGCGACCCAGTGAGGGGGAAAGTCTAACAAAGGGGAATTTGGAGCAAAAAGAAGCTTTAATCTTATTAATTATCATCGAAATATACCACTCCCATAAATTTTACAAAGACATATAATCATGTATCATATTGATAAGTTCCCTTGTAGTAACAAAAGAAGCATGCACAAGTAATGGGTGCTCAAACTTGACTTTCCTCAGTTTCATAGTAATATGCCTTGGATTTGTCCATAGTCACGTGATTAGTGACAGAACCTGGGCTGAAACCCATATCTTGATGGACTTTATCATAAAATGATATGATCGTGCACAAAAAAAATGGCGAAAATAACCAGAACAAACAAGAATTTGCACAAATGGTACCGCCTCCTCCTCCATGGTGAGCGGATCTGTCACTAAGTGTATAGCGTTATGCAAAGATCAGGGCCTAGAAATCTTTCTCAAATTCTCTTTAATGAGGATGTCTCCCATTTCAGGGACATAAATGCTGGGAGAAAAAAGGCCGCAATTGAAATGAGAAAGAAAAACTTCTGTGATATCTTGATATGGGCTTTAGCCCAGGTTCTGTAATAATAATAGTAATATAGTAGTAATACAGTAATAGTGACAGAATCAGAGTAAGAAAGGCTAGTCATAGAGATGTATGTGTGTTAACAGCAACCTAATAAAGGATCTATTGACAGAGCCTAATGAATGATTTTCAACTCTCAAAAAAATTTGTAAGTTAGCTAAAGTATGCAAAAATAGTCTGTATTCATTCGAAAAAGAACTCTGGGTTATGAGTGAATAAAACTGTAAGTGAAGATTATATTAGGAATTATATTAAGAAAGTCGGTTGAAACTTGTTTTTTGTAAATTAATTTGGCAGGGGTATGCTTCTTGGGAAATCAGGAGTGCTTCAGAACAGTGCTGAGGGCTATGAATCATAGTCTCTCTGTTGACAAAATATTCAAAATGTAGAATCAACTCATTAATAAAGTCATGTTCAGGCAAGTGTGGATGTTCTTATTCTCCCTATCTCCCCTCTCCCCAATCTTTTACTCTTGCTCTCTTAAATGGAAGAATATATCATTATAAATAATTGTTTATGTGGTAATGAACAGAGGTTAGGGAAGAATTATTGGAGGCAGATTAGATCCCAAACAGGGGTAAGCATAAAAGATCAGGGTAGAGAATAAATCCTTTAGTCATATGCGATGGTTTGGAAAAGCTAAAGCCAAAGTTTTAGTGCTCTGAGGAACAAGAATGAAAACAACAGGATTAATCTCAATAATCTTGTAACACAACTTTCTACCTAAAATTATAAATGCACAATCAGTGTTTCTCTTTCTAGACTAAACAAGGAATATTACACAAATGAAGACTGATAAACTCATTTGCTCTAAATTTGCCATGATGTCCTTGGGATAATATAGGCTCCCAAAAAATATCACCAGCATTAGGAATTTTATTATAATTGAAAATATGATTTTATATTAGTTCTATTAATTTGACTACTGTTACAATCAGTTTCACTCTGAGTTTTTATAGTGTCAAATTATTATCTGAAAAACATTCAAACGAAAGAGTGGGAGGCTTACTTGGATATCTGAGTTTTATTAAGGATAAAAATTTTATATTTATTTTCAAGGATAATCAGAGCATATTCATTGTTCTAATTTTCTATTTATCCCTTCTTGATAATATTCAGATAAAAATTTTCTATTATATCACTACAAACATGAAATCAATTATTGGTGTATCCAAAAAGCTCTGATTAGGTGTTTGATATATTTCTCATGTCTTATGAGAAATACATGTTTTTTTCTTCCCATTACTTGTTCATGGATAAATTTTCAGTCAGACTGTAAGGTATTCTAATACAAACTATATTACATTTTTTATTGTTAAAGACTCCCAGCTTTTTAAAGATGTTGGAGATTGACCTGTAGATTTCTGTCACTCAACAAAATTGATTATGTAGATTTGGTTCCATAAAAATTGTAGTGCCATTTCTGTTACTAGTTTCCATAGTACTTATTTTAAAATGATGTACAATGGCATTATTTAACTTATAGTAAATGACATATAATAAGGGCATTATTTTTTATTCTAGGATTTCACATCAGTAAGTCAAATCAGAATTTGATCTTTATTATATACTCCGTTACTTTTAAAACAAAAAAGAAATGAGGTGTAAAATTAAATTCAACCCCATAAGTAAGAGGCAGTTTTATGGTTTGAATGCTTTTATTCTCTCCAAAATTCATATTGCAACTTAATCCCCAGAACAACAATATTGGGAGGTGTGGCCTTTAAGAGGTGATTAGGCCATGAGGGATCCTTCTTCATGAATAAATTAGAGCTCTATAGATAGGGCGTGTAGGAGTGGGCTCGCTCTCTTTTGCACTTCTGCCATATAAGAACAGTATTTGTCTATTTTTGCCCTTCTGCTTCCACCATGTGAGCATGCATTAAAAAGCCCTCGCCAGATGCTAGCACCCTGATCTTGGGCTTCCCAGCCTTTAGAACTATGAGAAATACATTTTTGTTGTGTATAAACTATGCGGTCTGTGATATTTTGTTATAGCAGCACAAAGAAACTAAGATACACAATTTGTTGTAAAGGAAAGACCATTGGTTATGGTGTCTATCAGTCAGAGTTGGGTTCTTTATTGACAGGCAGGAGGGTTTGGAAGTGGCCTCTACATTTTCTTATTTGCTTGTAGTATACTTTAACCTATTGATATTTAAATGACCAGATTATTTCCAGGAATGCTAAGTATGCAAAAGAGGAAATAATAAGGGCATGAATCGAAAACGGTGTCAAAATAAGACAATTACTTAAGAGTCTTAGCTATGAGTGTTTCAATATTTGAATAGTGGCAAAAGTAGACAAGTGTTTAATAGTTGCCTGCGGAGCAGCCTGGTTGGAAGATATGCAAGTAAACATAAATGAGAAAGAAAATATCACGGTTGTAACAAGTTTTATTACTGGTATGGACTCTTAGCCATGTCTTCAAGTACGAAATGAGAATGATATGATCATGTATGAAAAAATGGTGAAAATAACCAGAACAAACAAGAATTTGCACAAATGGAACCACCTACTCCATGGTGAGCTGATCTGTCACTAAGTGTATAGCGTTATGCAAAGATCAGGGCCTAGAAATCATTCTCAAATTCTCTTTAATGAGGATGTCTCCCATTTCAGGGACATAAATGCTGGGAGAAAAAAGGCTGCAATCGAAATGAGAAAGAAAAATTTCTGTGATGATGTTTCCAGAGCAGTTTGGCTTATAACCATGTCAAAATGCCTAGTTATATTGATGATGATGGTGATGGATGCAAATGTGGGGGGCAGATTTATGGCATGAGAGATAAGAAAGTTGTGTATTTCTGGTTAATAGTCTCTAAATTGAGATTAAAGAAAAATATCTCTATAAAGATAATCTTTGGCATTCACGCATAAAGCCTTTAAGTTTATAAAACATTTTGGGGGTTGGTAAGTGTGATGATTAATTTTATGTCAACCACGGGGTACCTAAACTAAACATTTTGTGGGAGGTGTGTCTGCGAGGGTGTTTCCAGCTGAGATTAGCATTGAATCATTGGACTCAGTAAAGTAGATTGCCTTCCCCAGTATGAGCCAATATGAGTGGGCATCATTGAATCTGTTTAGGACCTGAATAGAACAAAAGGCAGAGGAAGAAGAAATTCACTCCTTTTTTTCTGCCTTGCTATTTGAGCTAAGACATCTCATCTCATATTCTTCTGCTCTCAGATTGGGATTTATACCACCAGCTTTCCTGGTTCTCCACCTTGCAGAAAGAAGATCCTGGGACTTCTAGCTCAGCTTCTATAACCATGTGAGTCAATTGCTCATAATAAATCATATATATACATACACACACACAGAGTGAGACAGAGATTATATAGTATCTATATAATCGCTCTCTGTCTCTCCACGTGTGTGTGTGTGTGTGTGTGTACCTTGTCTAATAAAATAAGGTGTTGAGAAAACAAGGTTACAGACCAGTTTGAGACCTAGAAAAGTGAAATAGGTTAAAAATCTGAGAGATGGAATTATAGAAAAGTATGGGCCATTGATCTGGCAAGACAAGAATATCAATTAAGATGTTAGTATTGGAATTCAGAGTGATGGGACTATGTTTAGACAGTAGAGAGTATCGTGGATGGAATTTGACATTGGGAATCAAGTATGAGTAACTTCTGATTCACTGATTTGTATTATAGGTAAAAAGCTTTGGACTCTTTGGGGGTTAATGTGTTTTCATAATCTGTCTTATTAACCTAAATTTAAAAAGAACATAAATTTTCTTTGCCTCATCCCTTACCATTTTCTAATTTCAATAAATTGATGTTTCTGTTTTGTTTTGTTTTGTTTTTTGAGACGGAGTCTCGCTCAGTCTCCCAGTCTGGAGTGAAGTGGCGTGATCTCAGCTCGCTGCAACCTCTGCCTCCCAGGTTCAAGCGATTCTCTGCCTCAGCCTCCCAAGTAGCTGGGATTACAGGCATGCACCACTAAACCCAGTTAATTTTTGTATTTTTAGTAGAGATGAGGTTTCATCATGTTGGCCAAGGAGGTATCGAACACTCGACCGCAGGTGATCTGCCAGCTTCGGCCTCCCAAAGTGCTGGGATTACACGCGTGAGCCACTGTGCTCGGCCAATAAATTGATATTTCTGATTTAACTGTTCGACTATTGTGGAGGAATCCTACTTGATATTTAAAGCTATATTAGTCTCCATTTTTCCTGTGAGTTTTCACTAAACAAATACATAATTTTTTCTCTCATGTTGTCAATTTCACAAAATTCTGCTAACATTTTAAGATTTTTAAGTAAGGTGGTAAATGATTATTGTTTTGGGATTTGAATTAAAGCTATAATTTTTTTCAATTATGTTTTTGTTTTCATTATGTAAAAACATGTCAGCTTTGTTGAGTAGAATTGGTTTGTAAAGCTTGCATCCTTCAGTCTTTAATTTCATTCATGCTTCCTGATTTTATTTTTTTCATCTATAGAAGTAATGATTATAAAGCCCAGAGGAGAATATTTATAAGTCCCCCACAACTGTCTACCTTCCCCAAAATATTCAAGTAAATTTTAACCATTTTGACTTTACATTGATATGTTTTCTGACTCTAAAATTACTTTAAAAATAAATAAGTAAATAAAACCCCATAGCCTAATTCCCCATATAATTTTCAGGATGAGCCGGATTTGGGAATCATCACATCACACATCTCTTTATTCTGTGAACAGAGACAAAATAAATTAAAGGACAATTTTTACATAATCAGTCTTTGCACAATCTATTTTATCAATAGTATCATTAGGGGACTTGATTTATCCAGAAAATGTACTTCAGTGATAAACTTGATTGAGAAGGAGTTTCAATGGAACTTATGATATTACTCTACTAACCACTGGGAACATACTAATTTAAAATCTTTAGTAACTAGAAATCTTCAGTACAGCGAGGGATTCCAGTTGGAATTACAGCTGCAACATCTCACTGTTGAGGTCAGCACTGCATGACAACATACAGAAAAATTTTTCACAACTTTCATTTAAAGAGATTAATTTAAAAGTATTACTAAAGAACGTCCCAGTGTCTTTTGGCTCAAATTAGATTAAGAGATTGAGAAGTGATTCATTTTTAAATAAAGAGGTTTAAGATTAAAGAATGAAGCATGGTATCATTTATTTGTATATCTCAAGGTTTAGGAAACAGTGTTCATTCTGAAGTTAAGGAACTGCCTCTTGAGTCAGGTTCTGATTATATCATGACCCCCTTGTTTACCCCCACCACCAAGATACCCTTGGGACAATGTATGTTTGAATTATCCAAGATTTTTTGAACTGTAAAATCTAGGCAAAATCACTAACGTTGATAAGTTCCCCAAAACCGTATTCCTATCATCTTCTTTTGAGAGTGTCCTTTCTTTCTTCTGACACTTTCTTACTCCTTACAGCAAACCTTCCCCTAACCCCAACAAGCAATGGTGTCTGAAACATATTTTCATAACAATTGCTCTAGTGGCCAGGACTACATCTGGTTTAGCCCCTGGGACCACTTTTCATTCTTATCTCACCCAAAAATTTTTGCTGCAGCAGGCAGTAGAGAGGTTCAAAGACTCAGTGGAGAGCAGCGGTATCTGGCAACCAAATAAATAAAAACGAAGAATTCTAGCTCTATTAATCTGTTCTTACAGTGGTATAAAGATACTACCTGAGACTGGGTAATTTACAAAGGAAAGAGGTTTAATTGACTCACAGTTCCACATGACTGGGGAAGCCTCAGGAAACGTATAATCATAGTAAAGGCGAAGGTGAAAAAAGGACCTTCTTCAGAAGGTGGCAAGAGAGAGAAGTGCAAGTAAGGCAAATGCCAGATGCTTATAAAAGCATCAGATCTCATGAGACCTCACTCACTTTAATGAGAACGGCATGAGGAAAACAGCACCCATGATCCAATCACCTCCCTCCCTTGGCACATGGGGATCACAAGCCCCTCTCTCGACACGTGGGGATTACAATTCGAGATGAGATTTGGGTGGGGACACAGAGCCAAAACGTATCACCAGGAATGTAGATATTACCTTTCTAGCAATGTGGACTTTGAGAACCAGATTTTATTTTCAACATAATACTGCTTACTATGTGCCAGATACCCTTCTAAGTACTTAACAAATAATAACATTTAATTCTAAAACCTATCCCATCCAGTAGGTAACATAACTATTTTCCTTATTTTGCAATGAGGCAGAGATAATTAAGAAATTTGCTCAGAATAGGAGAGCAACTAAATTCCAGGGCCAGTATTTGAGCCCAGGAAAACTGGCTTCAAGTCTGAGCTTTTGGTAACTACAAAATGCTGCCACTTATGAGATTATACAGGGTCAAACAAAGTTAGCGGCACATCTCTGCTACCTATGTATAAAGATGACACTCCAGTAGGGCTGAGTGTCCTGTAAATTCAAGGTATCCTCAGGCTACCAGGTCACATGATATACCATGGCATAACAGGTGTAATGCAATATCCCCATGTGTCCCCGCTATATAACATGAAAAGCACTCACAGACTGCATCGAATGTCATAAAGATTTTCCTTCCAATCTCCTCATGTTATTTTCCTACTAACTTCTTTGGAGAAAACCACCTGCTAGAAGGATTTTCATGTTTCAAATCAACCAGCTAATCTTTAAGGAAACTGTCATAATAGAGACATTTTTGGTGCTTGGCTCATACTGAAAAGTGACTTGTGATGAATCCTGTTGAGTTTTGAAAGAAAGTAGAACAGGGGCTCACCACTAGTCATCTAGTTCCAACTGGAAGAGACAACTTGGTGCTACATCTGAGGTCATTTGGTGTCCTCTTATAGATTTCAGTTGACTTGTCACACCCTTGAGACCAGGGATTCTTGCCATTTTAGAGTCATGGCCCCATTTGAGAAATAGATTAAAAAGTATAGATCCTCTCTCCAGAAAGATTCACAGATGGACACAGAGGGCAAAAGCTGTCTGCAATGTTTACAAACATCACCCTCATCCACTCCAAGTCCAGTGATGGAATCTTTGAGGTCCTTGAACTGGTAGTTAAATGGCTTCACTTCAGAGGAATTGGGAAATGTCCCTTTGACTTGTGATTGTAATTTGAAGACCTGTTCTTTTTTGATAACCTTGTCTTCTTTTGTAGAAAGGTCATTGATCACTGGTGTCTCCAGTGATAAACCCTCAATATAGGCATTTTTGCTTTTTTCTCAGGAAGGTTAACGTTAAGCTAATCTATCTCTGTAGCTGTCTATATCTCTACCCTAGGATCTATGTGAAGTAATAAAATACTACATATAAAAGAAATTAACTTAATTAGCACTGGGTGCAAAATGGCAAAACAATTAAATCTCTAAGTTGCTGCATGTAGAGAAGATAATTAGAAGGTTTTAAAAATAGTTAGCAAGGAGCATAACTTGCTCCTTCAACTCTCACCCAAATAAAAGGGGCTTTTACCCATGAAAAGATTAGAAAGTAAAATATATGTGCAAAGAGGGAATGTAGAAAACATTGGAAACAAATTGGAAATGGGACAGAGAAAGCTAGAATTAAGCCATTCTTTCATTTAAAAATAATTTACTGGGCACGGAAACTATTTGCATAAAGAGCTTCAGCCATACAAAAAGAAAGTCACCCATTAGTTTAGATAACTTGATCTTGTTATGTATTTTCAAGGCTACCTAAACTTGGACTATTATAGTACTTATTAACTTTTACTTATTTTATTTTGTAATTGTGTGATTTTGCTGCTAAACCGTACATTTCAAGAAGGTAAGGATCACATACACTATTTTAATGTCAGTGCCTTACCCTACTTATAGTTCTTATTAGGGAATACATAATGATAATACAAATAATAGAATTTGAAGTGTGTTTCGGGCACTGTACTAAGTACATTTCCACTTATATTTCTTTTAATTGCAATAGCTATGAGAATGTTTTGGTAATTTGAAGTAAGTATAATAGTATATACATGATCTATGTATGGATGAATATTTGTTAACTAAATAAATCTATTAATGCATTTTTCAGAATTCATAACAATTTTACTTAGCATTGTGACAGTAATTTAAGTAAATTCCAAGCAATCTTTTTTGCATTTAGTAACTAGGTTCTATATATGGAAGGTCTGTAACTAAACATATTGCTATTGCACAAGACAAACATGAAAGGTATAAATCAAATCAAACAATACAAAAAAAGAAATCCAAATCTGAAAAATCTAAGGCAGAGATTGTTCTCTTGGTTATATCTTGGTAAGTATTATCATCATTTCCTTGGTAAAGAGGACATGAAAAATCGCCCCAAACTCCACTGAATATCATCTATACTTTAGATAAGTAGTTTTTGCTTTGGTTAACCCTATTGTAAATTTTACATATTTATCAACCCAAATGCAGGTGTATTTGTTCATAACCAATCCCCTGGTTGATTTCATAAAATCCCAAGTTAAGAAACTGTTCCTTGTGTTGGCTTAGTGGATATTAATTATTATATTGAGTTTCTGGGCCTCTAATGAACAGAGATGTTTACCCTTTCAAGAGGACTGTCTTAAATAGACTTGTTTCAGCTCATATGTGCCATATATTCCAAGATCTACAAAGTACATAAAATGTCCTTACATCTGGAGGAGACCATCAAATAGTTTCACGTAATTCTTTTTTTTTTTATTATTATACTTTAAGTTTTAGGGTACATGTGCACAATGTGCCGGTTAGTTACATATGTATACATGTGCCATGCTGGTGTGCTGCACCCAGTAACTTGTCATTTAGCATTAGGTATATCTCCTAATGCTATCCCTCCCCCACCCCACCCCACAACAGTCCCCAGAGTGTGATGTTCCCCTTCCTGTGTCCATGTGTTCTCATTGTTCAATTCCCATCTATGAGTGAGAACATGCAGTGTTTGGTTTTTTGTCCTTGCGATAGTTTGCTGAGAATGATGATTTCCAATTTCATCCATGTCCCTACAAAGGACATGAACTCATCATTTTTTCTGGCTGCATAGTATTCCATGGTGTATATGTGCCACATTTTCTTAATCCAGTCTATCATTGTTGGACATTTGGGTTGGTTCTAAGTCTTTGCTATTGTGAATAGTGCTGCAATAAACATACGTGTGCATGTGTCTTTATAGCAGCATGATTTCTAGTCCTTTGGGTATATACCCAGTAATGGGATGGCTGGGTCAAATGGTATTTCTAGTTCTAGATCCCTGAGGAATCGCCACACTGACTTCCACAATGGTTGAACTAGTTTACAGTCCCACCAACAGTGTAAAAGTGTTCCTATTTCTCCACATCCTCTCCAGCACCTGTTGTTTCCTGACTTTTTAATGATTGCCATTCTAACTGGTGTGAGAAGACATTTATGCAGCCAAAAGTTTCACATAATTCTAATCATCATGGAGATACACATTTAATAACCTGCTTTATTTCCTCTTCTCACAGCACAAGCTGTTGGGAGACATGTCTCACTCAAGCAATTGTCTTTTGTTTGCAGAACTACCAACACTTTTCAAATTTAAATCCTACAAACAAGCTGAATTTGATTAAGTATTCTTCAGGTGGCTCTATCAAATACTCTTGTATAATATCAGTATGAAGGTAAGGCTTTTAATGAAACTCCAGCATTCAATTTCAACCCAAACTATACTATCAAACTATAAAAAAGATATTTTCTTCATTGCTCCACTTGCCCTGTTTCAGCTTCTCTAAACATTCGTCTTTTAAAATGCTGAATGCATGATAGAAGCACTGCATTCAATCCACCCACTGAGAGAAAGGCAACACATTTTCAAATTCCCAGAATGATGTTGAGCTAGGGAAGGGAAGAAAGACAGCCATCTGTATTACCAGGGCAAAATTGACTTCTGAGATCAATAAAAATTATAATTAAGCAGTGGAAATTTATCCCTCTTAAAGCATTCCATTTCTCAAATATTTAAATGATGACTTTGCAATACGACTTTCACTTCATCAGCGTCTCTGCGGAAATTGGAAATTACAGTATGTGATACAATTAAAATGTATATCCACAACCACTCAGAATAATCATGGCTAATTAGAAATTATGAATCATTAAAATAACATGGTTTTCTGTCAGTATGTGTGCACAGCACATTCATGTCTTCTGACTTCCCAATTCAATCTCAATAAACCTAAGGAGGTACATTTGTTATAATATTTCTATTAAGCTTTTCCATTAGGTAAATTACCATTACAGCCAAAGTTTAAAGGTTATCTGGGCTAGCAAACTACTCAACATAGCTAATATGTATAATTAGCTGTGGTTAGATTCCACATTAAACTTTTCCACTGCTATTTAGTGAATTTTCAAAAACAAATCATTTATGCAGGCTTATCAAAGTTGCTGCAGTACTCCTGATAGAATTCAGAATATCTTTATTGTCATAAAATACTAATTTCTATTTTTTTGTATCTATCAATTTTAAGGCTGACTATAAAATCATCCAAATATTTCAGTATTTCTGATACATTGTTTGAAATATCCTATGGAGAAAGTAAATGTATATTGAAAAAAAGAAGAAAAGAAAACAAGTAGAATTAAATTCAAACAATAATTTCTTTGAAAATTAAAAAACTGGTATTTTTTAAAACAAAATGTTTAGTATGAACTTAGAGGACACAAAATTCCTGTAAAAAATTGATGCTGTTTAAATATGCTAGATTTTAACACTATTCTCAGAGAACTTCAAATATCCAGTTTTTGTAATAAATTCTCCGATATATGAGAGAGATTAGAGTGAGAAATTCCAAGAAAGATAGCCACAAAAGAAGCCTTTGCTCCAATTGTCAACGTATTCTTTGCCAGGCCAAAGTACAGAGATGAGGCTTGTACAGCTCCTTTTTAAGCTAAACCATTGAGGCAGAGGGAAAAAATACTATTAAAGAAAATGATGAACCTGGTTGGACCTGTTCTCTCAGAAGGAACTGCTGGCAGTTCCAAATTTATAATCTAAAGAAAAGCTTCAGAAATTTCAGTTTCTGAAAACATGGTGAAGATGCTCCAAAGTTTAAGTAGAATATGATTCCAGAAATATCCAACCGGAATAGAAAGAACTTGGTGTCCAACTACAAAGTTTAAAGAAACTAGTGGTGAGAAAGGATTGAGTGCAACAGATAGCCGGTAGCAATTTGCCCATAGATGTATATGCTCTAATTACTATTGTGTCTATAGATACAGATAAAAACCACTGTGGATGCACAGAATGTTCTCCAGTTGATGCAGAACTGATGTTGCCGTCATTGATGTGCTGGTTATCAAGCTGTTGTCTCGCAGCTTCAAAGCCGCCCTTTTATGCCCTTCTTTGTGGTGCTGTCTGGGGAATTATAAACCACGTTTCTACTTTGCCACCTGAGATCACCTCAGGCTCTGCCAATGGGGGGAATTAGAAAGGGACTGGAAGGCTGGAAGAGGAAGAAGAAACTTACTCTGTGTTTTTCATTCTCTTCCTTTCAGTGTTACTTCAACAGTAATGTTTAACATCTGTTTCCAGGTCAGTTTTTCCCATCTCAAGAACAGATGTGGCCCCTCACAGATACCAGCACTAGTGGGTTAATACTCCCTCCCCTGAGTTCTGGGTTCTACATCTGACCCAATCTTCTAGATTTTACTTTTTTTTGTATGAATAAGTTAACCTTTTTAAAACTATTTTCTTTAATTGACAAGTAAAAATTGTATATATTTAAAATATACAACATAATCTTTTGATATATGTATACTTTGTGAAATGACAAAATCAAGTTATTTAATATACCTGTTACATCACTTATTTTTTGGTGATGAAAACACTTAAAATCTACTCTCAGTAATTTTGAAATACAAAATATATTGTTAACTGCAGTTATCACGATGTACAATAGATCTTTTGAAGTTATTCCTCCTTTCTAACTGAATTTTTTTGTCCTTTGACCAACACCTCCACAATCCTCTCCCCACCCCTCCATCCTTCCCCAGCCTCTGATAACCAGCATTTTATTCTCTGTTTCCATGAGTCTGACTCTTTTACGTTCCACATGTAAGTGAGATCATGTGGTATGTTGTCTTTTTGTGCCTGGTTTATTTCATTTAACATAAAAATCCTTTAGGTTTATCCATGTATGGGAAATGACAGAATTTCCTTCTTTTTTAAGGGTGAATAGTACTCAATGATGTGTGTGTGTGTGTGTGTGTGTGGGCATTACACTTTAAAAAATTAATTCTTGCATTGAAAGATATTTAGATTGTTTACATATCTTGGCTATTGTGAATAATACTGTAATGAACATGGGTCTGCAAAAATCTCTTTGGCAAACTAATTTTATGGTTTTTGGATATATACCTAGTAATAGGACTGCTGAATAATGCAGTGGTTCTATTTTAACTTTTTGAGGAACCTCCATGCTCTTTTCCATAATGGCTGTACTGACTTACCTTCCCACCAACAGTGAGCAAGGGTTCCTCCCAGCACTTCCTCACCAACATTTATCTTTTGACTTTTTGATCATAGCTGTTTTAATAGGTGTGAGGTGATATTTCACTGTGGCTTTAATTTGCGTATCCCTGATGATTAATGGTGTGGAGCATTTTTTCATATACTTGTTGGCTCTTCTAGCTTCTAAGAATCCCAGCTTTTTATTTTTAAAGCGGGTTTTCTCAGACTTAGGGATGGTAGCTGCTGCTTGCGGTTCCCCCTCTCAGATACTTCAGTGTTGCCTTTGTTTTTTCAGCCTTTCAGTACTGATTTAACTAATTCTCTATATTAAATTTTCTCTATTAAAATAATTACTGGTGTCACTTTCTGACTGGACCCTAATTGTTACTGTAGTAATAAATAACAATTTTAATATTGATACATTCAGGGTTGCTTTGTAATTTCTAGTTCTGGCTTGTAATTTAAGTTCTGGCCACAGTGAACATGAGCAGTGTGTCCAGCAGCTTTTCCTTTGAGGAAACACCCCATCTTTAATGCCTTGGTCCCAGTGGGGTATATTAGTCCATTGTCGTACTGCTATAAAGAACTGAGACTGGGTAAGTTTTAAAGAAAAGAGGTTTAATTGACTCACAGTTTAACAGGGCTGGGGAAGCCTCAGGAAACTTACAATCATGGCAGAAGGTGAAGCACAAGCGAGGCACCTTCTTCAAAAGGAGGCAAGAAGGAGAAATACTGAGCAAAGGGGAAAGAGTCCCTTATAAAATCATCAGATCTCATGAGAACTCACTATCATAAGAACAGCGTGGGGGAAACCAACCCCATGATTCAGTTTACCTGCACCTAGTTTTTCCCTTGATACCTGGGAATACCTACAATTCAAGATGAGATTTGGGTGGGGACACAAAGTCTAACTGTATCATGGGGGTAGTGGTGCTATTAAAGCTGGTATTCCATCCCCATGACAGGAGTGGAGTTAGGACCCAGGTTGACCAATTAGACCTTCTCAATCCTATACTACAGAGATTGGTTGGGGGTAGGCGTGCGATGTAGTTAGGTCAATCATAGTCTTCTCTGGGACTTTTCTACTAGAGTTGGTGAAGTTACAGTAGTGGGAGAATTAGAAGTTGTGGCAGCTAGCTTCCAACTTACCCTCTTGTTTGGAATTTTCATCCACAGTAGAAGGAAATGAGAAAAGGAAGAAGGAGAGATAGAGGTAGAGATAGAGATAGAGATAGGGGTAGAGATAGAGATAGAGAGATAGCAAGTAAAAACAAATTTCATCTGAATTCTTATCCAGTCATTGATTGTTAGTCAACCAGCAACTTCTCAGGCATCATTTTATTCTATCACTTGTAAGCAAAAGTTGTCTAACTAATATGCATCAGCAAGGGTCAGGTGAAGGTCTAAATAAACATTAGTGCTGGGCCACACAACCATGACAACAAAAATTGTATGTTGAAATAGCCAGAAAACATATACTTCAAGTTTATAGAGCCTGTAATCAAGGTATTTTCACATTTATTGTTTAAAAAACAAGAAAAAATGTATTGCCAATATTTAGGAGGCTGGTGTAGTCTTTTGGCTTACAAATGAAATCGGTAGAAAAGGTTCTCTGTTGACTATTTATTTTTCAAGTTTTCATGGTATATTATTAATTAGTATATACAAAACTAATTATGATTCAGAATTTCATCTTGCTTGAAGGGATGTAATGAAGAGTAACAGTTTTTTGGCTTTGCATGTCTCATATGACCCATTACAAACCAGTAGAGAATCACATTTAATATGTCAGTGTTTCACAAGATAATAAACAAATTAGAACAGCTAACCTAAATTTAAAAAGTACCAGCTTTAGATGTCTCCTGATACTTGAATTTTCAGTACAGACACATGTCAAGTAAATAGTCATTTCCTGTACACACTTCTCTTAAAAGCTGATGGTCTGTTTCCTTTCATTTGACCTTGAGCAGCAAAGAGACACAAAGAAGTTCAGGAAGGCTTGTGATTTCTTATTTCTTCTGGGGGTAGAGATATTTTCCCTGGCTCTTAGAAAAGGGCCTGCTCCAGCTGTGAAAGAAACTTCTCCTTAGAGATATGCAGCCAGGCAGGATTTTTGTTTCATCTCAAAGGGAAAGACTCCGAGAAAGAGCAGAAAGAACATTCACCACTGGAATGGCCCACCATAACGCATCATACATATGTGATTTTTCTTCTTACTCTGACAGCATCAGCTGCCCCTCAGAGATCTTCAATGTAAAAGCCAAGAGGGATTCTAGCAGCCCACAAACTTTGTGTGATTTATGATATCCAAAAGCCCATTTTTATTTAGTTCTGTTGCCATTATTTCCAAGACTGTTTACAAAAGCTTATGGTCCAATTGATGAAAGTTAATTGGGTTAGAAGCGTGAGGATCAGATGTCCAGTTTTCACTGAATTTTCCAGGCTTCCCCAGGTTGGCTCTCTCAGATACTTTTTTCTCTTTGAGCATCCAATAAATGTTGATCCTGCAATGTACTTTTTTATTTTAACTTAATATTTACATATACAATCATACATCTCTTTCTATTCATGCAACTGTGGTATAGTCAGGAAAACTGGAAAAATGCATGACTGTGCTTTTCTTCCTTCCTTGCTGCCTATTATTTGATTCTTTATTCCTCTCTGCCAATACACACATACCACAAGGAAAGCCGAGATGACTGCATTGAGCTAGAATGATAGAATCATATTATTCAGTTTCTCCTATGGTCATATACAAATGAAATTTTTCCCTAGTCTTAGAGGTATTCATACTGATTTTCTGTTCCTTAATTGGGCCATGAATATGTTAAGTAACTCATCTCCATTCTTTGATTTTGGGTCTCACTCTCTCCTTGTATTTTCTCTATCATTGTGGAAAAGAGAGCTGTATCACACTTGAATTTACTATACTGTCATTTTTCTTACATTTTATATAATTTGTGTATGTACATATTAGGTGTATATATTTATGAGGTGCATGAGATGTTTTCATACAGGTGTGCAATGGGAAATAAGCACATTATGGAGAAGGGGGCATCCTTTCCCTCAAGCATTTCTTCAAGTTACAAACAATCCATTTACACCTTTAAGTTATTTTTAAATGTACAATTGAGTCATAATAAATAGTCTATTAAATATTGACTGTTGTGCTATTAAATAGCAGGTCTTATTCATTCTTTTTGTCTTGATGAAAAACATTTCCTAATGGTTTTGCAGTAACAGAGTATTTAAAATTTTGGATTTGTTGTTGTTGTTGTTGTTGTTAATCAAAAAGTGTTGGGAGATTCAAGGAAGGAAACAAAGGCTTAACCATCTGCGTGTATACAATCAATTGAGTAAGCCACACGTTACAGTCACACAAACTTTTCAAATATCTAAAAATACATCTGAGTCACTTTTTTGCCGTATTAAAATATTTTGCTAACACATTTGTTGTGTAGACATCACCATAATCAATTAAACTAAATTGAACAATTTATAGTGTTTATCAGTATTTGGCACATAGTAAATGCCTATCAATGTCAATTATTAATATTGTCATATTAATTAGCCACCTTTAAAATGCTTGCCAGCACTTTGGGAGGCCAAGGTGGGAGGATCACCAGAGGTCAGGAATTCGAGACCAGCCTGGCCAACATGGTAAAACCCCGTCTCTACTTAAAAATACAAAAATTAGCCAGGCGTGGTGGTGTGCATCTGTAATCCCAGCTACTCAGGAGGCTGAGGCAAGAGAATCACTTGAACCCAGAGGGTAGAGGTTGCAGTGAGCCATCCCACTTCAGCCTGGGTGACAGAGTAAGACTCCGTCTCAAAAAAAAAAAAATACCTTTACTGACACGACAAAGAGTGATTTTCTTTCTTTTTATAATGAAAACTTTGTATGTGAATTGCAATTCATTTTTCCTGTATAACCTTCATAAGGGTACCCTGAAACCACTCAACACTGTACCAAGACAACTTATGCCATATCACATATGGGGGACGCATCTCATATAACACTTCAAGTTTCATAAAACTGGTTTTCCATATGCTCAAAAAATATCTTTTAAGCATTCTGCATTATTTTACTCATTAAATAGTCTCTTCAGCATAGCAAAATTGAGCAAAATTTTCTCTTTAATATCCAGAGTCAAACATCCACAATACTGATGAAACAACTTTGTCCTCTCTCTGAGGATAACAAAGTGTCCACTAACCTGTACACTTTATGTGTGCAAATATAGTGATATAACCTGTAAACTTTACACATGCAAATATAGTGATATAACCTGTAAACTTTATGCATGCAAATATAGTGATATCATGTAGTTCACTTAGCAATAATGCTTGATACACATCTCTGGGGATTATCTCTCTGACTGATGCACTACAAATATTATATACAATATGTAAAACTTTATTAAAAAATAATTTATTTTCACTTGTATGTTACCTGATTTTAAAATATAAAGGGTGATAAAAAGAATTTGTATATATTAAAAAAATTAAATGTTACATTGATTTTGTTTATGTTTGTAAAGGTTCATTAAATCTATATGTAATGGGACAGTTACATAACTTTTTAATAAAGACAAAGGAGTAAACACAGTGATTAAGTTAGCACTACTAACCTGTCATACAAGGTAACTGATACTTCCTTTATTGCAATGTAATAATATTTCAAATATGATGGTAAAACATAACTAGGTACTGAATATTGTCCTGTCAGAAATTAAAACTATATACCTGGGGACTAAAAGTGCATGAAGAATTGTATAAAAAATAAAAATCTTTTTAGTAAATTATGTTCATTTGTTTATCTCACAATTGGTATGACATGAGTTTTAAATATGTAAAAATAGCTTTAAATGCCATACTGTATAAGACTTAGTTTATTTATACCATATTTTATTTTACATTTAAAAAAAGACATTTTATAGGGTAAGTGCAATTGATTTCTCTTAATAAGATTGTTCTCAGAAAATAAGAATGTCCTACTAAAATCATTTACTTCCCTTTTAATCTATTATATATTTATGGATTTAAATTACACTAGAAAGTGCTTTTATTTGCATGAATGTCCCTTACAGCATATTGCAATTTGGTCACATTTGATTACCACATTCACAAACTACATGAGTGAATACTTTTCCCAACAAATTACTTCAAATATGGATGGATGTTTGGTCATCTGTATTACCAATATGCATTAATTTTCCCTTATATCCTATATAGTTGTCTGTGTTAGGCTGTGATAGCTGACTCCTCACATGAAAATTGAATTCAGGTGGAAATTATATTGGAAGAAAATAACCCATAAAATACAAAATCCATTTATATGAAATACATAATTCAATACTTGGAAGTCACACAAAGCTCTGGGTGCATATAAGCAGATGCCATTGCTATTTATTATTCAAAGCTATAGAGATCAATAGTGAGCACAGACCCATTCATCTAATTAATGACATATTTGCTAAGTCAAAATTATAATAAGTTCTGGGGCTTAAAATATTCTTTAAGTAAGGATTTAACATATTCCTTTAAAAATAGGAAAGTTAGGTAATGCTATTACTATTTACATTGGATTATACGGTCATCAAATTTATAAAAATATCAACAGCATTTTAGTGGAAAATATCTTTGGTTGTATCTTGGATCTACTGTGGGTGCAACAAAAAATATGACTCTAGTAACTTCAGAAACACTGACCTAACAGAAATATTTTAGAATCTAATAAAGATCGTTTTAAATCACAGATGAAACTACAATTTTTTTTCTAAAGGGCAAACCAATCTAATTCTAAAGAGAACAAATTCACTAGCTATAAAAGCTATAGCCAATTGCCCAGAAGTGATAAAACTTGGAAGAAGATAATTTAAATACTATAAATATTACTCAAAAACTGATGTAATTTTCATCCATTTTCTTGAATTCCCAAGTAGCCCAGGAAGACAGTAGAGCATAATTTAATATGAAAAGGAGGTAGAGTTGGAGGTCTGCATCTGTTTCTACCTTATGGAGAATCAACAGCAAATACTTGGTTCCTGGAATACAGGGAGGTAAGGATAGATTATTAAGAATAAAAATAAATGGGAGATACTAATGCAAATATTTCTATGTCTATAGTTTAGTGCCAGTAAGGTTACTGTAAATGCAAATATTTTCATAAAATGATGTAAAGGCTAAATATATATCATATGATGGTTGTCTTTACTGACCATTCTGTCAAAAAAAATAAATCAGGTTAAAAGATCCAAATTACACCAATTTAATTATTACATAAATTAACAGAATCTAGTTTAGGCAAACAAATCATTTCTCACTCAAGATAGCAAATCTTGAGGAGAGGGGTTTGAGACAAGCCTGGCAGCATGGTAAAATCCCGTCTTTACTAAAACTACAAAAATTAACTGGGCATGGTGTTGCATGCCTGTAAGCCTAGCTGCTCGTGAGGGTGAGACACAAGAATCGCTTGAACCTAGGTGGAGGTGGAGGTTGCAGTGATCCAAGACTGTGCCACTGCACTCCAGGCTGGGCAGCAGGGTGAGACTCTGTCTCAAAAAAAGAAAAAGAAAAAAGCAAGAATAAGCACATGGAATATAGATGAGAATATTTATGGATAGGATATTTATTGTATATCATTTTAGATGTTGATTTTTTTCTGGAATCCTTAGACAAAGGATTAAAGTCAAATATTCATCCTTAATGCCTCTCTTAGAGAAGCAAATTATTTTTAACACTTTAGCTGTTTTTTTATATTTGTATAGATATTAACTGTCATGTTTTTATTGTTTTTCCTTACTTTCTGAGTTCTAATTTGTTGACTTACTAAATATAGGAAGAATCTTTAGCTCTTATTCATGCTCCACATTTTGTACACAAAAATAAATTCACAAACACGCAAATACACATAAACACACAAAATCCTCTGAGTCCCACAGCTTACCAGATTTATTGCATTATTATTTTTAAATAATAATTGAGATTTATGTTATTTCATCTTTGTAAGTTTTATTTACAGATACTCTGTAACATGTAACCTCATCACATTTCCCTTCTTTTATCATTATCATGTTGGAGTTGGTAACTAAATTAATTCTTATTTACTTAGTCTTTTCATTCATCCTCAAATCTTTGTCAGAAGTTTAAACTCCCCTAACATGCAATATATATCCCAAGGAATCTATCCACTTTTTTTTTTTTTTTTTTTGAGATCTCTTTCCTTGAATTGCCAGCCTTCTGCCTCAATTTGGATTGGTTGATTTCCTGGCATGCTATAGGAGTTTGTTGATATTTTCTCTAATTTCTTGGGAATACCATTCATGTATAACCTGGGTTGAACAATTAACTTCTTCAATCTCATGTCTTTCTGTTTCTTAGGAGAAAAATCCAACAGGAGTATGATGGAAAAACAAATGAGCCAGGAATCCAAATTCTGCATGATATTTAGTCTGGAAGATAGAAAAGTAGGTGCAAAAATGGAAGGACACACAGTGGCAATTTAACATGCTAGTAATATTCTATTAATCTGATTGGTAAAAATTTGAAGATCTTTTAATTATTGTTAAATTACACACACACACACACACACACACACACACACACACACACACACATATATTTAATTCACCTTTTAAAAGTTCAATATATTTCACAATTTTAAACAAAAATCCCAAAGAATTTGATCCAGCTTATGCTAGAAAACTTAAAATATAGGAATTTAGGTAATCTTTTTTTTTTTTTAATTAGAAATGAAGAGATGAAATTGATCCTGAAGGCCTGACCCTGCATTTAGAGCCCATTTATTTTGGAAATTTGCCCAGACTACTTTGGGGAGATAGTCTTACATTTTTAAAAATTCTTGACATAAAGTTATTTACCTTAAAAATATCACATTAAGATATAATTTCACCACAGTTAAAATAGCTTTTATCAAAAGTACTAAAAATAATGAATGCTGATGAAGACATGGAGAAAGCAGAACATTCATACACTGTTGGGGGCAATGTAAATTAGTGCAGCCACTCTAAAAATCAGTATGGAAGTTCCTCAGAAAGCCAAAAACAAAACTGCTGTATGATCCAGCAATTCTACCACTGAGTATACATTTTTAAAAAGGGAAATCAGTGTATCAAAGATATATCCGCACTCCATGGTCATTACAGCACTATTCACAATAGCCGAGATATAGAATCAATCAAAGTGTCCATCATCAGACGAATGGATAAAGAAAATGTGGCACATATATACAATGGAATGTTATTTACTCATAAAAAATGAATGGAATTTCATTATTTGCAACAACACAGATAGAACTGAAGGCCATTTTGTTAAGTGAAATAAGCCAAGAAGCACTGTCAGATGAAGCAGTGGAAAGTGAAAGACAAATATTACATGTTCACACTTATAAGTGAATGCTAAAACATCAATCTCCTGAAGACAGAGAGTAGAATTATGGTTACCAATGCCTGGGAAGAGTGGTGGGGCTGGGGGAATTAAAAGGGGTTGATTAATGGGTAGAAAAATACAATTAGAAAAAATAAGATCTAGTGTTTGGTATCACAATAGGATGACTACAGCTAATAATACTTTACTGTATTTTTAAAATTAAAGGAGTGGAATTGGAATATTCCTAACACAAAGAAGTGATAAATATTTTAGATGATGGATTTCCTGATTACCCTAATTTGATCATTACACATTGTGTACTTGTATCAAAATATCATATGTACCCCTTAAGTATGTATAACTATTACGTATTCATACAAGTTTTAAAAATAAAATATAATTATTTTTCCACTTAAGATTTGAAAAATTAAAGTATTGAATGATGGAAGAAACAGTATGAAGATCAAGATTTTAAAAATACTTCTATCTTTGAGTTACAAAGAGCTAAATATTTATATTTTAAAGGTAACTTAGTTTGGGAATATAAATAGAATGAAAAGGAAACTGAAGCAATATTTTTGGAATATGTAAACCATTTAGAGTAGAACTGAATTTAAAAGCATATGAATACCACCTTATACTAATGTAATAAAATGAAAAGTACTAAAGTACACCATAAAATTGCAACTGGAATAAAACTCCATGATTTTAAAAAATATATAGTTTTACAAATAATAAGTGTTTAAAGATGATGTGTTGCCAATTTCTTTAGCATATTAATAGTAATCTCTCAAAAAGGTATTAATTTATAATGTAAGTTTAATAAACCTCATCTCCAACATATTCTTAAGAGAAAATGTGGGAAATATTTTGTTGTAAATAATAGAGATACTATTGGCTTATAAAAATATTGCATTAGTTAGTAGAGAAGTAACATAAAACAACTTGAAATTATACAACTTGACCTCTTCTATATATTAATATGTGCAAAAATTTTATTATACTCTTACATTTAAAAACATGTCAGATTATATAACAAAATTATGAGATAATAAAATTAGACAAGTAATTTATCAAATTTTTTATACAAACATTACTGAGTTTATATTTTGGGCAAGTAATAAACTAGTATATCATTCTAACCTCAGTGGTTTCATTGAAGACAAGGGAAGAATGTTTCAAGCCGAAAAGAGTCAACAGTGTCAGATGCAACAGAGGAACAGTGAAAGAAAACTTTAAAGACAACTGAAATAATTTGGCAAGTCAGTCATTGATGACGTTTGCCTGACAGTATCATTGAAATGGTGAGGTGAGAAGACTGATTTCAACTTCCTCTTGTGCATGGGGGGAGAGAAATGAGAGTATTGCATGATGACAAATAAAATTTCCAGGAGCCTAGTGATGAAGGGACATAGACATTAAGAGATGTGAGGGGCGTTTGGTGTTTTGCTTGTGTATACAAATGTGTTTTTCAAGTTTGAGCAGATTTAAGCTCTTTAAAAATTCTGGATCCAAATCACAATAGGAATACTAAAGTGCACTTAAAATATTTGTATTATTGTTAATCATATTTGATACTGTTTTTTCATGTGTAAAATTATTTGATATGTATCTCTAGCCATAAAAATTATTTAACTCAAATCTATTTTACTGTTGAATAGAAACAATTTAAAATTAGGTGCTGGATCTCCCTGATCTGTATCCCAACCACTTTGGCTACTCATGCATACATACATATATGTATATATGTATACACATGTGTGTGTGTGCACTTATGTGCTTCATTATGTGTTGTTGAATTAAACTAGATAATAAAAATAAAAATGTGTATTCCACTATCTAGATTCTCCTGGTAAACCTAATGGAAATATTTTAATCTAATAGAAATATTTTAACCTATTAGGAATAATTCAGTAAAATGGTGTGGGTTGTAGATGAACAGGCATGTCAGGTTACTGAGAAAAGCATCCTTGCCAAATATTTGCTTTTCCTCGGTGTGTTATGGTATTTTTTTTAAATCCCAGCATTTCTTTAGTTCATCATGTCATCAAATATTATCTGTAATATAAGAAAAATTCACCATGCCAAAATATTTACCCACCCTTATAAAATGATGTGGCAACCCAAGCTTTTCTAAGTACATTGAAGATTAATAGATTAATTACTAGTTACCCAGGGGTGAGTTAACATTGAGAATTGGCATGAAAAGGCATGTCTTCTCTCCCAAACAAGACTGTCCTTCAAAATATCCCCAATTTCAAATTAATAGCCAGCAAGACAGGAAAGACCAGGAAGGATGTGTTAATTTCCTGAGGCCACTATAAAAAATTGACACAAACCCAGTGCCTTAAAATAAGGAAAATTTATTTTTTCACAGTTCCTGGAAGCTAGTAGTTTGCTGCAAAAGTGATTATGGTTTTTGCCATTACATTTGGTTGTATTTAGGTCCCATCTGGCTAATACAAGGGAATCACCTCATATCGCATCAAAATTCTTAATTATATTTGCAATGACTCTTTTTCCATTTAGGTCACATTTACAAATTCCAGGGATTAGGACTAGATATCTGTGTATGACCATTATCCAATGTACTACAAAAGGAATTTAAAAAATGAATATTAGACAGGGCTGGTAAGAGAGGCCGAATAAGAACAGCCCTGGTTTGCAGCTCCCGGCTAGACCAATGCAGAAGGCTGGTGATTTCTGCATTTCCAACTAAGGTACCAGGCTCATCTGATTGGGACTGGTTAGACAGTGAGTGCAGCCCACGGAGGGCAAGAAGAAGCAAGGTGAGGCGTTGCCTCACCTGGGAAGCACAAGGGGTCAGGGGACTCCCTCCCCTAGCCATGGGAAGCCATGAGGGACTGTGCTGTGAGGAACGGTGCACTCCAGCCCAGATACTACACTTTTCCCATGGTCTTTGCAACCCACAGACCAGGAGATTCCCTCAAGTGCCTATACCACCAGGGCCCTGGGTTTCAAGCACAAAACTGGGCAGCCATTTGGACAGACACCGAGCTAGCTGCAGGAGTTTTTTTTCATACCCCAGTGGTGCCTGGAATGCCAGAGAGACAGAACCATTCACTCCCCTGGAAAGAAGGCTGAAGCCAGGGAGCCAAGTGGTCTAGCTCAGCAGATCCCACCCCCATGGAGTCCAGCAAGCTAAGATACAGTGGCTTGAAATTCATGCTTCCAGCACAGCAGGCTGCAGTTGACCTGGGATGCTCAAGCTTGGTGGGGGGAGGGGCATCCACCATTACTGAGGCTTGAGTAGGTGGTTTCCCCTCACAGTAACTCAAAAAGCCTCCTGAAGTTCAAACTGGGCAGAGCCCACCACAGCTCCACAAAGCTGCTGTAGCCAGACTGCCTCTCTAGATTCCTTCCCTCTGGGCAGTGCATCTCTGAAAGAAAGGCAGCAGCCCTAGTCAGGGGCTTATAGATAAAACTCCCATCTCCCTGGACAGAGCATCTGGGAGAAAGGGTGGTTGTGGGTGCAGCTTCAGCAGACTTAAACGTTCCTGCCTGCCAGGTCTGAAGAGAAAAGCAGATCTCCCAGCACAGTGCTCGAGCTCTGCTAAGGGACAGACTGCATCCTCAAGTGGGTCCCTGACTCCCATGCCTCCTGACTGAGAGACACCTCCAGCAGGAATCAACAGACACCTCATACAGTAGAGCTCCAGATGGCATATGGCAGGTGCCCCTCTGGGATGAAGCTTCCGGAGGAACAGGCAGCAATCTTTGCTGTTCCGCAGCCTCCGCTGGTGAAACCCAGGCAAACAGGGCCTGGAGTGGACCTCCAGCAAACTCCAACAGACCTGCAGCAAATGAGCTTGACTGTTAGAAGGAAAACTAACAAACAGAAAGGAATAGCGTCAACATAAACAAAAAGGACGTCCACATAGAAACCCCATTCGAAGGTTCCCCCATCAAAATCAAAGGTAGATAAATCCATGAAAATGAGAAAGAAAAAAAAACAGCACAGAAAGACTGAAAATTACTAAAACCATAATGCCTGTTCTCCTCCAAAGGATCACAGCTTCTCACTAGAAAGGGAGCAAAACTGGTTGGAGAATGAGTTTGGCAAATTGACAGAGGTAGGTTTCAGAAGGTGGGTAATAACAAACTCCTCCAAGCTAAAGGAGCATGTTCCAACTCAATGCAAGGAACCTAAGAACCTTGAAAAAAGGTTGGAGGGATTGCTAACTATAATAACCAGTTTAGAGGAGAACATAAATGACCTAATAGAGCTAAGAAAACATCATCAGAATTTCGTGAAGCATAGACAAATATCAATAGCCAAATCGATCATGTGGAAGAAAGGTATCAGAGATTGAAGATCAACTTAATGAAATAAAGCATGAAGACAAGATTAGAGAAAAAAGAATTAAAATGAACTAACAAAGCATCCAAGAAATATGGGACTATATGAAAAGACCAAACCTATGTTTGATTGGTGTACCTGAAAGTGATGGGGAAAATGGAACCAAGTTGGAAAACACTTAGGGACGTTACCCAGGAGAACTTCCCCAACCTAGGAAGACAGGCCAACATTCAAATTCAGGAAATATAGAGAACACCACAAAGATTCTCCTTGAGAAGTGCAACCCCAAAACAGATAATTGTCAGACTCACCCAGGTTGAAATGAAGGAAAAAATGTTAAGGGTAGCCAGAGAGAAAGGTCGGGTTACCCACAAAGGGAAGCCCATCAACCTAACAGCAGATCTCTCAGCAGAAACCCTACAAGCCAGAAGAGATTGGGGGTCAATATTCAACATTCTTAAGGAAAAGAATTTTCAACCCAGAATTTCATATCCAGCCAAACTAAGCTTCATAAGTGAAGGAGAAATAAAATTCTCTACAGACAAGCAAATGCTGAGAGATTTTTGTCACCACCAGGCCTGACTTACAAGAGCTCATGAAGGAAGCACTAAACATGGAAAGGAAAAACCCATACCAGCCACTGCAAAAGCATATCAAATTGTAAAGACCATCAACACTATGACAAAACCACATGAACTAATGGGCAAAATAACCAGCTAGAATCATGATGACAGAATCAGATTCACACATAAAAAAAATTAATGTTAAATGTAAATGGGCAAAATCCCACAGTTAAAAGACACAGACTGGCAAATTAGATAATGAGTCAAGAACCATCAGTGTGCTGAATTCAGGAGACCCATCTCACGTGAAAAGACACAAATAGCTCAAAATAAAGGGATGGAGGAGGATGTACCAAGCAAATAGAAAGAGAAAAAAAAAAGCAGGGGTTGCAATCCTAGTCTTTAAACCACCAAAGATCAGAAAAGACAAAGAAGGGCATTATAATGGTAAAGGGATCAATGCAACAAGAAGAGCTAACTATCCTAAATATATATGCACCCAATACAGGAGCACCCAGATTCATAAAGCAAGTTCTTAGAGACCTACAAAGAGACTTAGACTCCCACACAATAATAGTGGGAAACTTTAACACCCCACTGTCAATGTTAGACAGATTAACAAGACAGAAAATTAGCAAGGATATTCAGGACTTGAACTCAGCTCTGGACCAAGTGGACCTAATAGACAGCTACAGAACTCTCCAATCCAAATCAACAGAATATACATTCTTCTCAGCACCACATCACACTTATTGTAAAATTGACCACATAATTGGAAGTAAAACACTCCTCAGCAAATGCAAAAGAACGGAAATCATAACAAACAGTCTCTCAGACCACAATGCAATCAAATTAGAAGTCGGGTTTAAGAAACTCACTCAAAACCACACAACTACATGGAAACTGAACAACCTGCCCCTGAATGACTACTGAGTGACGAAATTAAGGCAGAAATAAATAAGTTATTTGAAACCAATGAGAACAAAAACTCAATGTACCAGAATCTCTGGGACACAGCTAAATAAGTGTTTAGACGGAAATTTATAGCACATTAAATGCCCACAGGAGACAGTGGGAAAGATCTAAAATCAATGCACTAACATTGAAATTAAAAGAACTAGAGAAGCAAGAGCAAACAAATTCAAAAGCTAGCAAAAGACAAGAAATAACTAAGATCAGAGCAGAACTGAAGGAAATAGAGACACAAAAAACCTTCAAAAACTCAATGAATCCAGGGGCTGGTTTTTTGATAAGATTAACAAAATAGACCACTAGCCAGAATAATAAAGAAGAAAAGAAAGAATCAAATTGACACAATAAAAAATGATAAAGGGGATATCACCACTGATCCCACAGAAATATAAACCACCACCAGAGAATATTATAAACACCTCTACACAAATGAACTAGAAAATCTAGAAGAAATGGATAAATTCCTGGACACATACCCTCCAAAGACTAAACCAGGAAGAAATCAAATCTCTGAGTAGACCAATAACAAGTTCTGAAATTGAGACAGTAGTTAATAGCCTACCAACCAAAAAAAAGCCAAGGACCAGACAGATTCACAGCCGAATTCTACCAGAGGTACAAAAGGGAGCTGTGCCATTCCTTCTAAAACTATTCCAAACAATAGAAAAAGAGGGACTCCTTCCTAACTCATGTTATGAGGCCAGTATGATCCTGTTACCAAAACGTGGCAGAGATACAACAAAAAAAAGAAAATTTCAGGCCAATATCCCTGATGAACATTGATGTGGAAATCCTCAATAAAATACTGGCAAACTGAATCCAGCAGCACATTAAAAAGCTTATCCGCCATGATCAAGTCGGCTTCATCCCCAGGATTCAAGGCTGGTTCAACATATGCAAATCAATCAATGTAATCCATCACATAAACAGAACCAAAGACAAAAACCACATGATTATCTCAATAGATGCAGAAAATACCTTTGATAAAATTCAACACCCCTTCATGCTAAAAACTCTCAATAAACTATGTATTGATGGAACATATCTCAAAATAATAAGAGCTATTTATGACAAACCCACAGCCAATATCAAACTGAATGGGCAAAAGCTGGAAGTATTCCTTTTGGAAACTGGCAAAAAACAAGATGCCCTCTCTCACTACTCCTATTTAACATTGTATTGGAAGTTCTGACCAGGGCAATCAGGCAAGAGAAAGGAATAAAGGTATTTGAGTAGGAAGAGAGGAAGTCAAATTGTCTCTGTTTGCAGATGACATGATTGTACATTTAGAAAACCCCATCATCTCAGCCCAAAATCTCCTTAAGCTGATAAGCAACTTCAGCAAAATCTCAGGATACAAAATCAACATGCAAAAATCACAAGCATTCCTATGCACCAATAATAACTCCCATTCACAATTGCTACAAAGAGAATAAAACCCTAGGAATACAACTTACAAGGAATGTGAAGGACCTCTTCAAGGAGAACTACAAACCACTGCTCAAGGAAATCAGAGAGGACACAAACAAATGGAAAAGCATTCCATGCTCATGGATAGGAAGAATCAATATCATGAAAATGGCCATACTGCCCAAAGTAATTTATAGATTCAATGCTATCCCTATCAAGCTATCATTGAGTTTCTTCATAGAATTAGAAAAAACTACTTTAAATTTCATATAGAGCCTAAAAAAGAGCTCATATAGCCAAGACAATCCTAAGCAAAAAGAACAAAGCTAGAGTCATCATGCTACCAGACTTCAAACTATACTACAAGGCTATAATAACCAAAACAGCATGGTACTTGTACCAAAACTGATAGAGAGACCAATGGGACACAACAGAGGCCTCAGAAATAATGTCACACATCTACAACCTTCTGATCTTTGACAAACCTGATAAAAACAAGCAATGGGGAAAGGAATCCCTATTTAATAAATGGTGTTGGGAAAACTGGCTAGCCATATGCAGAAAATGGAAACTCGACCCCTTCCTTCACCTTATACAAATATTAACTCAAGGTGGATTAAAGACTTAAACATAAGATCTAAAACTATAAAAACTCTAGAAGAAAATCTAGGCAATAGCATTCAGGACATAGGCATGGGCAAAGACTTCATGACTAAAACACCAAAAGCAATGGCAACAAAACCAAAATTGACAAATGGGATCTAATGAAACTAAATAGCTTCTGCACAGCAAAATAAACTATCAGCAGAGTGAACAGGCAACCTACAGAATGGAAGAAAATTTTTGCAATCTATCCATCTGACAAAGGGCTAGTATCCAGAATCAACAAAGAACTTAAGTTTACAAGAAAAAAACAAGCCCATCAAAAAGTGGGCAAAGGATATGAACAGACACTTCTCAAAAGAAGACATTTATGTGGCCAACAAACGTATGAAAAATCTCATCATCACTGGTAATTGGAGAAATGCAAATCAAAACCACAATGAGATACCATTTCATGCCAATTAGAATGGCGATCATTAAAAAGTCAGGAAACAACAGATGCCTGACAGGATGTGGAGAAATAGAAACACTCTTACATTGTTAGTGGGAGTGTAAATTAGTTCAACCATTGTGGAAGACAGTGTGGCAATTCCTCAAGGATCTAGAACCAGAAATATCATTTGACCCAGCAATCCCATTACTGGATATATACCAAAGGATTATAATTCATTATACTATAAAGACACATGCACATGTATGTTTATTGCAGTACTATTCACAAAAGCAAAGACTTGTAACCAACCCAAATGCCCATCAATGATAGACTGGGTAAAGAAAATGTGGCACATATACACCATGGAATACTATGCAGCCATAAAAAAGGATGCGTTCATGTCCTTTGCAGGGACATGAATGAAGCTGGAAACTTCTCAGCAAACTAACACAGGAACAGAAAACCAAACACCGTAAGTTCTCACTCATAATTGGGAGTTGAACAATGAGAACACATGGACACAGGGAGGGGAACATCACACACTGGTGTCTGTCAGGGGGTTGGGGGGGTGAGGGGTGGGATAGCATTAGGAGAAATACCTAATGTAGATGTAGTTGATGGGTGCAGCAAACCACCATGGCACGTGTATACTTACCTAACAAACCTGCGTGTTCTGCACATGTATACCAGAACTTAAAATATAATTTAAAAAAATGTATAACTTCAGTCTAATCATGAGTACATATCAGACACCCCAAAATTAAGGGACAATCTACAGAATAACTGGGCAGTACTTATTCAAAGTGTCTTGAAAGACAGGAAAGTCTGAGGCTAAGCTTGGAGGAGACTAAAGAGATGTGCAACTAAATGCAGTGTAGAACACTGGATTGTTTTCAGAAATATAAAAAAAATAGTAGTAAAAAAGTGAAACAGATATAACTTGTAGTGTAATAATATTGTACCAATGTCAATTTCATAGTTTTGATAATTTTACAATGATTCTATAAGTTTTTAACATTAGGGAAAGCCTGGTGATGGTATATGAGAATGTTCTCCACTAGTTTCCAAACACTTATGTCAAAAAATTACTGCAATATAAAAAGGGAAAAAAAGAACTGTTTAGCTCTTACACAAATACATTTTAGTGGGTATGGGCACAACTGTTGGCTAAAAGACATGACCAGTGTATTACTTTTTTCTCACAGTGCTATAAAAATACTACCTGAGACTGGGTAACTTATACAGAAAACAGTTGACTCACAGTTTGCATGCCTGAGGAGGACTCAGGAAACTTAACAATCATGGCAGAAGGCAAAGGAGAAGCAAGGCACATCTTACATGTGGCAGGCGAGAGAGAGCAAGGGGGCAAGTGCCACACACTTGCCAACAACCAGATCTTGTGGGAACTCACTCACTATCACAAGAACAACCAGGGGGAAATTTGCTATGATCTAGTCAGCTCCCAGGAGGCCCCTTCCCCAGAATACGGGGATTAGAATTCTCAGTGAGATTTGGGTGGGGGACACAGAGCCAAACCATATTACCCAGTGAACCCCATCACCTGTCCCATCAGCCATTTTCATACAGCAGTGTGATGCCCACTCTTTGATGGGCTACATTTTAACAAAAGCCCTATTTTCATCTTAGTCACTCCATAAATGATAGATGGTAGATAGACAGATAGATAGATAGACAGACAGGAAAGCAACTGCTTGTATTGCTAAGTAATATTTAAAATGAACATCCATTTTATCCTGTGCTGCTGATGATATTACCAAACTCTTCTTTAATCACAACTTGAGGAGATTGGGTGAAACATTCTTAGAGACAAATTGAGTTCCAGTGGATTTATAATAAATTATATATTATTTTATTTTTCATATTACCAAAGTAATGCATACATAATATTTAAAACAATTTTTTAAAATGCATAGAACCGAATAAAAACATACAGTTTCTCCTCATTAAGGCGGGGCACAGAGAAGGTCAGGTTTGTGTTGCTTACATGCATTTGTAAACATAAACCATAATATTACATTTGGTTTAAAGATGCACTCTATTTAGCAATTGTTAGAAGTATTTCAATGTTGAATCCTCAGAGGATTCTCCTTCAGCTCAGACCACTTGTTTCTTGCCGTATAGTATTGTTACACACTTATATGGGGAGTCTTCCAAGGGACAAGTGAAGAGAGAGGTTTTCTGGCTGTTCAACTCTGCCTTTGCTCCTGCACGCCATGGCATGGTAGGGTACTGAGTGCAATGAACTCTGCCAATTTTTAAACATATGCACTTGCTTCACTGCCACCCACCACCCATAACTCCCAGGTCCAGAAATGAAGATTTTTGGCACAGAGCCAAAAAATTATCTAGCGAGATTGTTCTGGCCTCTTGAGATCTCATGCACTGGGTGATCATTGTATGCTCAAAGAGAAAGCATAGTAGGAAAAGATCCAAAACCTTAATGCAAAAGTGCCATCAAAGTGACCCTAACAATTGTTTTGGACCTAGGCACTTCGTAGTGGACACCTGAGGGCTTTAACTGCATGTTCTCAGAGGGGGCCTGATGCCAGACCAACAGCTACAGAGAAACCTGATCACTGTCCCTTAATTTTAATGCTGTCCTTAGCAACTCTTTCTATCTACTTCGTGTATTCAAAATCCTTCTGGCTGACGTTATTTTCCAGGAGCAGAACAGAGCAATAACAGAGAGTTATTCCAGGAGCAATAACAGAGAGTTATAAACTGAAGAAGCGCTCGTGTCATCAATTAATTTAATAGCACTGAAATATTCAAATTTTCTGCTACATAATTTATGCCCTAATTTCAAGCAACTTGTTTTACAATCCCCAGACCTAACAAAATGACCTCCTAGAAAGCACACAGGGCTCTTTTTTTTTTTTTTTTTTTTTGCCAAGGACAAGTTTGTCATTCAAGATATTTTCCAACACATACTTGAGTATTATACTGTCTAAGTTCATAGTGGCCTCATCCACTACAGTGTAATGAAAAATCAGTTCCTTGGAAACTGTTTGTAACCTCTTAAGATTAAGAATCTACTTGAATCTGTAAATGTGTGCAAGACACTTTCTGTACATTAGCTTGTTAATTCCCATACTGGTGCTCAACTATAGTTCCAAAGGTTAAGGAATTGCTCAAGGTTATACAGCTGGTCAGAGGCAGAACCCAGGTATTTTGCTATAAAATCTCTTCTCTTTACCTTTCCCATTGTTTCTCATCCTTACATAAGTGTCAAGCTTTATAGTTGGTATATTTTTCAATTGAAAAAATGTGAAGAGTGAAAGAAAGGCAAACAAGATTATTTCCATGCAAACAGTGTCCTCCTTCTTCAATCAGTTTCTACTACACGACCAATTGGAAAGTGCTGGTCTGTGTTAGACGGTCCCTGTATCTCAATCACATTGTGAGATCTTCCAGAATCGAGAGGATTTCGTGGGTGAGAACAGTTCCTGTTGAAATACGAATGAGTCCCTTTGGTGATAGGCTTGGCAAAACACTCAAGATGCGTACCAGTGACCAGGATGAGCTCATTTCTAAAATGTATACATTCTGGGCTAATGTTTTATACCATTCAAAAAGGCAAGACTAAGAAACGAAGATGCAGGCAAACTTTACCCAGGCATTGACCCCTTTGCTTTCAATGTATGATAGCCCTTCCCCAAAACGGTGGAAGAAAATGATTACTGATGGTTACACCATTTAGTCACAATCAGAGGCATGTGATTTGCTTCAGTTTAATGACATTCAATGCTTTTCTTTTAAAAGACACCTGTCATTAACTGCTTCTGCCTTATGATCGCTAGGGTTAACTTTCCTTAAACACAGTATTTTATTCTAATAAATTTGCAGGTGGTACAATAAAAACCATGAGGTTATAGTAAATGAATATTTCCCGGGGAATAAGCTGTCCATGTCTTTGCAACGAATGCACGCTTTCACAGAAAACTTCCCTCAGTGGGATTCTGGCATCTGGGATAGTTTATTTCACTTAATAGGAATGTGCAGTTTACTGTCGTGGAGGAGTTTATGCAACATGTGATCAACTGTTTCACTATTTCTTAAGACAAAATAAATACATATAAGATTTCACAGAAGATCTCTCTGTGTAAATATGAATTCTCAATATTTACTGGCTATTTCAAAGTGTGGGAGAAAAAGCAGCCACGGTGATTGTAAGGGTAGATGCACTTACAATAAAGAGGGGGTTGTACTGAATATGCAGGAGCTGAACTGATGATTTAAAATGTATCAGAATATGATAGGAGTCCTCATTAACCGCTCTGAGCTCTTTGTAATAAATAAACTCGAGCATTTTTTTGTCTGTTATGCTTCATCGTGTTGCTCTAGTTCCTGGCAAATCCTTCTTGATTGTTTTGCTCTGCAAAGTGTTTTATTAATGTTCATGTTAACATTCTCCACAACGTTAGTAGTAACCTAGACTTATTAAAGAGATTACATTTTTACTTTTAGCTTTTTATAGAAACTTAATATTTGGATTCTAAAATGATGTCTCTGTCCAAGTTTGCAACATTGACACCTTTACCCTAATGTACCCCATGGAAAAAAATCAATCAGCTGAATTAAGTTTCTTTTTACAGGAAAAAAAAAACGTATAATTAAATTCATGAAACCACACCGTTATAAGAAACCATATATCATATCTATATCTCTCTGTATAGATATGCCACTTAGAAGCAAAGTAGATAATAGACTGTTTACTCACAAAACATTTCATATCTTTGCCTCATATCACATGCAGTATAGTGAAATAAGAATAGTTTTAATCTTAGGATCAGATATTTGATTCAAATCTCAACTTTACCACTTACAAACTTTGTAAACTTGGGTTTTATTTATCTGCTTATTCATTTATTTTACCATTTAAGCATCAAATTATACTACAATAAAATTAATAGTAATTCATAATGTACATAATGGTCTGTAGGTTTTAGAATGGCAGTAAAAAATGTCTCACACAATGATTGGAGCATAGCAGAGATTAAATAAGTCTTATTTCTCCTTTTCTTCCCTTCCTCCACAAGTGAGTAGCTTACACGTTTTCCATTGTGAATACTTGATAAATATGTTTTTACTTGGTTTACTAAACAGTTAAATACACACAAATCGACCAATTTACTTCAAAAAAGCTGTAAAGGTATTTTCACAGATTAAATTTAGAAAAATGTGATCTTATTTTTTTAAATCATCTGACATTTAGTCAATAATTCCTGTGTATTGTCAGGAATTGAATGAAATAATATATTTATTTCACATAGTGCATTGAATGAAATACATATGTAATTATTCAACTACATATTACTTATTGATACATACTACATTTTGTAAATTAAACAAAAGTTTACCTGAGAGTAAAAAACTGTAAACAAGAATTCTTACTGTAACATTTTTATTAGTAGTAAAAAACTTAAAATAATCCAAATACATATACAAAAACACAATCACACAGAAATAATATTATTTTTCCCCTTATTACTAAGGGGAGAAAAAATTTCTAACAAATTTTTTGTAGTATGTGGAGAATAGAATCCATTATTGTTAAGTTTTTGTAAATAGTAAAAAGAATGAAAATATATACAGCTCTTATGTGTAGAAAAAGGAAGAAAGAGAACTGAAAACAGTTATTGGAAGAAGGTTATTATGTGGGTCTTTCTCTTCCTGTATTATGTATTTCTCTAATGCTTAAACTTTGTAATACATTGTATGTTATAGTATATGTTAATATCATCCTATGCAAAAAATATAACCTTCTGACTAAAAATGAAGAAAATAATTTGAGAGCTTGTCTATTAAGGCAAATAACCAAGGTGATTTAACTATATATCTCTCAGTTTTCTCATCTAACAAACATCTAATCTACTTTATAGAATTGTGGAAATAACTTGAAATAATGCAAGAGAGACCACTTTGTAATATATAGTGCTATCTCATAATTCGAAATCCAAAAATGGATTTGCTTTGAACTATTGATAAGATTATCTTGCACACCTCTAATTCAAGGTGGAAGACAGTGCAGTAAATGGCTCTTACAGAGATAAAACACTGCCTTCCTTAGCAGCTAGGTTTAACTCCTTCAGAGACAGGCTATTGTCATCAGTCAGTGTTGAAAAATAAATCTCACACTTTCAAAAGAAAAGCTCAATTACCATGTCGCAGCAAATCTAAAGAATAATCCCATGCAACAATGGCCATCTGATTCTTTTTTATTGAAATGATTTATTATTCATATGTAAGACACTTCTAAATATTCATGTTGATGTCCCAGAAGCAAGATAGACTGAGCCACTTCATTATAAAGTTATCATAAAGTTATCTAGAAAAGCATAGCAAAGGACTTTGTAAAAGTAGGTTAGCTCATTTACAAAGAGTGTTCTTTTCCAGTTTTTTAGCAATGACAATGAAAAAATAGAGACGGTGTGGCAGCTTTCTTAGCAGCTTGTGGCAGATTGAGGCAGTTAGAACCTCACAAATAAGGACCACAGTAGTTGTACTAATATTTGCTGCCCTTCACCCAATAAAATTTCCATAATTACGATCATGTATTTACATCACCAAATGAAGTTGAGTATTTGCATTGTGGCTTAAAATGCATACTGATTGTGATTTGATTAGTCATTAGCATACCAAATATAGAAAACCTGGGCTATGGAAATGTTGGAAACTGAATTTCACTGTCCTCAAACTAGATTATTTGTATCTTTTTTAAAAAAACCTACTCATCATGACCTCTTATGTGTACATTTCTCAGATTTGCCTCTCCTTCAATTAAAATCCAGTTTTAGACAATAAGATGTTCTACATTTCAGTTCAATAAGCAGAGCTAAAACTTTCATATGTATCATAATTTGTCTATCCCCCAAGTAAATCTCAATTATAATTAGAAAATCAAATACAACTTTCTTAATAGAAGAGTGAAATTTGACATTTTTTAAACCTAGTCGTATTTAGATCCAGAATATCTTATCATTTAGTTCCTTGGGTTTTTTTTTTTTTCTGAAAATGATAGGTGTTAAAAATATTTTGAGAAAACTTTGAGAATAAATAAATACCTGGAAGTTAATTAAGATGAAATTATAGTATTTTTACTAAATTTAATGCAGCAAATAACATTTTGAATGTCAGTGATGTGTTATTTACATAGGAAATCACGCAAAAAAAGAGAGATTGAATGAGAGAGACAATCTGACTTCAGGGAGCTTATTATTCAGTAAGGAGGTACCATGCTAAAGTATTGGTAAAACAAACATTTGCAATTTATTGGGCACTTACAATTTTAAATGCAGTACTTTTACTACGATCTCTAAAATACCAACACTAATCATGGTAAGGAAAATTTTTCTTTTTTTTAATGTAGAAACGCAGTCTCGTTATGTTGGCCATGCTGGTCTCAAACTCTTAGCCTCAAGCAGTCCTCCCACCTCAGCCTTCCAAAGTGCTGGGATTACAGACATGATGCTTACTACATGTTAGGCATCATCCAAGGCACTCCAAACATTTTCTTGTTTAACCAGTCCACAAACAGGAAACTGATATTTAAATCTTTGCATAAACTAGAAAACAAAATAAATTGTCTGGTTCTAAGATTCTGTTGAACACAGAAACTCCATGAAATTATCAACAATATATACAAGACAATATATGATACATTCTGCAAGAGAATTCAAGCAAAGGATGTAATTGCCAAAATGGCAGGCAGCTTTATCTGTTTGCTCCCTGATTTATACCAAGTTCCTAGAACTGTATCTCGTGAATAAAAGATGCTCAATAAATATGTGTGGGATTGAATTAAGTTTCAGGGAAATAAGTTTGCAGTCACTGGGTGTAGAGATTAGGATGGGAGTTAAATGACAAGTCAAACAACACTATCTGAAGGCAGTTTTAAAGCTCTCACTGGCATTGGAACTGTCGTAAAGGTCCTTCCAGTCAAATCTTCTTCCCACTGCAGCTTGTCTGATTGTAAGATGATCATTGAAGCCCTTTTGAACACTCTTCATGTTAACGGTATCTCCAAAACTACTTTCTAAATGTAGTAATACTTAGATGGGCATGGTTAGATGCAAAGTAAGAGCATGTTACATGTGAGAAAAATATAACATTTCAGTGTTCGTGAACTTGGAGGGTTTATATGGTTATGCTTGTGGCTGGTAGAAATTAAGTTACTGGAGTCAAGGAGGTGCAAAAACTGTGAAGCGATTGAATTATACCCTATAGTCATAAACTTTGCAGGAGACAGGCAGAGGGTGAAAATGTAGACCAGGTGCTGAAATCACTGAGGAAAGAGGAGGAATGTCTGGGTAGCTCAGTAAATGACTGTATTAAAGGACAGAAAGCAAATTCTGTCAAGAAAAACTGAGGAAGAGGATGAAATTACTGCATCTGGCCACTTGCAGTGAGCAAAGAATGTGCAAATGCTTTCTGTTGCTGGGGATTCCTGGGGAGCACATTATCAGCCAGATATAGTGTTTTGGGGAAAGGCAAAAACAAAAGTAATATTCAAGGAAAAGTCTAAGAATAAAACCCTACAGCATGTACTTATTGATTAAATGCCTACACTCTGCTAGTCTCTTTGCTAGGCACTTTGGATGTAGAATTGTTTTTATTCTCAAAATAGCAAGCATTTCAAAGGGAACATTTAAAAGGCAAGTTAATATGTGAATATTGGAACGCGCACAAATAGGTGATTTTGATGATGAGGCCAAAGTGACTGCATATCCACTAAGGAACGTCCACTGCCCTATGTGGGCTTTCTCTTTCACGCACTTGACTTCCCTTAGCTTTGAAAAATGCACAGGTGTACATTTGCGTACATACCCATGTCCTCAGGCCTTTGAAATGCTATTCTAAGAACCGAAGCTAGGTTTTCATAGCCTCAATTCTCTTGAGTTATTGGTTAAATTGTCCTGAAAGAAAATCTTTTGGCCTATGTACATCAGCCATTTATATCCATGGTGACATGGCCAAGAAATAAAAATCCAGGAGGTGAAAAGACTGAGTGGCTTTGAATCCTTCTCAGCTTCTAGTAGCTAGAATCATAATTTGATAGCTACCACAGGTTTTCCTTGTGATCTACTCCAAATAGGTTGTTTTATGCCTCACTTTCCTTATTTGTGAAATGTACTGTGAAAATAAAGCCCGTCCCATGCGGCAGAGCTGTCATTAGGTTTCCATGATGAAGTATCATCTGAGTGAATCCTCATTATGCACATTACGGCCCAATTATGCTCATGTTATGAAAAAAACAGCCCATTTGTAGATATGCACAGGTATCGAATCTCACATATGAAAGTGAAAGTCAGAAACATTTTTCAATTTTTATTTTTGAGAATGATTAAGTACTAAAATTATCTGACATCCAGCTTGTAATTTTCTGCATTTTCATAGGCATGATACACTTAGTCAATAACATAGGATATTAGTCTGACTTTAATATATAATAAAATTGGACTAAATTCACTCACTTCTTCATTTCTATTATTTATTGCAGTGTCTGCCACATGAAACGTATTGACTTTTGTGCCAACCTCTGTTCTTGTCACAATTTTAGTCAGGCAAATTAGCTTTCTAAATGCGGTAGCCTCAGTATACTTTGCAAAATATATTGGCTTGCCTTTACAATTTGACCTTTCTTCTGAGGAGCTGGGCCATTTCAGGGCTGAAAGCCATATTTTGTACTTCATTTTTCTCATTCATGTTTGACTTTTATTGAGCTCTACACAAGGTGAGGCATGCATTTTGCATAGAACTTTCTTTGAATGTTGTCATTGAACACAGGTAGTTCAAATACATACTTTATATTATTTGATCATGGCTAAAGTATCTTTTAGAGTGTGGTTAAACTAAGGACATTTGTTCATAGAAAAAAATGAGGAAAAGGAAAAAAACTATTGTAAGTTGAATAAAAATTCAGGAAGGTACCTGAAACATAAAGTAATTATTTGCTACCAATACAGAGAGATGTTGAGGTAGGTTTTATGTAGAATTTTCTAGAAGTTCAATGTCCAGTGTCATGAAGCAATGTAGAAAACTGAGAATGCATGTCTGCAGATCAGTAAAGTATGTTCTGAATGACCATATTAGCCATGGGTATTAATTAGCTAGGAAGTACCCACCTACAATGCACTCTGCTTGGAGGTACAGTGTCTCAACCACCTGGTTCTTCATTCATTTAAACACATTTATTAAGTACCTTCATTTGCTAAGCTCTGTTTTTTTTTTATTACTATTAGTTTATATCTTTGGAATATCTATTGTTTAGATACAAGAAGGTTTTGTTGTTGTTGTTGTTGTTGTTTTAGATATTAGACGCAATAGTGAAATATTTCTGAGACTTACAGATGAAAATCTATCCATTATATCACAGTAGAGCTTTAACATAAAAGATATTGTATGGTAACGGTACTTTGTACATAATATTCAACTAATGGAAAATGTAAGGCTATTCTTTTTACTTTTCCGTAATTTAGGAGGAAATTTTCCACCCTCTCCCCCAAAATCAAACTTGGTGATATTCAAGAACACACACTTGAAGCAAAAAAAGTTAGAAAAAATAATCAAAATCAGAAGAGTTTTTCAAAAAGGAAAACTCCATAAACCTTAGAAATAATTTTCATGGAAGTTAAAATTAGAAGCATCACTAAAATAGAATATAATATATTTACATTGATGCATGATGTAGATTGCTGTTATCATGTGTAATAATTCAGTTTATTTTTTAAAATAATATATTTATAGACTTCCTTTCAAAAATTGTGTAACGTAGCTTGCAACCTCTGACTATCCTGTCAAGACAGCTCCCAAAGAGGTTCTAACTTCATTACTCTTTTGTCTCTCAATTTACTCCCGATGTCATTTGAGTTGATACTCATAATGATCCAACTCTTACAGCACAGTCTAAGAAACAAGAAGTAAGATATGAATGGTCCATTGGACAGTGCATTTTATATTTGCCTTAAATTCCAGCAGTATTAAAGAGACAGTGGTACAGACAAGTCATTGCTGTGGTCATCAGAGCTCTCTGAAGAAAGAAAAATCTAAGCACTTGAGGGATGTAATGAAGAAGGACACGGGACAGAGGAAAAAAAGAAAAGAGAAGGGAGAAGAGAAGAGAACACTGGCAAAGCTGGCATTCAGAATCATATAAACATAATTTTTTATTTCTCTTTACCTGAAATTGTCATTAGCTAACCTTGGTCCATAAAGAAAATTGAAATTTAGAGCTCTTCAAGATTCCTTACAAAATAACTCCTGACCTCTTTGTTGAACTATCACAACTTAAAGCAAGTGGTAGTGAGCCCTAGAGATCATCCTGCTGGAATGCCTCCTAGAAGATTCAAATATGTCTTTAATTGTAATTATGTCATAATTATCAATGACTAAAACCTTACTCAAATAATATTTTATTCTTGTTATTTTTAAACTGAGGAAATGAGATAGCATAAGCACTCACTTCAGTGTCAGTTAATAATTGGATCTAGTCAATGGTAACAGAGACTAGTATTACTAGCAGCTTTGGTGTACAGGTAGGACTCTCTCTTTCCCTCTGTCTCTCTCTCTCTGTCCTATCTCACACACACACACACACACACACACACACAGACACACACATGCAGACACACAATTTGAAAAGTTAGCCAGGCTCAGACTGGATGGGTGGATCCAGAAAGACATCTCAGTTACCCTCAGTTTCCATTCCCCAAATCACAAAGTGGCTGCTAATGCATCAGCCATCTTCCAGGGAAGAGTTAACCTGGTTGTTCTGCGTTGCTCAAACTGTGCACATCCCTATACTAAACCTGTCTTTATGATTGGACTGGCCCCATTGGCTTCTCCTGGAAATTGAGCTCCTTGTTCTAACTAATGACTGTTTCTGCTGGGGTTTTTTTGCCTTTAACTACACTGTACCAGTTTTTCTAGATAAACTGTACAAACCAAGTAATTTATGCTAAACACCTGCTTTTCTTTGGGGGATCTGGAGAGACTATGGAAGTCCTAGAGGCATTGAATGCGTACATGCTCAACCCCTAATGAAAACTCTGGACTCTTAGGTTCAGGCACAGGTGAGTTTCTCTGATAGAAAACACTTTACACATTTTTTTTTCTAGAGAAATTAAGCACATCTTGTGCAACTCCACCCAGAGAGAAATATTGGAACCTTGAGACTGGTTGTTTTCAGACTTAGTCCCACACACCTTTTCCTTTTGCTGATTTTGCATAGTATCATTTTGCTGTAATAAATCATAAGCATGAAAATATGAACTTCTAAATTCTGTGAGTCGTTCTAGCAAATCGAATAATCTGAGGGTGGTTTGGGGCCTGCCAACATACTACCATATTCACACTTTAAACAGTATAAAGGAAAATGCAGGGAGGGGGGTGAAATATTTACCTCGAATACCCACACAACATCTGTTTAAGTGTCAATTTGTTCCGCCTTTACCTTCATCTGTGCACAATGCACAGGGTTATATTGGTAAGAAAAGGAGAATAAATATTGGGTAGACAAACAACTGTCTTTTTTGCCCACCCAAAAAACAATATACACATTTTTTCCCACCTACATATAGAAGAAAGATAACCTTCCCTTAAAGGAAGCAATCACAAGGTCTCATACAGTTTCTGCTTAGAGCTCAAGGCCCAGGATCTCTGCATTACATGCAGGTAGGTGAATATCATGTCTAGGTGTGGCTTCTGGGACCTATAGACTCAATGCTTTCAGAGGAGAATAAGAAAAACATAGTAGTCAAATGTCACCTAATAGAAATCGCCTGAGGTCTGGCTCCAGCAGTGGAATATGTTCCTTCATTAGCCAGTCTGAGGGTCCCTGAGTGATTTCTTGGATAGGCAATCCCCTATTCATTTTCCTCAGAGGGCCTGGCTCTCAGGATCCAGGAGATCCTGGGAGAATTCTGCTTGCCTAAGATCTCTTGCCATATCTGAGATGAGCACTGAACAGTGTGACTTTCTTGGGGGCTGTCCTGTATGCATGGCTCACTTCTTACCATTGCAATTTCAAAGGCCCAGAGATTCCTTTGTAAATTTAAGTGTCATACCTCGTTGAGGCAAAGGATTGTGATTTCTTTGACAATATGGTTGCATGAAACATAGAAGTTTCTGGTATATTTGTTTTTAATCATTATGATAAGAGGCCGTGTGAATGGGTTATTTCTGTCAATGTTACTACATTTCTTCAGTTCCTTATGAAGCTGGTATATCAAGAAAAGAAAAAATATTTTCTATCCCTGCCCTTTAGAAGATTACAATCTGTGATGAGATAATACATCAAAAATAAATTACAGAGTCCTACCCAGAGCAATCAGGTAAGGGAAAAAAAAGGCATCCTAATAGAAAAAGAACTGAAACTATCTCTGTTTGCCGACAATATGATTTATACCTAGAAAACGCTAAAGGCTCCACCAAAAGGCTCTGTGAGCTGATAAAGAAGACTTCAGTAAAGTTTCAAATACAAAATCAATATACAAAATCTGTAGCATTTCTATTCACCAATAATGTTCAGGCTGTAAGCCAAATCAAAGAAACAATCCCACTTAAAATAACCAGGAAAAAAGTAAAATACATAGGAATACATCTAACCCAAGAGGTAAAAGATCTTTCCAAAGAGAACTGCAAAACACTACTGAAAGAAATAAGACATGACACAAACAAATGGAAAAACATTCCATGCTCATGGATTGGAAGAACCAATATTATTAAAATAGCCATACTGCCCAATGTAACCGACAGATTCGATGCTATTTCTGTCAAACTGCCAACATCATTTTTCAAAGAATTAAATAAAACTATTCTAAAATTCATATGGGGGAGTTTCAAGATAGGCAACCAGACACAGCTGGGAAGTGCCACTCCCACTTAGACAAACCAGGATTTCAACTAAACCAATGTAATTTGAACAGATCTTCAGAGAGAAAACACCAAACGTGGATGGAGATGCAGATGCTGAAGCTGAAGAGAGAGGAAGCTGGTAACTCTGTGTGAGGTGCCTGAACACTAGGGCTTGCTCCCAGCCCTGAACAGCCCCTGGGGAAAGAATGAGTGTAGGGACCAGGTAACTGACTCTTGATATAAACCTCTGGGATCTTAGCTACAGGGGATGCCACTCCCTCAAAAAACGTTTGAGCTTGAAGGAGGATCTCCCCAGAGATTACACGGAGATGGGCTTGAGTAGGCATGGAGCCAGGGACTTTTGTGCACAGGATAGCTCTGATGGAGCCTGGCCATAGACGCCCAACCTCCATGGCTGCCCATCTCCCTCTGAGAGGCTCTGGCCCTAGCTCACCACCAGAACAGGAGAAAGCAGGGCCAAATTACCCACAGGACTAGGGCACATCTGTCTTGCAGGCCTGCCTGCCAGCCCCTCCCAGTGCTCCTGGCTGGCTGCCTCACAGGTGTGTGTACACAGTGCAGCCTCTGCTGCCCAGCCTGGGTGTTTGGCTCCACCTCAGTGCATTCCAGCAGCCTGGAAGCCCCTCAGATCTCCCATGCACCTGGAACCCAACTCTGAGAGTTCAGAGGAGGAAGCCATGAGCAGATCCTGGTGCCCCAAGGCTGTGACTCATATCTCTGGAGTGCCAAACCAGGATCTGTTCCCAGCACTTGAGTGGAGAAACTCACATTCTCAGAAAACTGAGAGGAGTGAGTCACACAGGTTCATGGGCTGGTGTGGGAACTGGGCATGCCTCTCTCCACAGGGCTGTTCTGGTAAGCGTGTGGCCAATCTCTCCCAGCTGAACCACTGTCTGAGGGAGTCGCATGGCCTAAAACACCTAACAACAAAAACAACAAAACATGGGCACAATGTTAGTGATCAGAGGTAGCTCCCCCAAGGCCCAGGAGTGGAAGTAATGGAGGAGTCACCTCTCTCCACTTCACACCACAAAGCACAGCTGCAAAGATGAGGATACACAAAGGAGCCACATGGCTGAGTAAGAGCCTATTTACTGTCCATTGCTCTCAGGCATCATCTAGTGGATCACAGCCCAACCTATGGCATAAAAAAAAAATTGCTAATTCACTCTCCTGCAAAACCAAAAGCAAGAATGTAACAGCATGCAAAGAAACAATATTTCTTTGAAAACTTCCAGAATGAAACTAGCTGACTATACTCAGTTTGTGCCACAGTTAAAGGAAACAATCCCCCCCACCCCCTACAGAAGAGAAAAAATCAGCACAAGAACTCTGGCAATTCAAAATGCCAGAGTATCCCCTTACCTCAAAAATGAGCCCACTAGCTCCGCAGCAGTGGGTTCTTAGTCTGAAATTACTGAAATGGCAGACATGGAATTCAGAATCTGGATGGCAAGGAAGCTCAACAAGATCTAGAAGAAAGTTGAAACCCAATCCAAGGAAGGCAAGCAATCCAATAAAACAATTCAAGAGTTGAAAAACAAAATAGTCGTTTTAAGAAAGACCCAAACTAAACTTCTTGAGCTGAAATACTCACTACAAGAATTTCAGAATAAAATCAGAAGTATTAACAGCAGAATAGACCAATCCAAGGAAAGAATCTTAAAGCTCAAAGACCAACCAGAAGCTCAAATCAACTCAAGCAGACAAAGATAAATTTTTTTTACAAAATGAACAAAATCTCCAATAAATATGGGATTATATTAAGATACCAATTTTGTGACTCACTAGCATCCCTGAAAAAGAAGGAGAGAGAATAACTTGGAAAATATATTTTAGGATACAGTCCACCCAAAAAAAAATCTCCCTAATCTCATAGGAGAGATTGAGGGGTAAATTCAAGAAATATAGAGAACCCCTCCTAGATACTGTAGAAGATGACCATCCCCAAAACACATAGTCATCAGATTCACCGAGATCAATGCAAAGAAAAACTCTTAAAGGCAGCTAGAGAAGGATCAGGTGATGTACAAAGGGAACCTCATCAGACTGGCAGTGAACCTTTCAGCAGAAACTTTACAAGCCAGAAGACACTGGGGACCTATTTTCAGCATCCTTAAAGAAAAGAAATCCCAAAGAAGAATTTCATACCCTGCCAAACTAAGCTTCATAAGTGAAAGAGAAATAAAATCCTTCCAGGCAAGCAAATGTTAAGGGAATTTGTTTCCACTAGACCAGGCTTACTAGAGGTCCTCAAGGGACTGTTAAACATGGAATCAAAAGAAATTTGAAACCTGCTGCCACAAATACTCACGTAAGCACATAGTTCACAGACACTATTGAGAAACTACACAACCAAGTCTGCATAACAACCAGCTAAAAACATGATGACAGGATCAATATCTCATTTATTAAAACTAAGTTTGAATTTAAATGGACAAGTGGCTTCGTGTAAAAGACATAGAGTGGCAAGCTGGATAAAAGACAAGACCCAACTATCTGCTATCTTCAAAAGATCCATCTCACATGTAATGATCTCAGAGGCTCAAAGTAAATGTTGAAAAAAAAGATCTATCCTCTAAAAAAAAAAAAAACAAAAAGAGCAGGAGTCACTATTCTTACGTTAGATAAAACAGACTTTAAACCTCTAACAATTAAGAAAACAAAGAAGGGCATTACATAATGATAAAGGGTACAATCCAACAAGAAAACTTAACTATCCTAAATACACATGCACCCAACATTGGACTACGCAATTTCATAAAACAGCTTCTTCTTGATCTACAAAAAGACTTAGCCACACAATGATAGTGGAAGACTTCAGCACCCCACTGACAGCATTAAAGATTAGTGAGGCAGAAAACTAACAAAGAAACTCTGGACTTAAACATAACACCTGACCAGATGGATCTAGTAGACATTCACAGAACACTTCACACAACAACCAGAAAACATGCGTTCTGTCATATTTCGTGACAGAGACACAACCAAAAAAGAAAACTTCAGGCCAATATCTTTGATGAACATAGACAGAAAAATCCTCAACAAAATAGTATCAAACTGCATCCAGCAGCACGTCAAAGAGTTAATACAACGCAGTCGAGTAGGCTTTATTTCTGGGATGCACGGCTGGTTCAAAATACACAAATCAATAAATGTGATTCACCACTTAAGCAAAATTTAAAGCAAAAAACCTATGATAATATCAGTAGATGCACAAAAATATTTCTATAAAATCCAATATCCCTGCAAAATAGAAACTCACAACAGGCTAGGCATTGAATTAACATACCTAAAAATAATAGGAATAATCTACAACAAAACTACGGCCAACATCATACTGAATGGGCAAAAGCTGGAAGCATTCCCCTTGAAATTGGAAAAAGACAAGGATGCCCACTCTCACCACTCCTACTTAACATAGGACTGGAAGTCACAGCCAAAGCAATCAGGCGAAATAAAGAAATAATATGATTTTATACCTTGAAAACCCTGAAGACCCTGCCAAAAGGCTCCTAGAACTGACAAACGACTTTAATAAAGGAAATAAATCAATGTACAAAAATCAGTAGCATTTCTATACCAACAACATCAAGGCTGAGAGTGAAATCAAGAACATAATCCCACTTAGAGTAGCCAAAAGGAAAATGAAATACCTAGGAATATAGCTAATCAAAGAAGTGAAAGATTTCTCAAAGGAAGACTACAAAACACTGCTGAAACAAATCAGACATGACACAAAAAAGTGGAAAAACATTCCATGTTCATGGATTGAAAGAATCAATATTGTTAGAATGCCCATACTTCCCAAAGCAATTTACAAATTCAGTGCTACGCTTATCAGATTGCCAGTGTCATTCTTCACAGAATTAGGAAAAAACTATTCTAAAATTCATGTGAAACTGAAAAGAGCCTGAATAGCCAAAGCAATCCTAAGCAAAAAGAACAAAGCTGGAGGCATCACACTACCTAACTTTAAATTATACTATAAAGCTACAGGAACCAAAACAGCATGGTAATGGTACAAAAACAGACACATAGCCAATGGAACAGAATAGAAAACAGACACATAGCCAATGGAACAGAATAGAAAACTCAGGAATAAGGCTGCACACCTATGACCATCTGATCTTCAACAAGACCAAGAAAAACAAGCAATGGGAAGAGAACTCCCTATTCAATAAATGGTAACTGGCTAGCTATATGAAGAAGATCAAAGCTGGACCCCTACCTTTCACCATACTATATACAAAAATTAACTCAAAGTGGATGAAAGATTTAAATGTAAGACCTCAAACTATAAAACTCCTAGAAGACAACCTAGGAATTTTTCTGCTTGACATTGACTTTGACAAAAAAATTTTGGCTAAATCCCCAAAAGCAATTGCAATAAAAACAAAATATACAAGTGGGATCTAATTATACTAAAGTGTTTCTGCACAGCAAAAGAAACCATCATCAGAGTAAACAGCCTACAGAATGAAAGAAAATGTTCACAAGCTATGCATCTAAGGTTTAATAACTGGAATCTATACATAATTTAACCAATTCAAGAAGCTAAAATCAAATAACCTTATTAAAAACTGGGCAAAAGTCATAAAAAGACACTTTTCAAATGACATACAGGCAGCCAACAAACATTTGGGAAAATGATAAACATTACTAATCATCAGAGAATGCAAATCAAAACCACAATGATATACCATCTAACAGCAGTCAAAATGGATACTATTAAAAGATCAAAAAACAACAGATGCTGGTGAGGCTGAGGAGAAATCAGAACGCTGTTGGTAAGAATGTAAATATGCTGTTGGTAAGAATGTAAATTAGTCCAGTCACTGTGGAGAGCAGTCTGGAGACTTCTCAACTTAAAACATGACTGCCATTCAACCCAGAATTTAATTACTGTGTATATATCCCAAAGAAAATAAATCATTTGACCAAAAAGATACATGCACTTGTATGTTCATTGAAGCACTATTCACAATAGCAAAGACCTGGAATCAACCAAAATGCTACCAGCGGTGGAATGGATAAAGAAAATGTGGTATATATCCACCATGGAATATTGTACGGTCATAAAAATAATGAAATAATGTCCTCTGCAGCAATATAATGTGACTGGAGGCAATTATCCTAAGTAAATTAACACAGGAACAGAAAACCAAATGCCACATGTTCTCTCTTTTAAGTGGGAGCTAAGCATTGGGTACACATGGACATAAAGATGGTAATAATAGACACTGGGACTACTAGAGTCGGGGGAGAGGGAAGGAGATACGTGTTGAAAAGCTAACTGTTAGGTACTATGCTCACTACCTGGGTAAGGGAATCAGTGTATCCCAAACCTCAGCATCATGTAATATACCCCTGTAACAAATCTGCACTTGTACCCACTGAGTCTAATATAAAAGTTGGAATTTAACAAATAATTAAATAAAACAGTCAAAAAATTAAAAGTAGCATAATTAAATAAAACAGTCAAAAAATAAAAAGTAGCTTATCTTTATATAGCAATAGGTGTTACAGGATTATTCAGTAAATGTGGAGATTCCCTGCTGTAGCAATCTTGAAAGTCTTTGTGAAGGAGATGAATCTTAAGAGGTACTGCAGTGAAGGATAGACATTTAAAGCTAAAGGAAATAGCTAAAGGAGAAGAGGAAAAGGCCTACCAAACAGATACAATAGCACTGGTATAGGATGAAGTAGATCAGGAAGGCAAGATTTTTCACTCATGAAAAAAAGAAGCATAGTAAGATATGGACCTATGTATTAGTCTCAAATATGCCTGTGTCCAGAAAATAAATACAAAATTGCTCAATTTAAGGTATACACTATCCTAGATGAACATGTGTCTACACCGGAACTGCTGTTTTTCAATCAAGAGTACGAATTCTTGGGGAGTTCTGGGACCCTGAGGGAGGATAGTAGTGAGCTGGGTAAGTAGCCTACACATTTGACACAACAGGTGGTGTATTAGTCAGGGTTGTCTAGTGGGACAGAACTAATAGGATAGAGGAGTTTATTAAGGAGTTTTGACTCATGCAATCACAAGGTGAGGTCTCACAATAGGCCATCTGCAAGTTGAGGAGAAAGGAAGCCCATCTGAGTCCCAAAACCTCGAAAGTACGGAAGCCCACAGTGCAGCCTTCAGTCTGTGGTTGAGAGTCCAAGAGTCCCAAAGCTGACTAACTTGGAGTCCTATGTTCAAGGGCAGGAAGCATCCAACAGGGAGAAAGATGGAGGCTGAGAAACTAAGCCAGTCTAGTCTCTCCAGTTTCTTCTGTCTGCTTTTATTCTGGCCACACTGGCAACTGATTAGGTGGTGCCAACCCAGATTGAGGGTGTGTTTGCCTGCCCCAGTCCACTGACTAAAATGTTAATCTCCTCTAGCAACACCCTCACAGACACACCCAGGAACAATACTTCACATCCTTCAATCCAATCAAATTGACACTCAATATTAATCTTCATAGGTGGTAATGGACAAAAGAAGTGATCTGGCTGGTATCTGTGGCTGCTACAGTAAGATCTAATAGCATGGGATAAATTGCATTTCAAGGCAGCCTACTTTTACGAACAGCACCATTAATGTTAAGTATTTGGAAAGATTCATTGACATTTCTGGGACTGTTGCTATTACATTCATTCCCCACAGCTTGCCCCCAGTCTTTCTTTCAGGTTCTCTCTCTTTCTCTCTCCCCACCTACTTAATTCTTCCTTTCCTTCTAGGAGCTGGCCTTCCTCTGCTTCACCCCCGTATCACTAGGTACCAAATTGGGATACTCTATTTTTACAAGTGTAGTTTTTAACCTAAATCAGTGTCCGTTATTAATCTGTGTGATTTGCTTAAATAGAAAGAGATTTATTAGAGTCTTAGAGAGCTGAAAGAATCTCCAAGGACAGTAACAACAGAAGCTAAGAAAAAGCTCAATCATATTTAATTACCTTCAAGTGAAAGCCCCAACACTATTTTTTATTGTGCTAGGCACTAAGGATTTTAAGAGTTACATGCTAGGACTTCCACTAGACCAGAATACAAGGCATCAAACCCACTGAACCTGTGCTACATGCTTTATAAGAAGCCAACATCCCTCGATATAGTTGCTTCCTCTCATTCATTGCTTGCTTCCTTCCTCTGATTTGATGTAGTTATAACTACTTAGAGGAACCACAGCTGTGTGGGAGTCCGTCTGCAAAGGAATCTGAAAATGGTAATTATCTATGTATGTATGTATGTGCTCATCTATGTATCTATTAATAATTTGTTCATTTCTTTTTAGTTTACCAGATTTTTTTAAAGAAAATTGTATTAGAAAGTGGTTGAAATGAATATTGACTCAATTTATAGTACTCTCAAAACATCTCATTCTAATTTGAAGTGATTATTTAATCCTGAAAAATCTTTGAAAAAATTGTGTGAATACATATTTAAAGAGTTTCCAATAGCAAAAATAACCAAATAATTTGATGAATCATGATATCATTTAGTAGCCCTAGGTAATATTGAACACATTTTATACATACATTAGCTGCCTTTAGATAGTTTTACAAACATAATATAGTTTGTTAAAATCTAGCATTATATGGAATAATAAAATACATTTCATTTTTCTGCTAACAGTTGCCTAAATAGCGGTTTAACATTTGGTGCAAGGGATGAATTTACTAAATCACCCTTCTGGGAGAGGGGTCCCAGAAGATGCGTAAAGTTTGTTTGCCTTCATGCAAAGTTATGCTCTTTCTGGACTTTGAGGGTGTAGAAGTAGCAAAAGTTAAAAATAGCATTCACAAAGAGTGGATAACAAAGACCACAAATGTAAAAAATATCAGTGTAATTATCTTTAATGCAGGATTAAAGATAATGAAGTTAACTAAAGAGACTTGGTCTGAAACTTATTCAGATAAAACTGAATTCCAAAAGAGTATTACATGGGCCCTAAAGTAATTTATTTATTTTTTAATGGTGTGTAAAATGTCTTACAATTGTTTTTCATTGGTACTTTTACTCTCCTCAGGACACATGGGATGAAAATTAAGTAATTTAAAATTTCAGTGAACATATGTACCATGGTATTCACTTTGTTTTTTCCTATCCAAACTAAAATGAAAACATTCCAGGTCATTTTATTTTCAGAATCAACCCTCAAAACAGCAAAGTTCTAACAAATGATTGAAATAATTGCTCAATTATTAAAACAAATGACAGTTGCAAGTTTTTACTAAAAAAATGAATATTCATAATCACCTCCAAAAATAAAGAATGAGGATGCTACAGATAATCATTTCAATCAGAGTGCAGGTGTCAGATTCCCAGGTGAAGGGAGTTAGGCCATATAGTATAAACCCGGCTATGGCCAAATGCAGCCAATAGGTATTGGGTTCTGTCTTTTTAATTTATTTTTTGACTTTTATATAATTGAAGAAAATATTATATATCCAAGAAAATACATGCTTTCGATTTCTTTCTGCCAAAGATTTCTTCAGCCTAGTCTTTGATTCATTATAACATTTTCTCTCTTGATATCTCAAAAATAATAAAAAATTATTTTTTTTTGCCTCATGGAAATCCAAAATCCAATTATAACTTTGTGTTCTCAGAAATGAACTGTGCTTCAATACCAAATATTTTAGGCTTGTTTAAAAGAACAATTAAAGGAGAAGAAAAACAAGAACAAGAAAAAGGCCATAAAGGGACAGAAGGAGGATAGTAGTTGTCCTATCAGTGGTAAATCAGAAGGGAGGTCTTCACTTCTCCCTTTCTCCCAGTCTCAATCTGTACATCTATCTGGATTTGTATTGATCTTTATCTTCTACCCTCTTTCATTTTCAGGGATGTGTCACATTTTTCCCAAATCTTATATTCAGCCTTTCACAGGGAACAATGGGGAGGCATCTTTTGCCATCTCTTTCATTATCATGGATTTTGCTTCACAGGTCATCCACTACCTTATCTGGGACTCCAAATTTCCCACTCTATGTCTTTCCTGTCCAAAATAAACATCTCTACATTTCTATGAGCTCAGAAAACAAATGAAGACACATAACAATTTTTATTTAATCTTTACATACCTGCAACCTTCTACAGCTGCATCACTGTTCTCCTTCACATCAATGTTCCAAATAGTATTTTCGTCTTCCCATTTCACATTTCTATTCCCACTCTTAAAACTCGTGGTAGTTTAGAAAAAGGAGGTGGTCCACAGTGTTAAGAATCCTAGGATGTTGAATAGAGACAAGCCATTTTTAAAAGGCTTTTCAATTTCTCTTAAACAATAACTGGTGACATTTGGAAGTGTAGGTTTATTAGAGTGGGAGTTATTTTTAATAAACTGGGTTATAACTTTTTTAAACTTTATCACAACTGATGACTTGCAAAAACAAGATAAAATAATAAAATTTCCAAAAATTTCAATATGGCTTTTTATACTAACAATAAAACACTTTATTTGCTACTAAAATAGTACAAGTAAATAAGGAAAATAGAGAAACTGATGTCATTTAATAATTATTTCAATATGAATAGAATAAAACATAATGAGGAACACATGTTTGCTTGGTGCTAATGATACAACGTTTTGCAGTTTTATAGATAAAGCAAAATGTGTAATTTGAACCAGATGTTGAAATACTTTAGGATTAGTATCCAAGGGCAAATATTTCAGAAAATATGTGGAAAGGTAAACCACATATTTGCTACTGGGAGTCCTCTATGTATGTGTCTTTAGATTGCACTTTACTTGGTTTCTCAAAATGAAATCGCGATCCGTTCTCAATACTCTATATGTTTTAAAAGTCCCGCGGAAGCAGTTCAGCAAAGTGGTTAAGAGCTGAGGTTCTGTGTCATATTTTTGGCTTCATTATTTCCCGGCTATGGGACCTCAGAAAACTTAACTTTTCTGAGCCTCAGATTCCTCATTTGTAAAACGAGAATGATAACATTAAAACAACCTCATAGGACCAATGTGGTGTTTAGGTTAAGACAATGCCTGTGAAGTATTTTCAGTGGAACACAGTAAGCACTCAATATAAAGTAGTTAGCACTGTTGTCACTTATTATCACTAGTATTTTTCATTTTAATACCAATAAAACTAACACTTTTCAAAAAAACACTTTTCAAAATTATTAACTGTTAATCTGAGCATCCTTTCAGTCTCACTAACAGTGTCAATTGTTTGCATCCTGAGAAGTGTATGAAATAGGTTCGTTTAAGTTGCATAGCACAGAATCACATTCAGTTTTCTCAGGTGATGGGAACATATTTTAACAATATATTGGTAAATAAGGAAATACAAGAGCAGGCCTTAGAAGCCACTTGGGGCCTGAAATGTCCATTTCTTACAGGACCTCATACAACCCCAACTCTATTGGTCTGGATGTGCTGAATCAGAAGTATCTCTACTAGTCACTTCTGCTAAAACAGGTATTGCCTGGGCTCTGTGGAAATAGTTCTACCTATTTGATGTCCAGCTACTACTGCAGAACCTGCTGCACCTGCACTGACTCTAATGTTAAGGTGACCGATTTCAACTCACTTTTCATACCACCCTTTTTGGGGAGCTGCTTTCCCCATTTCACCACAGGAGGGCAATAGTCTGTCTGGGAAGCTGTTTTGTACAACACAACCCTGTCCCCTCACCAGGCCTGACAGGGAAGGGCCATCAGAGTCCACTCCCCAAAGACAGTGACTTAGCCTAAGCTATTCATGGTTCAATCCCTAGGAATTTGAAGTTGAGACTGAAAAAACAAAAGTCTGCTCCAGGGAGCAACATGTCAACTCGGGATTCATCAGCAGCCATGTTTTGTTGTTGTTGTTGTTGTTTTGCTATGTGGTCAGGAAAATTGGAATCAGCTGATCCTTGAGAATGAGAAAATTGAAACAGACACAAAGAGAGGCATAAAACCTCCTAGTTCCTGTCTCCAGGCAATTCCAGAGAACTAAATTTATGCCTACCCTTCAATTCTATGAGATATTCTAGCATCATTGTAATAAATATTCCATATTGCTTAAGCTAGTGCCTGTGAGTACCTGTAATTTGAAACTGAGTCTAAATAACCAGTACAAAGGTAAGCTAATTTTTTTCTCCCAAGGATGTGAATTAGGCACTAAAATAGTATAAGTTTTATACTAAAATTCCAAAATAAATTTTGTAACCATTCTGCAGTATTGAAAGAGGGACAAAAAAACTTGGATCATTAAATTCTGGGAATAGTACAGTTTTGATGACCTCAGCTATTAAATTATTTTAAAGGTTTTTATTTGTTTGTCTCATCCTTATTATTGAAATTTTAAATTCTTAACATACTTGACATGTGGTAGAGAAAATAAATATTCAATTATCTTAGGATCTTCAATTCAAATAAATAGTAATTTCATAGTTAGAAATATAGATAAAAATGAAGACAAGAGAAGAGGTGATGAAGGTTTGCTGTAAATCCAGGAGATATGTATGTGTGTGTGTATGTGTATGTGTATGTGTGTGTATGTGTATGTGTGTGTATCTAAAGAATATCTGAAGATGAGTGTATTATGACTAAACTCAAACTCTGATATAAATTTGTTTTCTTGTCATTTGTCTTTTTCTCTAAGGTAGTACACCCACCCACCCACACACACACACAGGCACACACAAGTATTTTTAAATTTGCTGTAATTAAGGTCGCGTACATATATATTCCCATCATTCCAGGGTGCTGGCATGGAGCTGACCAGGTGGGTGATACTTGTGTTTCCAGTGATTACAATCTGGCCTCAGTCATTCTAAAATCACATTCCTAAAGCCATTTCAGACTTGTGCTAATAGTTGGCTTTGAATATTAGGGGCTTAATTGGAAGCAACCAATTCTGGCCAGTTAGATCCTGATGAGGCTTGAAGAACTCCTGAAACAGATTTACATTTCTCAGAGTTCTCTTTCCCAAGAATTGTCCTTTTCTTTTGTATGATTCATCTGTTGCATGGATGCATGGTTGTCCCTCATCCACGCTCTTTTCTCGAATGTACCAGTCATTATCGCTATATAACAAATGTGCCCTAATTTGGTGGCCTGAAAAAAAAACCCACTATTTGATTATGTTAATTGCTCCTGTGGATCAGGAATTCAGACAGTGTCCAACAAAAATAGCTGGTCTCTGGTCTATAATTTTGGAGCCTCTTTCACTTCCTTGTCTGGTGCCTGACTTAATCTGCCTCAGCTGGGACTGCAAGCCGGATACCCACACAGGGCCTCCCTAGGTAGTTTAGGTTTCTCTTAGCATGGCAGCTGGATTCTGAGATACCCAAGAGGCAGCACCTAGAAAGTGATTGTTCTAGGAGAACAAGGTAAAAGCTGCATGGAAATTTTGTGTCCCAGCCTTGGAAGTTAAATAGCATCACTTCCTCACTGAATTTATAGAGCAGGGGATATAGACCCCATTCTCAACGGAAGGAATGTCATAGAATTTGCAGCCATCTTAAATCCAATCAACTAACAGCTGACAGAAGAAGCCAAATCAGAATCTAAGTATACATTATTGGTAAAACTAGATTGGAAAATACAGCAGGGATATTTTGCTTATCCCACTCTTATTTGAGTTTGCCTACCTAGATGCAGATAAAATTTCAAAACAGCAGTTTCTTCCTCATTTTTCCACCCTGTTGTAAGAGAGGATAGATCCCAAAATATTTATTACATTGGAAGAGGAAATTATTTTATTTTGGAAGAGGAAAATATTTATTACATGGAAGAGGAAAAAGAGAAGAATTTACTCTGCATGAAGGCAGTCAAGGGAGAAAAGAGAGCTTTGAAACACCAACTGATTATGTGGACAAATTAGATACTCCTTCCTCCTCCTGCAGAGTAGTGAGTCAGGGAGTGGACGGTAGAATAATGAGAAGGGTCCTGAACAAGATACCCAAGAAAGTATAAATGGTGGTGCATTTTTCTTTCTCTGCAAAGGTAACACATTGAGGACAATTTTTTTCCCTAGTAATTCCCTGCCTCACTCTCTCATAATCTCTAAGCAATATATATGTTTCTCAAACCTAAAGATATAAAACCACATAGTATGTAATCCCAAATGGTGTAAAAGTTTTGTGCGAAATCATTGGAGATAGAAGGAAATAGCCTGGCTTGCTTAGCTCTCAAAATTAAATAGAAAAATAATCAGAGATTTTTACGTAACCAGGATATTAGTTTTGTTGCTTAATGTCAATTTTATGCATTTAACAAAATGCAGACTAGATATCATGTGCATTATTAAATAGCTCCTACTATGGAAATGTGATAGTCAATATTATAATTATCCAGGATTGTAATCTTGAAATAGAAATGCTTAACAATATATTTGTTTTCTCTGTTGTTTTCCATGTAGAGCTTACCATGCAGTATTTCTTCTTCATAATACTTAATACAAGTTTAATGAATGAATTATGCTGTAATTACTTAACTGTGTGACATCTTTCTAGGAGTCATAGATTGTGTTAATGGCTCCAATACTTCACAATCACTCTGATTAAAGCTATTGCCTTGAGACTTTGCATTTTCTTCCACAAAAGAGGACACTTCTCTGTCCCCTGATTTGGGGTTTGGTCATCTAACTAACTTGCTTTGACCAATGGAATAAAATGGAACTTACAGAGAGCTAGTTCCAAGTCAAGAATCTAAGAGACTTTGTGTAAAATGCAGTTCTACATGAGCTGATGCCATCATCATGAGAAAGACACACCTAGTCTAGCCTATTAGTCTGTGGAAGAGAATGAAAAACACATGAAACAGAACTTTCCCATGTAAATGAAACCTGCCAAATCCAACCAACAGCAGAGCCCACATGTCTGGCATTACTCCTGTGTTTGCAGTTAGCTGCTTGTGCATTTGCAAATACCAACAGGGACTCACTTTAGGCTGCATTTGGCTGGGGCAGCTTACCTGGTATTATGGTCTGAATGTATTCCCTAAACTTCGTGTGTTGGAAACATAATCCCCAATGCAAATGTTGGGAGGATGGGTCTTTGGGGAGGTATTTAGGTCATGAGAGTTCTGTCCTCATGAATGGATTAATGTCATTATGAAAGGACTCAATGGAGGGAGTTTGCCCCTCTCTCTTTTGCCCTTCCATGCCTTCTACCTCTTTTACTTGCCGAGGATACAGCATTCCTCTTCTTCAGAGGATGCAGGAACAAGGCACAAACTTGGAAGCAGAGATTAGGCCCTTACTAGAGCTGAACCTGCTGGTGCCTTGATCATGGGTTCCAGCCTCCACTAAAAGTACATTTCTGTTCTCTATAAATTACCTAAAGTATTTTGTTATAACAACACAAAGTAAGACATCTGGTACGTCTCTCCTCTACAGCCCATCCATCTTCCTTTTGGGAGGCTAACACAGACATGTTCTACTCATAGTGATTGGAGAAATGCTAAAAAGCAAATAGAAATGCATGAGGGTGCTGACTTCAGCAGCACATACACTAAAATTGAAATGATATGGAGATTAGCATAGCCTCTGCGCAAGGATGACACACAAATTCGTGAAGCATTGCAGATTTCTCTAACACAAAGGATAAATGCTTAAGGAAATGGATACCCCGTTTCCCATGATGTGATTATTATACATTGCCTGCCTCTATCAATGTATCTCACGTACCTCATGAGATATTTAAACATCTATTATATACCCACAAAAATTTAAAATGAAATATTTTTAAAAAGTGTATGAGGGCCTTTGAAGCCTAGGCTTTGAACAGACATACCTTAATTTCTGCCTCGTTCTGTTAACCAAAACACATCATATAAGGAGCTACATTCTGCCTTTATCAGAGAAACTCTAAAGTCATATGACAAAGGGCTCAGTTAGAGAGAGGGGTGAAAAATAAGGATTATTAATAAAAATTCATTTCTAGCCTTTCCCATATCCACCTAGATTAAGAAATAGAATATTACTAGGACCTTAGAAGTCACTCTGATGTCCTCACTCAGTTATTATCTCTAGCCTTCCTCCTCCATGTTAACAGTTATCTTGACTCCTATCTACATAGATAAGTTTTGCTAACTTTTATAAAATGGAATCAAAAAATTTATATCTGTGTTAGGACTCGTTATTTTAATAACATTTTGTGAGATTCACACATATTGTCATAGGTAGCCCTAGTAAGTTAATTTTCATTGCTATTTGGTGTTGTATTTTAGAATATGCCACAATTTGTTTATTATCAGTCATCTACTATTGATGGATATTTAGGCTATTTTCAATTTGGGGATATTACAAATAATGCTGCTGCAAACCCTTGGCAAGCAACTATAAGCTTCTCTTTTGCCTGTATACTAACAGTGGGTTTGCTACAGGCTAAAAGACTTCTGATTGCTCCACATTCTCTCTAACACTTACAATTGTTAGTATTTATTTTATTTTATTTTATTTTATTTTATTTTAGTTACTTTTTTTCTTTTAGACGGAGTCTTGCTCTGTCACCCAGGCTGGAGTGCAGTGGCACGATCTCCGCTCACTGCAATCTCCGCCTCCTGGTTCAAGCAATTCTCCTGCCTCAGCCTCCCAAGTAGCTGGGATTACAGGCAAGCACCACCATGCCTGGCTGATTTTTGTATTTTTAGTAGAGACGGGGTTGGCTAGGCTGGTCTCGAACTCCTGACCTCAGGTGATCTGCCTGCCTCAGCCTCCCAAAGTGCTAGGATTACAAGCGTGAGCCACCCCTCCCAGCCTATTTTATTTTATTATTTTTTTAGAGACAAGGTCTTGCTCTGTCACCCAGGCTGGAGTGCAGTGGTGCGATCATGGTTCACTGCAGCCTCGACCTCCCAGGCTGAAGTGACAGTCCTACTTCAGGCTCCCAAGTAGTTGGGACTGCAGGTGTGTGCCACCATGCCTGGCCAGTATTTTAAATTTTAGTCATTTTGGTGGATATTCATTAAGTTTCTTGTATTATGTATAACTTTTATGCTTTTATAAGTGGTATAAATTTTAAACATAATTTTAGTTATTTATTGCTGGCATATAGAAGTATAATTAATATTGATCTTGAGTTCGCTGACCTTGCTAAATATACTTATTAATTTTAAGTTCATATGTAGATTCATTTACATATTTTACCTACACAGTTGTGTCACTTACAGATAATGAGCTCTCTACTTCCTTTTCATTTTTATACCTTTTGTTTCTTTATTGCACTGGCTAGAACTTCTAATATAGTGTTGAATATGATGTGGAAAATAAATAGTAATAGAAGATATTCTCATTCATTTCCAAGCTCTCAGGGAAAAAAAAATTTATTATTTTCCCAGTAACTGTAATAATTGATGTAGTTTTTTGGTAGCTGCCCTTTATTGCTTAATCCCATTCTCCTACTTAGCGTGTAAGCTATATATTCTTTAAATCTCCATTTGGGATTGTCCCCATGATTTCAATGTGTTTTTTGCCCTGTTAAAATCTAATATTATTAATGCTATTACCACTTCTGAGAAAACATAAGGACTGTATTACTTTGATTTCATTTTTTCCTCCCATCTTTTGTGCTATTATTACTATGTGATGTGTGTATTGCCAAAATGCTTCTTTTATCATTGCCTTATACATCCAATAAACATTTCCATTTACCCCTATGTTTACATTTGAATTGCTCTCAGCCTTTCAGCTGCTGCTTTTAAGTAAGCAAATGACTAGGGGCAGGGGAAGTAGTAGCAAATGTCTACAGATAGTTTCTCCTTGAGAACTTGGACTTTGCTACTCTGTGGGATTGTGTTCTAATTTCTTGCTGCCTTGGTAAATCTCTAATCTCTACCAATAGCTACAATTTTATGTTTTTATATTTTGTCTATTTTCTGTTTGTTTTTAATGGGAAATTTTTCCAAAACAAGGTCATCTAGTACTTCCGGAAATACAAAATTCCAATGTGTGTCTCACTGCCTAAGATTCCAAAAAGTGAGGACTTCCATTTCTAGCCACACTGCAGACTAGATACTACACTCCTGCTGAAATTGACAAGTAATCCTGTGTGTGTATGTGTAAAAATGTGTCTATACATTTGTATATATGCAGCATACTTACAAGATGCCCATCTGGCAGGAAATCTAGTGTCCAGTAATGTTCAGTAAAAGAGGACTCTCAAATAGATGGGTGTAAAAGTCAACCAGCCTTCAACTGAATTCATTTGTCAGGTTAAATATACTAGAACTTTTACGCTCTTGGCTTTGTGGTTGTGGCCTTTGGAGAGTGACCAGAAAGTTAGCGACCTAAAATAACGTGGTATAGAGTATAAATATAATACAATAGAATAAAAATATGAGACTGCATTGAATGAGGATTACTTGTGATGTTTGTGAAAATTTTGGTTTATTTGACTGCCAAGTAAAACGAATTTCTTGTTTTGCGTTGGGGTCAAATATTAGACCATAGTAACTGTATATAACTAGAAACAGCTACCTGTATATAACCAGGAGAAAACTATGACAATGTTTAAGTAACACTGTTTGCATTAAGAAAAAATGAACACATTCAAATATCTATAAACAAAGAATGATAAATAAATTGTGTTATATCCAGAAAATTGAATACGAGTTAGAAGGAGAACCAGTGAATAATGGCTAAATGGAACAATATGGTCAAATCTTAGAGACAATTAATTTAAAAAGCCTGTATTTGAAGAATATTTATAGTATGATTTCATTTATATGCATTCAAAAACATGCAAAACTGAACAAAACATTTAAGAATAGAAACACATGCAGTAAAAATTTTGAAATTCTATAGAATGATAAACACAAATTTTAGAAGGCTAAAAAGGCCTACATTTTTGGTGTCTCTGCTCACCAGTAAATAGTCTCCTGACACAACTGCGTAATGTGATCCTGAAAATTCAAAATGCCTCACAGCTTGGTTTACTATTGCCCAAGTCTTAAATTCACCCAGTGCAGTTGAAATTTTTATGTATTACTTTATTTTTTAATGCCCAGCTGTTATCTATCTCTTAGTGTTTCTGGTTAATTAAATTAATTAATTAAACAAATAAAAATAAATAAAACAAGATATAAGGGTTTGTAAATCCCAGTATATAAAAATCTTTCTTTCTACCTAATGGAACATAGTTGTTCCAATAAACACTAGGCATAGAGGGGAAATCAAAATTAAGTTTAGAAGACGCAAATCAAAAAGGAGAGTCACATCAAACAAGTGCCTTATTGTACTCTCTTTTCTTATAAATCTAGGAAAAGGCAATTGTTTTATGAATGCCATCTATTCTTTGAGAGAGAGCAATAGTGTGTATTGGTAATATTGTTCCCCTGTAGAAGTGATAAAATCAGATACCATGGTTATCCCTGATAGGGAGAATTATGCCAGTTGAGTTTAAGTTCACAGGTCATGGGCTCCGGGTCATAGCCCTGAACAACTAGCATATTAGCAAGGGTGAAATCAAGATTTTTCCTTTTCTGTCTAACCTCCATCCTGCTTATAATCTCATGCTCTTTCTCTTTGGCAAATGTTGCTTCTGTGAACCAAATTTTTCTCCAAAAACTGCTTTATGAATACACAATTGCTACTAGGTAGAGCCAGATCATAAACTCAGACAGTCAGAATAAATAGTGTGGTAATCACTATATCATGCAAAAATAGATTTTTTTTTTCAGGGAATATTTTACTTGAAATTTCACTTTTTCCGTATCTAACGAAAGAAATAGCAGAGATTGTGTCTCAAAGCACTTTGATGTTATATGGATTTTTTTAGGCGTAAAACAGCTTTTAAAAGGAAATTATTAAAATGATGAGTCAGCTTCAAAAATCTAAGTGTTTTGGTTAAACTGAGTGCAATTACTCACATTTGATAATTCATTATAAATGCTAGACTCCATATCTCATTTTTCTTCCAACTCTTCAAATTTTATGTTCATCCAATAGCTGTATTCAAGGTAAATTTGCCAAATGTGGATCATTTTCTATGCTACTGGGTACCAGTTGCTAGGAATGATGCTTCATTGTTTTTCTCTTCAATGGCATCATTAAAACTCTAGTCAGTTAATCATCAAAGGAATTACACAAACAACTTTTTCAATTGCACCAAACATAACAAAGCTTGTCAAATTTATTTTTATACACAATTTCCATGACAATAATGAAGCAAACACCAACGTCTGTCAGGCATCACAGTTTCTGCATCAGTTTTATATTTATCCATCCTAAACTTGTCAAAATATCATGACCATCCCTATGCAAATTTATTTGCTTGAGATTTTGTGTGTACTTTTACCAAAAAAAAAAGGATGCTTGAACAATATGCATGTCTTTGAATGCTCAAACCTAAATGATAACTAAATGTTACTGGGAATAGAAGTCTGTGTTTTAAATTTTTATGGGTATGTAGTGGGTATTTTTTACTTCATGTGAAATCTCTTTTAAAATACTCTCATATATTACGTCATTAATACAGTCTTATAAAATTGCTAATTAAATTATGAGACATTTCTCTGATTCTGTATCCTATGATATTAGAGGAGAAAAGGAAAAAGAAGGATTAAGTGAATTTCTTGCACCTTTTTTTTTCTTTCCACGAGGCCCTAGAATGTGATCAGTACTTATGATCAGCAATAGATTCCAAATTGAAAATGAAAGAATACATCAAACTGGGATCTGAGAAGGTGAAAGGAAGTCCTCAGCTTAGACAGCATCCAAGCCCACATTCTAATTTGGTAACTAAATTGAAGGTATTTGAATATAATAAGGGTTTGTCAACTAATTGGCCCACAGACAAACAACATTGATCTTGGTAAATTGATGCAATTTCTCTATATTTGCGTTCCAAAAGATTATTTCTTGGTTTTTCATTCCAATATGAATTAACTCTTCAGTGCATAGATCGGCTATTTTCAACAGCATACTCAATAAAGTTTTTTTTCTTTTTATGTTCCTCATCAAGTTAAGTATATTATACTAGTAGAGTTTAACATAAAGCATACTTCTGTATTTTTCTCTTGCCTTAGACAGCATTAAAATTTTAAAATATTCGAGGTAAAAACTCTTCTCTGAAATAATAAAATCACGTTTTCAAGCACATAACAGAGTGAAAAACAATTTCCTCCATGTTATTCAAAACAGTGTGATAACAAATCTTAATATTAAAACTAATGCGCCATAATCAAAATAAATCACAAAATAACAGTGATTAAAGCTAAACTGAAATATAATACCAGAAATTCATACTGGAAATTAACTGCTTTGTCCTGTCTTAAGAAGGTTTTAACAATAACTAGCAGTACAAGTTCTAATGCTTTAACAATTGGGTTAAATTTGCCATTGGCAAATTCTCAGAAAATATATGATGCTCCATACTAAATAAATACTAATGTGTTCTGTTTTGATCTTTTGGTATTAATATTTTCTATTGTAATGCATTATTTATGCATAAACAATAATACACTTAAGTTACTAAGAAAATAATATGAAGCATAACATTAAGCCCATCACTCAGCCTTCAAACAAGACCATTTCCAATAACTTGCATCTCCCATTGTGCCATTGTCCTATCCCACCCCACCTTGTGTCTTTTTTAAAAGATAACTGCTATTCTGCATTCTGTGTTTACCAATTTCTTGCTCTAGTTTTATCATGTGCCTAAAGAGTATATTGAAGAATTTTGGGATTGTTTTTAAATTTTATAGTTAGATATAATAGTGTGATCTTCCAGGACTTGCTAGTTTGTCTTGATGCTTCCAAAGGTTCATCCCTGATGTCATGTTTAGCTATAGGTCATTTTTTTTACGGCTGCATATATTCCATTGGGTGAATGCATTCCAACTTATTTATTCATTTGTCTATCAATGTGCTTTTGAATCATTTCCAGTTTTAGGAGGCATATTTCTTCCCGCTCCCCTTCTGTCTCTCTTTATTCACACAAACATTGCTTCTATGCTCTCTAGGGTGTATGAACACACTGTTCATTAAAATATGTGTTTCTTCTTTATACTGGGCTCACAGCTAGACTACATTTTGCAGATCTCCTTGGAATAGCCATGTGACTGTGTTGTAGCCAATGACTTTGAGTCAAAGTCTGATACATCTGAGATACAGCTTTCAAGTCATGTGTTTGCCCTTTCAATGACCAGCAGAACATCATGTCTTTCATTTATCTCTTTCCCCCTCTACCAGCAGAAAATAAGAGGCTCAGAATATATATTGGAGGCACAATGTGCAAATAACCGGGGTCTCTGAATGTTCACGTTGAAAAAGTCTCTCATGGCAAGTGATACATATTTGGACTATTATATGAATGAGAAATAAGCTTTTATATTATAGATCCCATTTACACATTTTGTAATGTAGTTGATAAGACTATTAGTATTCCTCTAACTTAGTGGTTCAGTGAGTAGAATTTTTCTTTCCCTTAAAGGAACATTTGACATTTTTTGTCACATATGGGACCACAGTGAGGTAAGGTACAATCCGAGACAACATTAAATTCTGTGCCCTAAGCACCTCACTCATAATTATAAGGGCTTGCTACTGGCATCTAGTGAGTAGAAACCAGGATGCTGCTAAACATCCTAAAATGCAGTCCCCCACAGCAAAGAATTACCTTACCCAGAATATCAACTGTGCCAAGGTTGAGAAAACCTGCGCTAATTAATATACAAGCAGATAACAAATGACAACTTAATGAGTGGTAGTTATCCTAATACAGCTTAAAGTCAACTCTTTATATTACATTTCTGTGGCCATCTGATTTCATCCAATGGTTCAACAATCCAAATTCACAACAGTGGACCAATTAATCAAGTAAATAATATGTCTTAAATGTATGGGTTTTTTGTTTGTTTGTTTTACTTTTTCAAATTATACACATTCTCCTAGAAAGTACAAAATGCAAGTGAATAGAAAAACAATTACTCTCTTTTTAGGAGTGTTTTATCTTATATATTTAATCAACCAACAGATCAGGAACTAAAATGTAAATACTGATTTTTGGTAATCCACAAATTGTTTCATGGTCACAAAATGGAATTTACTGGACTAAGAAAATTAAAGTGGTTGAAGTATGACATAAAAGACAAAAACAACCTGCTATCATAATCTGTCCATATCTTACCATGTGCTTCCAATGTGTTGTTCCAATAAGAATTCCTGGGTCTATTAAGCCTTAGGTTTCGTGTCTGCCCAAACAGTAATCCGATTTATTAATTTTCCTGGCTGGCCTCAATGTTTGGCTAGAAATCAAGTTCTTTTCCTACTGTTGTGCATCCATTTCTCTGCTTCCTATGCCAGCCTCCATTTAATATTCATTATATTCAGGGAGTCCAAAGGGAGGCAGTATAGCAGGGGCAGAAGCTCTGACTCAAATGCAATTTTTACCACTTTCTAAAATAGAGACCTTAAACAAGATGGAGTCTTCTCGTGACTTACATTCCTCTCTGTAACATGATGATAGTAGGATAATGTGAGGGGCAAAAAGAAGTAGCATGTGTAAAATACTTAGAGCAATACCTACACATAGCAAGTACTCCCAAAAAGGTCATCTTTATTATGCTCAAGTACTTCATTGACTGTCTTGCTCTCATATTTTGGGGTTTTCTTATTCTTGTCTGTGTGACTGCTTGCTTGATTTATATTTTACCAACTAGTTTGACTTCTAGTTCCTGATCTTTCTTCTTGGCTATCATCTTCTGTTTTACTATCTGCTCTGTTTTTTGTTCTCATGTTGTATATAATATTGATTCACCCATTCATTGAACAAATGTCTATCGGGCACCAACTATGTTCTACTGTAATTACGGCAGTGAATAAAGCAGACAAAAATACCTGCTCTCATAGAACTTAAATTCTATGAACTCATAGAACCGCCCTCATAGAGCTTAAATTTTGTGGACACTCCATCCATATCTTGAATCATAACAAGACTCTTGATTTCTTCATGGCTGCAGATCTGATTTTCTTAGTTGAGCTTTTAAATTCAGGGTATCCATTGGCTGTTCTCACTGTGCCTTCTAGCCCTGTCTGGTGTAAATAAATGACCACAGTTGACCAAGTCTTGACATTGGTTCCAATTCCATAAGTTGCAAAAATCACTGCACAGAAATTAAAACTAAGGCAGTGCTGGGTGATCATTTGTCTGATTCTTGAGACAAGTTTATTCAATATTTCACTAGGGTTGAAGCAGATAAAAAGTACTAGAGGTAGTAGACTACATGAAAAGTCCAAGAAATATTCAGGGGGAAGTTTAACCTGGGATTCTAAAGACTGTCAGTTACTTAGATCAAAAGGAGGACTTTTCTGGGCATACCTCTGGACACAGGGTATTTGGAAATTTCCTTATCATTTGTAGATGTCCTAGAGATATTCCTACACTTCTGACATTGTATTTTTATGTCATTGTTGTCCAGGATCCCAGTAAAAATCCCATTCTGACAAGGGTTTTGTAATTATATTTTTGGTGATTATATAAAATACAAAAACAAGCTGGATAGAGTATATATCTGATAAAATACACCAATTCTTGCAAAAATTATGTTTTATTAAGCATCATTTCAACTTGCAGAAAGTGGAAATCCTTTGCTATTATACAGCTATCTAAAAGTTAATTTCCCTTTTCAAGCTTTGGTTTTCTGCATTTTAATGTTTCGATTTTAGAAAACAATCTTAAATTACACAACTGGCTTTAAAAATGAATAACCATGCATTTTCTACATCAGAGATATGGGGCCTTAAACATATCTTTGAAGCAAACAGAAGATCTTTACTTCACTACTGACTAATGCCAGATGCCTTTTCAGTACACAAGGGAAGGATTAACAATATGTAGGAACATGTAAATGGAGAAAATCAGTCACAGGTGCGAAAGGCACCACAATGATTGCCTTCCTATGAAACAATAATCCCAATGTTCGTCAAATAGAAAATGGGATTCCTCTTGGGAACATAAAAATCAAGTTTTGTAACAGTTAAAGGCTATTTTGTGAGAAAATTTCAAGTGAGTTGATGGAAGAAGAGCAATGCATGGTCCTGTCATTTATATCAGAACAGTTGTGCTTTGATATAAAGATACTGAGCATAGAAACATACCGAGTGAAACTTCCAAATTCTGAAGAGGAAATAGTAGAGTCAGACAATGCTGAGTACTTTTTTGTTTGCTTCTGATGTGGACATTATGTGTATTTTCTCTCAAATTTGTATAAATTTTGATTAGCTATGTTAGTTTATATGTGGAAATTATTTTCCAAGTGAATGATAAGGCTCAAAAACAGTGACTTAATTATACTATATTTAAGTAAGGTGAAGTACTCTGTAGTCCACGTATTTGAAATGTATATATGCCAAGGATTAAACTAACATTCCTCCCTAGTTGCAACTAGTTCAACAATGAATTTTATTAATTCTTCATGCAGCAAATTAATGCACTACTGGAAGAGTTTAGTCATGTTAGGGTGCGTGTCAGCCAGATGACTGTTTAAGATATGACATGTGAATCTCTCGCTCTGTCAATTACATAAATTGCTTTTAAATTATGCTGTAGATCTGGAAACTATCTTACAGAAAAACAGTAAAGACACTTGCTAAGCATCAGAGGCCACAAACTTTGGATTATGTGACTTAGCTTTTAGTAAAAGCAGACATACAAAGGTGGGACATCCAAAGCTTTTCTCTGTCTCATATAGAAAGCCATATGAATTTAATCTGGTTTTGGATATTCGTGTGAAATTTGAGGAACCTAGGTTACATACACGCCTATAAATCTATCTTTGAAATAGGAGTCTCAATATTTCATTGCAAGGACATGTGAAATCCTAGAATCTTGGTCTATCTAGCGTCTGATTTAGGCTCATTCTAGAAATTTTTAAAAGTATTCCATCTAGACTACTCTTGGATGTGTCGCCTTCACACAACTGAAAATGACAAATGCAACATGTAAGAGAGTTTCAAGAACTATCTTTGTTTAGTTAGTGCTCCTGTAAGTCCTACATTTCTAAACACCCCAATTTTAAGCTTTTAACTAAAAATATAGAAATACAATTTTTTAACACAGTTACCCTTTTGTTATTTTGCTAAGTGGTTAAAGCAAAGTGATGGAAGGATTCTTCAGGGTAGTGAACTTTCTGTTCCTTAGTAAAAGATTGACTGGATACAGTCTGCTGCCAATGAAGCATAAGAGACTGGCGTCCTTCAAAAACAGCAGCTGTAGACAATAAAGTAGTTTAAAATAGAATAAAACTACTATGCCTGCCTTTCATTGCCTTTGATTCATCTCAATAAAATTTGCATTTAAACATGGTAGGATTAGCTTGCTTTGCTATGCTTCATATAAAAAACACTTTTCCCCATACAAAGAAAGTTTAATTTCTTTTCCAACATTTATTTTCATTATAGTTTATTACCACTGTGTATGTTGGCACTTTGTATAAACATTCATTAGCTATGCTACAAAAAACGTATGTGTGCAGTCAATCTAAATAAAAGGTAAATATTTGTTTCAAAAATGCTAGTTTCATTTGCATTAAATATTTATCTTTCATATACAGCAACCAGATGTAACCTAGGTTTAGTCTCTTTCCAGTGTGCAGTATTTAATCAGAATGTTGCCTTAAAATCTTACTGTCAGTAAAAAACAATGTACCTTCTGAATTTAAAATATTAATTTAGATTCCATTAACTAGGTGTTGATTTATACGTGACATAATTTTGCTATTAGAGCCATGTCAAAGTAACTATATGGAAGAGTCATCATATTATTTATGTTAAAGAAAGTCAGTCTTCAAAGTGAAGCTATTTAGCCTTCTCTAATAAAGCAAATAATCACTTCTTAGATATAAAAATTGTATGAAAGAAGTAGTAAGTGTTCGTAACAGTGTAACACTCATCTATTAGAACATAGCCATTGAGTGTATAATAATGACAAAGCAGATCAGTACTGATAGATTTTACAAGAACAAACTGTGTAACTGTAGAATCACTGACGGAAGAAAAACTATTCAGTCCACTTGGTTATGTATTGGCATTATATAAATTGTATTATTTAATCTTCATTTTAATTTTTAAAATTGTATTGGGAAGTCACTTTTCTTTAAATTACCTAACCATATTTTACCATATTATGAATGTTAAACTGATTCTAAATTCACTAGGATACAATAAAGACTTACGTAAATTACATAAAGCAAAAATTACAAATTTTGGAGTAACTTATGAATTCAGATTGTATTTTCAGGCATTAATTGATGCTTTCACTGCAGGAGAAGGGGAGAGATGAAAGGGTAAGAAAAGAATGAGTTATCTAGTTTGACTCTATATGACTGAAATTCACTAAAGGTAATTGACAACTTTTCCTTTGTCATGCCCAGCCTGGATCTCAAATCAGTTACTTTAAATCATCCCACGTGGTGAAGTTTATCCATTTATAACACACTTAAATCTGGGAAATCCGCAGCTACATAGCATTAACAGCAGGTCAACAGAGAATTACACCTGAAATTCAAAATAAACAGAAAAAGACCAGTCAATCTTAGGCTCATTAAGTGCATTTTTATTGATTGTATTTTCTTCCTTCAGCATGAATCCAAAGGAAAAAACTGGTCCTAAGGCTTTTACTCTTTCATTATCCCAGACAAGAAAGAAAGGATAGTATAGAAAACAGGAACATAAAATAGCTGTTTCTGCAAAAATGATCACCTTCCTCATAGCTTCATAATTTACTCCCAGTCCATAAGGTCCTCAGTTCCTGTGATTGCAATGATGGATGACTCCACTTCAGCTACAACAGGCAAAGATGCTGCAATGTATCACTCTGCAGGATACACAATAGAACCAACGAACCAGCAGGACTGAATGGCAAGCAGGGGTGCCAAGGGAATTCTCTTCAGTGGAAGAGTAGACAGTCATTCCCTGGAATTATGTAAACTGCAGCTTGTAAATATTGCTTCCATTGTGGACACGTGCGTGTGCAACTTGACAGAAAAGGGCAACGCTGGCACAGAAGAATGCAAAAATATTTTCCACTTCAGTGCCCGTATTTCTCACATGGCCAGATTTTGCATTAAACAAAGCCCTAGCTCGATGGCCAGTGAATTGTTGAGAATGTAAGTATATATATTTGAGGACAGAGGGAAACCATTAATGGTTTCATCATTGAGATTTGGTTTACTCTGAAGCTTGTAATTCGATACTGAGGTAATGCTAAATTGTTTGGTGATAATTTCTTAAATCACATTTCTGAGATCACCACATATCTTGTCACAAGTCAATATTAAATTTGAACTGACTAAATTAGTATGTTAAAAAATAACTAGCAAATTTTAGCTCTTCTGTCCATTCCACCATCTGTTAACAAAAGAAGCCTGGAATTTCCAGACTATGCAGGGCTATATACTCACTCCCACCCCTGTCCTCTGCAGCTTGTACAGAAGAGAAAAATGCAAACTACCCATGCTTTACACTTTCGCACATGGTCTAATAGAAATATGCCCTGCACAGAATAAGGTTTAACACTTATGTCCTAATAGGACTTTAGTAGCTAAGGCCTCGCAGCAGCAAGGGATAACACTAGTTGTTAGCAATTCCTCTGAATTACTAGCCACCAGCAAGAAAAACTTCTCAGCCAGCTCTTACAACAAATTGACAGATCCTTTTTGCCAGGTTCTTCTTTATCTGTCTTGTATGAAAAATTTGTGTTCTACAGGGAGCCCTGGGGATTTTTTGTTTGTGTTTGGTTAGTTGGTATGGTTTTTTCTTTTAACTTTTATGCAAGAAACCTTCTCTTTCTCTTCCGTACTAACAGAGGCAGAGACAGAAAATAAAGTAAAACTCATAAAAAGTAGTCTAATGACATTCCAGGTGCCCATACAGTTCAGGCACTGCATACAGCCCTGATACTTAATTTATACTGTATAGACACACAACAGACTATCAGTGTGTGTGTGGTGTGTGTATTAGGGATGGGAGATAATCTATAATCTTACATAAAGTGATTGGTTCTCATGACAGATGACCTTTAAAAGTGAATGAAACCAAGATGTGAGTTTCATCTTTCACATATTGAAGTAGCTACATTCGATATTTTTTAAATCATTTGCCTGTTGTTTATTTGTTTTTATTTTTTGGCTCAGTAAAAAAAAAAAATGAAACTAAAGATGAACTGGCAATCATAAATGATACTTTGTACGTTTTTTATTCTCGGAGAAGAGATTTGAAACTTCTGCTTGAGAATGGATAATAGAACTCCGCTTAGCTCTCAGAACACAAGCTACACACTAACTCAATATTTCCAATTGTGTTTTATGAAATGCTAATATTTGAAAATGGGGTTTTGCTGTCAAGCAAGTTTGGGAAACACTTGTGAAACAGAGTTAAATATCTTAACTGTACAACTTCACAGAACCTTTCATATGATCACAGGCATTGCAAATATCAAGAAGGGATATTGCCATTTTTTCATGTTTGTTTTTGTTTCTGTTTTTTGTTTTTTAACTTTAATTTCAGGAGCACATGTGCAGGTTTGTAACATAGATAAACTTGTGTCATGGGGATTTGTTGCACCAACTATTTCATCATCTAGGTATTAAGCCTACAACCCATTAGTTTTTTTTTCTGATTCTCTACCTCTTCCCACCCTCCAGCCTCCAATAGCCCTGAGTGTGTGTCGTTCCCTTTCATGTGTCAAAGTGTTCTCATCATTTAGCTGCCACTTACAAGTGAGAACATTTGGTATTTGTGTTTTTGTTCCTGCATTCGTTTGCTAAAGGTGACCTCCAGCTCCTTTCAAGTGCCTGCAAAGGACATGATCTCATTCTTTTTTATGGCGACATAGCATTCCAGGGTGTGCACGTACCACCTTTTTTTTTAATCCAGTCTTATCATTTTGTATATTTGAACTGGGCACTTTTGTTTTCACTGAAAATCTTTTAATATAATGAGGAACTTACATTCTGCATAGTGTATTTTGAAAAATGCTACCTTAATGTTGCATTCATACGTATAACTAAGCATCTTTGATCTTATATTTTAAGCATTATTGTCAGTGTTTTGCTACAATGCAATGCCATGACCTGAACAAGCTTCTGTTTATATATTTTATGTCCTTTCCCTTCTGCTGATTTATAGAATTAGCATTTTGTCTGAGTTGTCCCTTTCTTTATCTGAAAAACTTCTAAATCGGTTGGTGACTCCTGGCGACTAAGACGTATGTCGAATGTATTCTGACTCCCTTACAACTACAAGAGCATAGGCTCCGCTCTGTAATCCAGAACTCTGGGTTGTTTTCAGACCACTTTCTAAAAGAAATGCATCTCATTACAAATTGTAAAAGTAGGCCGGGCGCAATGGCTCACGCCTATCATCTCATCACTTTGGGAGGCCTAAGCAGGTAGATCATTCGAAGTCAGGAGTTCGAGACCAGCCTGACCAACATGGTGAAACCCTGTCTCTACTAAAAATACAACATTAACCAGGCGTGGCGGCACACGCCTGTAATCCCAGCTATTTGGAAGGCTGAGGCAGGAGAATCACTTAAATTCGGGGGGCAGAGCATGCAGTGAGCCAAGATCGCGCCATTGCACTCCAGCCTGGGTAACAAGGGCGAAACTTCATCTCAAAAAAAAAAAAGCATAAGGAGTTCTTGAGTTTTAATTTAGACCGTTAGTTATTAAAATACATCTTGTCATTTTACATTCAGAGACTCAAAGTCAGTGAAGGAAGGTGACCTATGTAGTGGAAACAGTATTAGACTGAGAATCAGGGAACTAAGGTTTAATCATTAATAACAGTACAACCCAAGAAAGATACATCCAGGTCCTCAGTTGCTCATATGTAAGATGAAAAGTGTATGATTCATGCATTTGGAGCATGAAATGGGAAATCGAAACTTAATAAGAATTAAATTATGGTGGCTAGTCCTTTCTTACATATATAAGACATTCTTATTGCAAATGGAAGTCATTTAACAGTAAAATTTTATTTCCTTTTTTCTAAAATTTTACTTAAAATATATAAACAACATATATAATTAGTCTGTTTGGCGACACCTAGAATAATTAAGGCAATGTTCTTGCCCTGTTTTGAAATTATTATATGTTAAATATACGTGCTGCTTACTACAAAATGGGCAAGGAGATCAAAGCCTTTTGTTTTTAGCATGAGTGTTAATCTATAGGCTTTTTTCCAATTAAAAACAGCCGTTAGTCTAATAGAGTCAGAATTTCATTGCATATCTTTCAACACATCAATCTACCAGCACAAAGCTTTTTAGTGCCTTTCTGTTTGAAGACGAATGTGTACCTACTTGTTAGAAATCTTGGCACCAACTCTTCTCTGTATGTAGAAGATATAATAGCTTGACATTGAAAGAACTTAGCTTTAACAAAATATACCCATTATGTGTCACAGCTAAATTCTTCTTGGCAAAGAAAAAAGGCATAAAAAAGAAAAGTGTGAGTTCATGAGAAGAACTCAAATTAAGCTTTTTAAAATTCCTTTGGTTTAACTACCGATGTTTCATCCATCGTTCAGTAACAGACATTCATTATACCTTTGTATGATTCATTGCTATAAATTTTTTTAATTTTAAATGTGTGTCAATTTTACCCTCCTAACTTGCACATGAAATGCTTTTTACCATTACAGCATTTTAAGAGAAAACATCACCTTGTAGAGTTTGAAGATGTACTTCAAAATTTGTGCTTAAAATATACTATGACAAAAAATTAAAATGTTTACCACTTCTGTGGCTTGTGAAAAGGTTTAGTACAAACCTCAATATAAAAATAAGTATATTTTATCTTGAAAGGGTAGAAAGATAATTTGTTGAGCAAAATCAAATATTTTTATTTTGAAAATGAAAGAAACGTTTTTGCTTAATTTTTTGGGTCACTATATGGTGGCTCTGTTTAGTTTCTGGTGTAGCATTTCACTTCCACCTTACAGAGGCACAATGACCAGGGTTAGGGGCTGCAGTAAGCTTGTTGGAGATGATAGGTATTTACTTGCTGCTTTAGGGTATGCAGATGGACTCCCGGGAGCCCTGCGACACTGAGTCTTGTTCTACCTGCAGGCTCTAAAGCAGGTGTGTGCGGCTGATGGGGCTGCTCCAAATGGAAAACCACAGGTTATGCTAATTAAGGAAGCTCAGGGACTCTGAAGGAGCACACAGGTTACTGCTGATGGTGGCGTGCCAAAGGTTAGTGAAAAGCAGGATTGTCTGCTGGCCTGGGGAAGATAAGAACACAAAGGGCACCGAAAAGGATTTGAATATAGGCACTTATCAGTGTGCCTTTTAAACTACATAATGCTGCATACATTGCTTTGCTTTACACAGTAAAATTGGGAGTTCTTTTATGAATGTACTAATTTATTAACATCAATTTGTGTTACCATTTAAGTAGTTACACTCTCATTTTGTCTTAAAAAAGGAGCATCAAGAAAACATTAGGCCAACCTCAAATAACCTATGATTAAAATAAATATCAGATGTATCATGCCATTACAAGTAGTTTTATGTAGTGCAACTTCACTTCCACATTAAGAAGAAAAATATTTTAATATTAACAGCATATGAATTAATTTTTCATCTTTCCCTAATGCACTAGTTATTTTAAAAAATATTTATTTAGAGAAGTGAACACTACATTCCACAGAACAACAGAATTGAATTTTTATTGGCATTATGATCAAATGGCTAATTCTAATAATTATATACCAGAATTAATTCATGTTAAATTTATTGTAGATAATTTTAAATTTTATATATGCTACTTCATTATTAATTACATTTTACTTTGAATAAATTAGATTAGCCTGCAAGAAAGGTGATCTAAAGAACAATGAATGTTAAAAATAAGGAAGGCATATAGTGTGAACATTACAGATTTCAGCACGGTTTACCATAGCGCAGCTAGTTGATGATAAGCCATGCATAGATTACCTAAAGTACATGTGGTATAATTGATCATTCTGAATTTAATTAGTGTCATGTTTGTTTTTGTTATCTATTGTGGCTCAACAGACTAACCTACCATTTGATGGCTTTAAACCAGAACCATTTCGTTTGCTTAAGATTCTGTGGGTCAGGAATTTAGGGGGTGGGTGTGCTTGCCTGAGCATTTCCTCCATTCCTTGTCGTATTTCCTTACTTATTTGGCTGCATTCGGCTGGGTTACCAGCTGGACGTCAGGTTCAGTTGGAATACAGGGCTGACTGGTGAATGAATTCAGCCACCTCTGTGGTTTCTCAGCTTGAATGGCTAGAACAGCTCAGGGCTAGCTGGGCCTCTTACTCTCTATGCCTCTCCAGTAGAAGATGGTAGAGAACTCCAAGAAAACTGAATTGCAAGCTGCAGATAAGACTTGGCCTCAGGGGTTACACAGTGTCATTTCCGCCGCATTCTACTGGTGAAAGCCAGTCACTAGTAAGCCCAGATTCAAGAGGAGTGGGATAATAGATCCTAAAGCTTGATGTGGGAGTGGAATGAGAGATATTATTGTGGCCATCTTTAGAAACACAATCTAAATAAGTTGAATATATTTTTTGTTTGCTACCAGAAGATGCCATATCTTTCCTAGAATTAGCATTAATAATTATATTAGACCTCACAAACATTAAATCCTGAAACATAGGAAATATCCCAGATATTTCCTTATTAAATATATAAATTTGAAACCATACCAAAAATAGTTAAATAGGAAGTCAGAGTCTATACCCCCATTGCCCTGAAGCAGTGCGGCAAGGGCTGTTTCAACAGGGAACACGTGTTCACCATTTCAAAGCCAGACCTCAGTGCACCTGGCCCCTTAAAGATGTCTAAACTAGAATGAATGAGATAAACTGTTATGGGTGAGAATTTTCACCCACCACTTAGGAATGGCTCTTACTTAGAAACAAACTGCTGGCATCTTGCCAGGCCATATTGCGACCTTACCTCATTGCACTTGAGCTCACTCTTTTCAGGGTCTTTCTGGGACAGTATCACTGAAATCACAGTGGCACTAATGTCCTAAAGGGCCTAAAATAAGTAACTTCAGCACCCACAGGGAGAAACATATTTTGTCTAAGATTATTGCAAATAATTGAACTAAAACAGTGAACAGTAATAAAGTAAATAAAAGTGACTGTAAGAAGAGAATTTGATGTAAGAAGAGAATTTGATGTTCATTTATTGTAACATTCTCACTTCATTGGTTAAAACAGTGAAGCTTTGAGAAGTGGAAGAACCCACCAATTGTCAAGCCAAGATACTTGACCTGATTCCTTTCTACCTCTCACTGCATCAAACTGACTCATGCGACTTGTCTCTGTGTCCCTACATCTGGGAGTGGCACACTATGGCCCGTTTTGTAGAGTTGTCATCTGAGGATGTTTGTTTTTCTCATTTTCAATAGCTAAAAAAAGTAAAAAGAAAAAAGTATTTTGTGACATGTTTTGTGACATACAAAACTTAAATGTTAATGCTTATGAATAAAGTTTTATGGGAACATTGTCACACTAATTTATGTATTTCTTGTGGCTGCTTTCACACTACAAAGGCAGAGCTGAGCAGTTTGACAGAGCTCCCTTTTGGTTCATAAAGCATAAAATATTTACTATCTGGTCATTTGGAGAAAAGTTTCCCTAACTCTGCTCTAGGCTTTTCTTTCTTTTGATCTATTGATTCTCTCCTTCCCTGCCCTTTCTTTCTTTTCTCTCTTTTGCAATTTCTCTTTCTCTCTTTCCCTGTTTTCCTTTCTTTCTTCATTTCTTCCTGTTGTTTCTCTCAGGCTTTCCCTTTTCTATGGTAACAAGCTGCTCCCCAACTTTTCCCCTGACTTTTGCATATGCTTTTGTCCTATGCAGGGTTTTTACATCTATTATACCCAAATGAAGTCTTTGTCTGTGATTTTTCAAAATGTTGCTCAACCCCGAAGCAGACATTTGTTTCCTTATTATATATATGGAACAATCCAATCAACAGTCTCTTCCACATTGGAAAATTCACCTGAATCAGAAACATGTTAAACCATATCATGTTAACTAAAACCGAACAGTACTTCCTCTTGGGCTTTAAGAACGTGTATGGCACAGTTTGCCACCTTCCACAGGTCTTTGCTGAATGTCCCCCTTTCAGCAATATCTTTCCTCACTACTTTATTGAAAGGTGCAGAGGCTCCCACTCTCTTTCTCCTTCTTTGTTTAAATTTCCTCCATTGTGCATATATTTGAAACATGTAACTAACTTATTTATTTTCTTTCTTCCCCACTAGAATGTGAGAGCTTCATGAGGTTAGATATTTGGATCCGTTTTGCTAAATGTTATGACCCATTGCCTGGAACCAAACGAGCCCTCAGTCAGTATTTCTTTAATGAATAAAATATTAATCTTCAGCTTATATGCAAATATAACAAAGCCTTAATAAATTAAAAACTGCATTACTTACTTGACTTAGTCAAAACTAATAATTTTTAAATTTTAGAATAATGCCATTTCTAAAACTGAAAAATAAAATTGTAAGAGTTAAGCCAAAAAGGCTCTATATCTTCTAACTAGACTTACATTTCCATTTCCTCAAGTAAAATAAAATAATACTGCATTATTTTATTATATCTTAAAACATTTAATGTGTTCAAGTGACAAGATAATCAATACTTTAACATTTGCTCACTCATTTTAAATGTCAAGAAATAGGGAAAGAAGCTAAGCATGGTGGCTCATGCTTGAAATCTCAGCACTTTGGGAGGCTAAGGTGGGCAGATAGCTTGGGCCCAGGTGTTCAAGACCAGCTTGGGCAACAGGAGGAAGCTCTGTCTCTATAAAAAATACGTGTATTAGCTAGGCATGATAGCGCATTCCTGTAGTCCCAGCTACTCAGGAGGCTGAGGTGGGAGGTTCACCTGAGCCCAGGGAGGTCGAGGATGCAGTAAATCATAATTGTGCTACTTCCAGCCTGGGCATCAGAGCAAGATCCTGTAAGAAAGAAAGAAAAAAACAAAGAAAGAAAGAGAGAGAGAGAGAGACAGAGAGAGAGAGAGAGAAAGAAAGAGAAAGAAAGAAGAAAGAAAAGAAAGAGAAAGAAGAAAAAAAGAAGAAAGAAAGAGAAAGAAAGAAAGAAGAAAGGAAAGACAGAAAGAAGAAAGAAAGAAGAAAGGAAAGAAAGAAGAAAGAAAAAGAAAGAAGAAAGAAAGAAAGAAAAGGAAGGCAGTTAAATGAGAAGAGACTTATATGATCTCAAACTTATAGAAAAACTAAAAGTACAGTAAAAATCACTTTATTTTCTGATCTATGGCCCTAAAAATGTCTTTGCAGGCAACATATCTATTTCAGAGTCAGGCACTGCATTTGGTTGTCTTATGCTGCTTCCTTCGGCCTGGAACAACCTATTTATTTTTATTTAATTTCTTACTTTGATACCTTTGAAGTTTACAGACCAGTTATTTTGCACAATGTTCCTCTTTTGGGTGTGTCTAGTGTAATTTTCATTTTCAAAAATCATGTTATGTGCAGCAATATCATAGAAATGATGCTATTTTCTTTTCATTACATTCCATCAGATGTCATCTGATTTCAATTTTCCCCCTTGTTGCTAAAGATAAACTTTGTTCACTTGTTTAAGATGACATCTGCCAGCTTCTCCACTATAAAACTGCACATCCTTTTTCTGTGTCATTGGTAAGAGTTTTGGGAGAGGGTTATTGTGAAACTATGCAAATATCTTATATTCATATTCTTTATCAAAGTTTTCAATTAGTTCATTTATTTAATGTATCAGTATGGATTTGTAGTTTACTCATATAGTCATTGGGCTATAATCTATTAGTAACATTATTTGTTTTGATACCTACTGTGTTGCATATTTCTTCAATGAGAACGCTTCAGGTTGGCCGTTGTACAGTTTTGGTGTTTCCATAATCCTTTGAGCATGTCATTGCTTTCTGGCATAATAGGCTATGCCAGGCTCATCTTGTATGTTCCCTGTCCCAGCCCTGGTATCATGTCTATCATTTCCATTGGGATGTCACTGTTTCCAGTTTCTCTCAGCAGGCAGAACTAGGTAATATGTGGATATGTGGATATATACAAAATCCATGTTACCGTGACTTTTCTTTCCACACGAGACTCTGCATATCCAACAAACGTGGATATATACTCCATAACTTGGTAACAATTTGTTCTTTTAGAGTTCTCAGAAGTGCAATTAGTCACTATCATTTGTTCTTTTAGTAAAAGAGGTGAGTGGCCAGTTTCACCTGTAATTAACAAATTACTGCATGGTTTCATTTGCCATGCTTGAGCCCATGTGTTTTTAAACATTATGTATACTGCATTCAGAACATCCAGAGGAAGGTCAGGGACAATTTTCAGACCATAAATTAATAAATTTGAGGCAGCACATATCTTCTTCTAGAAAAGAAACTGAACATTTAGAAATAAAAATAACAGAATATATATATACATTTAAGATATATTATATATACATATATGTATATGTATATATGTAACCAGCACAGAATGCCCACATAGTGAAGTGCAGAATTGCAGAGTGGAGTGTCAATGTCAGCGCCTATAAAGCTCGTTGGCTTCTGAAAGGGCTCTCAGTTCATAGACTATATATTGCAGTGTCTCCACTAAGTCAGCAGAGTTTAAGGAATGAATATCAGTGTCCCTATTTTCTTTTTCCTTTTTAAAGTAAAAATAGACATGACCTCTAGATAGATGATAGATAGATAGATAGATGATAGACAAAGGTAGATAGATAGATAGATGATAGATAGATAGATAGATAGATAGATAGATAGATAGATAGATAGATAGATAGATAGATATAGAATGGAAAAAGATGGCCACTAGGTTTTTAAAAGTATTTTTTCTTAATAAATTGAACTCATAACTGAAATATTTCATTTTCAGTGAAAATCCAACCTCAATTGTACAATTAAAACGACTTATTTTAAATTTAATATAGAAAGAAAGAATAATTGTTTTTGGGTTCCTCTTTGCTCCCGTCCCTGTGCCCACCATGACCAAACCTAATCTCCACCCTTTATCCCTAGCCCATCTCAGTTATAAGATTTAGATTCTCTCATTTCAGTAACTTCTATAATAAAAGTGAGAGAATGGCACTATAAATGGTTGATTGTACAAGGTAATGCTTGAACTTTGCTGCCTTACAGTTTAAAGAGCAGCTTTGGTCATTGCCATGTGATGAAACTTCGTTCATATTGAGAAAAATGGGATTTGATCCACTGTTCTAGGAAAGTATGTGATGGCATGGCTTGGGTTTGTCCATTCATTTCTCAGAGAGACATTTTAAACACTACAGCAAAGAAGAGATGACAGCATGAGATATTCTTCAAAGTCTTCGTATTTAGCCCTATTTCACAAGAATTAGGGAACATTATGATTTTGGCTGAAAGTATTCAAAATCATTAAATTGTTTTTTAAAAACGTATTTTTATATTACATTTTATAAAATTACTGGCAATTCACTTTTTAACCACAAAGGGTAGACGAGTTTTTAGAATTTGCCTGATGAGGTCATGTCTTTAAAAAAGTAGTATAACACCTATTTCTAGCCACTGTTGCAACTACAGGTGGCTGTGTACAGAATAACTCTATTCCTCTATATCCTGTTTGGACAAACCATCTTTCCACTGATTTAAGCACACCTTCAGAATGAAACATAATTTCTTATCTCAGGAATTCCAAAGTCTAATTGAAGAGGCAAGCTTATATTGAATAATTTGGCAAAGCAGATTGTGATTGGCAATAATAAAGTAATTCAATATATAAAAAATAAGAAAAGAAGGAAATATCTGTTTCATAGTTGTAATAAATTAGAACTTTACCATGCAGAATAGATAGAGAGGCATTCCTCAAAAATTAAGAGAGGTATAAAGTAAATGTAAATGTAAACTATAGGGGTTTTCTAAGGCAGAGAGTCATGCTTCAGGATAATGAAGGTAATGCTGGTATTTAGATTCCTTTGGAGAAGGCAACACTAAAAGTAGAGTTATCATTTATGAGATCCAAGAAGTCCAAGAAAAGGTAATAAGAGCACGAGCCACAGCAGGCTCAGGCTTTCTTCCTAAATAAAAAGGAGTGAATAGCTAAATGTGACAAAAGTCAAGGTATCTTTTAGGAAAGTTACACTTCCTCTGAACCCCAACAGAAATCAAAGATAGTCACCCTACTGCACCCTTTGCCTCTCATCCAAGGATAGAGCTATGTATTGTTTTTTAGAAAAGGTAAAGGGAATATATCACTTGACCATGTCTCTATCCAAGGTGAATTTATCCAAAAGCACAACTTTGGGGTACTTGTAGGATATAGGTTAAACCTCACTGAATTTGATTTCTCACCCTCCCAAACACTTACCTTATTTTTTTCTCTATATCTGTTTGTTTTTGTTTCCTTAATATATTCCAGGAAATTTATTTTTGGGTTGTCCTACAGGAGAAGTTATGATGAATAGAAAAGTGTGAAGAAGAACCTTCTATTCTCCTCAGAGTATAGGGCAAAGAGCGTGCAATTGCACCCAAAATATCAGTGTGGAAGGGTCATATAACTGATACTAGCAAGTAACACATTGTCTTACAGAATTCTCATTCTTAGGCTAAAATATTACCTTCCTCATCAAACTTACCTGACCGCATGTTTGATGTTGTTTGAGTAAAATATAATACGCTTTTATTTCCCAAATACACAAACACACACACGCGCACACACACACACATACACACATAATATATTTGGGGAAATATATGTGCTATAGGATCTATATTTATTCACTTCTAAAAATTGTGCTTCATCAAAAATGACAAAAAAATGCCAAAAAGAGTTGGTAAAATGATCACCTGTATTCAGTCACATAACTATTATTTAGTCTTAGTAATGAAAATAGAAAAAAAAAAAAAAAAAAAAACAGCTGGGTGCAGTGGTTCATGCCTGTAATCCCAGCACTTCGGGAGGCCAAAGCAGGTGGATTGCCTGAGGTCAGCAGTTCGAGACCAGCCTGGCCAACATGGTGAAACCCCATCTCTACTAAAAACACAAAAATTAGCTGAGCATGGTGGTACGCACCTGTAACCTCAGCTACTCGGGAAGCTGAGGCGAGACAATAGCTTGAACCTGGAAGGCGGAGGTTGCAGTAAGCTGAGATAGCACCACTGCACTCCAGCCTGGGTGACAGAGTGAGATTCCACCTCAGAAAAAAAAAAAAGAAAAGAAAAGAAAGAAAGAAAATAGAAAAAACCAACAGACACTAAAAGATAAGAAAATAGTGTGTTCATTTTGGAATCTAAGTCAAAATTTATTATAATGAATTTTAACGGGCCATCAAATGCATTTGTTGAAGTTCACTGAATATTATTCAATGTTTGAGAATTATAGACAACACACATATTTTGTTTGTAGCAATGTTTGATTTGTTTTGCATCTATATGTTTGCATTTATTTAAAACAAAACATCAAAATGTATTTCATCTGTTATTTGGAAAAAACACTGAGTAACTAATTGTCCAAATATAACGCTCTATTTTGTAATTTTTAGTTAAAAATGCTTCTTATTTAAAAAAAAACTTATTTCAAAATAATTGACATTTAATGTTTTTATATTTTTTGGAAAAAAAGTTTTCATATACATCTATTTAATTTCTAGATGCCGTGAGGGAATTGTCACTGTATCTGGAAGCCAGATGCCAAAGATGTTCAGTTATTATCAATGTATCTATGCATAAGGGATTAAAAATTATATTTCATGCCATAATTTATCCAAATGTTCATTCCTTTGGAACACTGTTTTCCACTGATAGTAACAAGACTTGGAACAAAATAAAATAGCAGTATCATATGCATTTTCTATTTCTGCACTTTTCCACTTCTGGAAATAGTCATAGGATCATTTTGTGACAGATTAATATCATCCATGATCCTAAGTCGCTAAGAATAAAAGTGTTAGATTCTTTGGGTTAAATTGCCATAAGGACCAAATTTATTTTTTTATCTAATTCCCTAGAGAATCAACTGATTTTTAGTTTTACAGCATATGTATCACATCTCCATTTATTTTGCCTTAATTCTAGTTCTTTTTATCCTTCAATAGTGAGGATGAGAAAACCTGGATGCATATGGCTATGGTTGATTTGAAAAGTACTTTTTAAACATTTGGAAGTTTTTCAAAACCAAAAACATATTTGCCAAGTGATCTTTTTCCCCTACATTTTAAATCCATGTGCAACTTAAAAGAAACTTAGACCATATGTAGTTCAGATTCACTTATATTAAAATCTTGAAAATTATATTTAATAGCTCTTTGACACTCAGGGAGCGTTTAAATTAAACTTCTCTAAATTTTATATTTTTCAAAATGCTCGATGTTTTCTATCTACCCTCAACCACTCCTCACTACTCTCCAAGAAAATATCAGATTTAATTCAGAAGATGGAAGTTGGATGTTTTCAGTCCATCAATGATTAAGTAATAAAAAAGCATTCCTTTTTTTTCACTTTTTCTCTAGCTTTTGTTTGTTTGTTTCCTTGTTTAAATATCTCTGTACAAGTTCTGAACAGTTTTATTTATATCAGGATCACTAATCTGAGGAATGAAATAAATTGCCGCATTTGTTGCAATATATGAGTTTATGCTTCCTTTACAGAACATTAAGCACATAAAATTTTTTAAATGTTTTCATGTTTCATTATAAATGATACCGGAGTCTTGTATTAGAATAAAGAATGTAAACTTATATAAAGAAAAAATAAAAATCTTCTCCTTCTCATCCTCTGCATTTGCAGTCCCATCTGCACTGAAGTAATCAATGTTAGTGGTTTTGTGTCCATTCCACCATACCTCTAATGGATGGAATTTATGTAGTGTAATTCTTTTTCAGGTACAACTACACATGAGTAAAATTAGGTGTGATTTAGAACTCAAGATTAGGATTTTTAAACTAGTAGTGAAATGGGAAGAAAAAAGCAAAAGTAAAATACACATCAACTAATGGCAGAATGGGGTATAGAAGGGAGTCACCTGTCTATACAACATCTGTTGTCCCGACCACTCAGCTACCCCATCCACTCATGAAATAATGAATAGACAAGTGCATTGAAAATTGTAAGTGTGATGGAAAGGTCACCACGTGATTGCTACTATTATAGCATTTTATTATTTTATTCTCCCAACGATGTATAGATCAAATTTATACTACAGGTTGTTCATATCCTTTAATGAAATAAGCATTAATTTATGAATTTGATAAAATTCTAACTTACTACAATACCCGACAAATAATAGTTTGGCCCATCTGTGGTGATAACTCTTCCTGAAGACCTTTCTGATGTTGAATTACTAATATTGTTTTTCAATGTTACTATTAGTTTGGTGCAAAAATAATTGTGATTTTTGCCATTAATCACAACTACTTTTGCACCAACCTAATAGAAATTGAACATTCTGTATCTAACATTTGTGGACATTGAATATGCAGTATTCTGGGCAGAAGTTGGTGGAAGAGATGTGTGTTGTTTTGTGGAAGATGGTATTCTGAGGGAGGACAGAAAAGAGATATACATATAAGAAAATAGTGGATCTTAATCAAATGCACCCTTATTCCTATTTACAAGAAGTCTACACCGTCTTACTGAACAAATCGACTTACATGAAGTCAACTAATTCAAAATAATTTACCGTCTAGAGAAATTCACATTTGTAATAATAAATAGTTTTCTTAACCACAGAAATTTCATAATATGTCTTTTTTTATTTTATAGCTATAAATGTAGAGTTATAAAATCTAAATACAGACAAGCCTACCTACCCAGTGCTTGATTATATTCAATGATGTTTAAAAGTAATGGCCTCTCTTTTGTTCTTACTGGGAACATCATCATTAGCACAGTGCTTCATGCAGGCTCTTATTATTCTATCACCCATTGTTATGATTGGCAAAGCACAAAGCTATACTCAAATAGGAATGCTTGGGCACACTGCAGCATTTATCATAGGGTGGACTGGATACTGAGTTTCTTAGTTTATAAATCTTTCTTTCCAGTGCAAAATTCGTGAAGCCTTAATGCTGGGAAAATGTCTGAATGGCTATCAATTCCTTCCTAATTCCCTCCCCTCAACGCATACCCGTGTTTTTTTTGGCTCATTCTTAGAACTGTAGCAGTTCTTGAATCTTTGATGGGTTGAAGCTAATCCACATTTGGATTTTTCAATCTGATATAATTGCCAAAATTCTACCCTTCAAAACACGTGTTTCTTTCTTTTTTTTCTCTTACATTTCCTTAAAGAAAAGTAGTGAAAAAAACAATTTTTTTTATTTGGTCTGAAATTCTATGGTGCAAATCTGAGGACAGGAGGAAATGTAAAGACTTGTTCATCCACGTTAGATTTGGCGAATGCCTAGAATATATTTTTTTTCCTCTTTCTGCACGGTGCAAAGTAGTTGCACTCACAAAGTATCAGTTAGAAAAAATAATTCGACATTTCATCAGAATTTTAAGTGGTTACACTACAATAATCCCAAGCTATTTGGGAAATGGTAAAACAAAACTTTGAAGATCAAACCATCATTATTATTTTCACTAAAATTTAACAATTCAGCCACGTTATGTCAAATCAGTTGGAACAGGACTTCCCTCCTCTAATTTAGTTTTTACTGCTGGATATCTGATGGGCTACTTATTATATCACGTATCTCATAGGGCAAATTGTACCTGGAGATAATGTGATTGGCTCTGTAAAAATATTTATCAGTCTGAAGCAATGCAAACATTCTACAAGTAATTCTGAATACTATCAGTCAGCTTGCTCCTCAGCCTTTAAATTTAGTAATAATAACAAAAATAGCCAACATGTATTAAGAACTATGTTCCATACTTTACTAAGAACTTTATCTGCAACATTTTATTTAATGCTCATCACCAATCTATAAGAAAGATATTATTGTTTTGCTCACTTTTACACAAAGGAAGTAGGGCTTAAAGAGGCAAAGTAACTGGACTATGATTACATAGCTAATCAATTTTGGAAAATGCCATGATTTAAAACTGTGATTGTCAAAATTACAGCAAAGCATCAGAGTCTCTTATTATTCACCTCCCTTCTTTCTTTGGATGTGGTCAATCTGTACATATATACCATAAATTTTTTCTCCTATCAAAATAGCTTCATAACATTTGATAACAACTAAGGAAATATAAACAATGTATGGACTTTAATTAATATCATGTAGCAATATTGGTTTGTTAGTTTCGAAAAAGGTACCATACCCGTATAAGGAGTTACCAAGAGAGGAAACTGGGTGTGGTGTATGGGAGAACACTCTGTTTTATAGTCAATTTTCTAGAAATCTAAAGCTATTCTAAAATTAAAATTCTATCTTAAAAAATGACTACATATACATACCCAGCCAGTGTTTAACATGATCCATCCATACAACTAACAGACATCTTCTATCACAATTTTACGATGTTTTTGCTAAAGAGGGGAAAAATATCCTCAGAAACCAAATGAGCTGATTTCATTAAACCCATTGTTCTTAATGTCAGAAGTCCTTATTCCATGTTTTCAAAATTCATGATATTGTAAGGATTATGAAAAAACATGAAAGCAAATTAAAGTAGTCAAATGGAAAGTGTTTACAAAAATGTTATTAACACAACAACCCATCTACAAAAATGTGAACATATTTTAATAACCTTGAACATGGCAGGAAGAGTTGTAATGTAAAAAGAGATTTACATGTACAAAAGCTGAGGGAAAAAGTTTCAGCTTCAAGCATTAACGTCTTAGTTCATAAATCTGAAGGAAAATAAAAAGGAAATAAGGGCATTAAGAGATATGAAAAAATGTAAAAGAATAAATGTTTATTTTATGAATCTTTGTGAATATATGACAGCATACAAGCTACAGAAAACCAGTTTACTGTTTGAAAAATGAATGTTAGTTCAGAAGTACCAATATGGCATTTTCAAGTCAGTGGAAAATAAGCGTATAGTGTTAATGCAATAAATTATAGTATCCTGACTGCATTAAAAGGGATTTTAGAACATAACTTTTATAAGTGAAACACATTTTGCAGCTCTGAAAATGTAAGGTGTTTTGACAATGGATTAGGAAGGTTATCAAGTATATAACAATAAATTACACTTAATCAAATTAAAACATGTTTTTACATAGTTTATTAGAAAGTATTTGTTCTTGTGCTCTAAATGTTTGATTAAAATTTAAGTGATGTTAATCTTAAAATGTGCTTGAGATGTAAACTAGATTTAATACATACAAAATTCTTATTTTCCCATTCAATTTAATAAAAATTCCAAAAGATCATTTTATTTTCAAAAAGAAACTTGTTGAAATAATTACCTATTGAGGACCAGAAATCCCAAAGGATTAGTTATGGATATAGAGCTTTCAAGTTTCTGGGTCACTGAATGGAATCTGAAACCAACCCCATGGTGACTGAAGGGTATTATCAGGAAAAACTGTTAAATGACCTTTATCAAATGGTCTCAGTGGGAGACAGGTGTCCACTGTTGCTGACCATCTGGGTTTAAAAGCAAGAACATAAAAGGGGATGATTGCCTCTAAAAAATTATCTCTAGGGATTTGGTTTAGGCCAAACATTGAGGGTGGACAAGTCTATGGCACAGTGAGTTAACATAATCTCCTCCACCTCACTCTCCGTACATACAACCTCAACCAACAACGCCCCCAACACACACACATACACACACATTCTGCATAAGCTTGCTGAAAAGGTATTTACTATGAAAATGATTCAAGGAAAGGGAGAAGTATTACTTTTGCCTTGGAAAGGAAAAGCTAAATTTACTCAAGAGGTATTAAAATTTGGATCAATAGATAGAAAAGGAGGATATATTAAAGATATAGGTACAAAAGAAAATGTGTACATTAATTACACAGATGATTTTGAAATTATGAAGACCAATGCTGACTTTATTTTGAAATGGCTTCAAATTCCATAGTTTCATTAGCTGGTTTCCCATTGTTTTGGGAAATGTGGGCCATTGTCAAGATATGTCTAAATAGCTTTGGTGGGTAGAGAAGGTTACGTTATATGGGATTGGAGAGAGTAAAAAGAACAGAGGGCCAAGTGCAAAATGAATGATGAAATGAAATCAAATATATTTCATTTGTTACTGTAATAGTTTTCATAATCAGAAAATAAAATTGAATTTTTATATTTACTATCAAATGAAAATATCAATAAAATTTCTGTACCAATTTTGGGAGTGAGGTAGTGGTTACAGCTCTCCCCATCTCTCCATCACCTGACCAAGAGAAAGAACAAATTCAAGGCACAGTCTGTGTTACTCATTTTGGCCACAATCAGTATGGAGACTTGTGTCTGGTATTGAAATCAACTTTCTATGGAGCATAGTAATTTTAGCTAAGCTCCTTCTTTGAAAAACATGCTTTAAAAAATTAGAGCTGCTATACAAAGACTTGAGAGTGAGATGGGGAAAGAGAGCCTGTGGTTGATGAAATGCAAATGAGGCTTGGCTCAGACAGCTGGCTGCTTTGGGATGACATGGGTGATAAATGGTTCTTAAAACATGAGCAGGCATTAGACTCCTGATTCAGTGTCAGACTGGCAAAAACAGCAGTATTACTAGATGCTTCCTTTAATTAATGCAACACTACTGCATTAGTCCGGACACTGCCGATAAGTGGGAAAGAACTGATATCAGAGGTAATATCAGAAATCTTTCAACCTTGAAGCTGGGATGTGTTGGGCAAAAGCTCCAATATCATAAGAGGTTTAATTGTATTTGTAATGTACCAGTGCACCATGACAAAAATGGGGAGATAGCGTAGTCAGGACCGGGAGAGGCTGTGATAAATGAGAGAGAATGAGTGATTACACAGCCGGGAGGAGTGTGAAAACAGACAAAGAACAAGCAATAGAGAAGGGGAAAGCAGCCACCACTGTAATTTGAACAGTAAAACTCAGAGGAACTTTGAAGTGGAGAGGAGTGTAGTATTTATTTGGTCCTTGGGGATTTGTCAGGGCTGGAGGATGCACACAACAAATAAACAATTTTGGGTTCTCTGAAAAATGGTCTGACAGCATATGCCTTGTAGTTATGTCTTCACGTTGTGCTTGATCCAAACATACATATTATTGGGGGAATATCTGACTGATACCTTTTAAACACACACACACACACACACACACACACACACACACACACACACGTTTTATAGAAAATATATCTTGGCCTGGCTACATTTCTGGAGTGTCCCATTTCTCTTGGTTCAAATTTCCACCTAGAAATTAAGTTAAATCTTTGGGATGACACTAATGTTGTAAAGATGCTGCATCAAAATAAGATTTTTAAAAGTAGATAAGCCATTCAATAATTTTCTACAAGTGAATGACAGAAGCACTGACCTCAAATTTCACAATGGACCCCAGTGAGAATTCCCTGAAATCATGTCCCTTTTCTCATTCATTAAGAACAGCCACAGTATTACAACCACAGCAACAACCACACCTACACGATTTCCTCACATGATCAACTGTACGTTCCTGCTCTAGTCTAACATCTTCCAGCCATGCCTTCCTACAGCACTCTACAGCAAGGGTCAGCAAACATTTTCTAAAATGAGCCGGATAGTAAGTATGTTAAGTTTTATGTGTGTAATGTCTCTCTCAACTGCTCACCTCTGCTAATGTGGAGTAAAAGCAGCAATAGGCAATATGTAATGGAGATATGGCTGTCTTCTTCAGTGAAACTTAATAAAAAGTGGCAGCAGGCTAGATTTGGCTTATGGGCTACAGTTTGTCAATCCATGATGGAACGTTTAAAATTTCCATGGTTACTTTAACTACAAAAGTGAGTCTTGCCTGTTATATTTTACCTCTTCCAGAAGGGCGTACAGAGAGGAGTGAGTTGGAACACTTCCTCTTGACATTTATACACTCAAAAGTATACTGGTGTGTCACTATAGTACCTCATGGATGGTATCCTATCCTTCCCTTTTGGTTCTCATCTTATCTTTTGTCCTAGATTAATAGAGAACATCAAATACCGTTTTCACATAGAAAAACTGACAAGCCACCTAAACCCAGTCTTTCCTGCCTCTTAACATTAGTGTTGCACTTTTCTTATGCACAGACAGCAAAGATGCTTCAACACTTCTGTAAGTTTCTCCTGTGAGACATTGCGTTTCATTTTATCATCTACAAAAAGCAAGGGAAAGAGTTTACAATTTTGTATTGGTTGTCAACTGCAGCATAACAAACCACCCCACAGCTCAAAAAAAAATAATCATTTATCCTTTCAGCTCAAGTATCTGGAAACATCTAAGACCACGCTGATCAAGATTGAACTTAGTTGGGCTTGACTGAACTTGTGCTTCTGCAGTTTACTGACTCGACAGAGTTCTATTCTTTACTGGCTTGCATTGGGCAAATTCTCTAGTGAGGATCGGCACCACCTTTCTTTCACCTTCCTGGAACCAAGAAACTAGCTAAGATATGTTTGTCTCATGGTAGTGAAAGAGGCACAAATCAAGTCAAATTATGCAGACTCCATTAAGCCTTTTCTTGTGTAGTGCCTGCTGAAGTTCCACTGGTCAAAGCAAGCCCCAGGGGTAAACCTAGGTCACCAAGCCACAGTAGAAGGACACTACACGTGGAGTGGATTCAGAGAAGTGTGAACATTTTAGTCAGATGTGTAATCTCCCAAAGACTGGCACAAAGGTGGGTGTCAGTAAAAGCCCAGATTAATTCCAGCTACATGATCTTGAGTTCAGTTTTTCAGCTGTAAAGAAGAGACGATGATGCCTACCACAGAAGATCATTTGTGCAATAAAAGGATTAAATAAGAATGTGAGAAATGTGTGAAGTGCCTAATGCAAAGTTAATCGGTAAATGTTCTATATTTTTCATACAACCTTGGGCTTAAAAACAGATTAATTCTAAGCTTTTTAATATTATTCTGGCATAATTGCATAGTTTGGTGGGCCTATCAGCATGTATAAGCAAATGTTAATCTGAAATGATCTGCCTATGTAACATGAAATTTATATTAATTTAGTCCACAACAAGTTAAGATCTGATTATCTGCAGCATGATTAGTTTGGGAGCTGATAATTTGAAAATTTACTCCTTTGAGTAAATAAAAATAGCCACTTGGATATCTATTCATAAATTTATTAGTCTAGAAGGTAATTCTGTGGTCTTTACTGAAATAGTGATCGATTATTATTTAGGTTACAATTGATCCTTTCCCAACAACTTTTAATTTTTAGTCTTAAACTACAAAATCCCTTCTCTGTGATCTAAAAGCAAGATATATTAATTATCACATAGATTTTATGCAATTATGAAGTATTCAATAAAGCTCAGACAAATGATGCATTATATTTAATTCTTTGTCTCATAATGACCATGATTAATTAAATATATGAAAAAATGTATTAGATCTCTTTCCACAGGCTTAAGACTCACATCTATCTCTTGGATTTCAATCAATATCCCTGATTTTAAAATTGAATGCATTATTCCTGATGTAGAATCATTAGTCTCTAGCTTACAGATTTTTCACATGGCTCTAGCTGAGATCAACGGCCTTTTCTATTCCTGGAGAACTTTCCCTGTGCTACTTTAAAACTTATTTTAAGTAGTTGGAGTGACTGAAAAACCGAGGATTTTTTTTTTTCACTTAAAATGACTCCTCAGAGAAGATGCATTAGAGTGGGGTGGGTTATAATTCTTTTCTCCACAATGTTCATGACATGCACTAATGAAAATGTTCACCTTTATGTTCCTCTTGATTATAACCAAGGAATTTTTGATGCTACATAGGCATAAATTTTTGTTTCTTGATCGGAAAAGGGCAGGCTGGTTGTGAGGTCTAATTGCTAAAAGATGAAATTTAAGAACTGAAGGTCATTTTGAAGTTATGATTCTTTTCCATATCCTGACAAATAACTAAAATTCAATTTTTTTTAATTTGAGGTTAAACTTTATTTTCTGAGGTCACTTCATGCATTAGCACTTTCTAAAACATCTATGTGGATAGTGAACCCTAATAGTAAACTCATCTTCCAACATGATGCAAACATACCTATATAAATTGGCCAAAGATCACTTTTCTGTGGTCTGCAGTAGTAAAGAGCCAAACAAATGAAAAAACCTAACAATGCTATTTTGAGATTTCTACTATTGAAAATGATGCATTAATTAGCAGAAGACATTAGAGATTTGGTTGAGACTCAGAGAGATGACCAATGTTGGATATTTTCCCTGTCCAAAATGAGAGATATGGATTCATCTGCACATGGAAATCTTAGCTATGATCAAAATGAAGTCAATTATGGAAGAAAGAAATTTTATCATAACTGTATTTTACCAATTTCTACTGTGGCAAAATATGTACTTTGTGATATTGAAGGATCTCCAAACTTCTCTGAGCTTCAAAACCTTACATGAGTCTGTTTACCTTTCTATGTGTCTATTTATCTAATATTCATGGGACACAAATTTTCTTTATATAAGACTTGATCAAAATTTAATAATGTTTATTAAGTACTCAACTTTCTAGAGCAGGTGACTGAGAATTTAGTTGCTTCTCCAAACTATTAAAAAAAGAAGACAGAATTTTCCTACCTTTCTCACCTCACAATCTTATTCTGAGGATCAAATGAAATAATTAACAACAGCAACATTTTGTAAGCTGTGAGGTCTGAGATACTATCATATAAAGATCATGTGTTGTGTTTTAATTTTTATGATATAATGTAAAGACTACAGGTTCTGGAGTTAAATTAGTTCTCTCATCTATAAAATGGAAACAAAAACGTGTATTTGTATTGGAAATAGTTTTTAGAAAATACCTAACACCTTTTCTGGGATAAAACATGTAAAAATTTGTAAAGTAGTGCTTCCTCTTCAAAGACTTTCCACCCCATTTAATTAGGAATAAATAGTAACTTCTCTTAGAAGAAAAATTGATTCAAAGACCTGTGCTAACATTCTTAAATATCTGCTAATTGTGATTAAAAAAAAAATCAATGTACTTTATGTTCTTAGCTTCTACAATTTAGCCTAAATATTTTCCCTGGCGTGCTTATGCTGGTCCAAGCAAGCATTAGGTTATAGCCTGTTCCTATTCCTCATTTGAAGGTGTTTTTACCTTTCTCAGCCTTCCACAAGTTACTTCCTCCTTCCTTTGTTCTCCTCTGCCTTTGTCTCTTTTAAAAAGTTCTAAGTTGCTCGCCAATCGGGACAAATGCAGAATGTGAGGTCCTGTTCCAGCCAATGGAAACCGGACACAGCAGTAGGGTGGACGCATCAGGTTATAAATGACCCTGTCTCCTTTGATCAGTGTACTCTCGTGGCAACACTGCTGGTGAGTGTACCCTTTCTGCACCATTTCTGCAGGAAGTAAAAATGGCCTTGCTGAGTAAATTAAATTTATGTTCAAGTGCTATTTCTTTAAGGCACCAGGGAACAAGCATTTCATACAAACACATGCTCAATACGTGATCATTATGATTACTATTAATATATCAAAATGGATGAAGACCTGACCTAAGTGAGGAGACATAACAGCAGGCAACTCCTAGGCACATGCACTATTCTAAATTAGCCAGTTTCACATAACAATCATCAACAATTTCCATTTAGAAGCAGAACCATGGTCAATGGCTAAGAAAATATGAGAACAAGTCTAGCCCCTCAATAGGGAAAGAATTGGAAAGAGTTAAGGAGTTCAGGGAAAGCCTGATTTCTGTAATAAAGAAACCAACATACAAATCAGAGAAAAAAAACTGTTAAAGACTTTCATAGTCACTGCACAAACATGACCAGGGTTGGAAGGAAGGAAATGTTGAGATATCTGTGGTCCTGTGTATTCCTTTAGCTTAGACTAAGTCCATTAGTATCTGACAAAGAAAGAAATCGACTGAATGACAATACACACATAATTTACATGATTACATAAATGTATGTTATCAACATTGAGTACACATATACCCACATGCAATATATTTAGATATTACCTCAATTTTCACAGCCATGTATATTTCATAGTCCATTGTTATGACCATCTTTCATTACTTATTCTTTGCAAGAGTCAGGCTAACTACCTGCTATCATCTGCATTAATTCTTGCCTTCACATTTGCCATCCACCTGCGTTAAACACTCTACTTTTATCCAGGTTTATTCAGTTCTTTCCATCTTTTCAAGCCCTGACTGAAAGCTAAGTTCTTCCATGGAACTTTCTCTGAATTCTGCATCGCACTCTAATCTCCTTTTTCTCTGATCTTCTGCTGAACTTAAACTGTAACACTCAATTTAGCACATGCCCCATTTCTAATCTTGTCACATTATGTTAATCTTGTCATTCTATTAAGCTTGTAAACCCCTTGTGTGCACAGACTGTGGTAAAGGGTGAGAACTGGCTCTCAACATCCATTCTAACTCCATTCAAGTTGAAGACATTAGAAAGCTAAAAACATTCCCAGATCTCTTTGCTACTAAGATTCCAGAAGAGAATCAGGTTTCACTGATTAGATTTACTTGAAGAAGAATTGGAGGGTAGGAATGAGGCAGAAGCCATTTTTTTCACCTCTTTGATTATGCTGATAGTAATGTTGTAGTCATATGCTGTTTTCCTGCAGTGAAATTCTGGTGTCCATTCTCTACTTTACCAGATGTTCAGACCTATATGTATCAGTAGGAGCAGCAGTGGCTGTGGGTCACTTTTTTATGCCATCTTCATTCATTCACAGAGGTGTGCTTTTGAACTCCTGATACCAATCATGGCCTCAAACAGTAGCCCCTAAGGCTTCTGCCTTGACCATGCACTTCAAGTTTTCCAGTATATTTCTAAACGTCTATAACCCTTTATCAAACATTTCCAGTTAAAAATTTCTACAGTGGCTTGTTTTCAGCACTGAGACCTGACTTATAAAGAGGTCGGATATTATGCTTTATCTCTGATAGCACCTTGAATAAGGTAGATATCTGGTAAGATATTAATAAACACTTGAATGAGTATAGTAGCTGTTAGTTGCTATGTAACAAATTACCACAAAACATGGCTCCTTAAAACAAGAAACTTAGTTTATCACATGGTTTATGAGAGTCAAGAATCAGGTAGTGGTTTCCCCAGATGGTTTTGGCTCAGAGTGTTTTCAGAAGGCTGCAGTCGAGGTTTAGGATGAAGTCTGCAGAAAGTTTGTCTGAGAGTGGAGGTCCCATTTCCAAGTACTATTCAGTGGCTATTGGTAGTAGCCCTCAATTTCTCACTGACCATGGATCAGAGGCCTCAGATTCTTAACACATGGGCCTCTCAGTGATGCTGCTCATGATATAACAGGCTGACTTTCACCAGAGTAAGTGTTCTGAAGAAAGGAGAGAGAGAGAGGAGAGACAGAATGAACTTGAGGAGTGGTGAGGGGATTGAGAATGCCAAGATGAAAGTCACAGTATCATTTGTAATCTACCTCAGAAGTGAAATGTCATCATTTCTAATATATTCTATTTGTCACAGACCCTATCCCTATTAAATGTGGGAAAAAAACTACAAAAAAAGTCCCAATTCTAGATATGGGAATTTGGGGGGCCATCTTGAAGGATGGCTACCACAGCCTGACTTCTTTTCACCAATCATTTATGTCTGTCTTACATGCAAAATACTCTCATCCCCTCCTAGGGACCCCAAATTCTCATCTCATTCAATTTCAGTGTGACACCCAGAATCTTATCATCTACATCAACTCCAGGTGCAAAGGAGTCTATTTCCGTGTGATTCCTTAAGGAAAGCACCTTGTGTCCAGATATTTTTCAATCTGGAGTCTTGTGAGCTAAAGAGATGATGACACTCACCCTCCAACGCATATACAACTAACGTACAATGGTGGGACAAGCTTAGAATAGCTGAAGTAGGAACTCCTATTCAAACTAGAGAAAACAAAAGTTACACCTACTGGTCCACAGCAAGGCTTAAATCCATCCAGGCACATGTTGAAAGTTCTTTGAATGGGATTCAGTCAAACTGCTGCCTGCAAATGATTTACTGCGGTTCTGGGCTTCACCCTCTGGGATCTTGGTTCTGCCCTGAGTTATCCTTTCTTTTTCACAAAAGGAAGTATGTGTTTGCAGCTGTTTCCTTCTTGCAGAAATTTGGAAGTTCCAGGCTTTAATTTTCTACTCTCTGTCCCTTTCAGTTAAGCTGTCTGTGATTCTTTAAATATAATATTCTGTAAAAATAATTTTTGTCTCCTTGAAACTTATTAAGGTTCACTCCATTAAACAAAAGTCACAGTCACAAATTGCTTTGAGGTAACTCTTTCTCCACTATGGGCTTCTATTAAAATAGCCAAAGGACAACTTCCATAAACTTTTTAAAGGCCTTATTATTTGATTGAAGGAATCTGTGAATCTATATCTTTCTGCTATATTCTATTGATCAAACAGACTAATGGTGGTTTCATGTAGGAAGAGGCTACATAGGAGTATGAATACCATTGGGAGCTGGGATCATTGGGATCCACCTTGAAGTTTGACTACTGTAATGGTTGAAAGTTTCCCAAATAGTGCATGTCATGTGTTTGTTAAGTGTTATATCCTAAGGGTTTGCTGAGTGCTTATATCTACTCTGAAATTTTAAAAGTAAGCATCTTTAATTAGTCACATACTTTATGAGTCATATGTACTAGTCAGGGTTCTCTAGAGAAACAAAACCAATAGAATAGGTGTGTGTATGTGTGTGCATATATATATGCACATATATATATAGGAGGATATATGTGTGTATATATATATGGATAAAAAGAGAGAGAGAAATTGATTTTAAGTAATTAGCTCATGCAGTGATACGGCTTTGCTGTGTCCCCACCCAAATCTCATCTTGAATTGTAGCTCCCATAATTCCCACATGTTGTGGGAGGGACTTGGTGGGAGATAATTATATCACGGGGTCAGTTTTCTCCATACTGCTCTCCTGGTAGTGAATAAGTCTCATGAGATCTGATGGTTTTATAAGGGGTTTCCCTTTCTTCATTGCTCTCATTCTCTCTTGCCTGCTGCCATGAAAGACGTGCCTTTCACCTTCTGCCATGATTGGGAGGCCTCCCCAGCCACATGGAACTGAGAGTCCATTAAATCTCTTTTTCTTTATAAATTACCCAGGGTGGATATGTCTTTATCAACAGAATGAAAATGGACTAATACATGCAGTTTATAAAGGCTGGAAAGTTCAAGCACAGGCGGGCAGACTGGAGATGCAGAATGCCGTGTCAGTCTATTCAAGCTACTATCGCAAAATACCATAGACTGAGTGGCTTATAAATAACAGAAATTTTTTTCTCACAGCTCTGGATACTGGGATGTCCAAAATCAAGGCAGATTCACTGTCTGGTGAGGGCCCATTCCTGGATTATAGAAGGTACTTTCTAGCTGGATTATCATATGGTCCTCACATAGCTCTCTGGGCTTCTTTTATAAAAGCCTCGATCCCATTCATAAAGGTTCCTGCCTTATGACCTAATCACCTCCCAGAGGCCCCACCAACTAATACCAACATTTTGGGGCTTAGAATTTTAGCATATGACTTTTGAGGGGACACAAACCTTTAAGCCATAGTATTCAATGAAAAGCCAGTGCTGTGGTTCACAGGTCTGAATGCTGTCTGCTACAGAAGTCGCCCTTGCTTATAGGAAGTCATTCTTTTGTTCTATTCAGGCCTTCAATTTACCAGATGAGGCCCACCCACATTATGGAGGGCAATTTGTTTTCCTCAAATTGTACCAATTTAAATACCAGTCTCATCGAGAAACACTCTCACAGAAACATCCAGAATGATGTTTGACTAAATATCTGGGTACCTTGCCTAGACAAGTTGACACATAAAATTAGCCATCACATCATAAAAGTACTACATTCATATTTAAGCAAGGAGCTGAGATACAGTATTTTGGCATAATGAGTTAGAATGGTTCATATCAATATCTATATGCACTGATTTTCCTTTTAATTGAGGCTTACTTTCAGTTCTGGGGTCGTGGGAAGGTAATTTTTAATCATGTTCAGAGTATAAAAAAGTAGCTTACAGTCATGTCTACTGTTGGGATTCAGACAGTTGGCATGACTCTCAGATTGAGGTGAGAATACAGAAGCAAGATTTTAAGACAGGCTAGAAGGGGCCATAGGAGAAAATTATCAAAAGAGAAATAAAAACCTACACTATCAACCATCTTACCTAAAAGGATTGGGCATTTAGCAGAGAGTGGTGGATTCAGGTATGGTGAGATGGTAGGCACAGTGATCTATTGCATTTAATTCCCTTAGCACTTATTCTTAGCCAGATAGTGGGATCACCTTTGTTTTTAAGTATCTGCCTGGTTTGCTTGAGGCTAAATAATTCTGTAATCCATATAACTGTGTTTAGGCAATGGACTCTAGTCTCACACAACCTCTAGCCAGCTCTAATGAGGTATCCCTTCCTACCAAAAAGGGTAAAATGGTCCAGATAGTAAATATTTTTGGCTTTTAGGGCCATATGGTCTCTGCTGCAATGACTCAACTCTGCCATTGTATCAGGAAAGCAGCCATAAACAATATGTTTAAAGTGGCTATTTTCCAATATACATTATTTATATCACCTGGCATCAGGCAGGATTTACCCCCCAAAATTGCCCACTCCTGTTTTGTACAGTTATTAGAAGATACTTTGATGAGTGTGTGTATATAGTCTAAAGAGATCTCCTTTTTCTTGGTTAAATATATACTTATTTCAGAAATTTTAAAAATCCAAACATATAGACTAGATAGATAGATAGATAGATTAAAAACTAACCCTATATCTCAGTTTTTGCAATAAAGACCTGTTAGCTTTTTAAACTTGTAAAATTTATAATTTTACATATTATCTTTCCAGGCTTAAAAAAGAAGAAAAAGAAATATAAATTATAGACAAAATAACACACCTTTTGATTAAGACCCCAAATCATATTTTCTTTACCCTCCCTCAGGACAATCAGTCTGATAATTTTGATGGATATATTTTTGCACTTTAAAAATATTTAAAATGCAAATTTATAGAAATATAAACATATGTAGAATATATCCATACATAATATGTACATTTTATTTATACACGTGGGCATGGCTATCTGCCATTTGTTTTTTATCTATAGCAATGTATACCTACACCATTAGTATTTGTTTCGTCATATCCTAGCCAACTTTTGATACGGTCAAATTTTTAATCTTTACCAATTCAATGGATGAAATAATATACAACTTACAATCTGTTCAGTGGTTTTGATTCAATTTCATGTCATTGCTTACATATACATTTTCTGATGACAAATTATTTTAAACTAAATGTCATATGGTTTTGAATGTGGTAGGCAGAACAATGTGCTCCCCATCCCATGCAACAAAGATATCCATGCCCTAGTTCCCAGAACCTATGAATATGTTCTCATACCTTGGTAAAGGGATTTTGCAGATGTGATTAAGGTTAAAGAGCTTGAGAGAGGAAGATTATCCTGAACGTGGGTTTTCCCAATGTAATCATAAGAGCTTTTAAAAGCCTAAAAGATGGCAGCAGTCAGAGAAATTCATTGGAGGAAGAACTCCATCCATCGTTACTGGCTTTGAAGATAGAAAATAAGGAGGAGGAGCCAAGATGGCCGAATAGGAACAGCTCCGGTCTACAGCTCCCAGCGTGAGCGATGCAGAAGACGGGTGATTTCTGCATTTCCATCTGAGGTACCGGGTTCATCTCACTAGGGAGTGCCAGACAGTGGGCGCAGGCCAGTGTGTGTGTGCACCGTGCGCGAGCCGAAGCAGGGCGAGCATTGCCTCACCTGGGAAGCGCAAGGGGTCAGGGAGTTCCCTTTCCGAGTCAAAGAAAGGGGTGACGGACGCACCTGGAAAATCGGGTCACTCCCACCCGAATATTGCGCTTTTCAGACCGGCTTAAGAAACGGTGCACCACGAGACTATATCCCACACCTGGCTCAGAGGGTCCTACGCCCACGGAATCTCGCTGATTGCTAGCACAGCAGTCTGAGATCAAACTGCAAGGCGGCAACGAGGCTGGGGGAGGGGCGCCCGCCATTGCCCAGGCTTGCTTAGGTAAACAAAGCAACTGGGTGGAGCCCACCACAGCTCAAGGAGGCCTGCCTGCCTCTGTAGGCTCCACCTCTGGGGGCAGGGCACAGACAAACAAAAAGACAGCAGTAACCTCTGCAGACTTAAGTGTCCCTGTCTGACAGCTTTGAAGAGAGCAGTGGTTCTCCCAGCACGCAGCTGGAGATCTGAGAATGGGCAGACTGCCTCCTCAAGTGGGTCCCTGACCCCTGACCCCCGAGCAGCCTAACTGGGAGGCACACTGACACCTCACACGGCAGGGTATTCCAACAGACCTGCAGCTGAGGGTCCTGTCTGTTAGAAGGAAAACTAACAACCAGAAAGGACATCTACACCGAAAACCCATCTGTACATCACCATCATCAAAGACCAAAAGTAGATAAAACCACAAAGATGGGGAAAAAACAGAACAGAAAAACTGGAAACTCTAAAACGCAGAGCGCCTCTCCTCCTCCAAAGGAATGCAGTTCCTCACCAGCAACAGAACAAAGCTGGATGGAGAATGATTTTGACGAGCTGAGAGAAGAAGGCTTCAGACGATCAAATTACTCTGAGCTACGGGAGGACATTCAAACCAAAGGCAAAGAAGTTGAAAACTTTGAAAAAAATTTAGAAGAATGTATAACTAGAATAACCAATACAGAGAAGTGCTTAAAGGAGCTGATGGAGCTGAAAACCAAGGCTCGAGAACTACGTGAAGAATGCAGAAGCCTCAGGAGCCAATGTGATCAACTGGAAGAAAGGGTATCAGCAATGGAAGATGAAATGAATGAAATGAAGCGAGAAGGGAAGTTTAGAGAAAAAAGAATAAAAAGAAATGAGCAAAGCCTCCAAGAAATATGGGACTATGTGAAAAGACCAAATCTACGTCTGATTGGTGTACCTGAAAGTGATGTGGAGAATGGAACCAAGTTGGAAAACACTCTGCAGGATATTATCCAGGAGAACTTCCCCAATCTAGCAAGGCAGGCCAACGTTCAGATTCAGGAAATACAGAGAACGCCACAAAGATACTCCTCGAGAAGAGCAACTCCAAGACACATAATTGTCAGATTCACCAAAGTTGAAATGAAGGAAAAAATGTTAAGGGCAGCCAGAGAGAAAGGTCGGGTTACCCTCAAAGGAAAGCCCATCAGACTAACAGCGGATCTCTCGGCAGAAACCCTACAAGCCAGAAGAGAGTGGGGGCCAATATTCAACATTCTTAAAGAAAAGAATTTTCAACCCAGAATTTCATATCCAGCCAAACTAAGCTTCATAAGTGAAGGAGAAATAAAATACTTTATAGACAAGCAAATGCTGAGAGATTTTGTCACCACCAGGCCTGCCCTAAAAGAGCTCCTGAAGGAAGCGCTAAACCTGGAAAGGAACAACCGGTACCAGCCGCTGCAAAATCATGCCAAAATATAAAGACCATCGAGACTAGGAAGAAACTGCATCAACTAATGAGCAAAATCACCAGCTAACATCATAATGACAGGATCAAATTCACACATAACAATATTAACTTTAAATATAAATGGACTAAATTCTGCAATTAAAAGACACAGACTGGCAAGTTGGATAAAGAGTCAAGACCCATCAGTGTGCTGTATTCAGGAAACCCATCTCACGTGCAGAGACACACATAGGCTCAAAATAAAAGGATGGAGGAAGATCTACCAAGCCAATGGAAAACAAAAAAAGGCAGGGGTTGCAATCCTAGTCTCTGATAAAACAGACTTTAAACCAACAAAGATCAAAAGAGACAAAGAAGGCCATTACATAATGGTAAAGGGATCAATTCAACAAGAGGAGCTAACTATCCTAAATATTTATGCACCCAATACAGGAGCACCCAGATTCATAAAGCAAGTCCTGAGTGACCTACAAAGAGACTTAGACTCCCACACATTAATAATGGGAGACTTTAACACCCCACTGTCAACATTAGACAGATCAACGAGACAGAAAGTCAACAAGGATACCCAGGAATTGAACTCAGCTCTGCACCAAGCCGACCTAATAGACATCTACAGAACTCTCCACCCCAAATCAACAGAATATACATTTTTTTCAGCACCACACCACACCTATTCCAAAATTGACCACATAGTTGGAAGTAAAGCTCTCCTCAGCAAATGTAAAAGAACAGAAATTATAACAAACTATCTCTCAGACCACAGTGCAATCAAACTAGAACTCAGGATTAAGAATCTCACTCAAAGCCGCTCAACTACATGGAAACTGAACAACCTGCTCCTGAATGACTACTGGGTACATAACGAAATGAAGACAGAAATAAAGATGTTCTTTGAAACCAATGAGAACAAAGACACCACATACCAGAATCTCTGGGACGCATTCAAAGCAGTGTGTAGAGGGAAATTTATAGCACTAAATGCCTACAAGAGAAAGCAGGAAAGATCCAAAATTGACACCCTAACATCACAATTAAAAGAACTAGAAAAGCAAGAGCAAACACATTCAAAAGCTAGCAGAAGGCAAGAAATAACTAAAATCAGAGCAGAACTGAAGGAAATAGAGACACAAAAAACCCTTCAAAAAATCAATGAATCCAGGAGCTGGTTTTTTGAAAGGATCAACAAAATTGATAGACCGCTAGCAAGACTAATAAAGAAAAAAAGAGAGAAGAATCAAATAGACACAATAAAAAATGATAAAGGGGATATCACCACCGATCCCACAGAAATACAAACTACCATCAGAGAATACTACAAACACCTCTACGCAAATAAACTAGAAAATCTAGAAGAAATGGATACATTCCTCGACACATACACTCTCCCAAGACTAAACCAGGAAGAAGTTGAATCTCTGAATAGACCAATAACAGGCTCTGAAATTGTGGCAATAATCAATAGTTTACCAACCAAAAAGAGTCCAGGACCAGATGGATTCACAGCCGAATTCTACCAGAGGTACAAGGAGGAACTGGTACCATTCCTTCTGAAACTATTCCAATCAATAGAAAAAGAGGGAATCCTCCCTAACTCATTTTATGAGGCCAGCATCATTCTGATACCAAAGCCGGGCAGAGACACAACCAAAAAAGAGAATTTTAGACCAATATCCTTGATGAACATTGATGCAAAAATCCTCAATAAAATACTGGCAAACCGAATCCAGCAGCACATCAAAAAGCTTATCCACCATGATCAAGTGGGCTTCATCCCTGGGATGCAAGGCTGGTTCAATATACGCAAATCAATAAATGTAATCCAGCACATAAACAGAGCCAAAGACAAAAACCACATGATTATCTCAATAGATGCAGAAAAAGCCTTTGACAAAATTCAACAACCCTTCATGCTAAAAACTCTCAATAAATTAGGTATTGATGGGACGTATTTCAAAATAATAAGAGCTATCTATGACAAACCCACAGGCAATATCATACTGAATGGGCAAAAACTGGAAGCATTCCCTTTGAAAACTGGCACAAGACAGGGATGCCCTCTCTCACCGCTCCTATTCAACATAGTGTTGGAAGTTCTGGCCAGGGCAATCAGGCAGGAGAAGGAAATAAAGGGTATTCAATTAGGAAAAGAGGAAGTCAAATTGTCCCTGTTTGCAGACGACATGATTGTTTATCTAGAAAACCCCATTGTCTCAGCCCAAAATCTCCTTAAGCTGATAAGCAACTTCAGCAAAGTCTCAGGATACAAAATCAATGTACAAAAATCACAAGCATTCTTATACACCAACAACAGACAAACAGAGAGCCAAATCATGAGTGAACTCCCATTCACAATTGCTTCAAAGAGAATAAAATACCTAGGAATCCAACTTACAAGGGATGTGAAGGACCTCTTCAAGGAGAACTACAAACCACTGCTCAAGGAAATAAAAGAGGACACAAACAAATGGAAGAACATTCCATGCTTATGGGTAGGAAGAATCAATATCGTGAAAATGGCCATACTGCCCAAGGTAATTTACAGATTCAATGCCATCCCCTTCAAGCTACCAATGACTTTCTTCACAGAATTGGAAAAAACTACTTTAAAGTTCATATGGAACCAAAAAAGAGCCCGCATCGCCAAGTCAATCCTAAGCCAAAAGAACAAAGCTGGAGGCATCACACTACCTGACTTCAAACTATACCACAAGGCTACAGTAACCAAAACAGCATGGTACTGGTACCAAAACAGAGATATAGATCAATGGAACAGAACAGAGCCCTCAGAAATAATGCCGCATATCTACAACTATCTGATCTTTGACAAACCTGAGAAAAACAAGCAATGGGGAAAGGATTCCCTATTTAATAAATGGTGCTGGGAAAACTGGCTAGCCATATGTAGAAAGCTGAAACTGGATCCCTTCCTTACACCTTATACAAAAATCAATTCAAGATGGATTAAAGATTTAAACGTGAGACCTAAAACCATAAAAACCCTAGAAGAAAACCTAGGCATTACCATTCAGGACATAGGCGTGGGCAAGGACTTCATGTCCAAAACACCAAAAGCAATGGCAACAAAAGCCAAAATTGACAAATGGGATCTAATTAAACTAAAGAGCTTCTGCACAGCAAAAGAAACTACCATCAGAGTGAACAGGCAACCTACAACATGGGAGAAAATTTTCGCAACCTACTCATCTGACAAAGGGCTAATATCCAGAATCTACAATGAACTCAAACAAATTTACAAGAAAAAAACAAACAACCCCATCAAAAAGTGGGCGAAGGACATGAACAGACACTTCTCAAAAGAAGACATTTATGCAGCCAAAAAACACATGAAGAAATGCTCATCATCACTGGCCATCAGAGAAATGCAAATCAAAACCACTATGAGATATCATCTCACACCAGTTAGAATGGCAATCATTAAAAAGTCAGGAAACAACAGGTGCTGGAGAGGATGTGGAGAAATAGGAACACTTTTACACTGTTGGTGGGACTGTAAACTAGTTCAACCATTGTGGAAGTCAGTGTGGCGATTCCTCAGGGATCTAGAACTAGAAATACCATTTGACCCAGCCATCCCATTACTGGGTATATACCCAAAGGACTATAAATCATGCTGCTATAAAGACACATGCACACGTATGTTTATTGCGGCACTATTCACAATAGCAAAGACTTGGAACCAACCCAAATGTCCAACAATGATAGACTGGATTAAGAAAATGTGGCACATATACACCATGGAATACTATACAGCCATAAAAAATGATGAGTTCATGTCCTTTGTAGGGACATGGATGAAATTGGAAACCATCATTCTCAGTAAACTATCGCAAGAACAAAAAACCAAACACCGCATATTCTCACTCATAGTTGGGAATTGAACAATGAGATCACATGGACACAGGAAGGGGAATATCACACTCTGGGGACTGTGGTGGGGTCGGGGGATGGGGGAGGGATAGCATTGGGAGATATACCTAATGCTAGATGACACGTTGGTGGGTGCAGCGCACCAGCATGGCACATGTATACATATGTAACTAACCTGCACAATGTGCACATGTACCCTAAAACTTAGAGTATAATAAAAAAAAAAAAAAAAGAAAAGAAAATAAATACCACAAGCCAAGGAATGTGGCATCCTCTAGAAGCTATACGTGACTCTCAGTTATAGCCCGCAGGAAAACAGGGACTGCAGTAACATAACCTCAAGGAACTGAATTTCACTAACAATCTGAAAGAGCAAGAAACAAATTCTCCCATAGAGCCTCTAGAAAGCAATGCAGCCTGCTGACAACTTGATGTTAGGGTGTTGAAAACTCTTTCAAACTACTGACCTCAAGAAGTATAAGATAATAAATGTGTTTTGTTTAAGCCATAAATTTTGTGGTAATTTGTCATGACAATTATAGAAGTTTGACATTAATATTTACTTTTTCATGGCTACCTGTTGATATTTGACCATTTTTCTAGTGGGTGGTTGAATTTTGCTTATTAATCTGTAGTTCCTTACACACTTTGTTTAATAATCTCTTGTGCTATAGTTTCTGTTATATGAATTGCAAAAATCTCTACGTCTAGCACTTGTCTCTTAACTTAGATTATGGTTGTCTTAAAGTACAGATGGCTTTAATATAACGTGGTAAAATTTACCAAAATATCCACTAATGTTTTTGTTTTTGTTGTCTGAAAAAAGTACTTTTTCTCTTTCATTATTAAATGATAACCAGACTATATGCTGATTTGTTCAATGAGAAGACTACTAGGTTGAGTGCTGATGATGTATATTGGCTTCTTATAGTTGCATGTAATAAGATTCAGAAAAGGAGAGATGAGCAAAAGATGAAATTTCTATTTGTAATAGTTCCCACAATTACATTTAGTTTCCTTTTTTTTAAATCTCAAACAATATAAAACTGATATATTGGGGTCAAAAACAGCAGAATGTTAACAATTTTACATGATACAACATATATATTCTCTGCCAAATTGTTCAAATTATTTGATGGGATCTTGTCAAAGTTTATAGTTTTTATACAGGTCATGAAAAATGTTTCACTTTACTTTTGTTGTTGTTATTTTTATTTTGTGTTTTTTATATACTCTAAGTTCTGGGATACATGTGCAGAACGTGCAGGTTTGTTACATAGGTATACACGTGCCATGGTGGTTTGATGCCCCCATCAACCCATCATCTACATTAGGTATTTCTCCTAATGGTCTCCCTCCCCTAGCCCCGCACCCAGTGACAGGCCTCAGCGTGTGATGTTCCCCTTCCTGTGTCCATGTGTTCTCATTGTTCAACTCCCACTTATCAGTGAGAACATGTGGTGCTTGGTTTTCTGTTCCTGAGTTACTTTGCTGAGAATGATGGTTTCCAGCTTCACCCATGTCCCTGCAAAGGACATAAACTCATCCTTTTTTATGGCTGCTTAGTATTCCATGGTGTATATGTGTCACATTTTCTTTATCCAGTCTCTCTTTGATAAGCATTTGGGCTGGTTCCGAGTCTTTGCTATTGTGAACAGTGCTGCAATAAATATACATGTGCATATGTCTTTAGAGTAGAATAATTTATAATCCCTTTGGTAGATATCCAGTAATTTGATCGCTGAGTCAAATGGTATTTCTGGTTCTAGATTCTTGAGGAATCGCCACACTGTCTTTCACACTGGTCGAACTAATTTACACTCCCACCAACAGTGTAAAAGCATTCCTACTTCTCCACTTCCTCTCCAGCATCAGCTGTCTCCTGATTTTTTAATGATCACCATTCTAACTGGTGTGAAATGGTATCTCATTGTGGTTTTGATTTGCATTTCTCTAATGACCACTGATGATGAGCTATTTTTCATATGTTTCTTAGCCACAAAAATGTCTTCTTTTGAGAAGTGTCTGTTCATATCTTTTGCCCACTTTTTAATGGGATTATTTTTTTCTTGTAAATTTGTTTAAGATTTTCATGGATTCTGGATATTAGCCCTTTGTCAGATGGGTAGATTGCAAAAATTTTCTTCCATTCTGTAGGTTGCCTGTTCACTCTTATGATAGTTTCTTTTTGCTATGCAGAAGTTCTTTAGTTTAATTAGATCCCATTTGTCAATTTTGGCTTTTGTTGCCATTGCTTTTGGTGTTTTAGTCATGACGTCTTTGCCCATGCCTATGTCCTGAATGGTATTACCTAGGTTTTCTTCTAGGGTTTTTATGGTTTCAGGTCTTACATTTAAGTCTTTAATCCATCTTGAGTTAATTTTTGTGTAAGCTGTAAGGAAGGGGTCTGTTTCAGTTTTCTGCATATGGCTAGCCAGTTTTCCCAGCACCATTTATTAATAGCAAATCCTTTCCCCATTGCTTGTTTTTGTCAGGGTTGTCAAAGATCAGATGGTTGTAGATGTATGGCATTATTTCTGAGGCCTCTGTTCTGTTCCATTGGTCTGTATATCAGTTTTGGTACCAGTGTCATGCTGTTTTGGTTACTGTAGCCTTGTAGTATAGTTTGAAGTCAGGTAGCATGATGCCTTCAGCTTTGTTCTTTTTGCTTAGGATTGTCTTGGCTATACGGGCTCTTTTTTGGTTCCATGTAAAATTTAAAGTAGTTTTTTCTAATTCTGTGAAGAAAGTCAATGGTAGCTTGAAGGAGATAGCATTGAATCTATAAATTACTATGGGCCGTATGGCCATTTTCATGATATTGATTCTTCCTATCCATTAGCATGGAAGGTTTTTCCATTTGTTTGTGTCCTCTCTTATTTCCTTGAGCAGTGCTTTGCAGTTCTCCTTGAAGAGGTTCTTCACATCCTTGTAAGTTGTATTCCTAGGTATTTTACTCTCTTTGAAGCAATTGCGAATGGGAGTTCACTCATGATTTGGCTCTCTATTTGTCTATTATTGGTGTATAGGAATGTTTGTGCTTTTGGGGCACATGATTTTGTATCCTGAGACTTTGCTGAAGTTGCTTATCAGCTTAAGGAGATTTTGAGCTGAGATGATGGGGTTTTCTAAATGTACAATCATGTCATCTGCAAACAGAGACAATTTTACTTCCTCCCTTCCTAGCTGAATACCCTTTATTTCTTTCTCTTGCCTGACGGCCCTACACAGAACTTACAACACTATGTTAAATAGGAGTGGTGAAAGAGGTCATGCTTGTCTTGTGCTGGTTTTCAAAAGGAATGCTTCCAGCTTTTGCCCATTCAGTATAATATTGGCTGTGGGTTTGTCATAAATAGTTCTTATTATTTTGAGATATGTTCCATCAACACTTACTTTATTGAGACATTTTAGTGTGAAAAGAGGTTGAATTTTATCAAAGGCCTTTTCTGCATCTATTGAGATAATAATGTGGTTTTTGTCATTGGTTCTGTTTATGTGATGGATTACATTTATTGATTTGTGCATGTTGAACCAGCCTTGCATCGCATGGATGAAGCTGACTTGACCGTACTGGGTAATCTTTTTGATGTGCTGCTAGATTCAGTTTTCCAGTATTTTATTAAGGATTTTCACATCAATGTTCATTAGGGACATTGGCCTGAAATTTTCTTCGTTGTATCTCTGCCAGGTTTTGGTATCAGGATCATGCTGGCCTCATAAAATTAGTTAATGAGGAGTTCCTCTGTGTCTATTGTTTTGAATAGTTTCAGAAGCAATGGTACCAGATCCTATTTGTACCTCTGGTAGAATTTCGCTGTGAATCCGTCTGGTCCTGGGCTTTTTTTGGTTGGTAGGCTATTAATTACTGCCTCAGTATCAGAACTTGTTATTGTTCTCTTCAGGGATTCAGCTTCTTCCTGGTTTAGTCTTGGGAGGGTGTATGTGTCCAGGAATTTATCCATTTCTTCTAGGTTTTCTAGTTTATTTGTGTAGAGATGTTTATGGTGTTCTCTGATGGTAGTTTGTCTTTCTGTGGGATCAGTGGTGTTATCCCCTTTATCATTTTTTATTGTGTCTATTGGATTCTTCTCTTTTTTCTTCTTTATTAGTCTGGCTTTTCCCTCTTTCTCCTGTGGGCATTTAGTGCTATAAATTTTCCTCTAAACACTGCTTTAGCTGTGTCCCAGAGATTCTGGTACGTTGTGTCTTTGTTCCCATTGGTTTCAAGGAACTTATTTATTTCTGCCTTAATTTTGTTATTTACCCAGTAGTCATTCAGGAGCAGGTTGTTCAGTTTCCATGTAGTTGTGCATTTTTGAGTGAGTTTCTTAATCCTGAGATCTTATTTGATTGCACGGTGGTCTGAGAAACTGTTTGTTACGATTTTCATTCTTTTGCATATGCTGAGGAATGTTTTACTTCCAATTATGTGCTCAATTGTAGGATAAGTGTGATGTAGTGCTAAGAAGAATGTAATTTCTGTTGATTTGGGGTGGAGGATTATGTAGATGTCTATTAGATCCACTTGGTCCAGAGCTGAGTTCAAGTCATGAATATCCTTGTTGATTTTCTGTCTCACTGATCTGTTTAATATTGACAGTGGGATGTTAAAGTCTCCCACTGTTACGGTGTGGGAGTCTAAGTCTCTTTGTAGGTCTCTAAGAACTTGCTTTATGAATCTGGGTGCTCCTGTATTGGGTGCGTATGTATTTAAGATAGTTAGCTCTTCTTGTTTCATTAATCCCTTTACCATTATGTAATGCCTTTCTTTATCTTTTTTGATCTATGTTGGTTTAAAGCCTGTTTTATCAGAGACTAGGATTGCAACCTGGCATTTTTTTGCTTTCCATTTGCTTGGAAAGTCTTCCTCCATCCCTTTATTTTGAGCCTACATGTGTATTTGCACATGAGATGGGTCTCCTGAATACAGCACACCGATGGGTCTTGACTCTTTATCCAATTTGCCAGTCTGTATCTTTTAATTGGGCATTTGTTAATTGTTATGTGTGAATTTGATCCTGTCATTATGATGCTAGCTGGTTATTTTGCCCATTAATTGATGCAGTTTCTTCATAGTGTCGATGGTCTTTACAATTTGGCATGTTTTTGCTGTGGTTGGTACTGGTTGTTCCTTTCTATGTTTAGTGCTTCCTTCAGGAGCTTTTGTAAGTTATTCCTGGTGGTGACAAAATCTTTCAGCATTTGCTTGTTTGTAAAGGATTTTATTTCTCGTTTGCTTATTAAGCTTAGCTTGGCTGGATATGAAATTCTGGGTTGAAAATTCTTTTCTTTTAGAATGTTAAATATTGGCCCCCACTCTTTTCTGGCTTGTAGGGTTTCTGCAGAGAGATCATCTGTTAGTCTGATGGGCTTCCCTTTGTGGGTAACCTGACCTTTCTCTCTGGCTGCCCTTAACATTTTTTCCTTCATTTCAACCTTGGAGAATCTGACAATTACCTGTTTTGGGGTTGCACTTCTTGAGGAGAATCTTTGTGGTGTTCTCTGTATTTCCTGAATTTGAATGTTGGCCTGCCTTGCTAGGTTGGGGAAGGAAGTTCTCCTGGATAATATCCTGAAGAGTGTTTTCCAACTTGGTTCCATTCTCCCTGTCACTCTCAGGTACACCAATCAGATGTAGATTTGGTCTTTTCACATAGTCCCATATTTCTTGGAGGCTTTGTTCATTTGTTTTTACTCTTTTTTCTCTAAACTTCTCTTCATGCTTTATTTCATTAAGTTGATCTTCAATCTCTGATATCCTTTCTTTTGCTTGATCGATTCAGGTATTGATACTTGTGTATGCTTCATGAAGTTATCATGCAGTGTTTTCAGCTCCATTGAGTATTTTATGTTCTTCTCTAAACTGGTTATTCTAGTTAGCAATTTTTCTAACCTTTCTTCAAGGTTCGTAGCTTCCTTGCATAGGGTTAGAACATGCTCCTTTAGCTCAGAGGAGTTTATTATTATCCATTTTCTGAAACCTACTTCTGTCAATTTGTCAAATTCATTCTGTGTCCAGTTTTTTTCCCTTGCTGGTGAGGAGTTGTGATCCTTTGGAGGAGAAGAGGCATTCTTGCTTTTGGAATTTTCAGCCTTTTTGCACTTTTTTTTTTTTCTCACTTTCATGGATTTATCTACCTTTCATCTTTGATGTTGGTGACCTTTAAATGGGGTTTCTGTGTGGTCATCCTTTTTGTTGATGTTGATGATATTCCTTTCTGTTTGTTAGTTTTCCTTCTAACAGTCAGGACTCTCCACTGCAGGTCTGCTGCAGTTTGCTGGAGGTCCACTCCAGACCCTGTTTGCCTTGGTATCACCAGCAGAGGCTGCAGAACAGCAAAGATTGCTACCTGTTCCTTCCTCTGGAAGCTTTGTCTCAGAGGGGCACCCACCCGATGCCAGCCAGAGCTCTCCTGTATGAGGTGTCTGTCATACCCTGCTGGGAGGTGTCTCCCAGTCAGGAGGCATGGGGGTCAGGGATCCACTTGATGAGGCAGTTTGTCCCTTAACAGAACACAAGCGCTGTGCTGGGAGATCTGCTGTTCTCTTCAGAGCCAGCAGGCAGGAACGTTTAAGTCTGCTGAAGCTGTGCCCAAAGCTGCCCCTTCCCCCAGATGCTCTATCCCAGGGAAATGGGAGTTTGATCTATAAGCCCTTGAGTGGGGCTGCTGCCTTTCTTTCAAGGTTGCCCTGCCCAGAGAGGAGGAATCTAGAGAGGCATTCTGGCTATAGCAGCTTTGCAGAGCTGCAGTGGGCTCCGCCCAGTTCAAACTTCCCAGAGGCTTTGTTTACACTGTGAGGGGAAAACCACCTCCTCAAGCCTCAGTAATGGTGGACACCCCTCCCCCCACCAAGCTCAAGCATCTCAGGTTGACTTCAGATTGCTGTGCTCTCAGCGAGAATTTCAAGCCAGTGGATCTTAGCTTGCTGGGCTCCATTGAGGTGGGATCTGCTGAGCTAGACCACTTGGCTCCCTGGCTTCAGCCCTTTTTCCAGGGGAGTGAATGGTTCTGTCTCTCTGGCATTCCAAGTGCCACTGGGGTATGAAAAACAACTCCTGCAGCTAGCTCGGTGTCTGCCCAAATGGCTGCCCGGTTTTGTGCTTGAAACCCAGGGCCTGGCGGTGTAGGCACCCGAGGGAATCTCCTGGTCTGTGGGTTGCTGAGACCATGGGAAAAGCATAGTATCTGGGCTGGAGTGCACCGTTCCTCAGGGCACAGTCCCTCATGGCTTCCCTTGTCTAGGGGAGGGACTTCCCCAACCCCTTGCACTTCCTGGGTGAGGCAGTGCCCCACCCTGCTTCAGCTCACCCTCCGGTGGCTACACCCACTGTCTAACCAGTCCCAGTGATATGAGTCAGGGGCCTCAGTTGGAAATGCAGAAATTACCCACCTTCTGTGTTGATCTTGCTGGAAGCTGCAGACTGGAGCTGTTCCTATTCAGCCATCTTGCCAGTCACTGTCACTTTACTTTGATAATTAAAATTTCCACACTAGATTTAACCATTGCACAGATTATTAGAATAGTTATAAAAGCCAATTTCAAAGTTACCATTAAAGAATATGCAGATAAATATGCACTATTGTCAGGCAAGTTGTCTCTGAGAGACATCTACATAGTTCTTTGGCTTTAAGTCACACAGACTGTAACTAAAGCTAGAGTTGCAGAAAATTAAAATAGCTTTTTGCCTGGCCTGAGTATCTTACCTAAATCATATTTGTATGTTACTACTATTATGCAATCTTGTAATTTTCCACAGCAGATTTTCCCAGGTTTCCAGTTCATTTTTCAGCATATGCTCTTCTAGGTAGCTTTTTCTTTTCTGCCTTGCATGGATATGAAAGAGCACAGAGCTGATGTTAGCATAGTATTCAGTTGAAACATCTTTGCATTCTTGCAGAGGTTGCAGGCTATCACCACTTAAAAACTGGCTTTAAATTTTTTGCGTCATTGTTATTACTGCTGCTGTTTTTTTTGTTTGTTTTGTTTTTTTTTTTATTGAAATCAATCAAAGAGAGGAGTTGAATCCAAACACTAGGCCTTGTTGACTGCTTGGTAGAGAGTGACCTTCAGTCTCTCTCACACAACATAATATGATACTTTGTGGATTTAGGAATGTAAATACAATTTCTGTATCTAGCTCAATCTTTTATATATTAAACCAGTGGGAGGCAAAGGCTACGGAGAGCTTTCTATATTTAATGAAGCTCTTTGTTATCTAGGGATGTGATCCAGGAAATACCTAATACATTTGCTTCAAAGTCTAAATTTTGTGGTGGCAGGTGGGATTAGTCTATGAATACCCAGAAGCCAGTTCTCTTTCTGAGGAAATAATAATGATGATGAATATTGTTATTACAATGATTTATTTCATCAAGGCTCTAAGTATTTTATTAACCAGAGTTACAGCTTGATATAATTTCAAGGTAGAAATACAGCTCTTTTTCCCCCAGCTGAAAAAGATTTCTTGGTTAAAATTAAAGCATATTTTAATCATGAATTTCTTCCACAGGTTAGACAAAAGGGAAAGGTTAGCCAGAATATAGATAGAAACCAGTACGCAATTCATTTATTTGAGATTGTTTAACATCATCAGACCAGTCAAATACCATTTAGTCTACTCATTAGTGAATCAATAAACAATGGCAATCTTGAAGACTTAATGGGTGAATTGAGGAACATTCATTTCAGTGTTCTGAAGTATGTTCTACAGAACATTTCTCTCTATGATACGCCAAGGAGAAAAAAAAACTAGTTCTATAGTCAAATATGCATTTGAAAACTGTTCTCTCTATAAAATAGATTGTGTGTGTATGTGTGTGTGTAGAGAGAGAGAGATACACACTACATATATGTAGTCACGGTCCACATTAGCATTTAATGGTTCTGAGAAGTACTACAATAAAGAAATCTGTATGACTTATTTAAACTAGTTTTTCCCAAATTTACTTGATCACAGAGGTTTTGTCTTGAATAATGAATATTGGCATATTTTAAAACTACATTTCCAGAAAATATGTACTGTGAAACTCTGATTTACTTATTTATTACATATTTGCAAGATCAGGATTCTAAAGATTTAAATTATTGTTTTAGATTTTTTAAATACATATATTTTGTTTTAAATCTGTCCATGATCCACATAGAATGAAGATAATATATGCCGAAATATTTTTGCCTCCTCCCTTTCTTTTTCAAAAAATATCATTCCAAGAATGAAATTGGCCACATCTGTTATACTGCTCTCTACCACTTTAAGTTAGGGGAAGAAAATGACCTTTTTTCTTCTTTAAAAAGAAAACAAACAAAAAAGAAGTCAATCAAATATCTCCCCATCTGTTTACCAATTATACATAATGGTGAGTCATTTTTTTTCCTGTGAACAACATAATTACCAATGCGTAAACACAAAATATGTCTGCTTTTAATCAAGAATCTGAACTCTGCCAGAATATTCTCAGATATCTTTTTTATTAATGCTATGACCAGGCTTTTTAAAGAGTTTAGGAGATATATATAGATAGATAGATATAGATATAGATATAGATATAGATATAGATATAGATATATATATAATCCTAGTTTTTCTTTTTAGAATCAGATTTGAAAATATTAGTTTAGATGTCAGACACTAAAAGAGATTTACTATGTGCATGACTATCATAATCCATATTTACAAACTTACCTGTCTCCAAATTACAGAGAGGATGAGCCCAATTAGGAAGAAAATTATGATTGCATTCTTTTTCAATGCATGAAGTCATTTTCCTTTGAAAGTTCAAAAACATTACAAAAGAAGTTAATAAAGAACATTTTTCTTCATTCATTCAAAAACTATTTATTAAAGCATAGGCACAATTATAAGGCAGTATGTTAAATATGAGTTAAATGTGTAATTAAAAGAGACAATGATGATTGTATCTGATTGTATCCTAGGTTCTTGAAATCACCCTGCAGCTACAAAGGTGCAGGTAGTTCCTAATGGTTAGCATTATGTGGAAGACACTATGTGGAAAACTTACTGTCCAGGCTTTGGCCTGCAATTTCTTTCTTTTTTTTTTTTTTTGTATTGACCTAGGCCCTAATTATATTCAGTGTTTTTTTTTTTCTTCAGCTATTATTTAAAGTTCAGGTGTACATGTGCAGGATGTGCAGATGCATTACATAGGTAAACCTGTGACATGGATATTTGGAGCACAGATCATCCCATCACCTAGGTATTAACCCCAGCCTCCATTAGCTATTCTTCCTGATACTCTCCCTCCCCCAATATCCTGATAGGCTCTAGTATATGTTATTCCCCAAAATGTGTCCATGTGTTCTCATGATTCAGCTCCCACTTACAAGTGAGAACATGTGGTGTTTGGTTTTCTGTTCTAGCATTCGTTTGCTGAGGATAATGGCTTCCAGCTCCATCCATGTCTCTGCAAAGGACATGATCTCATTCTTTTTGTGGCTACATAATATTCCATGATGTATATGTACCACATTTTCTTTATCCACTCTATCATTGATGGGCATTTTGGTTGGTTCTATGTCTTTGCTATTGTGAATAGTGCTGCAACAAACATTAGTGTGCATGTATCTTTAAAATAGAATTATTTATATATTATTTTGGGTATATACCCAGTAATGGGATTGCTGGGCCAAATGGCCTTTCTGCTTCTGGGTCTTTGAGGAATGGCCACTGTCTTCCACAAAGGTTGAACTAATTTACATTTCTACCACCACCAGTGTAAAAGTATTCGTTTTTCTCCCAAACCTTGCCAGCATCTGTTGTTTTTTTGACGTTTTAATAATGGCTGTTCTGACTGGTGCAAGATAATATCTCATTGTGGTTTTGATTTGCTTTTCTCTAATGATCAGTGATATTGAGTTTTTTTCATATGTTTCTTGGCCACATGTATGTCTTCTTTCAAGCAGTTGGCCTGCAATTTCTTTGTGCTTTCCTACTTCAACACACTGGGCTTCACCATTTGTGAACTTGGACTAGAACAGAGAAAAAGACCAACATCCTCAGTCTCCAACATGATTTTGGCCCCCCAAATTCCACCATTTTAATGAGTAGTACGGTCAGTCACAAAGGAAAGAAAATAGTTTTTTTTGTTTGTTTGTTTACAAAAGACCTAATTGAACCAATCTACTTCTCACCTCCCTTCAACTGAATCTGCTCTAATTCTGCCAGGTCTTTCTTCCAAGTGTTTAAGTTGGTTGTGGTTTGAAGTTCCCCTCCAAAATGGGAGAAAGGCACTATATTTCTCAAGGGTTTCAAGAGAGAAGAGTAAACCAAATACAGGTCTAAACAGTGAAATGGCCACTTAATGAGGAAGTTAGACCTCTTTCTTAGTCTGAAAACTCTGCTACCTACCACTATGGTCTATTTATGTCCTTCAAACCAGAATTATAAATGGGGAAATGGAAGGTCATTGAATTTCACTGAAGGTCATATGTACCTATGTGTCCCTTTAGGGAGCTTATATTATTCTAAGAGTGGTTAGCAGTTGTCAAATGAGGCTACACTTCGGATTCTATAAATAAAAGTGAGTCCCAAACCCCACTCCAGACATTCATATTTTTCTATAACACATTCAGGTGATTTCTAAATCTGCAGTCTTTGCTATAACGGACATTGAGTTGCCCCTGTAACTTTAATATAAAACAAACTATTATGACAGTTGCCAAGGAAGTCCAGAGAATAATACCAGTGCACAATACTTGAACAATTAAAAGAAATGTAGGCTACTTGAGGACATCAAATAACCCAAACCAAGCCCAAGACTAAACACCAGAGTGGTTAAGGAACTTAGAGAATCGATATAGCTAGTACTAGAAATATAATCATGTGTACCTGGGATGATGTATATGAGATACAACAGCCTCAGTAACATTTTCATAAATGTTTTACACCAAGGGTTCCCAACAGTAATAAGACATGGGATCCGAAAAATTTGCACAAGGCTATTTTTATTCGGAGTCATAGTTTGCAGGAAATAGAATACCATTCAAAGTAGTTTGAACCAAAGCAGATAATTCATTAGAAATAATCAAAAGGTATCTCATAAAACACAGGGCAGACAATATGTAGCCAGGCTTTAAGAAGAACTAGAAAGAATCAAGGAACTTGGGTAACATTCTCTTTTTCTTCTTAGTGCCAAACATCTTCTCTTTGCTTTCTTTGTGGCCTCTTATTTGTTTCTAAGACCAGTATTATTTGCTTCTCCATGTCCAAGACATATCCTCTCTTTTTAAATGTCCACAGTGATACACCAATGTCACAAAACCCCAGTTCCATGTATGCATGAAAGATAATTTGATTGGCTAGTTGTGTCGCATGCTCATCAATGGTTGTATCACCCATGGTCATAAAAGAAAAGCATGCCTACAGGTACCCTACCCTGTAAATAGGAGTGTGTATTAGAGGTAGTGCTTAGATAAAGGGACATAATTTGGCCAGTTTCGAAAGAAAAAAAATCAATATTCTGCCTTATGATTTATAGTGAATTGTGTAATATCAATTTATTTTTAATTTGGATCAGTGGAGTTGTGGTTCACAGGCTAATTAATGCAATGATGTTGAGACAATCCAACCTCATATGCTAAAAATAATTTACCACCTAAACTAAGTAAACATGTTTTCTACAAATAACGTTCTTGTGAATTTAGCTTTCTATATCAAACGTTCATACCCTTAAAGTTATGTCAACTAACCTTCTAACAACAACAACAACAACAAATTATAGGAAAGTCTTTTATCATTGTGGCAATCAGACTTAAAAGTTAAGATTTCTAATGACAAGACACAAAATGAGTATGATTCTACATAAATACATTGTACCTGATATATACACCTTTGTTAGCTTCTTGTCTTATCAACATAAACAAGGGCTTATTGGTAATCCAGTAATTTTTATTTTCAAAATCACTTGTATTTTCTCAAAACTTTCAATTAAGTTTCTCTTAACCTAATTTTAATCAAGGAACAATTAAAAATATTTGGGACTTCTATTTTTTATTTTTGTAAAAGTTACACCAAAAAGTATTTACAACATGTTATCCACAAAACGGAGAAGGATGAGTTGCCTATATCAAGAATGCTAAACGGACAAGGGCCTAAGTAAGTCATACCATGTTTTAGAAGTGGTGGGAAAGTTAACCCAAACCAAGCAAAGAAACCAGACTTTAGGTATAGGGCTAGAATTCAGAACAAGACCCTACTACTGAGCATGAGTCTTTGTAATTACTCAAGTGGGTGTATGGAAGAAAAAAATAAATAAAATTCACTAAACGCAAAAAGTACACTGAGCATAATTTAAACTTTCATTCATAATTAATGGCCTCCGTATCTTCAATATGAGCATCAATTCTTACTGGTTTGGCAAACTAATAGTACACACTTCAAGGTGGTAAAATAAAAGATATATTTCCATTCTCCAATCTGCCTCTTTCCATAATGTATCCATGTAACAAATGCCTGTATACAACAGAAGAATCAGAAGTTCTTTAAATCTGTAGATGAGAGGACTGAAGGATAATGTGAAAATGTGAACAACTGGTTCATAATGTTAATGCATTTTTCCTGTCTAATATTGAAAGGGGACAGGAGGTTGGGCACAGTGGCTCACACCTGTAATCCCAGCAGTTTTGGAGGCCAAGGTGGGTGGATCACTTGAGTCAGGAGTTCAAGATCAGCCTGACTAACACGGTGAAACCCTGTCTCTACAGAAAATACAAAATTAGCTGGGCTTGGTGGCCCACGCCTGTAATCCCAGCTACTTGGGAGGCTGAGGCAGGACAATTGCTTGAACCCAGGAGGTGGAGGTTGCAGTGACCCGAGATCGCACTATTGCACTCCAGGCTGGGCAACGAGAGTGAAACTTGCTCCCCACCTCCCCCTCTAAAAAAAAAGAGAAAGAGGACAGGAACTTCTGGAACATAAAATTTAAATATAGTATTTTATTTGTATATAATGCAATTATACATATTTTATTATTTTATTAGCATAGAGGCACTAGAGTAAATGTTGTAAGTTAGCTGGGATGTAGTGACACTACAGTGAAAAAAATACATCTTATATGGGGACATTTCCTTAATGTTAATGTTATTCCAAGTAAGTCTATGGTATAGCTCTGAATTTAAAACCTAATGCCTCTTGACTCAAATTTCAGTGACAAAATTTTAGGAACATTATGGGACTGTCTATATAATGCATGTGACAATTTTTAATAGGAAAAATAAATAATTCACAGAGTTCACCCAGAAAGAAAGTCAGCAAGGAGCTGCCATGGGAAACTGCTTCACCGATGATTCAAAACTGGAGCAAGTTCACAGATGTTTGCTCTCTGATAAGAAAGAGGTGCCAGTTATAATTTGCCTGAGGTGACCTTTTAAAATAATGTCAAGTCCCAAAGAACTACCACCATCTGGATGGTTGCTGGCTCTAAGATGTGGAACTGAATTAGGCATAAAAAGTAAACCAGCATTATTTTAAACAGTGGCAAACCATTCTTAATTTGTAAGAGTCATTTCTTGGCTCCCTGGTTTAGATCCAATACCCTCTCTATGTGGTTCCTAATCTCCTGGATAATACTAAACATTGGCCTTTATGGTTACTCTCATCATAAGCCAACTTAAACACAAAGAACAAGGAGAATGGGCCTCTGCTCATTTCCTAGTCTCAAATTTCTTCTAGAGGAAGAATCGTGTCTGTAGAATAGGACACTTGATATATGATAGACAACTACAAGATTAATTGTCTGCATCTAATTCTAGCAAAGTTATTTGGGAGAAACCATAGTTATATACTATACCTGGGAACTCTCAAGCATGCCAGAACAAAAGGACTTTTTACACACAATACATTCTATTCCATAGAACAAAGCTCTCCCCAGATTATTTTCAGGCATTCAACAAAGACAGAACTAGCTAGACAATACATTTATTTCATTTGGTTGTTCTCAATAATAATATTTTTCATAACACACTGGTCCTGTATCTAATAATCACAATAGGTATATTGCTCATGTAACCCTTACTGAAATTTTAACCCTGATTGGATAACCCCCATTGTGTTCTTGAGTCACTCCACTGCTTCAGTCAAAGAAACAAAGAAACAAAAACACAAGACATCCCATAGTTTTTCCCGCTTTGCCTCCTATTTTGCCTGTTTTCCCCGAAATCCTTGGAAACCTACATCCTTTTTTTCTGGATGCACTGACAACTTATTTTATCCTTGCTAACTACTCAAAATATCTTTTCCTCTTCCTATAATTAATCTATAAAGTCAATTCAACAGTATCTGTATTTTTTAATTGCTTAATTTGGAATTTCAAATTAAATTAGCTCTAAAAATATTAGCAATGATTGTTTTGATCTTAATGTTATTAAACACACGCAGACACAGGATTGGCTAGAAAATGTGTTAATGTAAGTGTTTTCAGTTAGCCACTCCAAAATTGAATCACACTACCTCCTCAAGGCACATGGGCTCCTCATCTAATGGCATAGATACAGTCCAAAAGCACAGAATCTAGGAATAAATGGCCTCTACAGGGCTTGCCTACTATATCTAAATTTTCTAAGTGATGGACTTGGATTCTCCTTGTTGATTTTAATTCTTCTACTCACATGCCTTTCCATTCCTATACATACAAATCACTGCTGTCTGGCCACAATGTCGTGAAGGGAGAAACAGGTCATCAAAATGGAATAAACATCCGACAAACATTGAATGAGGACCGAACTGTGTACTAGACACAATATTATATACTTAGAATACAGATATTATTCTTTCCCTAAGGAGCCACTAACTAGTGTGGAGAAAGCTGAGAACCATGCTGACTATTATAGTAGATATACACAGAATATTTTGGTGATACATGAACTATAGTATAGTAGAAAGTACAGTAAATAGTTAAATATGTACAGGGTCACATCTCAACTCTGCTACTTAAATTCCTTTAAAAATTTATTTAAAGACAGGGTCTTGCTCTGTCATCCAGGCTGGAGTGCAGTGGTGTGATCATAGCTCCCTACAGCCTTGAACTTCTGGGCTTGAGTGATCCTCCTGCTTCAGCCTCCCAAGTAGCTGGGACTACAGGGGCAGGCCACCACACCTGGCTTTGCTACCTTATATTTGACTAAGGAAATGTTATATAACATCTATAGATATATTTCCTTATCTAAAATGGGGCATTTCTAATCCATACCTTGTAAGAGTATCATCAAGAGTAATGATAGTTTATGAAAATTACATGCAGCATTGTAGGTCCATAAAACAGACCAGCTGTGATGAGTGTCAAGAAGAGGACCCGAGGAAGAGTACTTCATTCTTCCTGAAGATGATCAAAAGAGAAGGATCTGAGAGGAGGTAACTGGTAAATACAGGCAAGCCAGATACTGATATCTGTGTATATTAAATTAAAGACTTTGGACTTAAACCCAAAGTTACTGTGAAAGACTTTTAAAAAATAAGTGACATGATTAAATTAGCATTTTAGGAAAAAACATTTGAGCCACTATATACAACATGAATTGAAGCTGAGCAAGATTGTGAAGAGGAAGGCTAACTGGAATGCTTATGAATAGACAAGAGGAGCAGTTTCATGGAAGTGAATTTGTTTAGTGGCTGTGGACATTAATGGAAAAAAAATTGGTTGTTAATTGGGTATGGAGGGAATCAGAGTTTGACTCTAAGGATGCTGGATTAAAAGTTGTCTGTGTCACCAACATAATTAAAGCACAGGGTGAGCAGGTTTTAGGAGGTAGTGATGCTTCCATTGCAAGAGAAGTGAAACTAGCTTGAATACCAAGTGCCCATGAAGAAATGAAACTGATATTCCTTTGTAGTTTGTGGAACAAGACTCATAACTTTGTGGTTGTACTGTATATAAGAGAAAACTAGTTTCCTTTAAGGGTAGTGCCAACTTTACATTTTATCTATTTGTTGAAACTTGCTTTAGGTTTCCTATAATCTGGTGGGGGGAAGTCCTCAAACTACTCCTTTGTAAATGTGTAGTATGTCCTTTTCTTTCTTTTTTTTTTTTCTTTTTTTTTTTTTTTTTGAGACAGAGTCTCGCTTTGTTGCCCAGGCTGGAGTGCAGTGGCACAATCTTTGCTCACTGCTGCAACCTCCACCTCCTGGCTTCGAGCAATTCTCTGCCTCAGCCTTCCAAGTAGCTGGGATTACAGGAGACCGCCACCACGCCTGGCTAATTTTTGTATTTTATTTTTAGTAGAAATGGGGTTTCACCATCTTGGCCAGGCTGGTCTTGAACTCCTGACCTCATGATCCACCCGCCTTGGTCTCCCAAAGTGATACGTCCTTTTCTTAATACGTGCATACATACAAAGCGTGAGTCCCAAATTTATGAAAAATCAAACTTGATTACACAATCATCTTTCATAGCTAATTTCAATGATAAATAATTGAGCAAGCAATTCTTTTTTAACACACACTTTTTGGCCTCATCTTCTTTCTTCTCCCTTATCTAACAAAATATGGTGTATTCTGATAGGTTGTACTTGCAAAAACAACATAATGAATCATTTTCAAAATGATGATTTCACATCTTGGCTATAATAGGAATGATCTCTGCATAATCTTAACATAATAACTTATTTCAAACCCCAAATTATCTGTATTATACATAATCAGATTACATTACTAAAAAATAACACAGCATTTGGCCAAATTGTCAGTAACAAAATTATAGTTTTAAGTTTGTGCGCAACTAAAATATAATTGAATTTCAGAGCTGACTAAAACCAGAATATCAAAATGGACACTGGATGATATTAAACTGTAGTAAGTTAAATAATGATCCCCAAAGATGCTAACATTTGAATCCCCAGAAGTTGTCAATATGTTACTTTATGTAATAAAAGAGGTTTTGCAGAGGTGATTAAATCACAGAGTTTGAGATGTGGGAATCACCCTGGTTATTCAAGGTGTTCCCAATGAAATCACAAATGCCCTTGTAAATGGGAGGCAGAGATATTTGACTGAAGAGAGGGTAATGTGACAATGGAAACAGACAAGGAAGTGGTTTGTGGTAGACAAGTAACCTTCAGTTGCCTCTGGTCATTGGAAGAGGCAAAGAACAGGTTCTCTCCTCTTGCCTCTGAAAGGAACCAGTCCTGCTGACTCCTTGATTTTAGCCAAGAAGAGACTCATTTTGGGCTTCTAATATGCAGAACTGTGAGAGAATAACTCTGTGTTGTTTTGAGCCCCTAGGTTTGTAATATTTTGTTAGAGCAGCAATAGAAAACGAATACCTAGAAGTGGGACACTGCTGAAAGAAATATCCAGAAGGGTGGAAATGACTTTGGAATTTGGTAATGGGAAGAGGCTCGAAGAATTATGAAGCAGGGGATGGAAAAGTATAAATTTCCTTGAACAGACTGTTAGTAGAAATATGGTCGGTAGTGATTCTGACAGTGAGAATGCACAAGGAAATGAGGGGCATGGTGAAGAAAGCCTATGTCACCTCGGAGAGAATCCCTAAATCATCAGAAACAGGCTGTTGATACAAATAAGAAAATTAGACCTGGCGCGGTGGCTTTCACCTGTAATCTCAGCACTTTGGGAGGCCGAGGCAGGCAGATCACAAGGTCAAGAGATCGAGATCATCCTGGCCAACATGGTAAAACCCCATCTCTACTAAAAATACAAAAATTAGCTGGGCGTGGTGATGATTGCCTGTAGTCCCAGCTACTCAGGAGGCTGAGGCAGGAGAATCACTTGAACCCAGGAGGCAGAGGTTGCAGTGAGCCGAGATCATGCCACTGCATTCCAGCCTGGAGACAGAGTGAGGCTCCATCTAAAAAAAATAAATAAATAATAATAATAGGAATGTTAAAAGCACTGCTCATGAGATCTCCTAAGGAAATGAGAAACACATCATCAAGAGGTGTGGCTTAGTTCATTCTTGCTACTAGTAATAAAATGTGATAGGAAACAATTAGACTGAAGCAACAACTTTTAAGCAAAAATAAAGTAGGCTGTGGTGACTGGGAGATTTCTCAGCCTATCTAAAGGTGCAAAAGATTCTAAATGGGAGATTCATTGTCAAGAAGTGACTTGGCTCTGGAGTGAGAGACAGGGATGTGGTTGAACAACTTTTACTTGTGCCTCTGAAGTATCAAAAGGTCAAATTATTCAGTCATAAAGAGGACTATTGATGAAATTAGGTGTGTGACTCATGGATTCCCTGTGCCACCTCAGCAGAAGACACCCCCTGACCCCCAAAACTTCATGTCTGTCTCACATGCAATACATTCACCCCATTCTCAAGTCTTAAATATTAAACATCATTTTAAATCCAAAATCTTATATAAGTCTGACCAGCTCAAACTTTCCAAATCTCATTATTTCAATATTCTAAATTAAGCACAGATGGGACTCTAGATATAATCCATCTTATAGCAAAATTCCTCTTGGACTTCTGACCTTCAGAACTATAAGAGAACAAATGCGTCTTGTTTTAAGCCACTAACTTTGTGGTAATTTGTTACAGCAGCAATTAGAATCTAATAAACCAGCTTTAAAACTTTCAAAATTTTAGCACTTATATTTGGTGACCTCTGTAAACAATAAATAAAAGAACTTGGATATAAGGAAAATTTGTCAAAAACCATTATCAACATTTTCTAACAGATTTTTTTTCTGACAACAAAGAGAAAAAAATTCTGGATTAGTAGGGAGTCAGCGACGACATCCTGTCTTACATGAGATATTTTCACCTTTGCTTACATGAGATATTTTCACATGACAGAGGTGTCATGTAAGACACCTCTGTCTTACATGAGATATTTTCACCTGAATAGGAATTGAGATAGCTTTTAATTTCACTATATTCCTTTAGGTCAGAAACTTTTGGAAGTTACTTACATTCTCTGGTGCTTAGATTGTTAATTTGTAAAAAAAAGATAGTAATAATATCTAATTTATCACATAACTATGGAGTCAAATAACATCATTTGCAATATCTAAAATAGTAACAATGTGAATCACTTATTATTTTCAACTTATTTTACTATTCCTTTATTATTATATTATTTTATTATTGTTTAAACCCCTGTTGACAAGAAAAGAAAAACAGGAAAGAGGTTTTATTTTATTTTGGAATTTACTTCTTAAGTATGAAGTAAAAAGTTGAAATATTTTTCCATCATACAAAAATGCTTCAAAATATAGTAAGTCAACTAATTTAAAAGCTTGTGTTTTTCTAATTTTGTATGTGAATTGATAATTAAAGATAGACTTTGTGGCATTTCTTATTTTAAGGAAATTTAGTTTATGACATCTTAGACCTACTGGACAAATTAGAGAATTAACATTTATTTGAAAAAGGAATCATCCAAGGGCTTCTTTGAATAACCACCAGCAGGAAAGCATTACTCATGTAAATAGAAAGTATCTATAATATGGTTTTTGAGGTTTTTATTTTTTTAGAGCCTCGCTCTTGTCACCCAGGCTGGAGTGCAGCGGCGCTACCTCAGCACACTGCAACCTCCACCTCCCGGCTTCTAGCAATTCTCCTGCCTCAGACTCCCAAGTAGCTGAGACTACAAGCACACACCACCATGCCCAGCTAATCTTTGTATTTTTAGTAGAGACAGGATTTCATCATGTTGGCCAGGCTGGTCTCGAACTCCTGTCCTCAGGTGATCTGCCCGCCTCAGCCACCCAAAGTGCTGGGATTACAGGCATGAGCCACTGCACTCAGCCTATAATATGATATTTTTATATAGCTATGCTGAGACTATGAACAATTCTCTGGAACAAAATTGATTTTATTTCCATGTATATACATTTTCTTTAACTTTGAAGAAAGTCCCATAATGTACACAAGGGCTTTATTTAGCCCATAATGAATATTCATGATAATTCACATTATTAATAATCTTAGAGTTGTTTGCTTTATACTTCTGAATTATTTTTACATACACCTTTTGAAATTTAAGCACTCTTTAAATGTATTTTCTACTTTGAATTAGGAAAAATGTGTTTTAAGATAAAATTTTTTTATCAATTTAGTTTAAGTTAAAAGCAAATATGTCAAATAAGATACATATACATCACCTTCCCAAGCCCGTGATACACAGCAGGCATTTAAAAAGTAGAAAAAAAAGTTGTAGTAAAATAAAAATGTCCACGGATGTTACATTATTATATCACTATTATTAATGTTTTCAGTTCAGGAAGGGCCAAAATGTTATATGAACATTTTCACAGAGATTCACAAGAGTTTTTTAATCCAGCCACAAAGAGTCAAAATTTTAAAGGACACTTGTTTTATGTGGTATTTTAATTTAGCTTAACATAGTTTTTTTTTTTTTAATTAATTACACATTTTAAAAACTCAAAGTATGTAGGGGCTATGATATATACAAAACTGTGGGAAAATGACATATATATGGAGAGCATAGGTCTTCCTCCCACTTTTTATTATACATTACATATACACATATACATAAATACATATATATATAATCAATTTACAGCATCCATTTGAGTATTGAACATGAGATGGTACTGAGATTTAGGAGTGTCAGAATAACACTAGAAGCAAAATCAGATGATCAGGATAACACTGTAAGCCATATCTGCTTAACTTTATTCCTATAATCTTGCCATTAAAAATTAACAAATTATTTTTTAACTTTAAAAAATAACTAAACCAACTACAACATTTTTGTAAATTATAAACTTGGAAGTCTTTCTTGTCATCTTCATTAATTATATACAATTTCATCACTACTGAAATTTAAGTAATATTAATATTAACTTAATAAAATAGCCTATATTTAGTCTTACTATGCCCTCATTTTTATTCAGGTTTATAGTGGAACATCTGTTTGGTTGACATTTTAAAGTGCCTATGCTAAAATAGGCTAACAAATGTCATTTAGCACTTCATATAACTAAAAGTACTAAGTCTAAAAATGTTTGACAATAAAACAAGGTTATATTTACATCATTTAAAAAACACTACATAAGTGGTATAAACATAATTCACTTTTAAAGATCTTTATGTGACAAGGAAATATTTTCAGCCTACCTTAGAACTTACATATAAAAATGATCCATTCTTAGCGTACATAAAAAGTCACCCTAGAAGAAAGTGCACATTATAGTGTATAATAAGAATCTGACCCAATAAATAAAGAGTAGTAGTGCTTCTAGAAGGAAAAAATGGTTTATTCCAGCTTTCTATAAAGGGAAACAAATTGAATAAAATCAAAAGTAATGCCACTTACTTTTCTAATATGTGTTTGCTACATACACATTATGAATTATTAGAATAATGACACACATTTGTTGTGTTGTTTTATAATTGTCAATATATTTTCACATTCAATTCTAACCCCTCAGCCATGCTTCAGTATAGGCAGTACACATTTGAATCCCATTTTATATGTTAAGTAACTGAAATCCAAAGAGATTGAGTTCTAAAGTCTATTCAATGATAAAGTTGAAGTTGGAAGTTGCATTTCAATTTTCTCAAGCCAAGTTCCCCAAGTCTTGATTTTGAGGCAATTATTAATAAATATTATAATCCATGTACACATAATCATAAGGAAGAAACCACATATTTCCTGTTAGAACCAGCCTTCTGGAGTTCTCTGAATGTTAATGAAGATGAATAATGCTGAGGTTCAAAGGAATGCCAAGTAAATATTACCACTCTTCTCTGATGAAGTGTGAAACAACAGAGAAGTACGACAAAAGATTCTATAGTTAGGAACCAAAATATCACTTTTGTCACTAATAAATTTGGAGAATGCGGCTTGAGCATGTGCCAACAATGGATTTCCTACGATTGATGCCAGAATCAGAACGACATAACCCTCTGGTCACCTACAGCCTTGGACCACCATAAGCCTCTCCAGGGGACAGGGCCTTTGCATTTAAATTGGTCACATGCCTAAGAGCATATGACTTCTGTAGGCAAGCAGACCTCACACAGAAGAAGAAAAGGAGCCAGGTTTCCATGCCCGGTTTTTTCCAGTCCTCACCAACAGGTGTGTGAGGAAGTGGAGAGAGGCAGCGTAACCAACTAGTGGAGCTGCCCTGCTATGTGGAAGAAACCATCAGGAGTGGGAAAGAAATGTTTCTTCTCCCTAAAAACGTTAAATAATCATGGGGACAAGAAATATATGTAAATACAGTTTAAACTTTCAAAATGTCTTGCCAAAAGTCATAAAATCTCCACATTTGCCACAAAAGGATATAAAAATTGATGAAGAAATATAGAAGCCCTAAGATACAGATAGTTATTTTATTCAAGTGAGATTCGATGGAATCTCCTATTTATACTGGAGCTGCAATCACCATTGATGTATAGTAAAATAATCTGTAAGGGGAAACATACCTGATTTTTCCTGAAATCTCTTAAACTGATCTAAGGAAGGGTGTGTGCAGCTTACTAAAACAACTTAGATGAGACTTAATATCATCTCCCAACTAGGTCTAGCTTTAAATGGATTGTGGTCCTCCTTTCTCCCCTGCCTATTGAATTTATTTACCTTGGTCTCTAGTTCTAACTCTTTAATATAAGAATAAGTCTTATATCCCATTAACCCCCAGGACTAGATTTTTAACGATAAATCAAATTTCCCATCTCTTCAATCACAGATTGGGATAGCACAGATTTTTAGCCCTTGGTACAAACTTTTTCTAGAGCTGTGACTAGAGATAGTTAAATTAATTGGTCCCCACTTGTATCATTTTGAATAAACTTATAGTATCAGATAGCTTTGTCTTTAGCTTGGGTCACCCCCTATTAGGTATCATCTCAGTTATTTGCCAATTTCATTTTATGGATGTATGATATGGTTTGAATAGATGACCTCACCACAAATCTCATGTTGGACTGTAACCTCCAATGTTGGAGGTGGAGCTTGGTGGGAGGTGTTTGGGCCATGGGGGTGGATCTCTTACAGCTTGTTGCTGTCTTCACAAGAATGAGTGAGTTCTTGACTTACCTGGTTGTTGTAAAGTGTGACACCTTCTCTTCTCTCTTGCTCCTGCTTTTATCATGTGACATGCCTGCTCCAGCTTTGCCGTCCAACATGACTAAAGGCTCCTTAAGGCTGCCCCAGAAGCTGACCAGCTGCCTAGGCCATGCTTCCTGTATAGCCTGCAGAGAGATGAGCCAATTAAACCTCTTTTTCTTATAAATTATGCAGTCTCAGGTATTTCTTTATAGCAGTACAAGAACAGCCTAATATAATGTACATGCCTTGATGACAAGTTTCAGGTTATCACAAGAAACATATAATAAGTATATTTAAAAATATTCAGCAAACATTAAACTCATCCAAATTTTATTAATGTTAAATTTACATAAATAAATTGCAGTGAAATCTTGTGTGTTTATTTCCTTAGAAAAAACAAGAAATTGGCCTGGCGCGGTGGCTCACGCCAGTAATCCCAGCACTTTGGGAGGCCGAGGCAGGAAGATCATGAGGTCAGGAGACTGAGACCGTCCTGGCCAACATGGCGAAACCCCGTCTCTACTGAAATGCGAAAAAAAAAAAAAATAGCTGGGTGTAGTGGCATGCCTGTGGCCCCAGCTACTCTGGAGGCTGAGGCAGTGGAATCACTTGAACCCAGGAGGCGGAGGTTGTAGTGAGGCGAGATCGCACCACTGCACTCCAGCCTGGAGACAGAGCAAGACTCCATCTCAAAAAAAAAAAAAAAAAATCAATAAATGTATGCCAATGTGAAAAAATAAGAATTCATGTTTTTGGAGATGGGGATAGAATGGGAAGAATACAGTCTTCTCAGAATGTTTTCTTCTGACACAGAGAAAGGCTCTAACAATTATTGTACTAATGTATCACTACTAAGGGTGTGGTGTATATTCCAGCAGCAGCATCCAGGAACATCCTAAAAATGCAGGATTTTGGGCCCCACTGGACCTACTGAATTAGCACCTATATTTTAACAAAATCCATAGGCAGCTCATATGCACATTAAAATTGAAGACACGCTGTATTAATCCATGAATACAATTGTTCAATGAGCATTTGGAGACTGGAGAATGCTGGGATCAGAAAGAAAGGTTTCGGAAATATAGAAATCATTATTTTGCCTTTGTTCTAAAATATGGAGACTCCACATTTGGAAAATGAGATGCAGATCTTTTTTATCTCCTCAGAAAAGAATGAAGTTGAAGAAAGTCTGGTAGTCATGGTGGCTTAAGCCTGTAATCCCAGCACATTGGGAGGACAAGGTGGGAGGATCACTTAAGGCCAGAAGTTTCAGACAAGCTTATGGAAACATAGGGAGACCCCATCTCTACAAAAAATCTAAAACTTAGCCATGCATGGTGGCACATGTCTGTAGTCCCAGATATTGTTCTGGAGGCTGAGGCAGGAGGATTACTTGAGCCCAGGAGTCCAGGCTGCAGTGAACTATGATCAAGCCACTGCACTCCAGCCAGGGAGACAAAATGAGACCATCTCTAAACAATAAATAAATAAATAAATAAATAAATAATATCATATATATATGAAGAAGAAAGTCTGGAGACTAATAAACTTGAATTATTGAGGAGAGAGAGGGATGGTCACATGCGGGAGGGCAAAAGGATCATTCAGTCTGTAAGCATGAAAGATGAAGCAATGGTGATCAAAGTTTATAAAATCATGAAAGGTGTACAGAACATGTTCACCGATATTAGTATCAGAGAAATGCCAATGCTGGAAAACTACATCTGTCTTTTACCATAGCAAGTGTAGATTAAGTGTCTGCTACTCAGACATCCAGCCACCTGTTTGTAGTTATCAAGGGCTTACCTCTTACTTCTGTCTGGACTGAATCTCAACCAAGTGAGAGGAATATAAAGGTAGTGGAGGCCAAGAGAGTGAGCTGGCTCCGTTTCAAAACTTCCTTTGCTTCAATCCCCATTCCCAATCTTTCCTTCTCCTCTTTCCAATAGGGCTCTCATCAGTTACTTTTGCTGCCTGCCGGTAGTTTTGGATGATTTAGATGAATTTTAGACACTCTTCGTTCCTCTGCTTACTGATATGGATGTTTTCTTGATGTCTCTTGCTTGATTCATCTGAATGGTTATTTACTGCCAAGAATCTCCAGCTTGTCAGCTTCTGACAATCCTACAGGTCACCTCAGCTCTTGCTGTCAGTGATTCAGGGTGACTGGTGGGAGGGTACTCCTTGTGCTTAAAGGCAGTGACTTCATTCAAAAAACAGAAGGTATTTCTCTATATAATAGTAAAGGTATCCTAAAAGTGCTTCTCACACTACTATAAAGAACTGCCCGAGACTGAGTAATTTATAAAGGAAAGAGGTTTAATTGACTCACAGTTCTGCATTTCTGGGGAGGCCTCAGGAAACTTACATCATGATGGAAAGTGGTTGCAGGAGAGAGAAGTGCGGAGCGATGTGGGAAGCCCCTTATGACACCATCAGATCCACTGAAAACTCACTCACTATCATGAGAACAGCATAGTGGAACCCACCCCCATGATTCAATTACCTCCACCTGGTCCCACCCTTGACACATGGGGATTATTACAATTTAAGGTGAGATTTGGGTGGAGATACAGAGCCAAACCATATCAGTAGACTATAGAACTTGAATAGGTTCAAGAAGGTTTTATGTCTCTTATACATTAAAATCCCTGGGAATATATAAAAGAAAGAAGACTTAAATACTCCTGATTAATATGGTGGAATACCTTGTATAAAACACCCCTAAGTGGCCAGAGACAGAGCACTAGGAGATACAATATGTTCTTACCCAGTTTGACATCTTTCTATTCTCAATTTCAACTTAACAACATTACCTAGTGATTACGATTGATGTGATGGTTAATACTGATTGTCAACTTGATTGGATTGAAGGATACAAAGTATTGATCCTGGGTGTGTCTGTGAGGGTGTTACCAAAGGAGAATAACATTTGAGTCAGTGGGCTGGGAAAAGCAGACCCTCCCTTAATCTGGGTTAGCACAATCTAATCAGCTGCCAGAATGGCTAGAATAAAAAGCAGGCAGAAAAATATGAAAAGTGAGAGACTGGCCTAGTCTCCCAGTCTACATCTTTCTCGCATGCTGGATGCTTCCTGCCCTCGAACACCAGACTCCAGGTTCTTCAGTTTTGGGACTCGGACTGGCTCTCCTTGCTCTCCTTGCCTGCAGATGGCCTATGGAGAGACCTTGTGATCATGCGAGTTAATACAATCCCCTTTACATATACACATAGTCCATTAGTTCTGTCCCTCTAGAGAACCCTGACTAATACAGATTTTGCTAACAGGAGTGGTTTTAGAGGAACAGAATATTAAGAATGGAGTTTTTTCATTGGTTTTGGTGTTCCTGGAGTTGGCTGCTTGATATGATTAAACCCCAAAATTCTAAGGACTCTTCTTCTACTAGTATGGAGAACACTGGTAGTCCTTGGCATAAACTGTTTAGAGAGTTGTGCAAAGTAAATGCATTTGAACACTCCTGATTCATCAGTCATAAGAGGCAAGGGGTTTAGTGACTCTATACATAATACCTTTGACCATATGTGGAGAACCAAGGAACATAATGAAGCTGGTTGGTTGCTGCTAAGTTCAGTGGACAAGGTGATAAAAGAAAATGATGAACTCAGGGATTCTGTCTCCAGGCTTCAGAAGCAGATACTGAGCCTCAAATCTGCTAAGATTGTTCTGAGTAAGAGATTTATCTCCTGTAGAGAAAGAGCTGAAATTGTGGAGAAACAGACACAAGTTCTTATCATGCAAGTGGATGACCTGCAACAAAAGATGCATGCACAGCCTCGCCAGGTGTCTACTGTTAAAGTGAGAGCATTGACTGGAAAAGAATGGGACCCTGCAACATGGGATGGGGACAAGGGGGAGGACCCTGATGAAGCTGGGGACACTGAGTTTGTAAACTCTGATGAACCTTTTTTGTCAGAAGAAACAGCTTCCCCAACCCCAGTAGTGGCAACATCCCCTCCACTACCTATGCTGCCATCAGCCTTTCCGCTTTCATCTGAGGAGATAAACCCTGAACTGCCTGAGGCAACAGTGATGGCCTCCCCTGAAGCAGCTGCCAGGCAAGAAAATGTTGACTTTCCTCAGGAGCCACCCCCAACACCTCTGTTTGCTTGTAGACCTATAACTAGACTAAAGTCCCTGCAGGCCCCTAGAGGGGAGGTTCAGAGCGTGACCCATGAGGAGGTTCACTACACTCGAAAAGAACTGCTTGAATTTTCTAATTTATATAAACAGAAATCTGGAGAACAGGCATGGGAATGGATATTAAGGGTGTGGGATAATGGTGGAAGGAACATAGAGTTGGATCAGGCTGAATTTATTGATTTGGGCACACTAAATAGGGTCTCTGCATTTCATGTTGCAGATCTGGGAATTAAAAAGGCTCTAATAGTTTATTTCTTGGTTAGCTGAAATATGGATTAAAAGATGGCCCACTGTGAGCCAGCTGGAAATGCCTGATCTCTCTTGGTTTAATGTAGAGCAAGGGATCCAAAGGCTTAGGGAGATTGGGATGGTGGAGTGGATTAGTCACGTTGGACCTACTCATCACAGCTGGAAGTGTCCCGAAGATACACTCTTGACCAATGCTTTGTGAAACAGATTTGTGAGGACAGAACTTGCATCTTTGAAGAGCCCTGTAATGGCTTTTCTCTGTATGCCATATCTAATGGTGGGAACCGCAGTCACTCAACTACAAAATTCAAATATAATGGGAATAATTGGATCCCAAGGTGGCAGGGGCCAAGTGGCAGCACTCAACCATTAAAGACAAGGTGAGCATAGCTACATAAGGGACAGCAGAGGCAAAGTGGCAATCAGAATAGTCTGACTCATGTAGAGCTCTGGCATTGGCTAATTAATCACAGTGTTCCTAGACATGAAATTGATAGGAAGCCTACTGTATTCCTATTTAATTTATATAAAGAAGAGCAAACTTCTATGTCAAATGGACAAAAGTCCAATTTGAATTATAAAAAAAGAATGATGGCCCCTCAATCAATGTCAAGACTTGAGCCAGTTTATAGACCCAGAACCCCTTTAATGAAGGGAAGGCCAGGTTCCCTTGAGGAAGGACCCCACTACATTACCAGCAATTTCTGCAGTGAATCTTTCTTCCATCCTTCCCCAATGAGACCTCCAGACTTTTTACCAGGGTAACTGTGTGTTGGGGAAAGGGAAATGATAGGACATTTCGGGGACTACTGGACACTGGCTCTGAGGTGACATTGATTCCAGGGGACCCAAAATGTTACTGTTGTCCCCCAGTTAAAATAGAGACTTATGGAGGTCAGGGAATTAATGGAGTTTTAGTTCAGGTCTGACTTACAGTGGGTCCAGTGGGTCCCCGGACTCATCCCGTGGTCATTTCCCCAGTGCCAGAATGCATAATTGGCATAGACATACTTAGCAGCTAGCAGAATCCCCACTATGGCTCCCTAACTGGTAGGGTGGGGGCTATTACGGTAGGAAAGGCCAAATGGAAGCCATTAGAGCTGCCTCTACTGAGAAATATTCAACTAAGACTCAGGGACCTTCTACCTCAGTAAAACTTCTAAGGGTCCAGTGGTGTGGGGACTGTCGAGATATTCCTTCTAAGGTGAAGGATAAATTGCTGCATTTGGCCCCTCCTACAACCAAGAAAGAGGCACAACCCCTAGTGGGCCTCTTTGGATTTTGGAGGCAACACATTCCTCATTCTGGTGTGTTACTCTGGCCCATTTATGTAATGACCCAAATGGCTGCCAGTTTTGAGTGGTGTCCAGAACAGGAGAAGGTTTTGCAACAGGTCCAGGCTGCTGTGCAAGCTGCTCTGACACTTGGGCCATATGACCCAACAGACCCAATGTTGCTTGAGGTGTCAGTGTCAGACAGGGATGCTATTTGGAGCCTTTGACAGGTACCCACAGTGGAGGCCCCTAGGATTTTGGAGCACGGCCCTGCCATCTTCTGCAGATAACTACTCTACTTTTGAGAGACAGCTTTTGGCCTGTTACAGAGCTTTGGTGGAAACTGAACATTTGACTATGGGCCATCAAGCCACCATGTGACCTGAAAGGCCTATCACGAACTGGGTGCTTTCTGACCCATCTAGCTGTAAAGTGGGTCATGCACAGTGGCATTCCATCATTAAATGGAAGTGGTATATATGTGATAGGGCTCGAGCAGGTCCTGAAGGCACAAGTAAGTTACATGAGGAAGTGGCTTAAATGCCCATGGTCTCCATTCCTGCCACTCCACCCTTTCTCCCCCAGCCCATACCGATGGCCTCATGGGGGGTTCCCTATGATCAGGTGACAGAGGAAGAGAAGGCTAGGTCCTGGGGTTCACAGATGGTTCTGCATGATATGCAGGCATCACCCGAAAGTGGACAGCTGCAGCACTACAGCCCCTTTCTAGGATATCCCTGAGGGACAGCAGTGAAGGAAAACTTTCCCAGTGGACAGAACTTCGAGCAGTGCACCTGGTTGTGCACTTTGCATGGAAAAAGAAATGGCCAGATGTGTGATTATATGCTGATTCATGGCCTGTAGCCATGGATTGCCTGGATGATCAGGGACATGGAAGAAGCATAATTGGAAAGTTGGTGACAAAGAAATTTGGGGAAGAGGTATGTGGATGGACCTTTCTGAGTGGTCGAAAACTGTGAAGATAGTTATATCCCATGTAAGTGCTTACCAATGGATCACCTCAGCAGAGGAGGATTTTAATAATCAAGTGGATGACTCGTTCTGTGGACACCACTCAGCCTCTTTCCCCAACCACCCCTGTCTTTGCCCAATGGGCCAATGAACAAAGAGGCCATGGTGGCAGGCATGGAGGTTATGCATGGAATCAGCAACATGCACTTCCACTCATCAAGACTGACCTGACTATGGCAACTCCTGAGTGCCCAATTTGCCAGCAGCAGAGACCAACACTGAGCCCTCGATATGGCACCATTCCTCTGGGTGATCTGCTAGCTACCTGGTGGCAGGTTGGTTATATTGGACCTCTTCCATCATGGAAAGGGCAGAAGTTTGTCCTCACTGGAATAGGCACTTACTCTGGTTATGGCTTTGTCTATCCTGCACGCAATGCTTCTGCCAAGACTACCATCTGTGGACTCACAGAATGCCTTATCCACTGTCATGGTATTCCACACAGCATTGCCTCTGACCAAGGCTGTCACTTTATCCCTAAAGAAGAGGGGCAGTGGGCTCATGCTCATGGAGTTCACTGGTCTTATCATGTTCACCATCATGCTGAAGCAGCTGAATTGATAGAACGGTGGAATGGCCCTTTTAAGTCACAATTACAATGCAAGCTAGGTGACAATACTTTGCAGGGCTGGGACAAAGTTCTCCAGAAGGCCATGTATGTTCTGAATCAGCGTTCAATATATAGTGCTGTTGCTCCCATAACCAGGATTCACGGGTCCAGGAATTAAGGGGTGGAATTGGCCCCACTCACCATCACCCCTAGTGATCCACTAGCAAAATTTTTGCTACCTGTTCCCATGACATTGTGTTCTGCTGGCCTAGAGGTCTTAGTTCCAGAGGGAGGAACACGGCTGCCAGGAGACACAACAACAATTCCATTAAACTAGAAGTTAAGATTGCCACCTGTCACTTTGGGCTCCTCCTACCTTTAAGTCAACAGGCTAAGAAGGGAGTTACAGTGTTGGCTGGGGTGATTTACCCAGACTATCAAGATGAAATCAGTCTACTAATTCACAGTGGAGGTAAGGAAGATTACACATGGAATACAGGAGATCCATTAGGGTGTCTGTTAGTATTACCACGCCCTGTATTTAAAGTCAATGGAAAACTACAAAAACCCAATCCAGGCAGGGCTACAAATGACCCAGACCCTTCAGGAAGGTTTGGGTCACTCCTCCAGGGAAAACACCATGACCTGCTGAGGTGCTTACTGAAGGCAAAGGGAATACAGAATGGGTAGTAGAAGAAGGTAGTCATCAGTACCAGCTATGACCACGTGACCGGCTGCAGAAATGAGGACTGAAGTTTTCATGAGTATTTCCTCCTTTTGTTAAAAACATGTTTTTGCATGCATACACTTATACTAAGAAAATATCTTCATTTTATTTCCTTTCTCTTTATCATGTGACATAAGATTTATTGACTTCACAGCAACATTTAAGTATTGTTAATTTTATGTAATAGTATTTGGGTTGAGGGTTGGTGCGCTTCTGGTTGTGCGAAGGATAGTTGTATTATGTTAGGTGTAATTATTATTGTCTTTACTTGAAAATGATGTCTGAGCACAAGAGATGTGTATGGGTTCAAGTTAACAAGGGGTGGGCTTGTGATGGTTAATACTGAATGCCAACTTGATTGGATTGAACGACACAAAGTATTGATCCTGGGTGTGTCTGTGAGGGTGCTGCCAAAGGAGATTCACATTTGATAGTCAGTGGCCTGGGGAAGTCAGATCCACCCTTAATCTGGGTGAGCACAATCGAATCAGCTGCCAGTGAGGCTAGAATACGATCCACTAGAAAAACGTGCAAAGGTGAGACTGGCCTAACCTCCCAGCCTACATCTTTCTCCCATGCTGGATGCTTTCTGCCCTCAAATATCAGACTCCAAGTTCTTCAGTTTTGGAACTTGGACTGGCTCTCCTTGCTCCTCAGCCTGCAGACAACCTATTGTGGAACCTTGTGATCATGTGAGTTAATACTTAATAAACTCCCATATATATATATATATATATATATATATATATATATATATATATGAGATACATATGTATACATATGATATATATATGTATATACACACACATATAATTAGTTTGGTTGCTCTATAGAACCCTGACTAATACAGTTGAAGAAACTGAATAACAAAATGACATTTCTTCCAATATAGAGTAATTTTTCTAAATTGTTTCTAAAAGCATAAGGAATAACTTACAAGTTTCTATATACTCATTATTTTAACGTTCTTTAATTGCATTCACTTCACCAATTCTCCTTTCTTTTCCATGATATGGGAAACAGATGGATTGATAAAAATGTACAGGAATCTAAAATATGATGTATTTATAAAAAAGGATATATATAGAATTGAATTTGTGGGCTACAAAGAAATATAATTCAGAAAAGGATTTAAGAAAAGAAGAGAAAAATGACAAAGGGCACCAACATTTACTCAGTACCTATTGTGTGCCAGCTACAATATTCATGGCTTAAAATACAACCAGATCATAAGACTTGTCTATAATCTCAGAGTTTCTAACCAGCATCTATCTTTGTCCAGAAAAAAATATATATAATAGATGCCAGTGTCCTCCTAATTTTAAATTGATTCCTATATTATCTATGTAAGATTTGCATAATGCTTCTTTCTGCCAGCATTAGCCCATTAACTACCTCCAGCAGCTACATGAGGAATAGAAGAGTGACAGGAAATTGAGGACAATAGTAGTGAGGATCCATTTGGAGACAGAGATCAGTATGTCTTCCCCTTTCCAAGATGCAGGAACAGGGAAGGCTTCTTCTCCTCTGAAGCCAACTGAGGGTGGCTTCATGGGAACCCCTGGGAGAGCATGACATACGTGACCTGAAGTTTCACAGATAAAGATCAGGTCACTGACTCTAAAACTCACCCATGAACACTCTAAAGAATGACAGTCTATGACTCTTTCCCCACCGCAAGTTTCCCAGCCTGGTTGAAGGAAAAAATATTAATTGGTAAAGCTCAGAGTTTTAGTATAATACAGAACAAGACTTATAATATTAAGGAAAAAATACCGTTTTTTATTACCTGAAACTCACTGGAAAAGCTTTTGACCTTGAATGACTTTCATGCAGGAGAAGGAAACAACAAACAGAGGACTGCAGTTGCTTTCTGTTATCTTATGGAGCCCAACTCACTTTACTGACTAGGTTACACATACATCTTTCCAGGAAACGTTAAAATTCTATCCATGGTTTGTGTAACTGGTAGCTTTTTAAAAATTCTATATTCTTTTCAATAAATCACATTGTAAATGAAATTTGTTACCTCAAATTTGTTACACCCATCTTTCTGCCTAATTCCTTACTATTCCTCCCAAATAAAACTCTACTCAAATAATAGATATCACCATTTACAAACTTGCTTTCTTTTTTTTTTTTTACTTTATTAACTTTATTCTTGGTTTGACCTCCAGTACTTTCTATCTATTTTAATTCTACCACATTTATTAAATACATAAGTCATCTCAGCTGAATATAATCTCTGCCTTAAACCAGTGCAGGCTTTTGAGTGCCTCGTGTGTCTGCTGTTGTGGAAGGCATATAAAGTGAAGGATATAGCATCACTGATCTTAAGAAGCTAATGAGTCTGGTAGAAAAGACATACAGGTTATGTTAGTCTGTGTTCATGCTGCTGATAAAGACATACCCAAAACTGGGCAATTTACAAAAGAAAGAGGTTTAATTGGACTCACAGTTCTACATGGCTGGGGAGGCCTCACAATCATGGCAGAAGGCAAGGAGGAGCAAATCACATCTTACGTGGATGGCAGCAGGCAAAAAGAGAGAGCTTGTGCAGAGAAACTCACGTTTTTAAAACCATCAGGTCTCATGAGACCCATTCACTATCACGAGAACAGCAGAGGAAAGACCCACCCCCATGAGTCAATCATCTCCTACCAGGTCCCTCCCACAACACGTGGGAATTATGGAAGGTACAAGATGAGATTTGGGTGGGGACACAGAGCCAAACCATATTACATGTACTTATTTTAATTAGAAAGCAAAGTAACATTTGATAATTGTATAATTGATGTAAGGAAAGTTTTGGAAGCTGAGAGGAGACTATTACTGCTTCTGACTAGAGCATGCATTTTCAAAAAAGGCAAAAATTGGTTCTGGAGGGTGGAGAGAATTAAAAAAAACTAAGTCTTTTTATGTAGAAAGCACAGATATTCATTGCATAAACAGATATATTCTCTATAATATTCAAAATTCATGGGGAGGACAATTAGGATAAAAATGTCTCAAAAGGCTCTTGGGCAGTCGAAGGAGGTATAATAACATCAACAAAATAGGTTGAGAAATACAGGACTAGAGGAAATGGTGATGACAACTCAGATATTTTTTTAAATTTTTATTTGAATGAATTTTAGACTTACCAAAAAAATTTGTAAAGGGCACAGAGAATGTCTATATATCCGTCACCCAGTGTTTCCTAAAGTAACATTTTATGTAACTATGGCATAAAAAGCAGAACCAGGAAGTAAAATTGATACAATACTATTAAGTAAACTAAAGTCCTTATTTGAATTTCATAAGATTTTCCACAAATGTGCTTTTCTGGGATCTCATATTGCATTTGAGTGCTTCTCTTTAGTCTCCTTTTTAACCTGGGGTGAGTTTACTCCCTAGGAAAGATTTGGAAATGTCTGCAGACTTTTGAGTTATTACAACTGCAGAGGTGTTGTTGGCATTCAGTGGGTAGAGGCCAGGGATGCTGTTAAACATCCTACAATGCAAAGTTCAGCTGCCCACAATAAAGAATGATCCAGGCAATAATGTCAATAGTGTCATGGTTGAGAAACCCTGAGTTGAGGAATCAATGTGTTCCTCAGTATGAACAGTGTGCAGCTGTTTAAGAGAATGATCAGATGTCCAGGATGAGAATGCATAGCTGATGCGTTGGAAGGGAACACTTCAGTAAGCAATTATCATTTTGAAAATGTAAAGTCAGCTTAGAAGTAAATTTGAATGCATTTTTAACAGGTTTAAGCCTTAGTCATGTATTTAATTGACATTTGTGGTCGTTGCTGTTTGTTGTTTGCACTTTTCTGGAGTGGTTCTCCGGCATTCAATTTCCCTACTGACTTGGGGTTCCCCAATGCATGCACTGTCTCCATGATGCAGTACATCTCACATCACAGAACCCAACAGTAAAGAAGATTCCCCTTTTCTAGCACTAATTGTGCCCTGCAGCAGCAATAGCAGTATCCTGGCCAGACCATTTCTGCTACAATACAGTTACTGTGTTTCAGGAAAGACCTCCCAGTTGACCTTCCACCTCATCCATTTTTCAAATCTAGTTTTTTTTAGCCTCCCATAAGTCTATTATTACTGTCAATTTTCATTGCTGGAGACCAAGGATTGGTTTCTAAGCTTGCAGACTTATACAGTAGAAAACAAGAGCCCTGACTGATGCAGTGGGTCACCTCCTAAGGTTTTACTAGCAGAGGGCTGATGCCATTGCAGCTCTGCATTAGAATGTCCACTCTGATATCAGTCAGTTGTATGGATAAAAAATAAAGGTAGGACTAACAGTAGTAAGAAGATATATATTAGAGTGGTTTTGAAAAGATACATGAATTATGAACTTGAACTAGCATAGAGGAGGAAAAGGAATAAAACACAAAGTGATTGTGGATATATACTTGGTTAATTTAGATGGCTTGATGATTGCATGTGTGAGGGAAAGGGTGAAAGAAAGAAGGAGGTGGTTGATGACTTCTGAGATGGTAGCATAAATACAGTAATGGTTCTACTATGGGAAAACAGTATCATGAGCCAAATTGAGACATCGGGTAGTGTTGCAGTATCAAAAGTGAGAATTTAGGGAAACATAATTAGGTTCCTTTTGGAAATGCTCTATTTGAAGTACCAGTAAAACACTACTTTATATGCTTACCACTTATTTTGTGCTTGCTGTTTGTGTAATGTTAATTTCTGGTTCACAAATATCACTAACTCATGGAATTATGTTTCCAAAGTGGTGATATAAAATGTCTTTTTCACTAATCATAACATCATGGCATTAAAGCAATTACATTAAGAGTTGTGAATACACATGAGACAGTTTACTAAATAAAACAATTCTAAGCAGAGTTTCCATAAACTTTATAGTATTAGGAATATTATAAATGGCAGGTCAGGACATATCTAGGTGTATTTCTACATACTTGTGAAAGATAAGACAAGCTAAGAGTATATATATATATATGATTTAAAGGTTTTTTTACTTGTTTTGACCCCAGACTTACTCTTTTTTTTAAAAAAAAATTATACATTTGTGCTTGCTCATAATTAGATGCAAACATGATTTATTCAAACTAAGCTGCTTCTTTTTACTGTACAAACCTCCCTGCCCCACCCAATGATGAGGACATTAATGAATAGCAAAGTAACTGGGAAATAATGCAACTAAAATAAAATATTTGCCAAAATAAACGAACAACTCACATTAGTAATGTCACTACCCTAGGGAGAAGTCAAAACAGATTGTCTAATTCAAGCAAAATCATTATAATGAAAAATTATTTTATGGAAACTTCTGGGAAATTGTTCTTTTTTGAATCACTTAGGCTGCCATTCCCAGGAGGAAGCAGTAGCTCCAAAATTTGTAGCCAAGAAAAATGCCTTTTTCTTATGACATCAAATATTCAATAATGAATAGCAATGCTCAACTTATCTCTGACTTATTTAATGAAATTGACTGTATTTATTGATTTTCCCCTGAAACTTTATATTTTATCTTTAGTAATCTTATTCAAAGGACATTGTCTGGGACCAAGAAACTTCTCAATCTTCCAAGATACCTCAATTTAACATTTTTCCTTCTATAAGTTTATAATCCCTCTTCCCTTCCATAAGACTTTTTTTTTTTTTTTTTTTTTAGACAGAATCTCACTATCTCACCCAGGCTGGAATGCAGTGGCACGATCTCGGCTCACTGCAACCTCCACCTCCTGAGTTCAGGGAATCCTCCTGCCTCAGTTCCCCAAGTAGCTGGAACTACAGGCTCTTGCCACCATGTCCATCTAATTTTTGTATTTTTTTGTAGAGAAAAGTTTTCGCCATTTTGCCCAGTATGGTCTAGAACTCCTGAGGTCAAACAATGCACCTGTCTTGGCCTCCCAAAGTGCTGGAGTTATAGGAGTGAGCCACCATGCCTGGCCCCATAAGAGTTCTTTATGGGGATAAGGAATCTGTCACTTGAAATTAACCTGAATCAATTAAAATAGGCACAAATAACAATGTCTTGATAGTCAGATTTCTTCCTTCTTCCTTCCACCTGCTTTCCTCTTAGCTGCCTTCTTAATTTCAAGTAATAGAAATGGAGCTTCTATTAATATAATGTATCTCAAAGTTGGAAAAGCGACAGATACTCTTTTGGTCTAACAAAGTATCTACTAAAAAGAATTGAGAAAATCAGTCATTTTGTATTGCAAAAATTACTCTCCTTCTGGCATACAGTAGATACCTTATCAGATTCTCCCAACATTCAGGAGCATCTTTCTCCATTTCATTCTATTTCTGCCCCCATTGATAAGCAGATATGAATGAAACAGAAAAAGCCTGATAATCCAAGCTAGAGGCCAGGCATTAGAGGAGGCAGAAACTTGGTGGGGAATATGAACAAAAGAGATAAGAGGACCAAGGAAAAATACTGGGAGTGGGCCAATAGTAAGGTTTAACAGGAATGCTCTCTCTTGAGCATAGTGCTATCCACACAGTATCTTCTGAGGGCCTTGGAATAAGGCCTCTGTATCAGCAGACTAAGCCCAGGAACAAACAGAGCAAGTTATGTCTCATCAACATTTGTGAAACTTGTTGTTTGAGTTACAACATTTAGTGTTTTGCTTTAAGAAAAGTGATAATTAAATTTACTACAATTTTTTTGCTTATAATGAAACTATTTCTCATAAGCTCCCTGGCTTAGAGTTGTTGCAATTTGTTGCAATATTATTATATGTGACACAATATCTAGCTGTACCTTCATCAAATTATGCCACAGAACTAAACGTGGCAAGACATTACTATGACAAGTGTTATTGTAAGGTACAAAAAAAAAGTGTACCTAGTATTTGCCATGAATTTATTTAATAAATCTTTGCAAAGTGCTATTTGTTGAATTACCCTCTCAGAAAAAAAGAGAAAGAGAAAAATTGAACTTGGCCCCCAAACGACAGAATAAGAACACTACTGTAAGATAGAACTATTTGTGTGAATTTTCCAAGGGTAGTTCACAGGAGATACCTCTTAGAAAATGCCGGAAGATGATAGGTTCTGTAAAGAAGCAAGTGAGACCACATCTTTAACTGAGAAGGAGAAAAGGAATCCACAGAGAGAATTGGTAGGAGAACTCAAGCCGACATCAATTGACTGGTGGCTACTTTGAGTCCTTAGTCAGTCAGGGCAGCTACAATGAAGTACCATAGTACTTAGCATCGAAGTACCATAGTATCGAAGTACTGGTGGCTTATAAACAACAGAAACTTATTTCTCACAGTTCTGGAGGATGGGAGACCACAGGACGCCAGTATGGCAGGGTTTTGGTGAGGATTCTTGCCTGGGTTGCAGATTGACAACTTCTTGTATCCTCACATGATGGAAAGAAAGCAAGAGAGAGCGCTCTCTGTGGTCCCTTTTCTAAGGGCACTAATTCCACCCTCTTGGCCCAGTCACCTCCCAAAGGCCCCATCCCCTAAGCCCATCACATTGGGAACTTAGACTTCAACATATTAATTTGGGGGAGACATGTTCAGTCTATAACAGGCCCCAGAATGATGGTCTAGGATTAGTATTAGCCAGGCAGAGCAGCCTACTTTGGATTTGACCATATTCTAAAAGTTAAGACTTTTTTGCATTTTGCATTCCTCTCAGTCAGAAGTTCAGGAAAGAACAAGGGAGATATAGGACATAAAAAGCCCCATTCTTGGGGTTCCATAAGGGTTGAAATCCTGAAACTCTTTCTCCCTAGTATACTATCTGTTGTTAAGCTTACAGCAAGTAAAGAGTGCAGGAAGAAAGTTGCAAATTCTTTTTTTTTTTTTTTTTTTTTTTTTGAGACAGTGTCTTGCTCTGTCACCCAGGCTGGAGTGTAGTGGCGCGATCTCGGCTCACTGCAACCTCTGCCTCTCGGGTTCCCGCCATTCTCCTGCCTCAGCCTCCCGTGTAGCTGGGACTACAGGCGCCGCCACCACGCCCGGCTAATTTTTCTTATTTTTAGTAGAGACGGGGTTCCACCGTGTTAGCCAGGATGGTCTCGATCTTCTGACCTCGTGATCCACCCACCTCGGCCTCCCAAGGTGCTGGGATTACAGGCGTGAGCCCCCGCACCCGGCAGAAAGTTCCAAATTCTTTCTGCCCAGGAAATGATGGTTAACATGCCTCTTTGTATATATTTTACAGAAATGATCGGGGACAATCAGAATCAGGTAGTGCTTAGGAAATTTCTAAATTATGCCTAGGAGCTAATGGTCCACCTCAGGGTATCGAATTTGTTTAAAATTCTCCAATTTTAGGTTAATTTTAGTTAATTTAGGTGAAAGACATGAAAACCAAAGATATCCAAAATGACCAATAACGAAGTAGACTGGCTTCATTTTATTTCTGAAATGAGTTGGGCAAGCATGTCACAGACAACATACCTTCTCAGGGAGTTACTTCTTAGTGCTGGAGAATATTCACAGTCTTGTGATTGTTTATGAAAAGGATGGGGTCCAAGCCAGAGCCAACCAAATTGCTTCACATAAAATTTTGCTATTTCAAGCTGTTCCTCAGTGAGTCTCCCAGCATCTGCGAGAAGTCTGACAATTGTGATGGTTAATACTGAATGTCAACTTGATTGGATTGAAGGATGCAGTATTGATCCTGGGTGTGTCTGTGAGGGTGTCGCCAAAGGAGATTAACATTTGAGTCAGTGCGCAGGGGAAGACAGACCCACCTTAATCCAGTGGGCACCATCTAATCAGCCACCAATGAATTATAAAGCAGGCAGAAAAACATAAAGTGATGATATGGGACTAGCCTCCTAGCCTACATCTTTCTCCCATGCTAGATGCTTCCTGCCCTTGAACATTGGACTCCAGATTCTTCAGTTTTGGGACTCGGACTGACTCTCATTGCTCCTCAGCTTGTAGACAGCCTATTGTGGAACCTTGTTTAATTAATTTTTTTTTTTTGAGATAGAGTCTCTCTCTGTTGCCCAAGCTGGAGTGCAATGGTGTGATCTCAGCTCACTGCAACCTCTGCCTCCTGGGTTCAAAGGATTCTCCTGCCTCAGCCTCCCAAATAGCTGGGATTACAGGTGCCCGCCACCATGCCCAGCTAATTTTTGTATATTTTTTAGTAGAGACTGGGTTTCACCATGTTGGCCAGGCTGGTCTTGAACTCCTGACCTCAGGTGATCCGACTGCCTTGGCAGTCTAACTTCAATAAATGGTCTATAATACTTGCGGAAACCCTACTGTGTCTTTAGGTCTCTAAAATGAGTTGCACAGGATTTATGATGAGGTTTGCCATCACAATAGTCTTTCTGCTCACCCCAAGTTTGCTATTATGAGCTTCACAAACTCACCAAAAATGCAGCAGAAACTGGCTTTTGTCAAGGGCACTGTAGCACACCCTGGTTAGATGCTCACCCAGTCTATTTTCCGTTTTCAAGAATGCAGAAATAATATTTCTTAGCCTTAGCATCCTTTTAGGTTAGCTTGGAAATCCATGTGATAAATTTTGGCCAATGAAATATGAATGAAAGTGATACTTGCTTCTTTTTGGCTTGTATGTTAAAATCTCCCAGAGATATTCAACTACAGCACTCTCTCTCCTTTGCCCCGAGGCTTAATGCAAACATCCCAGCCATATCAGAGTCATATAATGAAAAAAGCCAGAATCCTTTAAAGACAAACTTGGAGGAAAACTTTGCTCAGAAGGGACACCCAAAATGCCTCAGACTGAGATGTGAGTGTGAAATAATGTACAGTGGGGTAGTAGCATTAGTTTGGACACTGTATTCATTTACTCAATAAATATTTATTGAATGCCTACTATGTGCTGGGAACTAAGCCCTAGAGATATAGTCCTCTAACCACTGGACATATAGTGGTGAACAAAAAGGGCGATATTTTTTGCCATCATGGTGCTTACATTCTAACAGAGGAACTAGGTGGTAAACAAAAATAATAGGGATAAATGGTTTTGGGGAAAAAAGGTTGAATAAGGAGTGACTGGAAGAGATTCTATTTCACACAAGGCGCTAAAGAATGCTCTCTGGAAATCTGAATGAAGTGAAGGACCAAGCCAGGCTATTGTCTTAAGAAAGAATATCCTGGCCAGGCGCGGTGGCTCACGCCTGTAATCCCAGCACTTTGGGAGGCCGAGGCGGGCGGATCACGAGGTCAGGAGATCGAGACCATCCTGTCTAACACGGTGAAACCCCGTCTCTACTAAAAATGCAAAAAAATTAGCCAGGTGTGGTGGCGGGCACCTGTAGTCCCAGCTACTTGGGAGGCTGAGGCAGGAGAATGGCGTGAACCCGGGAGGCGGAGCTTGCAGTGAGCCGAGATCACGCCACTGCACTCCAGCCTGGGCGACAGAGCGAGACTCCATCTCAAAAGAAAACAAAACAAAAGAATATCCTAGGGAAAGAGAATAGCAGTTAAAAGTCCTGAGATGGGAATTTCTTGGCAAAAATATTGAGGAAACTATGATGTCACCAATAGAAGAGAAGAAGGAAAAAGTAAGACCTTTATAGCAACTAGATCTATGGGAGAGATATGCTACTAACATTCTTCATTCTCGAAGTTCGAATGTGTTTTTAAATCAATGGGTTCGATAGCCAAAATAATAATACAATTTTTGTCTTCACATCACCTCTGCAATATAAATTGAAAATAAATGTACTTCCTATTTCAACAGTTTATTAGTTAGTAATTTCTGTTTGTGTTCAGACAGCCTCTTGTAACAATGCCTTCTCTGTCAACATTCAAACATACAGTGCATGATTCTAGAAAAAAAGAAATGGGTGCATGTTAAGCCATTGAGGTTTGGATGTGATTTGCTATAGCAACTAGCATCAACTTTCCTGTCTAATACAGACAACTTTTCAACCTCTCTCCCCCAGGTGATCTAGCGATTTTAGGAGTCATGGCTCATTTTTGTCCCAAATCCTTCCAAGCAGATAAAGAATGAGCATTTACATACATAACAGCTCCCAGTTGTTCTGTCTGAACCATGAAACAGCCTAAGCCTAGTGACATACTTGTCTCACCTGGCAGGCCACTTTAATAACCACAGTACATCCAGTAAGCTTAGAAAATCCACACTCATGAATGATGCAAAAATGTTTTTCTCAGTTGATGAATTTCCCATTCCATCTGCATTCTGAGTAAGAGAGAAATTTTGAGAGTTGTTTACAATGGAGAAGTGTTTTGAATGGCAAGAATAAAAACATCAAAGTCAGTTCCTTAGCCCCAGAGGACCAAAAATTAGAAAGATTTAATGGAATTCTATTAAAATATGCTAAAGAGCAGAAGAAAGAACAGAGCTAACATGAGTTAAAATATGCTAAAGAGTAGAAGAAAGAACAGAGCTAACATGAGTGTTTCTTAACTGATTCCCACAAAGCAGCTAAAAATGACACCCACTGGTTTCATTCTCCAGGTCTGACATTAAGGTGAGAGCCTTGGTTCCCATTTGAGTGTCTGTTTAGCAAAAAGAAAAAAGAATCAGAACTGGGAAGTCAGAACCAAATACATTAAAAGTATGGATTTTAAGCATCCATCATACAGCATCTTAAATAGCTTGAATTTATTTAATTAACATTTGACACTAATGCTGAATAACATTCATAATCAAGGAACTGTTTTTTCCAGCTGAAATGATAAAAAACAAAAACAGTGAAGATGTTTCATGAGCAGAATATATTAATCATATTACTCAAAAATACTCCTTTTTAAAATTCCACATCTAAATGGAATCAGCTAGGGGTTGACATATTTCAGGAGGGTCCCCATTATGATAACCTGGGTGCTGTATATATAACACTAAGTCACACAATGGGCATATATCATTTGGACAATTACTCACCAAAAATAATTTAGGTATGTGGCTTGTTTAAATTATTGTTTTGTTTTAATTTTAAATAAAGGAGCCAGTTACCTCTTTGCCTTGCCTAACAATATGGATTTCTAGAAGATATAATTACCTCCGCAACTAATCTTCCTCTACTTGGGGAAGGGTACCAGAGGGACCTTCAGTTGCTGTATTAGTCCATTCTTGTATAAAGAAATACCTGAGACAGAGTAATTTATGAAGAAAAGAGGTTTAATTGGCTCACAGTTCCATAGACGGTACAGGAAGCGTGAAGCTGGCCATCTGCTCTGCTTCTGGGGAGAACTTTGGAAATATACAATCATTCCGGAAGGCAAAGCATACTTCACATGGCCAGAGCAAGAGGAAGACAGAAAGCGGGGAGGTGCTACCCACTTTTAAACAACTAGATCTCGTGAGAACTCTGTCATGAAAACAGCACTAGAGGGATGGTGCTAAACCATTAGAAATGGCTCCCATTATCCTGTCCCCTCACACCAGGCCCTACCTGCAGCATTGGGGATTACATTTCAACGTAAGATTTGGGTGGGGACACAGATACAAACCATATCAGTTGCATACATATAAGGTGATACCCACTTTTCATTCAGAAAGAGAACTTCAAGTTTTTTAATTTGGAATGGGACTATTAAGGGGTTTGGCATAGTTATGTGAATTTGGATTTATCTATATCCACACAATAACCTTGTAAATGATGAAATCTTTTCTTGAAATAAATAAGGAAGTAAGCTGGAATGTTGATGGCTTATACCATAGATTATTTGGGAAAAATAACAGAATTTTTTGTGAAATTCCCATTCCACTAATGGTTTACCCTGCTCACAGAATGAAAGTCTCTGTGAATGGAGGGGACTCATACTATACATTGAAAAAAATAGCAAAGAGCCAGCAAAGTATGCAGTTGATTTTCAATTATTAATCTTGTGCCCTGAGGAATTATGACGGAGTAAAGAGACATGATTAGCAAACACATAGTCTGCCCACATCTTGACAATAGTCTACTGTGGCTAATGTCGTCAGACTGGCAAGACTTTCCAATGACAATAACCAGGACTGATTCACTCAAAATTAACTCTACTGAGTTTTGGGTATCTTAGGAAGAGAAGCTGAGAAGTAGAATAAGATTCAGTTTAGAGGATGCAACTTCAAATCCATAGTGATTTGATATTAAAAGGCAGGGAATTTTATACTGAACCTGAATTTCGTAAAGCCAGACATATTAGCTCCCCAAATTCTTTCTTAAATTGCAACAATTTGTGGTCATGACCTCTTTCTCTGATGCTGATTATAGGTTTTCCATATCCCTAGCTTCATCCTGCCTTGCCCTGCAGCGGGAAAAAGAAAAGTAAACTTGAGTCTTATTTTTAAGGCTTACTTGAACAAACGTGGTCTTTTCCTCCTTCAAAATGGCATCCTAAGTTCATTCTAAACTGGTCCTGACACTTAGATAATCTCTTAGAAGTTCACCAGGCCCATTATAAAGGAATTCTGTTTTATCATAAGGAGGTATTTTTGCCTGAGGGAGGCAGTCTGGCCACTTAGCTTCAAAGCTGACTTACTTCCACTTCACTAGCTCTCATTCTTGGTATATTGTAGCCTTTAGCAAGACATAAGGAAATGCAATGAAGAACAAAATCATCAAGGGCAATGCAAAGAGTCTTTTGAGCTATCATTTATTTTTTCCTCAGACTAAAAATATAAGCTTTATCAGGTTGTTCTCTAACCAGTTTCCACTCAGCTAGTTAACAGCATGAAAGAGGCATGCTACAGCACATCTCTGTAAAGCATTATGATTTCTTATTTCATGCGTTAAGTACTTTTCAGCTTCATAGCTCAACACATAAAGTGAAAAAGTTGACAACCCAAGTCTTATTCGTTGTCATAAATGAAACCAGAGTGTATTTTCTTTAGATTTTGTCACTTCATTAACTTAGAGAACAATATGGAAGAGGTGCTTTACTGTTAAAAATAATATCATTGCTGTATTGATTCTTAGACCAACCATGACCAAAAGAATTAGCACTGTTTGTCACCTTTTGTTAAGCAAAAAGGATAGAGAGTTTGGGAGTGAGTAGGGACAACTGAAAAGTGGTAAACGGAATCAAATGGGCACACATTAGTTTTTCTATCCTATACAACACTAGACATTGTCCCTGATTTCTGTGTTCGTTTTTTCATCTTTTTACAAAAATTACTTAGCTCAAACATTCTATAAAATCAGACAGAAAAGATCAAAATTACAGCCAACCAACATAGAAAATAGAAACCAAGTATGGTAGGTCACATGACTCTATCTTCTATTTAAATAGCTTCATATTATCTGTCAAGTCTCGCTAAAATGGCAGACTAAATTTTTTTTTGAAAAGGCAATCATTGTTATTCAAGTGCACTTTAAAGAGAAAAAAGAAATGTACTGCAAGGAAGAAGAATTACCAAGAAGGAGTGCAGAAAATAAAACTTCCTATTTTAGGCAGTCAAATAATAAATTGCACAAGCACAAAAATATGGAATACTTTACATCAACTGGAGAATTGTGGTTATTAAAATGATCTGTCAATAGAAACAAAGCGAAGTTTAAGTGATGAATAGCTAACAGCTGCACCTTTACTGCACAGTCAGGAATTTATAATGAGGTTTAGGTACTGTTTTTTCTTTTCTTTTCAGTTTTTTTTTTGGTAAACAAAAAGGGAGGCTTAGAAAAATCCTTAAGACTAAACTTTGTAGTAGATTACATTCTAGGTTTAAAATGTTGTAGAATATTTATGCTTCAAAATGAAATTTGCGGAGTAAAACAATGCATCTCTTCTGCTTGTACTGTCTTCAAAATAACCCTAAACAGTAGATGAAAGCCTAGCTTTAAAAAACTCATAGCAAATATAAACGTCCTTAGGATGAGGATTGAATAGTTCAGGTAATATTTATAGGCACAGAAATTCCTTTTGTAGAATAAAACAAAGACAAAACTTAAAAGCCATTAACATAGAAAACACCAAGGTCTTTTTAAATACATACATTGCAAATTGACATTAGGATTAAATAATCAAACAAACATAGTAAGTGTCTGATTCCCATACTGTATTACCTAAAAGATCAACAATCTCAAGGATATGTAATTCTAGCCTTAAAAACAAAATTAGAGAACTATGGTATATTTAATTTTTGTCTATATTTATCTTCTTCACTTCTAGCCTTTGAGCTTTCTGAACATTATAGCTAGGGCCAGTTAACTTTATTAATTAGCTCTTCTCAAGATTTTAGACCAAAATCTGAGTCTAGTCAGATTTACCATATGCCAGTTTCATGGCAGCAGAAAATCTACTTTGTTCAAGCATGTTTGTTCTAAGAACTGGTCTCTTTTTTTATTAAAGCCCATTGACCAAAGGTGACCAGGAGCACAAACGTAGTGAAATAAAGGAGGGCTCATTAGTTTCCTGAAGCAAGGATAACACACAGCAGAGCCACTGTGGGGCAACTTGGAAGGAGATGGGGAGAAGAGGACCTCTTACAGGGTTTGGCTTGTGCTGGCTGATTCCAAGAGGAACGCAGAAGTGGGAGAAGCGCAATGGTTCTGCAATTATCTATTTCAATAATCTTTTTTCAAGTGGTGGGAGAAATGACATAGGGCTGGGTATGTCATCACTAAGAAAGTAGCAATCACTCTGAAAAAAAGATTATTAGTAATTTTAAAGGTGAGGTATGGCTGTGGGTACAATTCTGTTAGAAATATGGTTTTCTGTTAACTTTGTCCCTGATCTATTGGAAAACTGTTGATGTTCCTTTAGGAATATTTCAGTCTTATCATCATCAGGATTAATTTTTATTTTCACATCTTGTTCCTCTTTCAAATAAGTCCATACTACAAATCTCAGGTTCTTATTCAATGGATGCCAGTATTTAATTTGCTTTCGTTTTCTGTTCAATTACACTACTCTTACATGTTATTTGTAAAGATCAAGCACAAACCTCTGAATACCATTTGGCTGGGATTGCAATACTTTCCATGAGATCTTCCTCATGCTAATGGCTTCATGGGCAACTGCTACCAAACTGTCACCTGCCAGGACATCTGGCTATTTTAAGTGCAGTATATCTTAGTTGCCTACACTTCTCCATTTCCTGCTTTAGGAAATTTTTCCTAATTTTCTGCCTCATTTTTTTTTTTTTGTTATATTGTTCTCTCTTGGCCAACAGAAAAGAAGGAAAATACAAATAAAAAGTTGAAAAATGTGGTCCAAAGTACAAAATTTCTCAATATTTTGGTGTTTGGCAATTAATAACTCATGCCATGAACAGCAGCAATGAAAACTTTATAGTTTTTATTATTGGCTTTGAAAATCACAACAAAATACATTGAATAAACCTGAAATGAAAAGAGAAGCATTTCTCCTTTGTTTCAAAACTAAGCCAAGATACCTTGGGTTTGAGCCTTGCTGGAGAATTGTGGTCCAGTCGTATGCTATTAACTGATACTGGAAAAAATTATCTAACATTTTTATGCCTTGATTTACTTCCTTCATGAAAACTAATGTCGTAATAGTCCTACATGATAAGATTGTTATGTAAGGTGCATAATACAGCAATACTATCTTGCCTTTTTTGTTTGTTTGTTTTTAAACAAAGGCAATTTCTGTGGATGATATCATTAGAGGAAAAAATAACTGAGACTAGCTGTAAATTATTATCAGAAATCTTTCTAGAAAGCATACTTTACGAGCTTTATTCTTTACAATTAAATGGATTTTATAGGTCAGCGCCATTGAACAGGAATATACATGATGGCAAGAATGGGAATAATTCAATAACATTATTTTGAGTTAATATACCTAAACTCTGCTGATATGAGTAACAGTGATGTGGTGGTGCTAACACAGTCCTTAAGTGCCATTGTTGTTATGCCATTGTTTAAATCATTTAGGATTTTGCAATTTACGTGTCCCTGGAGGTCTTAAAAGTAAGTGCACACTATCAATCAAAGGAATAAAAATAATGGCCTTAGACATTATCAGCAAATAAAATATGACTATTAAAATGATCTTAGTAACTTTTAAAGTAATACTTTATATATAAAGTATGTTATTTTGCTTCCCTGAAACATTTGTTTTAGCCCAATATTTTAAATTATTCATTCTTGCTTAATGCATTATATTGAAATGTTTTGCCACCCAGTGCAGCAATGATTTAAATAAGACCATTTCTATCTACCTAATTTTTTGCTCCAAATATCATACATTAGGTACAAAATGTAAAATGTCACATTCTCCGATAGATATGGTGACAGCCTTCTGAGCCTTGCTAAGCAACTCCTCGGCACGACTGAACTCCTTCATCATCGCCTTAAATTTGTTTACACAATTTTATTTTCTTATCAGTCAATTCAACACAGTTCCCAGCATCACAACAGAAGCCTTCTCTTTTACTTTTTACCTTTATCAAACTCCAGCAAGCATCCTCCACCTAAACTTTCTTTAAAATTAACTTTAAATCTTTGCCTGAGGGGATTTTTTTTCCACCTTCCAATTTTCCACTTCTGTAGTCTTCTCTTTGCCTCCACATACTCAGAAATGTGTGCAGCTGATAGGAACACATTTGGAAAGGCAGTGCCAAGGAGCACCTCTCGCCTCGGCTTTTCCAGGTGGCTGCTCTCGGTTCACGTGGTGTGCGGTCTGTCCTGGTGGTGTCTGCCTAACGAGTTATCAATGTTTTAGGCTGCTTAGTCGATTCCAACGTAGAGTCTCTCCTTTGTTTTTTAACACTGAGACAGATTGCCAGGAAAATGAAATTTAAATAACAGTCACAAAAACTCTCCAACGTAGATGACATAAAAGGCACTTACTAAAGTAAATCATATCTTGGCAACTTAATGTCTTGCAGTAATGAGAAAATTTGAAGTCATTCCTAGGAACAATAGATCATACAGCTGTGTCCTTAACTGAAGCTTAAGATAAAATGGAAAAAAAAAAAGCAATACCCATTAATAAAGGAAACAGCTATGAAAATAAAACATACATGAAAGTATGCTAAATCAAATATTTGAACAGCTTAAAAATAGTACTGTTAAAAAACGAGAGAGACAATTTTAGGCATTGGAAAAATCCTTTTAAAAAATACAGTTCAGCAATCTTGAAACCCAACTTCCTAGGAGGCAAAGCCTTGTGGTGCACAGTGAGAATCTGTATGGTTGTTAAGACAGGTAAAGCTGAAACTTAAAAATAGGATTTGAAAATTGTTTCCTCTGGTTGTCTTTCTTTCTGTGAGGTGCAGGTGTTTAGTATACTCATCATCAGGAGACGCTTTAGAAAATAGTTGATCATATCTAGAGAATGGATTTTACCAATCCACAAGTAGTGATCAGATTCAAAGATATATTTATATGTAACAAACTCAAAAGAGACTAAATATGAAAGTTAGGTGTCAATTTAATTCCACCCAGGCATTTGCAGGGGGCAATAATTTTCCTTTTTTTTTTTTTTTTTTTTTGCTCTTACTACCAAGGAGAAGTTCATGTAGAAAATCTATAAAATACAGATAAACTAAAAATGGAAAATGAAAATCAACCTCAGTTGCACTCCAGAGATGAGCTCTGCTAGCTTTTTGAACTGTCTTTTCAGCCCTTTAATGCATACTTCATATTATTGTACATATTATTTGCATATATTATGTAATACTTATAACAATATTTTAATAATAGAAACATGTTGCCCTATTGTATATGCTATTTTATAACTTGCCATTTTTTATTGAATAATATATAATAAATATTTTTTCATGTAATTCAGACAGCCAAGTATAAAGGGGTCACTGGAGAAGCTCCAAGCACCCTGCACACTGGGGGACTGTGCACTGGGGTGGAGCCTTGGGAAGTTCGTGCCGCTTGCAGTGGGGAGAAGCCTGGCCTCCCTGTTCCAGGTGGTACCTAGGATTCAATCCGTGTGGTGGGAAGCCTGTTAGCAGGACTCTTGTTTTACTGAGAGTCCCTGTTTCACTTTTTTTCCTTTTCACCCAATGAACCCTGCCCTTCTCACCTTTCAAAGTGTCTGGGAGCCCAATGTTTTACGGTTGTGTGACAAGGACCTTAAGGAGAAAGTCCTACAACATAATTAAATATAATTCTGGAGCAAAATGTTTTATGGTAAAATTTTCTATGATATTTGAAATTTAAGGAGCTAACACATCTCAAAAACCAACCTCAATCTAATTAGGAAACCTCAATTTTCAGTGATGGTGCAAAATCTTAATCTTAAAATGAAAGAAAAGGGAATCTTATTTGGATGAAAATTTTATCACATTCAAGGTTGCTTTTCCTTTCTAAGATAGGGTCTGTGTACTAGGGGAAGGTTATGCTCGGCAGATGAATGTGTGCTGGGGACAAGACCGTCTTCCTCTGCTTACTCCTGCCATCTCTATCCCTCTGCAGTCTGGTCCCTGGTGCTGGTGCAGCCCATTGTTGGCTACATCTTTAACTTGGCACTGGTGAGTGGAAGACCGGTACCTGTACTCTAAATTTAATTTGATCGGAAGTCCTTGATCTGCAATGCTATAGTGCACTTGGCAAGGATAATGTCAGTTTCCCCCAGCTTTTAAAAGATCTTCAGCCTATCTCTTTTTGGCTTCTGTCAGCATCAAGTGCTAAATCCCCAGGTAGTTTTATACTCCATCACTTGGCTGAGTAACTTCAGCTCTAGCCCTTCTCTCTCAGGTTCACATGAGCCATGTAAGTTATATTCCTACATTCTGACATCCTAAGGCAAACATCATGAGGGGAAAGAGGAGGGAAGGAGTGTGTCTTGCAGGCTCCCCTACCTAGTCAAAACACACATTTCCTCAATCTCTGCTTGAAAGTATGCCATCAGAAATTTCCAGGCAAGGAGAAGGGACTATTTATTTTAGAGTTGCCCCACCTTTAATGGTTAATTTCATGTGTCAACTTAACTGGGACACAATGCCCAGATATTTGGCCAGACATTATTCTGGATGTTTCAGTGGAGGTGTATTCTTAGACGGGGTTAATTTTTAAATCAGTGGACTTTCAGTAAAGCAGATTACCCTCCATAATGTGAGAGGACCTCATCCAATCAGTTGAAAGCCTTGCTAGAAAAAAAACTGACCTCCCCTGAACAAGAGGCAAGTCTGCGGTAGATGTCCTGTGGACTCAGACTGTAACTCTTTCTAGGTTTTTAGCCCGCCAGTCTAACACGTGAATTTAAACTTCCACCTCCACAATTACATAAAACAATGCCAATTCCAAAAAACACACAAAAAAAACTCTCTCCTGTTCTCTCTCTCTTCCCCCTTATGTACACACACACACACACACACACACACACACACACACACACACACTCTATTTGTTCTGTTTCTCTGGAGAACCCAAAAAGCCCACCCCCAAAAAATTTTAGAGAAGTCTTTGCCCCACCCCACCCCCTGCTGTAGGGGTGACCCTGCTGAGGACAAAAGTTAGTGATCATGGCTTTTACTTTCCTGCCCTGTAGTGAACTTAATGGTGGCCCCCAAAAAGGTATGTCCACAACAGAATCTCTGGAACCTATGCATGTCACCTTATTTGGAAAAAGGGTCTTTGCAGATGTAATTAGGTTAGATGTTTTGAGATTAGATCATCCTACACCATCCAAGGGGGGCCTAAATCCAAGGATCAGTGTCTTTATAAGAAAAAGGCAGAGGGAGACTTGAGACAAAGAAGAAAAGGAGGCAGTGTGACCACAGAGGTGGAGACTGGAGGGATGAAGCCATACATCAAGGAGTGCTAGCAGCCACCGGAAGTCGAGTGATGCAAGAAATGAATCCTCCTTGAATCCCTGATAACACCTTGACTTCAGACTTCTATCCTTCAGAACTGTGACAAAATAAATTACTGTTACTGTAAGCCACCAAGTTTGTGATCATTTGTCATGGCAGCCTCAAGAAACGGAAACACTCTCCTTTTTTCACAACTCAGCTCTTACCTAATTTTTTTTCTTGCATTTCACATACTCTTTGTATGGGAAAACAGAAGCAAGTGAGGTACAAAAACAGCATCTTTTGGAATGTACTCGTTTAAATTTCATTTATACTCCTTATCCTCACAACCCTTAAGAATTTCACCAGTGGCTGGCAACAGAGAAATATTTCTTTAACCTAAAAGCTAAGAATCATTTAAAAATTTTCCTTGTCTACCAAAAATTATCTTCTGTTCCACTTTTACTGTATGTATTTAACTAATGTTGAAGTTGTTAGATATTTGATATAAAATAGAATGCTACAATGATCATATTTTTGGCTAAATACAACCAGGATGGGAAAATTTTATGTGAAAATGCTGAGTTACAGAACCTACAAAGACTTAACGGTTTTGGTGTATCCATGGCCTTCTTACCATGCACCTTGCTTCTGATTCAATGCTTTTCAAAGTGTGTTTACAAAGGGTATTTGTTCCAAAAAGGTGTGAGTTAACAAATAGGCAGTAGGTAGTAATGGGGCCCTTTAGCCCTGTTTCTTATGTATTGTATTGTGGCTACTCACCATGTTTTAAAGCATCTATATTTTACATGCCTTCAAAATGACCCCTGCTTTCTCTGTCAAAGTCTGAATTCAAGTTCTCAGTCTCCCTTGCAGATAGAATGCTGAGATTTACCTGGGCTCTTCCAGTCAGATATACTGATATAATTACTCTTAAAGGGGAATAGAGTGAAATTATACAGAGTTAACCTTTTGAAGACCTTAGCAGTGAAACGGCCAGTCTAGCCTGGGCACCTGTGGAAGAATTTCTGACATGCCATCTCAATTCTTATTGGTGTGAACTGAGGTGATGGGCTGAAGTGATAACAGTGCTTTTCCTGGAGAGCTGCCCTGTGGTTTTCCTTGGGACTATTTCTCACTGTAGAGCTTACCATTCTGTCACTTGGACTCTCTTGAAGAGTCAATTGTCTGTTTTATATTTTTCAATAACTACCTTTCTGTTTAAACCAGCTAGAGTGACTTTTCTTTTTGTGATGAAGAACATTGACCAAAAATATGTCAGATAAGTTTGGGAAACACAAGGTTAAATTGATTTCGTAGTTTTCTTTACTACAGACACTTTAAGATATTTAATGTGCCTTGTAAACTTCTAAGCAGATAGTGCGTGAAGTTTTTCCTCAAATGCATTTGAATACAATATACTTACTCTGAGGAAAATCATAAGATCTGTATTTCATGGAAGACTGCTTGAGAAATGTTTTTTGTTTCTTCAAGCTACAAGAAAGATTCTGTTTGAGAAATAGTCTATGTTTCTATGTTTCTCCTGCCACAAGAAAGAGTCATCTTTTCTGCATGAAAATCTTACCTGGTCTTCCCCTTCTCAAAATGTGTCAGTGGATTTCCATTCACCTGCAGGATAAAAATGTAAACTCTTTGATGGGACATAAAATAGCTTTTCAACATCTAAGTCTTGTTTTCTGATCCAACCACATAGCCCTCCTCTCTCCTTCCTTTGCCGCTATGGTCTGAATAAGTCCCCTAAAACAGATATGTTTGGAATGTAGTCCCCAGTGCACTAGTATTTGGAGGTTTGGCCTAAATTAGGGAGGTGTTGACGCCATGAAGATTCCACTCTCATAAATGGACTAGTGATCGTTTTAAAGGGCTTGTGGCTGTGAGTTTGACTCTTGTTCTCTCATGCTCTTGTCCTTCTGCCTTCTGCCATGAGATGATGCAGCTGGAAGGCCTTCAGCAGATGTCTGCAGCTTAATATTGGACTTCCAGCTTCCAGAAGTGTGAGGAATTTCTTTTTGTCTACAAATTACCCAGCCTTGGGTATTCCATTATAGCAACAGAAAATGGACTAAAACAAGATTAACTTCTATTTTGAATCCTACATTATTGAACTATGTATAGATCCAGGACAAACCTTGCTCCCCGATATTTTCATCCAATATACAGACTCTATGCACTGCCTGGGATGCTCCTCTCTTGGGATTCTAACCAACTTCTTACATTTTAAACTCTCAGCTCAAATGCTGCACTCTCTGTGACACTGCACTTGACACCCCTAAGGCAAACTTAGGTGCCTCTTCTCTCTCTACTGCACTTGGCATACACATCATTACAGCAATCGTCTCATTTAGTTGCAGCTGCTTATTGGGAAGTGTTCCTCGGCTGTAGGCCATAGTTCCTCAAGGGCTTAGGCAGTGTCTTATTCCTTACATGTCATTAACACAGGAAGAAGCCATGAGTACAGTTCTTTACAGAATCAAGTCTCCTGTCTTTGTTAACCAATAAAGCAAGCACCCAGATTCAGACTGATGTGCAGAGTTCTTCGCTTCTGGTCCAAGTCTTCGCTAGACAAACTCCATATTGCCTAGGGGATGGGAAAAGGCTTATAAGCACCACTCAGTTCACCCTATATATTTTTTCCTGAATGTGACAGAACTTCATCCTTTCTTATTCTCATCTCTCAGTACAGTGAGCTTGGGAGTTGCTTCTTACTGTAAAAAAAAAAAAAAAAAATTATTCACTTTTCTCCCATGTGTTCCCAAGTCCTTTAAAGAATTTTGCTCCCTGATTCCTGCCCTAGGATTCTTTTTCTTTGTCTCAAACATCACTTTTGGATGCCAAGCTTTCCCTTTGGTCTGATTTTTCTTAAAGTGAAGTTAAGAAGTTTTGGATCTCTGAGACTAAAAAAAAAATCTTAAAGGAAAGAATTACTATTTCAGCCTCAGGATCAAATGTCAATAGGTAATCAGTCATTTGCATTGTGGGGAACAATATTTTTTGTAGTATAAATACTGTGTTTTTATGCAGAAAGAGGCTTTTCTTTTTTCTTTCTTTCTGCAAGTTATTATTTAAAGGCCTGCATCTTTTATTTCACTTTGATAGACATCCAGAAAAGGGAGGATAAATTTATGCCCAAGAAGATGGTGCTAGATTGGCGAAGAAAACACTGCCTACTGCCAAATTTGCACTCCCAATGTCTATCAGAGTGATGGCACATTACATATATGTAAATGTCTTTTAAATTATCAAAAAAATTAACAACTGAATGATAATCTTCACTAAAGAGTGTTAGGTATATAACAAGAGCATGAACCAATTGAGAAATGATTATGAGAACTGGAAGTTGCCATGAAGAAAGAAGAAAGTTAACGCCACTCCTCAAAGCTTTGTTCTAAAAGAAATAGAGTAGCATTCAGGAGGATCTACAGGGTCAAAAATTGTCTTCTTTGCCTACTTTCATTTTGGTTTTTAAGATGGAAAAGACAGAAGTATCAATGTAGTCAAGAGCAAAAAGAGAGAGGTCTGGAAAGAGAAGGCACCAACTATGAAGGAATGTTCCTAAAAATGATGAAAGAAATACCATCCTGAAGAAAGGTAGAAAGGATTCACTTTGCATAACAGAGAGGCTTCTGTCTTTAACACAAGAGTGGGGCGGATATGAAAAGGGAAACAGAGGGAATCAAGTTTATAACAGAGCATAAACTTTAAAGTGTTTTTCTTTCTTTCTTTTTTTTTTTCTGAGAGACTCTCTCATTTAGACATGTATATATGTATTTGTATCTGTTTGCCAAGAGTTGAGAAAATATTACTCAACATTTTTTGGCACTCTATCAAAACAGTTTAAGTTCCCTCTATTTTTTTTAAGTTATTCATTCATTGTATCCCTAATTCCACTCTCATTTATCTACTCTGTCTCTATTAGCACTTACCAAATACCTTTTATGTGTGATGTTTATCTATCCAACAGCGCACTATTCATAGCACCTTGCATGTAAGGATAGGGCTGGGGAATATGTCAGTGAAAGAAATAGAAAAACAAACAAACAAACATGTTTCTGCCCTTGTGGATTTTCTATTCTAACATGAGAAGAGGAAGCAAGAGAAAAATAAGATAAAATAAAATTAATGAGTAAAACTTGTAACTTGGGTTTTTATAAGTGTTATGAAGAAAAAAGAAATCACGGAACAAGAATGGGGAGTGACCAGGAAAGGTGAGATTGGAGCTTGTCTGAGGTAGACAGGGAGCCTCACTGAGAAAGTGATATTTGAACATCATGTCTCTTCTCTGCTCAAAACCTTTGAAGAGCTTCCCACATCATTCAGAGCAAAAACCAAGAACCCTTAGAAAGGTCTACAAAGCCCTGCACATCTGCCCATCCCACATCTCTGTAACTTCATCTCCTACTCCCCTCACTCACAGGCTGCAGAAGCAACCTGTTCTTAAAACCTGCACCTCCTGGACCAAGGGCCTCTGCACTTGCTTTTCCTTCGCCCAGAATCCAATTCCTCTAGACATTCAGACAGCTCATCTCACTACCTCTTTCTATTCTTTGCTTATCACTTTCCCAACAAGACCTTTCCTAAGCACTTTTCTAAAACGTTAACATATCCTCTATACCCCGATACCTACAGAATCTTTCTTTTGTCCCTGACTAATTTTACTGATAAAGTGTATCCATTTCTAAAATGCTATACAAATTTTTCATTTTGTTAATATCTGTCTCTTCCAGAGGCGGATAATTAATCACATCTCCATCCTCCTCCTCCAGCCCCCCACACCCCGTGTACTAGAAGACAAGCTCCTGCAAGGCAGAAATTGTTCTGCTCTTTTCACAGACGTGTTCACTGACCACCTACTCCTTCCCTGCAATACCTAGAAAAGTGTATTCAAAGTAGGCTTATGAATAAATATTTGAGATATACATGAGCAGAGGGAACATGCTGTGGGATCTCTGGAAAGCAGATGTCCCAGGGAGAGGACCAGATGAAAGGAGTGGCTGGCTTGTTCAGTGAACAGCAAAGGGGCCACTGTGGCTGAGATCGATGAGCCCAGAGCGAAAAGCTGGACGACAGGCAATCAGGGAGTGCTTTTTTGGCCACTAGACAATTTTGGTTTTACTCTGAGTATTGTGAGAAGTTTTGGATGAATTTTAACAAGTTGACTATAATGGCCCCAGGGCTAAAACTGAAAGAACATTCAGTAGAGCACAGCAACAAACCCACGTAGATATTATGAACGAGGCTTAGCTTCTTCCATCACATTTAGTGTCATCCTGTGTTCATGTATTTTTAATCAACACAAATGTTGTATTGTACTATATATCTCCTTCTCTTCCTTACCTTTCTTTTTTTTCACTCCACAGTATGTTTTCACAATCTATCCATGCTGATTAGTGAACAACTAGTCAATTGCTTCTAATTGCTGAGTATTACTTCACTGTCAGCATCTATCTCTTCTTTCCTAATGTGAACTAGAAACAAGGTTAGAATTGGAAAAAGTGTGCTGTCGGGAGCTCTGGGAGAAAAAAGAATCAATTTACTGAGGGGAATGGGATAGTGAGAATGAAACGGAAAAGCAATGGGTTAGATTAGCCCATGTTAGAATTTGCCAGATTGGGACAATGAAGAAAGAACAAGGCCACAGAATCAAAAGAAATAATAAAAAAAGTGGCCAAAATGATAAACCATCGGGTCCATATGGATGTTAATTATTGTAAGAAGAACAATAGCAACAACAATCACACCAAGATAGTATTCAGTAAATACTTTCATCATGAAAGACACTGTTCTAGGGATTCACATACATTGAGGAAGGGACCAATATATTTGGAGCAAAAAAGAAACCAAGATATTTGTTACTACATAGAAATAAACTGTTTAATGGAAATAACAAAATGAAAAAAGTTCGAAGTGTTGTACATGGTATTCAGATGCACTGATATTTAATTTTCCAAATGTAAATACTTTCAAGATGATGACAGGTCTGGTAAATGTCTTCACAACTAGATAAGAGATGACGATGTTAGTGAATCATGAACATGGATAATGAAGTCTCCAAGATGAAGCTAGTCATGTAATAGCCACGGCTGCAATTGGAAGATAGGACAGTACCATCTCAACCTCACGTCCATTGATATGTAGGTTAGTGAGGAATAAGACGCCCTTGCTCAGGAGGACCACTAGAAGAGAGCTAGATTTCAGGCAATGCAGAGAAAGAAATGCAAGTGGAGGCATTGAAGTATAGGGTAGTTTGTGGTCAGTGGACCAGGAAGTTTCAGTTGTTATAGTAATGAGGTCTAAAGGAAGATGATGGAAGAAACCACAGAATCACAGAGTGGTCAGCAATGGGGAGAAATGGCTGACAAGCAGGCTTACATTTAGGGAGGGTAATATGAATTCATTGCTCTCATAGTTTTAAATAAAAGAGTGGCAAGTTTGCCCAGTTAATTAAATAATTAATCTGGCATGACATATATTCAATTAGACAACTGTTTTGCTCTTTGATTATTAACAAATAACAACAGGTGTGTCTTCGTGGTGGTGAAAGGGGCCAGTTTCGCCCAACTCTCTTGCCATTTTGACTTATCCCCTCCCCCCATACATATCCAAATGAATAAGTAAAAATTAAAATTATTACATATAATGTTGCCATGTTGACTGTTTGTTATGTGTGGGGTTGTTTGTTTGAGATGGAGTTTCGATCTTGTCACCCAAGCTGGAGTGCAGTGGCACAATCTCAGCTCACTGCAACCTCGGCCTCCTAGGTTCAAGTGATTCTTCTGCCTCAGCCTCCCAAGTAGCTGGGATTACACGCAACCACCACCACACCTGGCTACTTTTTGTATTTTTAGTAGAGACAAGATTTCCCCATGTTGTCCAGGCTGGTGTCGAACGCCTGACCTCAGGTGATCCGCCCACCTCTGCCTCCCAAAGTGCTGGGATTAAAGGCGTGAACCACTGTGCCTGGCCCATGTTGACTATTTGATCAAGTAAGAAAAATATGATGATATATCATCCCAATAGCTACATTAAATGGCCTCTTAGTCTTCTCCTTCTGGGACCAAAATGGAATAAATCTGGCTTCTACAATAAATATAATAAATATAATTTTAGCCTTTAAGAATTTTTCAGTTTGATTCTTTGGCTGAAAATGTTTAAAGTGATTAACTTTTTCCTCTTATCTTTATATTTGATACACACACAAGCCATTAATAGGTCTAAATTTTAAATAAATGTAGAGAAGTTGTTTTCTGACTTTGATATTCGCATATCATCCTAAAAATAAAATATGACAAATTAGAGCAGTTTCTATTTTGGGAAATCACAGTGTGTTTAATATTCAAGCCATAGGGTTTGTTTTTAAAAACTAAAAAAAAAATCCATACTAATTATATGATTTCTAAATATGCCAACAGCTCAGCACGCCCTGAGCACATATTACATGCAGGAGTTACACGATTCTCTGGGTCTGAACCTTGTGCCTTTCTTTGTCTTCACTGCCACTCACTGATGTTCATATTCATTCTGAAGTGAAATTTGGCCCAACTTTGTTTCTACGTATGTTATCAATCTCCCATAGAACTGATAGGAGACAGTGGCTGGATTATGCTGATGCCGTCAGGACACACTACTTTAAAATATGGCACCTTGGCATTTGAGAAAGCAGCAGAAGCAGGAAAGTCATGTTTACCTCCTCACCCTTTCCCTTGAAGCAGGTTACATTGCTGCAGGAAAGGAATGTCCTTTGATCTCTAAACACACTGGGACACAGAGGAGAATCTGAATACGCAGTCCTTGCTAAGTTGTCCCATGCATTGCCATTAAATTATACACTCTTTGTCCAATCACTCTTCTGCATGACTATCCACACTTCATCATATCTAAATATAAAATTACACAGGTTTTCTTCCTTTAGGTCTTCATTTCTGAAGGCTCCTATGTCAAGTAAAAATTATGTCAAATACATTTGTATGTTTTTCTCTTGTTAATATGTCTTTTGTTATAGAGGCCTCAGCCATGAACCTAGTGAAGTGTGAAACAAGAAATCTTTCCTCCCCTTCAATACCCTCGGAGGTTGTAGTCCCACAGGCAAAGACCCCAGTCTCCATTGTTTCAAAGTTCTGGAGAGAGAATAACGTCCTCTAGGGTATGAAATTTTTCTAATCACTGGAGAAATGTTAGATAAAATCATTTACTAACAAAAGTGTTCTATAGACATCCCAGCTGAATAGCTGGACACAAAAACATAACATTTGTTTTCTCATTTATTCAACAGCACCGGTGAGCTGGGTGCAGGGGTCAAGTATGAAATGAATGTGGAGTTGCCTGGGAGGAACTCAGAGTCTATTGATGGAGATTAATGCATAAACAAGAACTTTACAATAATAAATTATATAATTATTGTAATTACAATAATTAATAAATGTAACCCCTCAGTTGTGGCTGAACTGTCTGGAAGAGCAGAAGGGATAGTCTGTGAACAGAAGGAAATCAGCCTTACTGTTGAAACACGATAGTTCCCTTGATCTCTTCACAAGACTTGCAAAGAGGTTGCTCCTTTACTCAGCCCATAGCTCTCACCCCATCATGGGATGGGGAGCACGCAGGTGAGTGGGTGCCGGGGCCAGGACGAGCACTTCTGGGCAGCTGGCAGGAGTAGATCTCCATGCCATCTAGTAGGGGTGCCCACAACCCCCAGAGCCCTAGAGAGCATGTGTTAGAGTGCGCTCTTTTAGCTCTGCCGTCTGTGGACAGCTTAAGTGTTAAACAGCTCAGTGGAGGGGCAGTGTGATGCCTTGTTAGGCATCCAGGAAGAATCAGGTCACAGGAATGAATTGAAGGTTGTAAATGCTCGGAATGTTGTTGGGTGGTAGAAATGGCTCTCAGCGGGGTGGAGAGCTGGAAAGGGGATGGGTGGAGCAGGAAGGTGGTCTTCCCCTGAAGTCCAGCCATCCCCCAGCTGAACTCTACATGAAGTCCCACTGTCAGGCCATCCCTCTGAAGCCAAGCTGCTTCTCTCAATGTACAGCTGCTGCTTCTCTTCTCTCTTTCTCTGCTGCTCTGACAGTGGGGTCTGGAGTTTTTATGCATGCAGGATGGGGGGCGGGGCGGGCCAAAAAGCAACTTTCAAGGCGGGAAACAGGAGTGTATGTTCTCACTTTGGGCTGTGGTCCCAGGCTTGAGGGTAGGGATTTGTCAGGAACCCCACCCTTTTCTGCCTAGTATTTCCCTTCCTTCTGCCCATATCATTATTAATCCCTTGTGAACGAAAACAAAATGAAGGATATAATACAGAACTCTTCTTTGCTTTTTCTAACAGGAAACATTCAGTCCCTTTAGGGTCTTTTTCAGATGGTTATCAGGTATCTCCTTCTTTCCTAGCCTTCTTCTCCCCATGTTCTTTTTGCCTGCCTTGCCCTGGCTTCTTTCTACCTTTTTGGACCTTCCAGCAGGGTCCTGGCTCCAGCCTGGAAAGATGGTAACAGATCCTTATTGGACTTCAAACAAAGAGGCTTAAAGTCCCTTGGATTCTCCAGAATGGAGTAGCAACAAGATCAATCTTTCTCTATTAGTATACATTCATACTAAAATTTCCCTGCACTATCCCTGCTGTATTTTTATACAAAATTGTTCTAGCACTAATTAATGGGCAACCTCTGGCAGTATGAAGAAATGTTTCAGCTCATGGCTTGTGGAGCCAGATGTCTGGGTTTGTAACACTATCTTGACAGTGTGTAAAGTCTTTCTCTGCCTCATAATACTGTTTGGGGATTAAATTAATTGATATGTGTAAAGAGCAGGGGAAAAGTGAACAGAAAATCTGCAGGAAACTGAAAAGTTCCTTCTGCTGTAGTAAGGTAAGTAAGCAAATCTGGAAACCCAGGGGCACCAGGCACAGTGGCTTTGTGCTCATCCTCTGCTGTGGCTCACAGATTCCCTATCATCCGGAAGAAATTCCTACCGTTTTAGTCTCCAAAATATAGCCCCTCCCTGTAGCTAGTCACAAGGAATTTACTGTAATGGGTTAATGCAGCCTTCTTCTCATGTGGAGGCAGAGAACTGATTGACTCTCTTCCCTAGCCCAGTTTTCTTCACAAAGTGGGGAGGTTCTTTTTCAATAATGGAGCTTGCCTTACTCCAAGAGCCCAGGACTTAGCCCGTGAATCTCACCTCAGCATTGTGCTAGAATTCCTCATTGCTCTTCTTGTCTCTTGGACACAAGTTTTTGGAAAATTTGCTTTCAATATTACCATTTTTCCAACTGAAGTTTAACCAGCCAACTTCTTTTTTTTAAAAAAATTATTTATTAGACTCTAAGTTCTAGGGTACATATGCACAACGTGAAGGTTTGTTACATATGTATACATGTGCCATGTTGGTTTGCTGCACCCATTAACTCGTCATTTACATTACGTATTTCTATTTCTATCCCTCCCCCATCCCCCCAACCCACCACAGGCCCCCGTGTGTGATGTTCTCCGCCCTGTGTCCAAGTGTTCTCATTGACCAGCCAAGTTCTATGTCAGTTTCATAGTCCCCCAAGGAGTAGTCCCATGTATGTAGCTCCCCCATCTGGGGATACTTAACTGACTCATCACACTCCAGGGCCATGAGAATCTAAGGACACCATCACTGCCTGTGCAGTACCGATGGGTCTACCCAGGTAACAGAAACACTTTTCCATAGACCTAAAAAGAGGAGGATGACAGGAAAGAGGAAAGGGCTTTCTTCCCTACCTCCTTTGGCTGGGTGAGTGTTTCCAAGATCAGGACCCCATCCTTTCTCTCCTAGAAACTTCAAATTTTTTAACTTTTTAAAGTTTTAGAGCCCTTATTTAATTATTGCCTCCATAAGGTAAGGGAATATTCATTCACAATATGACCCTTAGCTAAGCACCTTGGATCCTACAAAAGGCTGAGACTAGGCACTTAAAAACACACACACACACACACACACACACACACACACACAAACTTACTATCTAGGGGAATATATCACAAAAAGTCTTTTTCAATCGAGTAGAGCATTATCTGTGAGGTCACAAGGATAACAGTAAAAAAAGTTTTGCTTCTAAAAAAGAACAATCTTTGTAGACTTAAAAACCAAAATCTTAAAGAAATGAATCCCTAATGGCTTCTTGAACAGAACCCACAGCATTAGAATATAGTTGAAAGAATTTAGTCCTACATTAACAGGAAATGGTTTAATATTTGTCTCTCTCATTTACTAGCTGCTGGCCTTGAATTATTTGCCATTTCAAAGTTCCTGATTCCTCTTCCATAAAACGGGTGTACTGATGTCTACTTCACATGATTGTTTACATAATAAAATGAGAAAACATATAGAGCAGCTAATGGAGGATAGCAATTATCAAGATGAACAACAAAAAAACAACCAATTTATCACAATGTCAAATTTAACTATATGTAATTTTCAAGACTCAGTTTATTTCTCTGGGATATTTAAATCCAGTTCTTCTAAAGGAATCCAGTGATTTCTTAGAGAATCTTATCTAGAGAAATTAGATTATTTATTTAGTATCTATTTCCCAAATAATCACAGAAGATTATGTTATTCCTTTAGCTGCATAGCTAGTATCTGCTGAAAATGTTTGTGCCACACTCTATAATAAATGCGTTATTCTTTTAGTCACAGAAGACTCTATCTCCAAGAGGCTGTATGTTTTTCCAGATCATGGAAGTGTGGCAGTCAGTAATTGATATTATTAAATATGTTTACTGCTGATGCAGTGACATAGCTGAAGTGTGTCTGCTTTTCTATGCTGAAAATTGATGGGATATTGGATCTGATTTCAATTCTACAGTGGATGTCAGCAAAACCTCAACATGTGAACCAAAGAAAACAAGAACAGTTGATAAATGCCCTTTTTGAGTCAGTCTCAGAAGACAAGAGAATCAAATGTCTGTGGTAACATATGCTGCAGTTTCAGACGGAGTCTGCATTGAAACCATGAATAGCTGGTTTAAAGCAGCTCAGTGTTATCCACAGAATGGGGCAAAGCATTGTGGAACCAGAGGAATTGGCTCTAAGCCTTACCTAAGGACCGGGATTTGCTTCAGTCTTCATCTATGCCTGTGGCTGTCTTCCTAGAAGGCACTTGTTTTTGTTTGTTTTGGAAAGGTGACTTTTTTCACTGCACTGGATAAATAGTAAAAATGTCAGAAAAAAATATTCAGTTATATTGACTGGAGAAACATCTTTGTAAAATGACACCCAGAAAAATGATTTTTTGGTTGAAAAATAACATAAAATGGATATGCTTTCTATATTTATATGATATATTGTATCTAAGTGCATTATTTAGGCAAAGACTTATAAAGGTGAATTCACAGGTGAAGCAGGTGAAGTGCAGGGCCTGTTGTCTTCCCAAAGACATGTCCAAGGTATTGTTTCATAATTTCCAGTTGCAATTCTTAATGCACATTAGACTGTTTCAACAAAGAGCAAATATTTACACCCATATTTATAATATCACTAATGTTCTATGAAAATAACGTATTTTCACATGCTTCATCTTATTTAAGTTTTATAACAACCATGTGACCCATGTGAGTTGGCATTTTCATCCCTAATTTACATATTAGAACACTAGGACTAGGGGGATGGAAATAATTTGTTCAGTGTCATGTAGTTAATAAGTATCTCAGTGACAGCACAGTCTCCTCTATTCTGATTCTAAGCTGAGTGCTTTTTGGGTTTTCTGTTTGTTTGTTTTTAATATATCAAAGCATCTCTCCTGCTTACTTTTTATCATTTACTGACATAACTCAAAAAGAAAATCTACCAACATTTTTCCCTCTATTATTTCATTCAATAGATATGATTGATAGCAAGGGATGTATGCCCTCCTTAACTAGGATCATGGAATGTTAAACCTCGAAGACGTTAGAAATGTAGTTCAACCTCTGTATCAAGTTGGTCAAATCTTTTTCTGGCATGATCCCTCTATAAACTTGGCTGGCTTTCTCCATTGTTCCTATTCTTCTTTTATTATTATTATTATTATTATACTTTAAGTTTTAGGGTACATGTGCACAACGTGCAGGTTTGTTACATATGTATACATGTGCCATGTTGGTGTGCTGCACCCATTAACTCGTCATTTAGCATCAGTTATATCTCCTAATGCCATCCCTCCCCCCTCCCCCACCCCACAACAGTCCCCGGCATGTGATGTTCCCCTTCCTGTGTCCATGTGTTCTCACTGTTCAATTCCCACCTGTGAGTGAGAACATGTGGTGTTTCAGCCATCCCATTACTGGGTATATACCCAAAGGATTATAAAACATGCTGCTATAAAGACACATACACACGTATGTTTATTGTGGCACTATTCACAATAGCAAAGACTTGGAACCAACCCAAATGTCCAACAATGATAGACTGGATTAAGAAAATGTGGCACATATACACCATGGAATACTATGCAGCCATAAAAAATGATGAGTTCATGTCCTTTGTAGGGACACGGATGAAGCTGGAAACCATCATTCTCAGCAAACTATCGCAAGGACATTGTTCCTATTCTAAGATCACCAACCTGTCAATTTCCAACTTTCCTTACGTGCTATATTCTCTGGATCAGTTGCAAGCCTTTATAAATGAGATATTGAAAAAAACAACCAAGTAATTAGGATGCGTAATAAAGCAAATAATTATAAAGGTGTAGGAAGGTTAAGATAAAGCAGTAAGAGATGGTTCACCATCTTGGAGTCATTATCTCACCTAGACTTGGAGGGACAAGGGGAAGGAGCAGATACTGGAACCCAAAATGTATAGTGGTAGGAGAAGGCTGGAGTGAAATTGGGAAAGATAAAGTCGGGGAAACAAAAACCCCAAATTCACTCTCTTCTGAATTAACATATTCTTGCCATATCTCTGATTGTTCCAAATTGGAAGCCATAAGGTGTCTTAGCCCAAGTATACTTTAAAACAGAGCCTGTGATATCATATTATCTGAGACTATAATCCAATAAAAACAAAACAGAGAAAGGGGGATGAAGCAAAAAAGAGAGATTAAAAAAATGTTAAGTACTTTACCTAAGCTGGCCACATCTTCACAATAAGCAGATTGCTTAGGTTTGTGAAACGTCTCCAGAGAAGTGGTATGGAAGCTCCATTGGCTATTAAGAGCCCCGTGAAGTATGATAACTGACCATCTGGATTGTGCTATGCATGGGTGCTGAGCGGCTTCATGGTATCACCTTTTCAGCAGCAATTGTGAAGCTACATGGTGCAAGGAGATAAATGTGAAATGTGAGCCAAGGTTCTGTGTGGATGTGCCATTGAGTGATCTCAAAGAAAGCAGATAATCACAGCAGAGTCCTGACGCATCAGCAATATCTAAGTCCACGATCTTCAGGACAATGCTAGTCCTTGCCAGGGCTGCACAAAATACAAGCAATGCAATGATGCAGATCTGGGGACACAGAAACAGGGCCTGGTGCAGAGGGCCAGGGTGTCCATAAAGTGCAGCCTCACAGGGCAGAAAGGTGAGGTGGGAGTGGCAGGAAAAGAGAGAGAAGTGCGTCTGGAGGAGAAAACAGAAAGTATGCATCATGTATACAAAATGGGAAGAAGTTTCTACAAACTGGCTGTTATGGACTAAATATTTGTATCCCCCTAAAATTTATATGTTGAAATCCTACCCTCCAGGATGATGGTATTAGGTGGTGTGGCTTTTGGGAGGTGATTAGATGCTGAGGGTAGAACCCTCATCAATGGGATTAGTGCCCTTATAAAAAAGGTCCTAGAGAACTGCCTTACCTCTTCTGCCATGTTCTCACACAGAAAAAAGCCACCATCTATGAACCAGGAGTAGGGTCCTCCCCAGACACTCAATCTGCCAGTGCCTTGATCTTCAACTTCCCAGTTTCCAGAACGATGAGAATTAAATGTTGTTTAAGCCACCCATTGTCTGTGGCATTTTTGTGAAAGCATCCTAAATGGACTAACACACTGGCCATGTCCTATGTTACCACTCTATGTTAAAAACTTATTCTTTTACGATTCTTCAAGCTAAAGTAACGAGATAGAAAGCTCTAATAGTGAAGTCTGAAGTCTTTGTATGCAGTCTTAGAAAATTTGCTCTGTTCTGTGGAGTGGCTTCTTTTTTTTTAATTTTTTATTATTATACTTTACTTTTTAGGGTACATGTGCACAACGTGCAGGTTTGTTACATATGTATACATGTGCCATGTTGGTGTGCTGCACCCATTAACTCGTCATTTAACATTAGGTATATCTCCTAATGCTATCCCTCCCCACTCCCCCCACCCCACAACAGGCCCTGGTATGTGATGTTCCCTTTCCTGTGTCCATGTGTTCTCATTGTTCAGTTCCCACCTATGAGTGAGAACATGCGGTGTTTGGTTTTTTGTACTTGCGATAGTTTTCTGAGAATGATGGTTTCCAGCTTCATCCATGTCCCTACAAAGGACATGAACTCGTCATTTTTTATGGCCGCATAGTGTTCCATGGTGTATATGTGCCACATTTTCTTAATCCAGTCTATCGTTATTGGACATTTAGGTTGGTTCCAAGTCTTTGCTATTGTGAATAGTGGAGTGGCTTCTTTTTATCCATCTCCCTGTAAAACTGCCCTGTAACTCATGACCCATTCTTACTGTCCTCGCTCCTGATTGTCCTTACAGTTGCCTCCTGTCTGTTCTGCGTGAGACCTTCATCATCTCTTGTTTGAATCATTACATATTGCCATGTATCTACTACTCATTGCATTTTTCCCAAACTATTCTTTACAATGATAACAGAATAATCTTTTAAATATACAAAACTGATCAAATCGTTGTCCTTTTTAAAAAGTCTTCACTACCTTGTAGGAAAATAATTTTTAATTTAGTATTATAAAATAGTAACTACTTGCCAGTTTTCTATGAACTTTCATTTACCTTGGTCTTTTTATAAAATAACTCCATTTGGTGTATTTATAAATGAGCACTGCAGTTTTCAAGTTAATGCATTTGAGCACAATAAGAAGGAAATAAACTTTACCAAACAAACAAAATGTTGACTCAGTGGGAGTGTGTGTGTGTGTTCCAGGTTATTCTTGATTGTATTTTCCCACTCACATTGTCTCTTGATGGAAAGGTTTTCACTATTTCCTGGTTACACAGACCATTCACATATTTCTATGGTAGTCATTATGACCTACTACGGTCGTTCCTTCCAAGTGTCTCTCATCCTCATTTTTTAAACCCAACAGAGTCAGTGAGTCTTATCCATTTAAGATTCCATAATTTGATACTAAGTGCATGCTTCTGAATGAAATGCAGAATCTAATGTTTTAATACTAGACTTGCTTAAAAATCTATTTGCTTTTTTATTTTACTTGTATCTATATGTATATATGCATTAATATTTACTTTTGAACCCTGATTTAATTTAAAAGCATGGATTTTTAGGACTAAAAACAAAAACCAAAATAAAAGCATATATTATTTAATTATACAGTAGCTTACCATAATATATATATAAGAGCTATTCAAAAACGTTTTTTCTGTTATTTCTAAAAGTTACTTATCCTGCCTTTTAAGGGTCCTATTCCTAAAAAAGTATTAAGTAGTTTCGTCACTTAACAGCAGTGTGTCACTTAGCTAGCTAGTCCACTTCTCCAGTGCTCAGTTTCACAGTCTGCAAAATGAGAGGTATGATGTCTATGTCATGAAACGGTGCATATAGCATGCCTAGCCTGGTTCCTGAAAAATATATCAGTCCCCTACCCTATTTCCCATACTGAAAATTAATTTTAAAAAATGCTTGTTATATTGCTGGGCATGGTGGCTCATGCCTATAATCTCAGCACTTTGGGAGGCCAAGGCGGGCGGATCACCCGAGGTCGGGAGTCAAAGATCAGCCTGACTAACATGGAGAAACCCCGTCTCTACTAAAAATACTAAAAATTAGCAGTGAGCGGTGGTGCATGCCTGTAATCCCAGCTACTTGGGAGGCTGAGGCAGGATAATGGCGTGAACCCAGGAGGCGGAGATTTTGTTGAGCTGAGATCGTGCCATTGCACTTCGGCCTGGGCAACAAAAGCAAAACTCCGTCTCAAAAAAAAAAAAAAAGCTTGTTATATGTGAATTGGTAGTGATGTAAATACTAGCCAAAGGTTGAGGAATATTTTCATTTCTTTAGAGTGAAGGAGAACCTTCCATCTTCATACTTTCAGGCTTTATCTCATTATCTTCTTTAGAAAATAAAGTGTAGAACTGCTTTATTGACTTATTTATTCACTCAGCAAATATTTATGGAGTTTCTAATTTGCACTACTCACTCTGCTGAGTGCTGAAAATCAAAAGTAAAATTAAGAAAAGGGATGTTGGTTCAGGTGCAACTTCTTCCTGCCCCTAAACAGGTGTTAGTCAGATATAGTCACCCAAAATCTACTGACTTTTGTCAGGCACCAAGTTTACCATTTGCACCAGGGAAACGAATGTCACGTTTCAAGTCTTCTTACAGAATTTGCTTCTGACCTCCTCACCTTTGTCTCCCCCTCAATTTGAAAGTGTTACCAGTGTTAGTCAGGAATTTATGTATGCAATTTACTATTTATTTTCTTCTTAAACACTGTATCATCATTGATGTTTAACACAATATTTTTTCTCTTTGGTAACCATAATAAATCTTAATTTTAATCACCAGTTTAAAAGAATATTATTTCCCCTCTTCAATACTGTAGAAACTAACCCGACCTAGAAGTGAATTTGCATTGATTAATATCAGATATTATTTAGTTAGTCATAATTGTGATTGGAACCACATGCAAAAGAAGACAGGAGAAAAAAAGGACTTGCCTACCTCAGCTGTCCAAATTCAACTAACAATTAATATTTGCAGGTGCTGGGAAATTGACTTAGATGACTGCTGCCAGAGCACACCTTGATCTACCCTTGAGGCATGGCATTAGGCCTGTGAGTGCGTAATTCAGAAAGGAATTGTGCAGGTGCAAAAATAATCTACAGATGAATTGCCAAGTGCCTAGTATTGCACTCCTCTGATTCTGAAGACAATGTCATTGGTCTCGTTTGTATTACCTTTGGATAAGATCTAAATTAGAAATAAAGACTAGAAAATATCATAGAACAAAGGAGAGTCAACAAAATCGATAAGATCATTGGAAATCATAAATTATTCTTATGTCCTTTACCTCTTCCTAAATCCACTCTTGCCAACTTGCATATAGAAAGTCACCTTTGCAGAGATGGTATATAAAATTCCATCCATATTATGAAATGTTCTGCTATAGACAGGCATGGACATAATACACAAATAATGTCTTTCTCCTGAATGTTCTTTTTATTTAAGTGGTGATCGTGTGTACGTATGTGTGTGTGTTGGGAAGGGGAGTGGATCTACAAATAGGGAATTTTCAAGGAGCTTAAGTCCTCTTGAAATGCGGTATGCATGACATTAACTCTGACAACAACTGTAACAGCTAAATATATAATAATAATCTGTTCACAGTTAGGAAATAAAATAAATTAAGCTATTAACTCTAGAGTTAATATTGCTTTGGACTAGTTTAAAGAGTATGATTTTGAGAAAAAGAAGGGCATATCTTTATAAATTTCTTTCTCTTTTGACATTTAACTTTGAGGTTGGGAATAGATGGTAGAAATTACCAGGATCTGAGTCCTTAAACAAGGTTTAGACCCCAGATGTGTTGTATACAACAGAAACACACTTTGTTTTCATTCTTAGCCATGCCATACTGTCTGGGGCCAAAGACAGTTTGTTTTCTTTTGTTTGTTTATTTCACTAGTAATAGGGCCCATTCTTGGCTCACATCATATTGCTGTTGATGTTGTACTTCAAATCTATGCAATCAAAAGTGGAGCTTATTTTCATGTTATCTACTTTAGAATTGCAGTATATCAAAGAGCACTGTAGGGTAAACAATACTATTTCAATGAAAATTTCTCAATACTACCTTAATCTAGATTTTTTGCTCTAAAAACAGTAAAAAAAAGAATAATATTATTTTAAAACACATTACCAGTAAAAAAAAAATAGACCAATATTATTTTAAAACACAACATTACAAAATGAGTTGGTAATATTGCTAGATGGATCATTAAACATAAAGACATACTGTTTTGGGCCCTCCTTGTTTTTACTGATAAACTAAGGCTTAGAGATGCTCATTTAACGGGAAAGAACAGTTAACAAACCAAGGAACTGAGAATGGAGCCAAGGTAATTTGCTTCTAAAACCAGTACATTTTTTCACTATTCCACACTGATAGCTTCTATTTAGATCATAAACCAGTGTTTTCAAAATATAAACCCAGATCCACCAGTATTCCCTGGATGCTTTTCACAACTTACCTACAGGCCCACCTCTTGACATTCTGATTCTGTAGTTATGAGAAGAGACACTAGCATCTGTGTTTTAACAACAAAACACCCAAAGGATCTGATGCACATGGAACTTTGAGAACACTGCTGAATACACAGCCCATTCCCACGCTGCTATAAGGACATACTCGAGGCTGGGTAATTTATAAAGGAGAGAGGTTTAATGGACTCACAATCCCACATAGTTGGGGAGGCCTCACAATCATGGCGGAAGATGAAGGAGAAGCAAAGCCATGTCTTACATGGCAGCAGACGAGAGAGCATGTGCCAGGGAACTGCCCTTTATAAAACCATCAGATCTTGTGAGACTTATTCATTATCACGAGAACAGAATGGGAAAAACCTGCCCTCATGATTCAATTACCTCCCACTGGGTTCCCCCCAAGACAGGTGGACATTGTGGAAGCTACAATTCAAGATGAGATTTGTGTGGGGACACAGTCAAGCCATATCAACCGCCAACAGTGTGATGCCTTAAATTACTGTACAGGCACTCAGTGAAGGCTGGTTACCTGCTTCCCACCCATTTGAATTGAAATGAACAAAATATCTCTATTTCAAATATTGGTCAGGGCCACTAAACAACAACAAAAAAAAGTCTCACATGTAAGGCTCATCTGGACTTAATTAGTCAGGGAAGTGATAGATGGAATATAGCATTTGGTAACACAAATTAACTCTCATCCTGAAAATAGTGTGCACTGAGTAAAAATCATCTGTTGCATCTTACTTCTTCAGGGAAGTTGGCAACTATCATTAAATGGATGGAGTAGGGCTATTTCTCTCTAGCTAAAAGTTTTACTTAGATGTGAATGGTCAGGTCCCCAAGGAATGTTCAGCTAGCAGCACTTGATTACATCCAGGTCAAATTCAGATTTGGTGACATTCTGAAAAAGGATTGCAAATCCCATTTACAAGCTTAGAAATGATACTTTCAAAGCTCAGTTTTAATATTATTATGAGCATCAGGAACATATTTATACAAATTTTTATTTTATGAAAGTCAGGATTGTCATTTTCAACTGATAATGCTCAACAAGAATCAAGACAGCATTTTTCACGTCAGATTTTATTTTGTGTTGTTTTAAGGTGCTGGGGAGAACAGAGGACTGAGGGACATGCATGGAACTTTGATTGAAAACAACCAAATGTCTGAACCCGTCTACATAGAAAATGAGGCCTCAGTTTTCTCATTTCAAGCCTGAGTAATTTAGATCATCTGGCAAGCACGTGGGCTGCAAGGCCACAGACTCTAGTCCGTGTCAGTTGCCTTTGTACAGGAGACAATCAAGCAGTGAGGCACACTGTAATTTTTCTTTTATGTTTTAAAGGGTTCTTTAAAAAAGATTGTATTCTTCCCTTACATTTTCATTGCCACAGCTGGAGGCTCCCTTCTAAATGGTATATTAGGGCCTTCAAGCACTTGATGTCTATCTTCTCTCACTTGACTGACACAATGTGTGTCAAAAATGTAAATAGTCTAATGCAGAAGGCACATGAGTTCAATGGGAAACTCCGAAACTGTTTCTGCAATGGCTCTGATGGGCTGGACTCCGAGAAATTTCAACGTGTGACCTTCTAGCCTTCTGTAACTCTAAACCAGTGGATTTATAAAGCCATGCTAATGACCACGCTAATCTATATCCACTGATGAGACTAAAATGTTCTCTCTCCCCGATTTGAATACACAGCACTTTTACAGTGATCTAAAGCAGATTATTCACAGCTCGCTATACAGCCCTACAATTCCTTAAAGCTAAATTGAATTAAGCCTATTTCCGATTATTTTACTGGTTATTAAGGAATAGTGCATTTTATTTTTAGCACTTTAATGAGGCTTCTGTTGTTAATGAAATCATTAAGCATCAATAATGCTGTCTGCATCTAACCAACAGACAATTGGATATAGTCTTGGAATGTTAGAGATGTCAGGAGCACAGAGATTTAGAAACCATTGAGTTCAGCATTTCCTCACCTTCTTTTCCAGGTGCAATATTCCTTGTAAGCTGATGTAAGGCAGCCACAGAGGACAATAGCTAATCCCGTACGCACTCCTAAGACACATCTTCTGAGGCTGCCCCTCTTTGCCACAGAGCCACCTCCCTGAATGTGGTGATAGAGGAGAATCTTCATCATGGGTTCTGGGAGAGGGCATCAGGTCAGATTCCACCAGCAGGTCACATGCCGGTCTCGGATTCTTAGTCCTCCCTTCTTTTCACTCCTCGTACTTCTCATATGCACTGCGTGCCAGGTCTTTTCAAGTACCCTGCTATGAAGAGAGAATTTGACATAAATAAGAAAATCTTTGCCCTCAATAAACTAACAACTAAATAGTCGTAACTATTTATCAGTAACACAAGATGAAGGGGAAGAAACATAATTTTTTATTCAGTCCTCATAAATTCCTAGTTGGAAAGAACTCCTGTAAGAGATTAACAAGAGAAAAACAAACAGAAGTGTATTAATATATATATCTCATATATACATGGATGATACCAGGGAAATAAGTAATCTTCAAAGAGGTGGTGACAAGACAAAAGAAAAGGACTTTGAGTCTCTAGGACCAGCAACTTGTGGGAAGGTAAAGGAATGGCAGAGAGAAGCTAATTAATAAACCTTGTTCATGTAGATTCCTCTGGTACCGTGTCAAGGCAGAGAAGGGTTTAAAGTTGATCTTAGTGGTTAACCTTTATTCCCCTTGGTGGAAGAGAAGGTAGGCTATCTTTGATCTTTATAAATCTGTGTCCTGCTTTTAGGCAAATAGAGGAGAACAGAGAGCTTCTCAGCATCTAATTCTTTTTAATTGCCTTCAGCTCAACAATCTTTCGTATTTTGGAGTGGCATGTTACAGTCTTCCACAGAGGTAAATGCTGAATTAAGAGATATATTCTAAAGGTGGAAAGTAAGATTTGCTTGTGAGGGATGAACAGCCCCAGCCAGCTTCTCCAGGCAGGTGAAATGTGGCTGCTTTCCTCCTCTCCTGCATTTCTACAGTACCTCACAGCTAATGCTCCAAGTGAAATCAGAATGGTCCTATCTTCCAAATATCCCGTGATGCTCCATGCCTCTCCTCCCTTGCCTATTAATTTTCCCAGAGAACACTACTTAATGAAATGGACAAAATTACTTCCACCACACATGCCCTTTCTTTGTTCACATACACCCCCACACAGAACCCGCACACAACACAGCACAACACATATTACAGTCTCACTAACTGAGCTCTCTGTGAGATTACCATGTATACATTATGGTGATAATAAGGACTAGTGAAATTTACATTATTTTTTTGACCTCATGATTCATTCGCTCTCTTTTCAAGTAAGTAATATGATAATCCAAGCCCAGCTAAAATAATAGAAATGGTTAAGACTACCAGATCATAGGACCGTGTCATTGCCTTAAGCTGAATTATACAGACATATTCTTACTATCTAACATCCTAGTCTCTAAATCATATGCCTATAACATAGCTCCTGTTAAAATGTATTTATTTCTGAATTTGTTCTTATTTGCACATTTGCATACAATTGTGTATCTGTAATTGGATAGGATACGTTATATTAGAGCTTTAGTTTGCAAAAACTAAGTGTTAGTTAATAAATAGCTTCAAACAAAATATGAGACCATGTCCTTAGATCTCCCAAGTCACTATTTACTATTTCTATTAGGTTGGGGAAATGCTTCTGATGGTTAACCATTATTCACCATTACCTAATAATTTTTCTTAATTTCACTTTAAAATAATTACCCCATTTTACAGTTCTGGGGACCTATGGATGGAAACAAGGATGGAAATCTAAAGTGTAGTGTTAGTATCCAATATTAAGCACTGGTCTCATCATTTCCCAGTGAAATTTCTACATCAATTTAATAGATAGTGTGTGTATTTCAATGTCAATGAGATGATAAAAATAACATTCGTATATAATTTTCAATATTAAAACACATATTAATTTATTTTATTCTCACAACCCTATGACAAGATAAACTCTGTGCATAAGTGATGGAAATCCACAGATAATCAACAAGCTTCTCTCCCTTGAAGGGTTTGCATGTTATCCCCAAGGAGGCTTTTGACCTGATCTCTACCTAGAAGGAGAAATTGGCTGCTCTTTCTTCTTCGTCGAGTTCCCTTCCCAGCTTGTGGCCACTAGGCTCCCCTCGAGGAGTTTGTGTAGCATCTCCATTGGAGGTCATCTTTTTTTCATCACCATCTGGAGGTCTTTTCCCAGGCACTTTAGTCTCTTCTCTACCTGATTACAATATCCTACTGATTCTGTTTTGCACTTTCTGCTTCTTAACAGGATCTCTCTTTGGTGTCCCAACACCATAAAGAAGTTAATAATGCATAATGAGTTTGGACATCAATAGTTTGAGCTATAGTGAACTAAAACGACTTCTCTTTCATGGCACAATGAAGCCAGAGTCTGATCATAGCCTCACTGAATTCCCATGTTGTCAAGACAGACACAGGAGGATGTTTTGTGAACAGCAACAGTACATGAGCATGAGCTACAGCAAATGCACCTCTCTCCTTCATTCTATTCATCTGGAAAAATAATAGCTTTACATCTGTCCTTGAAAAATCAGCAACTAATAGTCTGGAAAAACTACCTTTGTCTTGTAAAATGCACAATATAATCTTTGCCATTTCCACATAAATCCAAGCTGTCTTTCATTGCCTTTGGTTTTGTGTTTCTTAATAAATTATGATTAGCATACTTAGCCACACTTTTAAAAAATGTTTGTTTCCCTTAAGAATATAGAAGAGGTAGGCTTAGGTATGTCAAAACTTCTAAAATTGTATTCTTTTTTTTCTTTTAGTACATTAATAGGAAAATGGTGTCAGCTCTCTGAATTGACTGCTTGGAAAAACACAACACACACACGCAAGCTAAGATTTGTTAAATGAATACAAGAATAAAACTAATTCTTCAAAACAACTTGGGGACATGGACAAAACATTTGATTTGTGGAAAGGACAAGAAGTAGGAGGGAATTTGGGATCAGTATTTGCTCCAATGAGTGTAATTATTGTGTAAATTGTGGCTCTTGACAAAAATCTCTGAGTCCTGTTGAGATGTTGTTATGTCCCACGAAGGAGCCTGCCTTCTATAGTGTGATTGCTTGCAAAGATGCTGCCGCTGCCTTCCTCCTTTTCCCACAGGAGATGGGCAATTTGCCAGTGTTTCATTTTCAAGTGCCATTGTTCACCTAGAGCCTTAGGAAAAGCTCCTGCTTTTTTATTGTTAATCTAAGCCTAAGTGATGGTCTTAAAAAAAAAAAAACCCTGTAACATTTTATAACAAATTTATTAGGCATCAACATTAGCCACTAAGGCTCAAATAGCTCTGTCACTTATATTTTAATTTAACAAATAATTGAATAGTTTACGCAGTCACCACATTACTTTATTGGTTTGTGAAATCTGTTTGTATGAGTAATTCATGGGAAAAATTATAAATCTAGAGTTGTTTCTGTAATACCTTTCTAACCTCCTTCCATTAGTTATGTTTCTGACAACAAAGCAACATGGTAATGTTCGTCACATGATTTAATCTTTTTAGCATCATAGTTTACATTATATATGTATATGACACTGAAGAAGAAAGGTCCAATTGTCCTGTATTCTAAGGAAAAAAGATACATTTATTCATTAAAGAATTTGAAGAATAGGTGAAAGATGTTAATGATCATCAAATGTGAGCTCATGCTAGAACCTTATGTGAATTAGGTTTGGCAGTCTTGGATTAATCCTTCATATTTAAAACATACTACACACTCAAGGGGGAGGGTAATTTCCTGAATTTTATCATAAAGACTGAAACATGACCAAAATGGATGCCAGAATTTGAAATGGTTGTATGCAAAAATGTAAAGCAGGCAGTCTTTGCTTTTATCACTCCTAACAGCCCTTGCAGATTGCTTCCCCTGTCCTACCGGCATGTGTCATGGTCTGCTCACCTCCCAGCACTTATGGTCTGTCACTTGTCCAAGGCCCCCATCGTGACAGCATCCTTATGCTCACAACCTTTCCCATCTTCCTCATTCTCTGTTCAAAGATTTCCTTCAAACTATAGATTCTTTTAGAGTCCTGTCTAGTCTACCGAACAAGCACATTGATTTGTGTTTAGGAGTTAATAGCTGGTAGTAGCTATTAATGTGACACCTTCCCAGATATAATTTGCATTTAAACAGCTGCCTTTAACAGAAAGAAGTGGAGAATGCTAAGGATTTCAGACTCTGAGGCAGGGCCAATGAGAGTTATTTCTGGTCACCAAGCCAGTCTCAGTACCCCTCAGGTGTTTAATCTGTGTATGAGACATTAGGAGGAAAAAAACAAATAAACAAGGCTTTGATTTGATTCACAGCTCTGACAATTACTAGCTTTGTGACCTTGAGCTAGTTTTCCAGTGTCCTCAGCCATTAACATTGGACTAATAAGGTTTTACGAAAACTGAAAGTAGAATAGCCCAAACTCCTAAAAAGTCAAATATAAAAATGTCTGTTAGTTAGAAATTTTTGGTTACAAATGACAGAAATGTAATGCAAACCATTTATTCCTATACCACTTGAAATGTGCATTTTTTAGCAAACAAAACAATGAATTCTGATATGGGTAGTAATTGGATCACACTTCAATAACTAGTATTCTCCAGTCAAAGCTTTATATTAGTCCGTTTTCACGCTGCTATAAAGAAGTGCCTGAGATTGGGTAATTAGGAAAGGGGTTTAATTGACTCATAGTTCCACATGGCTTGGTGGGGTGCTTAGGAAACTTACAATCATGGCTGAAGGGGAAGGGGAAGCGGGCACTTTCTTCACAAGGCAGCAGGAGAGAGTGAAATGCTGTGAAGGGGGAACTTACAAACACTTTTAAAACCGTCAGCTCTCATGAGAATTCACTCACTATCACGAGAACAGCATGGGGGAAACGCCTCTTATGATCCAATCACCTCCGTCACTTAACACTTGGGAATTACAGCCCCTTCCCTCTACAGGTGGGGATTGTAGTTCGAGATGAGATTTGGGTGGGGACACATAGCCAAACCATATCAAGCATTATCTCTTAGGACTTAAAAAATGAGAGGCAGGAGGTGATAGAGAATGTAATTATCTAGGTCTAAAATTGTCAAAGATGAGCGCCAGGCATAGTGGCTCATGCCTGTAGTCTCAGCACTTTGGGAGGCTGAGGTAGGTGGATGACCTGAGGTCAGGATTTCGAGACCTGCCTGGCCAACATGGCAAAACCTTGTCTCGACTAAAAATATAAAAATTAGCCAGGCATGCACACCTGTAGTCCCAGCTACTCAGAAGGCTGAGGCAGGAGAATCGGTTGAACCCGGGAGGCAGAGGTTGCGTTGAACTGAGGTCGTGCCACTGGACTCCAGCCTGGGCAACAGACTGAGACTCCAAGTGAAAACAACAATAACAAAAATAACATAAAATAATCAAAGATGAGGATGGCAACCTCAGTAGGCCAAGGAGAGTATACAAAAGATTTAAATCAGAAATGTTATGCCTAAGGTAAACAGAGAATTATTAACATAAATAATATTATAATTATTTAAAACAATTATAATTAATAATTATCATAATTATAAATAATTAAAAATAATTATAATTTAAAATTCTTATTTTACATTGATGGGAGTTCACAGAAAAGAAATGAAACTCAAAGAAGTGGCTTAACTCAGTGGCTTATATATTATTCTAAGAAAGCAAAGAAGGTTTGGGCTTTAAAGATTGATAAATTGTGGGGAAGTGACTAGAATATATACAGCAGAACTAATGGAAGATAAAGGTTATTTTAGCAAGGTCTGTTTATGCAGATTACTTTCAGTATCAGCTCTGTGTCTCTGATGATGAGTGCTCTCACCTTCATAATATAGGGAAGGGACACCTTCACAAAGACTTATACCCTGCTTTTAGGCAGACAAGGAGAGGGCAGAGAACCCTTCCTCCATCTGTTGATCGTTGATTGCCTTTGACTCAAAATAATCTTTATGCCCAAGTTGCATATTTCGAGGTGGCCTATTCTAATCCCCTTTATAACCAAAGATTCTAAAGTAGTAATTCTTGATATTTTTGGTCACAGGGTTCTTTATACTGTTAAGATTTATTGAGAATAAATACACCTTTTGTTCATGTGGATTATATTTATCAATATTTATTGTATTTGAAATTAGAACAAAATGTTTAAATGCTTAGTAATTCATTTAAAATAAAAATAATAAATCTGGTATATGTTAACATACTTTATGATAATAGCTATGTTTTTCATAACAAAAAATGAGAAGAGGTGACTTCTCTTTTACATTTTGTACATCTCTTTAGTGTTTGGCTTCACGGAAAATTACTGGATTCTCATATTTGCTTGTGCATTAAATTTGTTTTGACTTAAAAAATGGGCTTCAATGGAATACTATGCATTGTAACATACCCTTTCCTTTTATTGAATTCTGATTCTCTAAGCGCCATTTTACCATTTTACCATTTTGTAGGTTGTTGTAGGTAGCTGGAAAATGTGTAAATTCTGTCTTCTCTGTAAAGGTTTAAGTGTCTTCCCTTAAGCCCCATGAAAAAAACAGGTTTACCTCCATTTGCAATTTATTTTAACATTTATTTATATAAATTTGAGCTTTTTTGACTTTTCCATTAAATCAGTCTGGTTCTCTTAGCTAATGAGTAGAGCAAAATTATAAATGCATGATCATTTTATATCCAAAGTGAGTCATGATTTTACTTTTTTTAAAGATATTTTTTCAACAGTTCTATCTCTTGTTATGGAGGATTGGTAAACTCCACTGTATACGCTTTAGAGAATTTGAGTGAAAAAGAAAAATAATAACAAAGTATTAGTATGAAAATAGTTTTGACCTTGCAGACTTCTGAATATATTTTGATATTTTCAAATATCAAACCGTATTTCAAATGTCAGAACCATAGTATTGCTTCATAATTTTGAGAAGAGTTCCCTTACTTAACAAAGCCAATAAATAAAACGTTTTTTGAAGTAAAGTCACAAGAATGGTGAGGGGAATCCAAAATGTATCCTGATAGAAAAATTCAAAGAAACTGAATAATGCATTTAACATAGAAAAGAGAAAAAAATTTAACACATAATGTTAATACTTAAAAGTTTAAAAGGCTTTACATAGAAGACTATGCCTTCTCTTATAAAAAAGTGGAGTATGATTTCCCTCACATTAAATTCAGTGCAAATTTAGTGACTTGCTTCTTATGAGTTGATGGAGCAGGAAGTGACACGGAATGACTTCCACAGTGAGGTTATTCAAGGTGATAGAGCTTTCCTGATTGTCTGTTTGGACAATTATTCTTGGAACCCAGCCACCATTTCATGAAAAAAACAAGCTTAGTTCAACAAGGAGAGTCCACCTGTAAATGTCTGGCCTCCAGCCCCAGCTAAGGTCCAGTCAACAACCAGCAACAACCACCAGATGTTGTAACTGCCCAATGGGCTCTCCTGGCCCACTGCCCAGAAAATACCAATTTATCAAGACAAGGGAATTGCAATAGAGAAAGAGTTTTATTTCATGCAGAGCCAGCTGAACAGGAGACTTGAGTTTTATCACTTAATCAATCTCCCTAACAATTTGGAGACTGGGTTTTTTTAAGGACGGTTTGGTAGATAGGGGGTCAGGGAGTGGGGAGTGCTGATTGATTGGGTTGGATATGAAATCATAAAGAGTCGAACTGGATTCTTCTTGGTGTTTCCTGTTCCTGGGTGGGACTGCAGAACTGATTGAGTTAGATTACTGGTCTGGGTGGCACCAGCTGGTAAGTCAGAACACAGGGTCTTAAAAATATTTTGATCACCAATTTTAGGTTTTATAATAGTGATTTTATCCCTAGGAGTAATTGGGAGGCTCAGAATCTTGTGACCTCTAGCTGCATGATTCCTAAACCATAATTTCTTATTTTTGTGCCTAATTTGTTAGTCTTACAAAGGCAGTTTGGTCCCCAGGCAAGAAGAGGGCTTGTTTTGGGAAACAGCTGTTACCATCTTTGTTTCAAAGTTAAACTATAAGCTAAGTTCCTCTCAAGTTAGTTTGGCCTACACCCAGGATGAACAGGGATAGATTGGGTGTTAGAAGCAAGATGGAGTTGGGTAGGTAATATCCCTTTCACTGTCATAATTTTCTCACTGTTATACTTTTTGCAAAGGTGGTTTCCATGTCACACTAAACAAGACTTCAGCTCCCAGTTCTTGGTCTGCCCCAGCCCCGGCAAAAGCCAAGTAGTGCAGAGACAAGTTGTTAACTGTCAAGCACTGACCAACTGGTAAATCTGTGATCAAAATTTATATTGTTTTTTAACCAGTATGCTTTTGGGTGGTAGTGTAGTGAGACATATCCAGAACAAACAGCAATTACTTCTTAAAGGGCTATCACTAAATTTTTAGTGATAATAGCATGAAAATCAATTTTCGTTGATTATAAGAAGACTTTCATAGTGAAAATCTCGTAAAGGTACAGCATAGAATGAGAATATTGGTAGAACTGTGCCTAAGGTTATCATATAAAATTCCCTTATTTTTTAGAGAAGGAAACATGGACTGAACAAGGTCAGAAGATTTGTTCCTCTACTCCATAATGGCCCAGCCAGAATTAAACCAAAAAAGCCTGAATCTTAATCAGCTTCATTTTCTTTATTTTAATTGGGAAGCCTTGGGTTTTCTACAACCAGGGCCCTTCAAAGAGTGTGATTCCTTACTTGTCAGGAGTCTAGTATAAGGGAGTAAAGGCTTACATAGGGTTATTGCCTAAATAATGTACAAGGGCCTTTCTAACACTGACATATTACGATTCTATGACTTAAAAAAGAGGTGTTCATAGACCTATGTGAAATAAGGGTCTTCCCTCTAGCATACTTCTTACATTTCTCCCAGATTAGTAATTTATGTTTTTTATACTTTTAAATATTCTAGTATTTCAGTGGCTAATTATTTCCCAATGAGACTAGGGCTGTATCATGCATTTAAGTACTCAATGATTATCTTATTAATATTTGTTAAGAGCCTACATGTGCTCCATATTATGGCTATTAATTCCATCTCATCCAATCCATATTCCTCCAAATGTACTTTCATCTTATTCAATTTTTGTATTCATTCTATTTTATGCTAAATTTTACATATTTGAGGAAAGTAACAATTATTTCACTATTTTTATTAAATTATAAGTTAATTTTAAAAACTTGAAAAAAGTAGGAGAAAAACATATTGTAATTGTAGAAAGACACAGGAATTTTTGTCACAAGGCTACACTGGTGAGCTGGAAATAGTTAAACTGCTACTAAGTGGAATGTTTGCTTTTCTTTTCCATCATTGTGACTAAAATATATGAGCTGTTTAAGAAAAAAAATCAAAACAAAAAGAGCATTCTAATGTTAAATGCTACTTCTATACAAAATTTTAAGGAAAACAATAAAGCGTGGTAGTCAAGAGAGCAGATCAGTAGCCAAACTGCCTGGGTTTGTATCTCAGTGAGCCAATTTCCTCATTGTGTTACCTGGAGTCAGTAACATAATCTGTTTTCACTTTCTTCATTTGTAGAATGAGAGTGACTATAATATTACTAACTTCATGTGGTTGTTATAATGGTTCAAGCAGTTAATATTTGAGACAATACTTAGAACAATGTTTTGCCACATAGTTGTGCTATATAAGCACTTGTTAATTAAAATATGGAGATGTAAGACTTTAATTATACTCTTACTTTGTGTGATTCCTCAAAAGCCCAATTTTGTGGATTTACTTGACATTTTCTTCAGAAATTGATGAATAAAAGGCTTTAGAATTGACTTAATATCAGTAACCTGTCCTTTTCTTCTTTCTTAAGTCCTCTGAAATTTTATAACGGACATGGTTTACTATCACAATAGAATGATTTAAATTTAATCTATACTGTTCATTTAACTTTAATCTAGTTAAATTGAATATCTACCTCAGGGGTTTTGCTTTTGAGATCTTGTGAAAACTTTATTCACTCAAGGGGTGGAGTGAGAATATGTTTTCTAAATTTTTATTATATTTATAGTATTACCTTTCACTCATTTTTAATCTGCCTAAATTTACGTGCCCATCAGTGGGATAATGAAAATGTGACACATTCACACCATGGAATACTACGCAGCCATAAAAAGAAGGAAATTATGTTCCTTGCAGCAACACAGATGGAGATGGAGGCCATTATCCTAACCAAATTAACACAGGGACACAAAACCAAATACTGCATATGCTCACTTACAAGTGGGAGCTAAACAATGAGCACACATGGACATAAACATGGGAACAACAGACAGTGAGACTACTAGGAGGGGATGAAGGGAGTGAAGGGAGGGAAATGCAAGTCAAAAAACTCCCTATTGGGTAGTATGCTTATTAGCTGGGTGCAATATACCCACATAACAAACCTGCACATATAGCCCCTGTGTCTAAAATAAAAATTGAAAACAAATGTCTAACTTCTTATAAGGTATAAAATGGGCATCTAGATTTCTTAGTTTCCACATAATCAGCCAGCTTTCTCAATACCATCTTTTAAACTCTCCATATACCATACTCACTTTGTAATACACCAAGTATCTGTATGTACATGGGTCTTAATCTCACCTCCTGAATGATCTGTTGCTCTATTTCTATTTTTTTCCTGTGGCTTTTAACTTTTACAAATTTACAATAATAGCCATTATTTACTGACTAATTTATATTGCTTAGGATGGTAACTACAAGACTATAAAGTGTAATGACAAGTGTTCTTTAAAATAAACAAAAAAGTGAAAGAAATGCAGCCATTGAGGAATGAAGGGAGAAAAATGTGTCTGAAGAGAAAGCAGCAAACATTAGTCCTCACAGTAAAAGCTTATTAATTCTTAAAGTGAAACCATTGTTAGAATTAGGAGCCTAATCTCCACGAGACTGACCATATGTGACATTCAGACAGCTGTTTTAGCCCATTTCTGATCTATTTAAGAAACTAGCTTACATTTTCAATGCAAAACTTGATCATTAGCAGTAAACCCCAAAGAATTAGACATCATAACATGGAAATTTTCAATGGGGCCACGATGCTCTCGTGTCACACTGACAGGTGGAGTATGTAGAGCATGTCATCGTCACCTTCTCAGGCTTGGTTGTAGACCTGAGATAAGAAAGGGGGTGAATGAAGACTTTGACAAAAGGAACTAAATCAGTTTAAAAATGTAAATAACCAAAATGCTTCTTCGAACATGGCACGTATTTGTCAATGCACTGTTATCTTCAGACAACATTTCGAAAATGTATCCCTTTGTGTCTGCTGCTAATAGTGTAATCGTCCTTTATCTTGGATTTTCATAAGAATTCTGGAGGATTGGAGAAAGCCCAATTAATCAATGCCAGAGTGGATAATGATTTATGACCAGGGTGAAAATAGGAGTGCATACTTTTCAAGGCGGTCCCTTCTCTCCATTGACCAGAATTTTTTTTTTCTTTTTCTTGGAATGACTCCAAACATCTTGCTGGCAAAGTGGGTGATTTTTTGAGATAGCGAAGTTGTTTATTGAGCCACTGAGTTCAATCAGAATCAGTAACTCCTGCAGTACAAGGAAAATTGGAAAGAAAAAGCTTAGAGTAAGTCTTCAACTATGGAGTAAACTATTAGCTGGTTCAGCAAGTCACAGAATGGGCCTTGGAATGTGAACATGTTGTATATAGGGTGTGTGTTTGTGTCTGTCTGCTTTAAAATATATGGGATAGTCTCTACCTGTCCAAGCAGTTTCATTATGATGCCACATTTATACCCAGGTATTTTGACAGTATTGCTAGCATAGCACTCCCACCCAAAATAAAATATCTATATAGTTTTCCTTGCCTTCTACTTTTATCTTTCAAAATAACTGTTTCAAATATTCAGTCAGATTTTATCACACTTTGTTTCTAAATCATAAAATGTTTAAAAATACCACTTCATTGCTGTGTATCCTAGAATAAGATAATATCTTATTTTTTGATGAGTATTATAAGATACTACCTTTATACTGCTGAGATTCATGTTACACTTCTCAGCAAGAGCTACTGTAGGATGGTGAAATGAATAGCAATAAAGTTGGTGAACTGAATGCTGCTGTGCGTGTCTAACGTCTGAAAAAAAGTCTGCATTTATGAAAATACAAATTGGCTGTGAAGCTTGTAATTCTGGAATCCAAACATCTAGTATGTATGTGTCCTCTATGTGACCCAATATGATTTGAGAGACAGAATGAAGGCAATGAGTGGAAAGGGCAAGAATTGAGGAGGAAAACATTAGTGTTATTTGTAGATATTTGTGAAAGATCTTAGCCTGTTAAAGAAAGAGACTCAGAAATGAAACTACTGCTGAATTACCATCTTAGTAATGAAAGAAGAGAGAACTATTGCTATTTTACAGCAAAAATAAGAGTTAATTAATATCTAACACTGCCTTTGGTGTTGAGTAAATAGATGATTTCATTGTATCAAGCATTGTTGTGAATACTAACAGTGCTCCTTTTGTGAGAAGGGATAACAAATGATAGAGAGTTATGCCGGGTAGATCCGATCTGCTTACAGAGTCTGCTACAATCTGATATTTGATACCAAGTATCATTATGAACCATGTAAAAAAGGTTTCTGGGTCTCTAAAGCAAACTTGATGTGAGAACTGGAAACCATCTCTTTATATTCCTGTCCTGGGTATCTATCATGTGGTTTGTTCAATACTCTCCTTCTTCAGGAATTTCCCCTCTCCACTCAGAATTTCCTCAATAGTGGCCATACTTTACTTAGCCCATCTAAGCACCGTCATTGGTTCAGGGGTGAGAACCTGACCGAACCTAGTAAAAGTATAGTTCCCCAACTCCGGGCTGAAGTTCGTTGGTCCAGAATTGGAAACTCAGCCATACCAGATTAATTATGGTAAGTTCACCTCTAAGATTTGAAATATTAAGATGAAAAACATTATTAAACATTATTAAAATCCGTCCCTTCTACCATGTGGAAGAAACCCTTACAACTTTATATATCGAGAAAAATGATATAAATAGTCAAATGGAACCTCAGTTAACACACAGGGTCCTGACGTCCTTTAAGCCTTTTCTCTAGGAGTTCCTAAGCCTCAGCTGCACCCATGACCTTTCTATATATTGGATATTCATCTAGTTCTTTTGTTCTTTGAGCTAAAATATTTCCTGTTTTGTCTAATTAATTCAACTTGAGATTTTGTCACCTGCAAACAGAAGTCCCAACTAACATAATTTCCAAGGTCAATTGTTTGCAGACATTCTGGAGGGCAGCATTGTCTTCTAGCTGCGGTGTATGTATGTGTGTATGTGTATGTATATATATATATATGTGTGTGTGTGTTTCTGTGTGTGCATACACACATACCATATCTATTTACCTATTTATCTATCTATCATCTATCTATCTTCTATCTACCTATCTATCTATCTGTATAATGGTATCAGATGTATGTCTAGGATTGACTTAAATTTATTTTTTCCTTAACGAAATCATTTATATAAACCATACTGCAGGGGAGAAATAATCCCCAAGAGTGTTTCATGGTTAAATGTGACACAAATTAGCACAAACACAATTTTAGCTCTTTTATACGTGAATATGTCCAATAGAGACTATTTTATCCTTTTTCTTTTTATTCAAGTTCACCAAAATATTTGTAGGGTTTTTTTATATAATAAGTGAAAGTTGGCCGGGCACGGTGGCTCACGCCTGTAATCCCAGCACTTTGGGAGGCCGAGGCGGGCAGATCACGAGGTCAGGAGATCGAGACCATCCTGGTTAACACGGTGAAACCCCGTCTCTACTAAAAATACAAAAAAATTAGCCGGGGGTGGTGGTGGGCACCTGTAGTCCCAGCTACTCGGGAGGCTGAGGCAGGAGAATGGCGTGAACCCGGGAGGCGGAGCTTGCAGTGAACCGAGATGGCGCCACTGCACTCCAGGCTGGGAGACAGCGAGACTCAGTCTCAAAAAAAAAAAAAAAAAAAAAAAAAAAAAGAAGTGAAAGCTTAGCTAGATTGAACAATAATTTAAAGATAAACAATAATTTAAAGATAAAAGGAGGCTGAGGTGGGAGGATTGCCTGAGCCCGGGAGGTTGAGGCTGTAGTGAGCTGTGATGGCACCACTGCACTAGGCCTGGGTGACAAAGTGAGACCCTGTCTCAAAAAAAATAAAAATAAAAAATTATGAAAGAAAATAACAAATTAAAAATGGACAGATTTGAGTTGCTAATCTCCTTGCAGAGCAAGTTTCAACACCCTTTTCTCCCTTTTAGTTCGTATTTATTTACATATTAGCTTTCATATAGCAAGCACTGCACTGAAGAGGGAGAGTGTTGAACAGACCAAACAACAGGTATCCAGTAAAACTATGGATCTCCCAGTCTAGTGGAAGAAAGCAACAATGAATTCAAATGGCACAAACTCAAGGCATAAAGTGCAGCCTTCAGTCTGTGGCCAAAGGCCTGAGAGCCCCTGGCAAACCACTGGTATAAGCCCAACAGTGAAAAAGCTGAAGAACTTGGAGTTGGATGTTCAAGGGCAGGAAACATCCAGCATGGAAAAATGATGGAGGGCAGAAGACTCAACGAGTCTAGTCCCTCCATGTTCCTCTGCCTGCTTTTATCCTAGCCACACTGGCAGCTAATTAGAGGGCGCCCACCCAGACTGAGGGTGGGTCTGCCTCTCCCGTTTCACTGACTCAAATGTTAATCTCCTTTGGCAACACCCTCAAAGGCACACCCAGGAACAATACTTTGCATTCTTTAATCCAATCAAATTCACACTCAATATTAACCATCACAGTTAGTGATGGAGGCAAATTTTGAAATCAGACTAAACCCAGAATCTGGACTCTAAACATGATTTTGCTGCTATGCCAAAGAGCATCAACTCCAGCCAAGGAGGACTGGTAATGAAAGTGGGACCTTTCCTCAAGAAGGTCTTCATCAAAGGGGTGTTGAATTTTAGTTTCAATGGAAATGGGCTGTGATGATATGGGAAAGCCTAGAAGGTAGATGCCCTGGTCCTCATTTTACTATAAATGAGAGAAGAAAAGGAAAGAAAAAACATTTTAGATACTTTTATCCTGCTAAGGTTAACCTGCTTTTAGTCTCTCTCCAGTGCATTACTGTGTGTAAAAAGTTTGTCTCTACTCTCTTTTCACCATATGGTAATTTCTTTCTTCCAATTATCCATGACAGAATTTGGGGCTAATTCTTCATATATTTTTTTACCTCATGTGCACCTTCAATCAGCATTTCGGGGCACTAATCCCATTCATGAGGTTGAAAGTTTTATAACCTAATCACTTCCCAAAGGCCTCTCTTTCTAATCATATCACCTTGGGATTTGAGTTTCAACATATGAATTCTGAAGGCAGACATACACTGAAAGCATAGCAAGAGGGAAGAGGAAGATAGAGTTACTGGGTAAGGGGATGTGTGTCTAAAATTCAAGGAAATTTTAGTACTGGGAATAGGAGTGATATAGTTTGAATGTGTCCCCACCCAGCTGTCATACTGAAATGTAATCGCCCATGCTGGAGGTGGGTCCTGGTGGGAGGTCATTGGATCATGGGGCAGATTTCTCCTGAATGATGTAGCATCATCTTTCTTGGTACTGTCCTGGCAATAGTGAGTGAATTCTGGCGAGATCCATTAAAAGTGTGTAGCACCTCCCCTTTCACCCTCTTGCTTCTGCTTTCATCATGCAATGAAAAGTGCCTGCTCTCCATTCATCTTCCCCCATGATTGTAAGCTTCCTGAGGCCTCCCCAGTGGCTGAGCAGATATTGGCACCCTGCTTCCCGTAAAACCTGCAGAACCATGGGCCAATTAAACCTCTTTTCTTTATAAATTGCCAAGTTTCAGGTATCTTCCTTATAGTAGTATAAGAACAGACTCATACAAGGAGGCCAATCATAGGTATAGTAGGCAAAGTTCTACAGACAGTAACATTAGCTTTATCCCTAGAAGATAATAGGTAGCCAGTGTACATTACACTTTAGAGTTGTGTTGATCAAGGTGTGAGACAGTTGAGAATTTTTATCTTTACATTATCAATTATTATCTAAGGGCTGTGCCTAAAGTGACATAAATTATTAGGCAGAATACCACACCTGGTATTCCAACCCTCTATTTGTGCAGGTAGACTAAGCTCAACATTTTAAGTACAGCCCTATGACCAAGAGATGCAGGTTTTGGCTGCTGGAATTAGAGTGAATGGAATTGGTAAGGTCATTCCAGGGAATGTGTGTGAAGCGCAGACAGTGTCTGCTGTAATCTAACCATTTCAATGGTCAGGTCCATCCAGCCTTCACAAAAATTTATTGTACTGATGTTTCAGTATGACACCTGGTAACATTTCTAGAAAAAATAGACTCAAAATAAGAATTAGCAAATGATAGCCTCCACTATAGCATAACCTCTTCTATAGTTGTCCTGAGACTTAGACAAAATGCTTCATCTCCTTCCTCTACCATTGATTCTAGATTTTTCTCACCCTTAGCCAACACTTCTGTTGCTCTGGGTCAATTAAATAGTGGGGCGACTCATACTTTTATATATAGAGTGACTGAGCCCTTGTTTGACTATGGTCTGTTGATAGTTAAAATAAGGCTTGAGAACACTAAGGATGCCATAGTATCTCTGCAGAGTTTCAAACATACTACTTTCTGCTCTTTTATAAAGAAGTAATTCTACTTCATTATAATGATCAGAGTTAATTACACTTGCCAATATAACTCTTTTCTTCTCTGTTGGTCAATTGGCTTAAGAATCTCAAAATGACCAAATGGAAGCCATAGCTTTAGAACACTAGGCCTGTCAAATTTTAACTTTTAAGGACAAAAGCACAAATTCTCTAAATGAGTCACTGGGAATAATGATAACAGGGGCCACTCCTGCTTCTATCTCACTATTTTTAGACTCAAATATTCTAACTATCAGGAACACAGGAAATATTACCATTGGTTACAGTAATATACCACATCTAAGGGAAATTCTACAAACTAGTAAAATGTTGTCTATAAGTTGGAACTTCAGCCATGTCTTTGATTGCTTATTGCAACATTCTATCAGGCAGGCAGGCTCTGAGTGATCCAGAAAATAGTAGGGCCAGTAATTCCTTGGACACACCCTCTATGTGCACCCACTTTAGTGAAAAATATGTTCTTTGGTCTGAAAAAAATGATATGGAGGATGAAACGCTAGTAAATCAGACGTACTATAAGCCCTTAAATACTAACCAAGACATTAAGGTCAGGAAAGGAAAACACATACCAGAATATCTGTAAATTACTGCCATTCCATAGTGGATGTTGCCTGGTATAATCAACTTGCCACTAAGTGGCTGATTGATTCTCTTGAGAACTGAGAACATATCAAGGGTCCAACATCAATCTCTGCTGCCGATGAGTTGGATATTTAACAACAAGAGTAGCTGTATCAGCCTCGCTAGAATGAGACCATGCTTTTGGATCTGTGTGAGCTGGATATTTAACAACAAGAGTAGATGTATCAGCCTTGCTAGAATGAGACCATGCTTCTGGATCTGTGCATAGGCATCATCTCTTTTGCCAAGGCTACTTCATATACGGATCCAGTATGTAAACACTGGCATGAGTGACTACAGAGGGTAGTGGACATGTAGCAGATGACTCATCCTGTCTACCTGCTTGTTAAATGCCTCCTGTAGAGTGTATTTCCTATGATTGGCAATAATGTGGAATATGAAGATCTGTACAGTTCATGCCACTCCTATGCATCCATCCATCATATGTCTTTTCTCTTGACTTTCTCTCTAATCTTGCTCTTTCCAAGTCACTGATCAACCAGCCAAGCCATTTACCACTGGCCAGATGTCTAGTATGTCCTTACCGTAAGCCACTTTTTTTCTCCATGTAAGGCAGACCAGAGGTATTACACAAACTCTGCCCCCTGGGAAAATTTTTATTACCACTTATCTCAGGACCCCTTCTCTGCAGGGCTCTGATGTGACAAAAATGTCCAGATGATCAGGAACCCCTTGGAATGTATTGTAACATAGAGCAGGAGAGTTAAAATAGCCCTGATTAAGACTGGAATTTATACTATTGTCTTCCCTGACTGTAAATACATTCACCCCAATTGGTAATTCAGGGGCTGGGAAAGACCACAAGCTGAGTGTGTTTCTTCTGGTCTTGGAAATGGATTCCATTTATTGCCCAGCTTTCCACTAAAACAAGTAACCACATGGGATTTGGGGTCATCTGTATCATGATAGCTTGGATGACGTAACCCACAGCTTTTTAAAAATTCTGGATATTTCCCTTTCCCCAATGTACACAGATCTTTCTAGAGATATTATCTAGGTCCTGCAGTTACTTTTTTGAATAATCTCTGCTCTCACAGATCTTTCTAGAGAAGGATAAGTTGTATTGTTGATGTTTACACTTGCAGTAGCATTGCAGGGAACTTCCGCAAATGCCCCTGTATCTTCAATCAAGCTCAGTTCTGAAAACTGGATCTAGATGTGGGATAATGATTTTCCACTGGGGTTGTTAATGTGAGGCCATGTGCCTTCAACTCTTTTTGATTATTCATACTAAGCTATACCTTGCTGGTTGTCCATTTATCTGATTTCTAAAAATACTATGGTGTATTAGCCACCACTATACATACATGTGGGCCAGAACCCCCTTACTTCCATTCGAAACTTACTACCTATAGTAGTGAATACACTAATTCTGTGTCTGATAGTTGAATGCTGCCACCTGGCCTCTGTTACTCTGTAATCCTATCATCCCTATAACAACAGGGTGTTCAGTTTCACAACAGCATTTTCAGTCCTCAATATTGGCCTCCAGTGGGTAGCCATCACTCATTACTGAGCATCCCTTTTGCTGGTTTCTCCCTCACTAAGTATTTTTCTTAGTAGAGGAGTATCCTCTGGGCCCTCCTGGGGAACATAGTTATTTGGTAAGTAGTTTGATCTAATGTAGTACATTCATTCTTCTATGTACACCTCTCTGAGCATTTTTGCTTTTTCTTCAACATTCTGCCAAAGAAATTTTGTCATCTCCTGTTAATTTAATGTGGGTGCTAATTTATTTCCGACCTTCTAGGAGCCGTCCCAACAATGTATTAAGACCAAGTAGTTGCCAGGGTATTAAATCTGTATCATGGGAACGAGTCCCCATTTTATCAAACTCTTTTAATCCAACTTTATATACAACTCACTTAGTCCAGTATGCTCAAGGTCCACTTTTACTCATGTCCCCTTAGTTCTGCAGACAGAAAGTGGACCATGCTGATGACGAGGTCTGGAAGTCAATGGTGAGTCTAGCAGAACTACAAAGAATGCTGAATTCATAGCCTTGGTGCTACATATTATCTAGGTCCTGCAGTTACTTTTTTGAATAATCTCTGCTCTCATTTAGCAGAGTCAGTATTTCCCAGTAGGGCCATTCTAATACTTGACCCTAGTTATTGGGTCCTGGCTAGGAGGGCTACTCCTCAGAAGAGGTTTCAGCATAATCTTCAGGCAAAAGGATGCCTCCATGTGTTGTTAGAATCTTGTTATCTTTAAGCAAAGAATCTGGCCACTTCTTTAGACACAGAAGGCTCTGGTAATCTCTGGTCCAGTGCATTCAAGCACATCCACCCAAATATTTTCATAGGAGGTTTCAGGCTCCCACTCCTTAGCTTGCCAAGGCTATGCATTCAGCATTCTTCGTAGCTCTGCTATACTCACCATTGACTTCCAGGCCTGATCCTCAGCAGGGGCCACTCTCTGGTCACAGATGATGATGGTTTCTGCTTGTGCTGCCAGGGAAGTGTTTTCACTTTCTTAATATGCCTTGAGTTTGGTAACTGGTTAAGCTTAGTTTGTCATTTTCTTTTTTTTTTTTTTTTTCTTTCTTTTTTGAGATGGAGTTTCTCTCTTTTTGCCCAGGTTGGAGTGCAATGGTGGCATGATCTTGGCTTACTGCAACCTCTGCCTCCCAGGTTCAAGCGATTCTCCTGCCTCAGCCTCCTGAGTAGCTGGGAATACAGGCATGTGCCACCACACGAGGTTCATTTTTTTGTATTTTTGGTAGAAATGGGGTTTCTCCATGTTGATCAGGCTGGTCTCGAACTCTTGACCTCAGATGATCCGCCCACCTTGGCCTCCCAAAGTGCTGGGATTACCGGCATGAGCCACTGCGCCAGGCCTCCATTTTCTTTCTTTAGCACATTATGCAGTAAATAGTTGAATCCATTATTTCTTTCTATGAAACAAAGGTAATAACAACACAGAATTCACTGGACCATTATAAATATCAAAACAGAAAATCCAAGTAAAAGTATTTAGCATATCGTGTTTGGCTCATAGTAAACTATAAAAATTCACTCAGCTAGCACGGTACTAAGGTTCTGGTGGCTGTTCTCTAAAGATGGATCTCAAAGTACAAAGCCTCCCAGTATTCATGCCTTTGTATAATTCTCTTTTGAATCTTGGCTGACCCCGTGACTCGTTACAAATAGTATGTGACAAAAGTAAACTGCATGACTTCTGATGCTATGTCATAAGAACCCCGTAGTTCTACTTCAGTCTCATGGACACTTGCTCAAGGGACAGCGAGCTTCATGACACCACCATGTTCTTTAGAAGCCCCAACTGGCAACTTGAAGAGGTTGCATGGGTGAAAAAATGCCCGAGGAGCCCTAAATGTTGTCTGTCTCAGGCAGATGATAAACCTGTGATTGAAGATGATATCTTGTATGTTTAGCCAGAGGCCCCTGCCACATCTGACCATGATCTTATGTGCAACTCACAGAAAAAGTAAAGACAATAAACTGTTGCCTAAAAAGCACCCAGTTTACTGTGGTTTGTTGTATAACAATAGACAACTGAAATAGAGTTCCAAGCAAGTTATTAAATTAAATTCTCATTGTAAGATATGTTCATGGTTGCAATTCAGGTTATGTCCTTTCCCAAGTTCTTAAATAATCCTGAAGCTGGTTGATACAAAGGCTTTCTGTGATATAGGGTGTCAGTCTCTCATTTGGCTTATGTAGCTCTTATAATTCACTGGAACTCACTCCAGTTTCTTGACCATCTGCAATGAATGTCTATGTCTATGCCCAATCAAAACCCAGATTAAATCTGACATACTCACCGAGTAGTTGGAGTTAATTTGTCCTCCCTTGGCTCCCACTTATTACAGGAAGCCCTGTTCATTTAATTGTTTTCAAGCCACACATTCCTGTAGTTGGAAGTATTTTACATGTTGATAGTTATCTTCACTGACATTCACTAGCCTTGATATGCCAGGGAATTCTTAATGCAACTGAGAAACAAAGGCAATGCAGTTATGCAGACACTGAAATGTAAAATAACACTCCAGTGACTTAAAGAAATGGAATCAGTGTAGCCCTAATAAAATATGAAGGCTTTCTAGTCCCAGATCCTATTATCTCCAGTGATACTCTGGTTGTCAGTCTTTTAAAAGTGCAGATGCAATCCAGTTAGAAAAATGTCACAGCGCTCCTGTAACAATAGAGTGCTCTATCCTCACAGTAATAAAGATTTCCTCCATCAGTGAACATTGTTGTGTTTGGTCTCCAGCACTGAGACGCTTCCTCCAAAATCTCACAACTCCTTTGTTTGACAAGTGGGCTGATCTCACCTATAACAGCAGCAAATATCCTCTTTAACTTTAGTAACTTGACAAAATTAGATAAAAGAAATGGTCCAAGAAAAACAATCAACAACAAAGGCTGGAAGCTAGTGGAGCAACCTGACTTGGCATCTGTGTCCAGCACATGCCTAGATGGACTATTGTCAAGGCTTTATTGATGATAAATGGCAGAGAGGTCATTATTTCCCTGACCCCAATTGTAAAACCTCCTCATTCTTATAAGCACAGTCATGCCTGAAAGACATTTAAAGATATTTGTGACTGTCTAGGAACATAAGGGCTGCAGCTCCAAGCTTAATGAGTAGAAATGTCCTCTTATGGAAACAAGAGAGATACCCAAAGCCCCAAAACTTCAAAAACTTTTGACAGTAGAATAAGAGACTGAATTAATGGAAATAGAGGGCCTCAAACTAAGGGGAGTATTATTGAATAGGTTTCTTTATGGCTGAATCGTTAGTTGACGAGGAGTATAAATTTAAGTTAGAGATCTATTTATCTCCTAATATTTTAAAAAGGGTTTTTTGCATTGATTTTTCCTCCAATAAATATTATTCTATCAGTCCTTTGAAAATACAGCCATAGTGTCTGCTCATGCTTGAAAAAGCTGAAGGAAATAAATCAACAAATAATCATAAAACTAGAAGGAATTCTAGAATGTCACTTGTTCCATTCATTATTTTAGCTTATCCTTGATGACCTGAGCCCAGAGAATGAGTAATGTGAGACCACACAGCTCACCTGTGACAGGACTTGAACACGATTTCCTGCCTGTGGGTCTTTTGCTCATGCCATCCTGCCTCCTCAATGCTGAATATACCACAGATGCCATTTCCTTAAGTAGTAGTTGCTTTCTGTTATATTCATCTTTACGGGGCCAAAATCTCAGCATTGATTGTGATGAGAGAAGAGAGGGAGGAGAAAGGGGGCAATTTCTAGATTCACTGAGTTTAAGGGAAGGTAGAGTAAGCAGGAAGTTTATTATTATGCTTAAAAATTGCAAAAGATCAAACAAGGATATGTTATAGAACATCAGGGATTATTAACAAGGGATTTTACAAAAGCTTAACTTAAAATAGAGGACCTGATGTGGTGGGTCATGTCAGTAATCCTAGCACTTTGGGAGGCCAAGGCAGGTGGATCACTTGAGGTCACAAGTTTGAGAAGAGCCTGGCCACATGGTGAAACCCCATCTCTACTAAAAATACAAAAAAAAAAAAGAAAAACTAGCTGGCATGGTGGCTCGTGCTTGCAATCCCAGCTACTTGGGAGGCTGAGTCAGGAGAATCGCTTGAATCCTAGAGGCAGAGGTTGCAGTGAGCCAAAGTGGCTCCACTGTACACCTGCCTGGGCAACAGAGTGAGACTTCATCTCAAAACAAAAACAAAAACAAGTCAATGTATTCCCTGTTTTGAGGACCAAAAAACAAAACCTTATAAATATATCCAGAAAGATCTTTAAATCAGGTCACACCTCTGCTTTTGGGTGTAGTTTTGAAGCTCTCCCACACCCCAACCCACAGACTATATATTCTACTAGATACTATTTATCTCTACTCCCTATTGATTTATCCTTTTCTTTTTTTTTAACTTTTATTTTAAGTTCAGGGGTACATGTGCAAAATGTGCAGGTTTATGATGTAGGTAAACATGTGCCACGGTGGTTTACTGCACAGATCATCCCATCACCCAGGTATTAAGGCCAGCATCCATTAACTATTCTTCCTGATGCTCTTCCTCCCCAAAACTCTCCAAAAGGTGCCCAGTGTGTGTTGCTCCCCTCCATGTGTACATGTGTTCTCATCAATCAGCTCCCACTTAGAAGTGAGAACATGTGGTGTTTGGTTTTCTGTTCCTGCATTAGTTTGCTGAGGTTAATGGCTTCCAGCTCCAACCATCCATGTCCCTGCAAAGGACATGCTCTCATCCCTTTTATGGCTGCATAGTATTCCATGGTGTATATGTATCACATTTTCTTTATCCAGTCTATCACTGATGGGCATTTAGGTTGATTCCATGACTTTGCTAGTGTAAATAGTGCTGCAATGAACATACATGTGCATGTATCTTTAAAATAGAATGATTTTTATTCCTTTGGGTATATACCCAGTAATGGGATTGCTGGGTTAAATAGTATTTCTGCCTCTAGGTCTTTGAGGAATCACCACACTGTCTTCCAGAATGGTTGAACTAATTTACACTCCAACCAACAGTGTAAAAGTGTTCCTTTTTCTCCACAACCTCAGCAGCATCTGTTGTTTTTTGACTTTTTAATAATCACAATTCTGATTGGCATGACATGGTATCTCATTGTGGTTTTGATTTGCATTTCTGTAATGATGAGTAATGTTGAGCTTTTTTTCATGAGTTTTGTCCTCATGTATGTCTTTTGAGAAGTGTCTGTTTGTCTTTTGTCCATTTTTTAATAGGTTTTTTTTCTTGTAATTTGTTTAAGTTCCTCGTAGATCCTGGATATTAGATCTTTACTGCTCAAAGTAATTTATAGCGTCACTGTTATTCCCACTAAAATACCATTGACATTCTTAACATAATTAGAAAAAACTATTTTAAAATTCCTATGGAACCAAAAAAGATCCTGGATAGCCAAGTCAATCCTTAAGCAAAAAGAACGAAGCTGGAAGCATCATGCTACCTGACTTCAGGCTGCAGTAACCAAAACAGGATGGTGCTGGTACAAGAACAGACACATAGACCAATGGAACAGAACAGAGAACTCAGAAATAAGACTGCACACCTACAGCCATCTGATCTTTGACAAAACTTACAAAAACAAGCAATGGGGAAAGGATTCCTTATTTAATAAGTGGTGCTGGGAAAACTATTCTAGTTCTTCTATGCTAGTTCGGCTAGCCACATGCAGGAAATTGAAGCTGGACCCCTTCCTTATACCGTATACAACATTTAACTCAAGATGGACTAAAGACTTAAAGGTAAAACCTAAAAACTATGAAAACCCTGAAAGAAAATCTAGGCAATACCATTCAGGAGATAGGCATGGGCAAACATCTCATGAGAAAAATGCCAAAGCAATTGCAACAAAAGCAAAAATTGACAATGGGTTCTAATTAAATGAAAGAACTTCTGCACAGCAAAATAAACCATCATCAGATTGAACAGACAACCTGCCAAATGGAAAAAAATTTTGCCTTCCTTTTAATATTTCCAAAAGAATTTTATGGGGGTTTATCAATACAGTAATGTTCCGAGGTAAATAATTGCTTCTCAGAGCCCCTTATTGAGGGGATCAGGTGGGATGGGAGGGCAAGAAGATTTATGTGACATCATTAGGTTGAGATGTAGCTGAAGTCATGGGGGAAGGACTCTGGTAAAGCTCTATCATTCCAAATAAAACATGTTGGCTGTCATGGTCATATTGTCTTTCCTCTTCCCCCTGCCGGAAGTACAATTGACCCTTGAACAACCTGGGTCTGAACTGCATGAGTGCACCTTTATGTGGATTTTCTTCTGCCTCTGTTACCCCTAGACAGCCAGATTAACCCCTCCTCAGATCTTTATGATGATCTACTTCCTCTTAATGAATAGTAAGTATATTTTCCCTTTCGTAGAATTTTCTTAGTAACATTTACTTTTCTCTAGCTTACTTTATTGTAAGAATACAGTATGTAATACATATACAAAATAAGTGTTAATATACTGTTTATGTTATGAGTTAGGCTTCTGGCAAATAGTAGGCTATTAGTTTTGGGGAAGTCAAAAGTTGTATGCAGATCTTTTGACCATGCAGGGGTATCAGTACCCTCAGGTTATCCAGGGGTCAACTGCATATGTGTGATGTCTGCATTTGTAACAGTCTCTCTGCAACCACGAAGGACAGGCATGACTGATCCCCTGAACCACATCCAACAACTACCTGTTATGAGCTTTCTTGCCATGTGATTAAAAAAAAAACAACATTGAGACCATCCTGGCTAACATGGTGAAAACCCATCTCTACTAAAAATACAAAAAATTAGCCAGGCGTGGTGTCGGGCACCTGTAGTTCCAGCTACTCGGGAGGCTGAGGCAGGAGAATGGCGTGAGCCCGGGAGGTGGAGCTTGCAGTGAGCCAAGATCGCGCCACTGCACTCCAGCCTGGGCGACAGAGGGAGACTCCGTCTCGGAAAAAAAAAAAAAAAAAAAAAAACCCAACAACAACTCTTCATTGTTTAAGCTATTGTCCTTGGGTTTTCTGTCATGTGTAACAGATTGTATTCTAACTGACACATTTTTCTCAAGGGGCCATCTTTATATACTCACATTTTTAAATATTCTGGCCCTTTTGAAATGAATGTCTTCTCTTTCACTATCTGGAAACGTTTTATTCTACTTTCAAGAGAAGGGTCAGCCATAGCTTTCCTGTTGAATCCTCCCTTAGGTTCTCCATGAGTTAATTCTATACTATTATGTGTCCTCATTGCTATTTGTATTCATATTCATCAGATACTTGTTATATGTTAATTATAATTTTGTATACAACCCGCATGTCCCATTTGGGCTCCATAGACTCTAAGGTTGTATTAACGTTAATATTCATTTTTGCTACCTCAGTTCTCACCACATTTATAAAGACAGTTCCTGGAGAGACAAACCACCTATCTCTCAAATATACCGGGCATTACATAGTGCAAGGATGAGTCTTTGCCTCTCGGTGTGACTGTCTTAGCCTCAGGTCTCTTCTGGTCAACTTCACTATCTGCTGCAGTGGCTGTTGATTCTAATGAGTATCTTGCCTGCCTGCTCTGCCTGCCACAAAAGTTTCTTCATTTTTCCTTTTGGGGAAATGCTGTCCTAATCTGGGTATTGAAATCTAGTGCAGCCCAAAACTGCCAAAGCATCAAAGTGACAAAATTGTGCTTTGCTTCCAAGTGAAAACTCATTGCCCACTTTAGTCTCTTCCAACTGCAGCACAAATCCAGTCCTATGGTCATATGGGAAACAAGACGGCAATACAGCCTAGCTACCCCTTTATGTTTCTCCTCTATCTTCTGTTTTCTTTGTAACTCAAACATAAATCTTTCATCCTTTTTCTTTACCACTAAAGAATCCACATGTTTTGGACACCTGGAGTAGTGATCATTTAACCATACATTTCACATACAGACAGGTTGCAATTCCCAAGTTGATGTCAGCTGGGATACCCTGATGTATTTGTTTTACATCTATTTATTTTACAAGGTTGTAAGTTCCTCTAAAACTTGGAGCATTTAGGTTTTGTTGTTGTTGTTGTTTTTAGTTTGTTTGTTTTATTTTTCTTTCTATTGCCTTCCACAACATCTGGCATACAGTGAGTCCATGATTAATATTTATTTAATGAATCCAAAAGGCTGAGATGAGTTAAATGACAATGTCCCAAGCTGTCCAACTAGTTAGTAGTAGAGTCAAAATTAGAAAAAGTTTCTATGTCTTCCAAGCCCGGACTTATTACTCTTTAATAAGAATTGGAAAATTAAGAATAGGTTTGTTTCTTACAAAAGAAAACATGTCTTTCTTGCAGCTAAATCTAGGTATTATAGTTTAAGACATAAACAGGAGTTATCAATTTCTATACATAATTTTTGCTCTGTCCAACAATCTTGGGGTGCCATGTAACTTAAAAGCCCATAGATAATCCTACAGTGGAGGCCAGCTCTGCTTCTTATAGAGAATTTGTAAGATCCAAACAGAACTAGTGGTCTACTGGTTGCTATAAAAAAATAAATAATCATGGGTAAGATTAGTGTACATAAAAAAGCATCTCACTTTCATATGTCCACACCCACTCACCCACTCATATACATTATCTCCTTATGAACATTTTTCAGCAAACTCAGAAAAGACAGCTAAGAAAACTAACAGAAGCAAAAAGACAGTAATCAATACTCAAGTTGTCCTGGCAACTGGTGGTGGGGAAAAAAGCTACTGCCAAATCATTTGAATAATGACAATAGTCTTCACTGAGAGTCCTACAGTAGCACCATTTGCCATCTGGCTTAAAGAAAAAGAGAGATAAGCAGTGCATTATAACAGCAGTGCATTGTGTTATTTGATTCCTGCTTCTCCCCTGTTCCTCAAACCCAGGCTTCTGACCTAAACTAATAGATTCAGTTTTTTTTTTTTTTTTTTTTTTTAAGGCAAAATCTAGATAGGCTCTATTAAGATGAAGATGTAGAATTGTTTTTTCTCTTTTTAGTATCTAAAATTTTAAAACGAGGCTTGTACTAGTCAGCTAGGGCCACCATAACAAAATACCATAGACTGGGTGTCTTAAACAACAAAAGTGTATTTTCTCACAGTTCTGGAGGCTAAAAGTTTCAGATCAAGGTCCAACAGGGTCAGTTTCTGGTGAGGGTTGTCTAAGCAAATCAGAAATGGAATGAAGGAAGGTTGACAACGTGATTATCTTTCAAGAAAATAAAAGAATTACCCTGCAGACATTTTAGAGACCATCAGGGCTGCTACTCCCATCACAGGTTCAGGGGAAGTCTGTTTTGTCCTTCATTTTAGTGGGCTAGGCAGAAAGTGACCAACCAGTAACTTACCCCTACAAGTCAGAAAGAGAGTGGTCATTTTATGGTTATCTTTTTTTTGTTACATGGCTTTTGCTAGGTGCTTGCATGTGAAGAAAGAGAGATCTCTTTCTTTCTCCTCCTTTTCTTGTAAGGCCATTAATTCTATCAAATTATGACTCCTACCCAAATGGTATCATTTAAATTTAATTATCTTTTAAACTTCCTATTTCAATATACAGCAACATTATGACTTTGACATATGAATTTTCGGGAGACATAATTTAGTCCATAGCTTAAAATTCACGTTCTTTTTGCATATAAAATACATTTATTTCACCCCACAGCCCCCTGAGTCTTAACTCGTTCCAGTGTCAACTCTGAAGTCTAAAGCCCAATGTCTCATCTAAATAACATCTAAATGGGTGAGACCTGAGATACAATTCACCCTAAGGCAAAATTCCTCTTCAGCTGTGAAGCTGTAAAAGCATACAAGTTAGGTGCTTCCAACATATGGTGGTGGGACAGGGATAGGACAATCAACCCCATTTCACGAGGGACAACTCAGAAAGAATACAAGGGTGATGGGTCCAAAACAAGTCCAAAACTTAGCCAGACAAATTCCAATAGCTCTTAGGGCTTGCAAGCCATTTTTTTTTTTTTTTTTTTTTTTGGTTTGATGTTCTGCATTCCAGGGCCACTGACGCAGCAGCATAGCCCCACCAGCCCTTCCCCTTTGCTTTGTGGGCTGACCCTGCCCATATGATTTGGGGAGGGTGCTGCCCCTGGGGCTTTTCATGGTGGCCGCCTGGCCCACTAAAATGCAGGACAAAGCAGACTTCCCCTTGGTCTATGATGGGAGTGGTGGCCTTGATGATCTCTAAAATTCCTGCAGCGTCATTCTTTTGTTTTCTTGAAAGATAATCATGTTCTCAACCTTCCTTCATTCTATCCTATTTTTTTCTCTTTCCTTTAATTGCAGCAGGCAGTATTTCTGCTGGTGTAATCCTGGCTTCTGCTGAAGTAGTTGGTTAAATTCATGGTTCAACCCTTGTTGATTTTCTTATCAAATTGTTGTTAGGCAACACCCTCAGTGTTAACTTCAAAATAAACTTTGTCATTTTTGCCATATGAAGAGGGTGAAAATTTTCCAAATTCTTCAAATTCTAGTTCCTTTTTGTTTAACAATCTTTTCTTTAATTATTCTCTCTCCTCTCATATTTTGCTATAAGCCATAAGGGGGATCCACGCTGCTCCTTCAACACTTTACTTAGAAATCTCCTAGCCAGACACTTACTTTCATCACTCAATTGTTCTACCATTTTGTGAAAAGTAGAATAATAGGACATGTGAGTGTTGAAATTAAATGTTTGGCTGAAGAGATTTCCAAGCAGAGTGTTGAAGGAGCAGCTTGGCTCCTCATAGATAGAGATTTCTAAATGACTAGAACATGAACAAAATTCAGACAATTTCTTTGTCATCTTATAACAAGGATCACCTTTCCTCCAGTTTCCAATAATCTGTTCCTCATTTCTGTCTGAGATCTTGTCAGACTGACCCTTAATGTCCATATTTCTACCAACATTCTATTCATTATTATTTATGTATCTCTATGAAAATGGAGGCTTTCTCTTCAACTCTTCTCGTTTTCTTTCTGAGCTCTCACTGAAATCACCCCCAATGTCCATATTTGTAGCAATACTCCCTCCACAACAAGCATAGCTTTTTCTAGCGTGTACCTCACAACTCCTCCAGCCTCTATCCACTACCCAGTTTTATATACAAGTCAAAAAGAAAGGTCTCGAAAGAAACCAATCCTGCAGATACCTTGATCGTGGGCTTGTAGCCTCCAGAGCTGTGAGAAGATAAATGTATGTTGTTTAAGCCTCTTACGTCTGTGGCACTTTGTTAGGACAGTCCTAACAAACTAACACAGTGCAGACTTCAATGATTATTCATAGAGTTTAGTGCTACTAACTTCATTTGTGCTAAGAAAGTTGCAGTTTGACTCACCTCTGCTTTTGCATTATCCTTGCAAATATCAAGTTAGTGAAAAAGACAAATGAGATGTTAGTATTATTATGAAAGTACTGTTGCCCTCATGTTCTCTCTGAAAGTGTCTTGAGAACACCTAGCATACTGGAAAGATACTTTGAAAACCACTGGGTTATCTATATTATACACTTTATTCATTATCATTATTATTTCTTGCCTCTCTCATCAGGGAACTGCTAACTCCATCTTTTCTAAGTGTGATGATTAACATATATCTGGCAAAATCTTGAGATATCTTTTTCTACTGAAATTTTAAAGAATCTGTGTAAACACTAATTTTTGAAAAAAACCACCACAAATAAGTTTTCTTTGACCAATTTGTAACTTCCCAGTGGATTCATTGTGCTTGCCACCCAGATGGAGTCATTTAGCAAGACAAGGGAATTGCAGTAGAAAAAGAGTTTAATACACATAGAACACTAGCTACAGCCTCCCAAAAATTCAGAGGCTAGGACTTTTCAAGGATAGTTTGGCAGGCAGCGGCTAGGGAATGGGTGTTGCTGATTGGTTGGGGATGCATTCATAGGGTTGTGGAAAACAGTCACCATGTGCTGAGTCTGCTTCTGGGTGGAGGCCAAAGAGGTGTCACTGGTCCATGTGTGCCCATCTGGCTGTCATAAATGCAAAAGCCTGAAAAGACACCTGATATGGTTTGGCTCTGTGACCCCACCCAAATCTCATCTTGTAGCTCCCATAATTCCTACATGTTGTGGGTGGGACCCAGTTGGAGATGACTGAATCATGGGAGCATGTCTTCCCTGTGCTGTTCTCGTGATAGTGAATGGGTCACATAAGATCTTATGGTTTTAAAAATGAGAGTTTCTGTGCACAAGGTCTCTTTTTGCCTGCTGCCATCCATGTTAAGATGTGACTTGCTCCTCCTTGCCTTCCACCATAATTGTGAGGCCTCCCCAGCCATGTGGAATTGTAAGTCCAATAAACCACTTTCTTTTGTAAATTGCTCAGTCTAGGGTATGTCTTTATCAGCAGTGTGAAAACAGATTAATACAATATCTAAATAGCCCAATCTTAGGTTCTACAATAATGATATTTACAGGAGTAATGAGAAGTTGCAAATCTTGTCACCTCTGGAATAATAGCTGGTAATCATTTAACTATGCCTGTATCTTAGCAGTATTCAGGCCTCTTTCATCCTCCTAACCTCATGGTGTTTCATTAGTTTTACAAGGCAGTTTAGTTTGGGGAAGGGCTATTACCATTTAAACTATAAAATGAATTTCTCCCAAAGTTAACGTGGCCCACGCCCGGGCATGAGCAAGGGGCAGTTGAGAGGTTAAAGGCAAGGTGGGGCCAGTTAGGTTAGATCTCTTTCACTGTCATGATGCTCTTGCTGTTATATTTTTTGCTAAAACGTTTCAATATCTCTAAATTAAGAAAAAATTGAAGATAGCTTTAAAATTCAATGCCACGCCTTTGTCTTGAAGAAATTTAGTCAAAAGAGGTGAGTAAAATTTGGGCAACATTATTTCATAACTAATTACATTTATTTCATTTCAAACTCATTCACTGCAACCGCCCTGGAAATATCTGACAGCTTGTGTTAAGTTATATTAATCTGTATTTTTAAACCTGTACTTTTTGGGCAGATTATTTCTTGCATCCAAAGTATTAACCAATATACAAGGAGTATTCTAATGACAATTTTAAAATGAAAATTGTATACATTTTTAAACTTATACCTTTTTTGAATATGAACCTTAACAACTTGGACAAATTATTAGAAAAAAATAGATGTGTATTCTCTTATTATAGTAAGCATAAAACCAGAATGATTGTTAATGAGCGTAGCCTTGCTTCCAGAGAACTGTTGTTGAGCAGTCGCTGTACCAAACAAACCTAGTGTGCACAATTATCAACATCTAAATGGAGTCTCTTAGATTCACTCATTCAACTGATGAGCTGCTTTTTTTGGTGTTTGTTTTGAGAGTGTATTGGATGATTTCTGGTGTGCTCAACAGATTGAAGTACATATTCTATGACATAAGCTGAGCTTCTTTAGAGATAAGATCTTTCCTGGGAGCACATTCAGGAACCATTTTGATCTTAAAGGCAATTTCTTTCATTAAACACAGCACTCAGGCATTTTGATAAATGCTTAAGATGATCCAGGTATCTTCTCCCAGGAAAATATTGACTCAATCTACTCCCTAAGTATATGCTGCTTAAGTGGATTGACCATTCCAAGTAAAAAATATTGGTCTACTGTTCACACTTTAACACCACCAATATGATTGCCTTGGATAAGATAATATTTACTGCGACTACAATTCTTAGCTTTTCAAAAAGATTTGCATTACAAAATGGTCTATTTGAAAAAGAGTCCTCAGACTTTTGCAAAGCTGTGGTTGAAGATAGTGCTACTCTCTTACCCAGCTTTTCTACAAAGTCTTTCCTGATAAATTTCTTTTTATTTGAGATTTTAGCAGAATAAATATGTTTGCCTCTTCAGGGCAATTTCATATTTACTTAGACATAAAAAGTAAAGTGATGCTTTAATGTTTCGCTCTTACATGGGTTTAAGTCCAAAACTTACTATTCAACAACTACATTCCTAGTAGCTTCTACACATGTTTTTGATGCCCTCTATTCTGTTTCTGCTACTAGTTTATTCAATATGTTTAGACTTTGGGCTCTTAGATAGGGTATTACTCAAATGGAATAGATGATTTAACAGAAAAAGTTGCAATGCCATTCAACTTAATATGCTAAAATAATTCAATGGGTGTCAGTATATTCAAATCAGTTCAATATTTCGGCAACCCCTCAATTCAGTGTTCTGTCAGAAACTGGCAATTGCAAAGAGAGTATAAGAGATGGCGTTTTAGTGCTGAATATTTTTAAATACCCTGCAATCTTTATTAGGAAATGCTCTCTCTCAAGCCTCAAAAGGTTAGAAAAATAAAAATACATGTCTTCAAGGGAAAAAAATACTTATAATAGCACTAAATTTAAACAAGGAAAACCTGAAATCCCTGATGACAAGCTATAACTAGAGAAATATGTCAAAGAGAATGTTGAGCAGGTATAGTTTATGCCTGGAGAACTTATCTAGCAAATCCATGTTCAAGTGTACGTTGAATATTGCCCCTAAGTCTCATAACAAGTTTGTTTTGTCAGCAAGGAGTTTTGTGCGCAGTTTGTATGTGTATGTCTATGAGAGCTGGCGGGTGTTACAAAATTAAAGTTATTGTGCATTTTAAAACTATGGGGTCATTTCAGAAGATACATTTGCAGGGAATAGATGATTAATTATATTTTGCCGTTTCATAATTATCCATATTTAGTCTTATGCTCTAATTATTTTTCTTTTTTTTTTTTTTTTGAGACGGAGTCTTGCTCTGTCGCCCAGGCCGGACTGCGGACTGCAGTGGCGCAATCTCGGCTCACTGCAAGCTCCGCTTCCCGGGTTCACGCCATTCTCCTGCCTCAGCCTCCCGAGTAGCTGGGACTACAGGCGCCCGCCACCGCGCCCGGCTAATTTTTTGTATTTTTAGTAGAGACGGGGTTTCACCTTGTTAGCCAGGATGGTCTCGATCTCCTGACCTCATGATCCACCCGCCTCGGCCTCCCAAAGTGCTGGGATTACAGGCGTGAGCCACCGCGCCCGGCCTTATTTTTCATATTTTTAAGCTGTTCTGTTCTTCATCTTTAATAATAGATAACTAATAATTCACTAGAGTACTGGTAGAAGGCAGAATAGGTGAGAGGAAAGCTGGAAAGACCAAGTTATGCTTTGAATTCCATTTTTGTCTACTAAGTTTTACTGCACACCGTTACCTTGGTTTTCATTCATCTGCTCTGTGCAGGATATAGATTCATTTGTGCTCCTTGAACTTGTGCTCCTTGAATATGGCTGGTTCTCAGACAGATTATTGTTGCAGGATTTATCATCATTGTGTATTGTTCTTAACTTTCCCTAATGAAGTTCCCATTCCAGCCCTGGGGTCTGGTTTGGCTCTGCTGCATTCACTTGCACATGTGTAGAAAGTCACCGTGACCCATTTGTGATTATGCTCATCATAACTGGTGTCATTCTGGTTTTGTCTGGTATTTCCTGCTGTTGTTCACATGCAACTGCATACTTTGTAAGTGGAAATATTTCACACTCTATTATGGATTATTTATTTTAGGCAGATGTTTATTTTAAGCAGATTTAGGCTTCTATAATGTTCTTTATTTTGACTCTTACTGCATGCATGGCAAATGTGGATATGTAGAATTTGAAGGTAGAATGCACTGTTCTCATTTCCAAAAGCACAAATCCCCTTTGAGGATGAGATGTCCTTATCTGCTCAGAATGAAAACAGGAGCATGCAAAGTAGACAAAATAGCCTCTTTGCCTGTATTCCTTCAGGTCTTTATTCACTCTAGGTGTTATTAGTCTACTTCTTTTTAACCCATTCATCCTTTTCTTCATTGTATTGCCCCACTATATTTCCTGTTGTTTTCTAAACACGTGTGCTATTGACTGGTTAATTATGCTGTGCTGCCTTACGAACCAGTGCTTTTGTACAGGGGAAGTTTAACCTTCATTTAACTTCTTCGTTGGGGTGAAATAACACTCTCTACAGTGTTAGTCAGTCTGTAATGCCTGGCTTGACGCCTAAAGTCTGAATGGGGTGTCCACCTTCCTTACCCTACTGCAATAGTATATTGCTTATTTATCATATCTTGGATACTCCTGAATTCAAATGTTGGTTCAAATGACTGGTTCCTGTATTAGACTACAGTTTCCCATTGGCTAGAGACTATATTGTGTCTGCTTCCTCTCCTCTAAATTATCTTTCTATTAATTGTTCTCATTCAAGGCCAAAGTCAATTCCCTTTATCACTGACATTTCACCTGACCACACCAACCCTCAATGCTCTCTTCCACTTGTCATCTCCCAAAATTGATTTCTGCAACAATTTAAATTTTATATGGTTTTCTTCACTTTCTACTTGTAAAATAATATTCACTCTATGCCTTATGTCACCCCAACTAGTTTATAACATGATCACATTAAATGTAACTGGCTGCCCCCAACTACATTGTGCCAACCACAATACTATGTATACAATGTGTGTTCGTCTGTTTAAAAGGAACATTTGGCCATTTGAACAACAAAATATCTATTTCTTCATAAATGCATATATGTATGTATATATGTGATGTGTATAATAGAAATATATACAGTCAGGCCTCCACATTCACAGGCTCCAAATCCTCAGATTGAACCAACCATAGATGGAAAACATTTGAAAACAAACTACAATAAAAATAAAAATAAAACAATAAAAATAATACCAATTAAAATATAGTATAAAATGATTTACATAACATTTACATTGTGTTAGATGCTATAAGTAATGAAGAGATGAGTTGAAGTATATAGGAGGATGTTCATAGGTTATATGCAAATACTACACCATTATATTTAAGGTATAGCATCCACTGATTTTGGTAGGAATCCTGGAACCAATTCTTTGTGGATCTTGAAGGATGACTCAGCATGGGTACATAAGTGTGTGTATACATATGTATACATGTAAATGCACCTATGTAATTTGTCTAGGAGAAATAGAGATTATTTGAAGTATTATTCAGCCTATGATATTTGTCTCAATCCCCGTAGTTCTTGTTAGGTTTCCCTTTTTCCATACTTTATGACTATGGGTATTTTTCAATCCCCATCCTATCTTGGTTGGATTCTAATGAATGAAAAGTATTTTTATGTATGTATATTTGTATATTTGTATATGTGCATGAATATGCATATATGTGTGTAGCTCCTAATACAGTTTTTGGCTACTTAATACATTTTAAGGTTTATAATTATTTTTACTTGGAATATTAGAACAAATCTAAAATATCTTTGCACGTGAGCTTCAACTTTTAAATAATAACTATTCAAATGATTTTAGTGGGAATTAGTTGATATGGACATTTAACACACATATTTCTTTAAATGTGTACTTTGTTGTCATATGTATATGGGATTTGTTTTATACATTTTTAGTATACTTGTATAAGATAGGAAAAAATAGCATCACCAACATTGATGGAAACGGTGTCTTAATTCTTGGTAGGTGGTTATTTGCAAAGAGATGCTTGCACAGTTATTGAAAATGTTGTAGTTCCTTTTCTTAAGTTGAATACATAGTATTCTAGTGTGTCGTTTGTTCAGACTGCCACCATTTGTCTGTTCCCTCTTTTTCATTAGAATAACCATTCATTGCCCATCCGTAATTGTTCTCATATTACCTATGTCGGGACATGTTAATCTATTGATTGCATCAGTCTATCATCATTCAAAATTAATCAAGTAAATTTAAATTCTTACTTCTCACATCCCACTTTAACTTCCCTCACTTCTTTTGTCCTCATAGCCAGTGAAAGTTCACGTAATGGTTATCTTCATCTTCCCTTTGTTACTTCTATATTTAACCATTTCTGGATATACGAATTTTCATCATTACTAGTTAGCTGTATTTCAAATTCCACTGGTACTTAGCTCTGTATTATCTTAATGAGAAATTATAAGCCCTCTTTTCCTACATTTTGCATTACTCGCTACTATTTTAAGCAAAGTACCTCTTCAGGGAGAAACTATTAATAATCAGACAGTAGCTTTTAAAAAATTATCCTTTTGTGAAATCTTTCAAAATATATTATACTTTTGAAATCTGATTGAAGGTCAGTAGCTAGGGGTGGGAGGAGACAGTAGGTGTATTTCCATGCTTTAGTTTTAGCCTAATGATTTCAAGAGCTGACAATACACAAAAGCATTGTAGAGAAACTAAAGAACATGATGCAATCTTACCTGTTGCTACAGGACTGAGCACTGATCTCAAATAAGGTTTGGAAACATAATTTAATTAATGAATTTCTCACTGCACATTTCTTTTATCATCTGCACATTATACATAGAATTTGAATGATTCTTTCCCATGACTTAATATTGATTTTTAAAAGACCACAGCAAGACATGGCATGCAAAGCCTTTGGGGCCACTAATATAGAGTCTAGGGGCAGGATAAAGTATGATACTTCCTAGGAGACTATTTTTTAAAGCAGATTGTACATAGTACTGTTTCATAAGATGCTCCAGGACAAAGGATTTTATGTCATATAAGATTTGAACAGATTTGTAAAGGATTCAAGTAGTAAAGAAATGTCTTCATATATTCAACTATGGAACTTCAATTCCATTATTGTCTTATTCATTTTAAAAATACTATTAAAATCCTGTAGACTATTTTTGAGAAAGACTAGATTTTATGATGGGTATGGAGGATTTGAATGAAGCTAATACAAATTTTACGGCTTGGAAATTTATTTGAAGACCTTGCTTATTGGCTCTTTCCTCTTAGCTTCAAAACATTCATCAAAAATTTCTAGGCAAAAAATCAGGGAAATAATTAACAGAAGATATTATTTATTTATGAAGGCAAAGGTTATTGCTGTTTTTACTAATCTGAATATTTAATTCTTAGCACAGTGTCTCAAAACTTGCTTGCAAAGGAAATGAATAAATAAACAAAAACCCAGATTTGTTAGAAACAAATTATTCCAAAGTGTTGTCTAGAAAAACATTTTCTAAAATTTGTCCAAAAAATGTTGTCTATGACCCAGAGGTTATATCCATCAAGGTCTTTTATAGGCGAAGGGTGTTATGGTGCTATGGTTTTAGAACACTGTAGTGGCCTGCAAATTTCCTATTATGAATATTGACGTAAGCCAAAAGGTCATTCTATGTGACTCACAAATGTAGCTTTCCTTGATTACTAAGATATCTGCAATACATACATATATAAACTTGATAATATTTTGGTAATAGATAATCAGATATCTTGGAAATATACATGTATTTCTCTTTTTTCTTTTTCTATGTATGTATGTATGTATGTATATACGTATGTATGTATTTATTTATTTGAGACAAGGTCTCACTCTGTCACCCAGGCTGAAGTGCAGTGGCACAATTACTGCTCACTGCAACCTGGACCTCCCGGGTCCAAGTGATCCTTTTGCCTCAGCCTCCCTAGTAGGTAGAACTACAGATGTGTGCCACCATGCCTGGCCAGTTTTTGCATTTTTTTTTTTTTGTAAGACAGGGCTTTGCCACGTTGCCCAGGCTGATCTCAAACTCCTGGGCTTAATCGATCCACCCGTCTCATCCTGTCAAAGTGCTGGGATTACAGGCGTGAGCCACAGCGCCCAGCCTTTTTTTTTTTTTTTTTTTTTCTTATAGCTCGACTACCACAAGGAGAAAATGTTATGACTGGAAAATGCAAAGACTAGTCACCTTTGTAGTTCTTCATATTAAACACACAGCTGGATAATTGTCTTGCGTCTGTCTTTGGGATTCTTGACAGTTTTGCACACTCCTACATGTCAGATTCTTTCTCTGTGCCTAAGAAGCTGAAGGCCAAAACTGACACCACACTAAATTCATCGAAGTAAAAAGAGTCTTTACAAACTTTTGGAAATAACAGATTCTTTTCTCCTCCCTGCTAGCTTTTCTACTGGAGTATTGTTTTGAACTTTTAAAACTTGGTTTTGTATTATTGTACAGTTTTATTTCACATCTTTCCTATGAAATGAAGTTTAGTGTGAACTCTGCTTCTCTCCTCTGTGGAAGAGATAAAATCACATTTTAAAAAATGGAGGACATTAAATATAATTTCTTGTTCAAATGCCTTTGTGCAACATTAATATATCTTTTCTCCAGCTAATGTACACAGTAATCAAGAGAGTGTGGTGTATTACTTTAATAAACCTTTCTGATAATTTTACACTTTTGCCATTTTATACACAAATTCCATAAAGGAACAGTTGTTTTTGTAATTGTCCTACCATTTATCATATTGACATACTTTGTCTTTAATCATATATATTATATTTTGTCACTGTATTATATTAATGCAACATCATTTGTCATTACAGTAATATTATTTTATTCTCACCTTATTAATATAAATTAAATGAAACTCTAAAATGTGTTGTCCTAAACCTTGTATTTTTAAAAATATTTTTCAATGAGTGTCTCAGGATTTAACCATAATCTTTTTCCTTTTTTCTGTCACTAGTATTATTATTTTAAAGAATACAGAAACTGCCTCTCTTTATTTTTGGAAAAAAAAATTGAGCCTATAGTTGTACTTAGCAGTGAAAAAGAATGCAATATTTATGAAATATAATAAAATGGGGCATTTTTCTTTTCTACTCAGTCCCTGAGATAACTTTTCAACATCCAGTATAAAAACATCCAAAATAAAAGAAATTCATAATTATTTCTTCTAAAGCAATTGAGAAAAATTCATTTTCTCTCAATTTTCATATTTACTTATACTTTCAAAAATAAGATATTTGTTTTAAATCTATCTAAAGGTCTTCATGGTATGGGGAAAGTAGCAGTGCTGATAGAATGGGGTCTGTATTTCAAATGCTTGCTGTATTCTTTATCAGCGTCTGTTAGTCACTACTAAAAGTCAACACCAGTTCCTATTTATCACTATTCAAACCATAACTGAGTGAGAAAACTGAGATTATGCATTTAGTCACAAAATATTAATGCAGAGTTCTAAAAGTGGCTACCTGGTCTTTTTTTAGCATGTCTACAAACAGGTTTGTTTTACATAAATGGCTTTTCTACAAATTTGAAATGTGAATATATTTTATTTTTTCCCAGTGAGTACACAATACACAATTCTTTGACAATACTATTAACCGATTTTATGCCAATTTCTTCTCTGATCTAACAACATCAAATGAAACACATTAAGATTTTGGATGCTGCTTGGTGACTTAAACAAACTACAGTTAAAAAAAATCCATCTATAAAACAAAGTATAAAAAGTCTACCCACGGCCACAAAATCCCTTTTCTTGCAACACTTTAAAATCACAACAAATGCTTTTTAAATTATGAGATTTAAAAAAATTAGTAAATTGAACATCTTTTTTTAGAAAAAAGTATGGTGTTTCATTTGAAGTACACATTATAGAGAAGCAAAACAAAAGTAATTTCACCTCTAAAATAATGTGGAAAGACATGTTGCTTTAGAACAGTTCTTGCCATGTAATTCCATAAACAATATACAGAAGCAGATGAACAAATTAGTGAATATTATGTTTCTGCATATCTTTAATACTGATGCACAGTTGCTTCCCAGTAGTGAAGATAAACCACAGTTTAGAGTTCAATGGTACTGTTATCATTATATTGTCAATGGACAATTACATAAGTTTATTGAATAGAAATTGAGAGGTGTTCCATCAAAGCACATTACAAACTTTCAACTCAAATCCTGTTGAAAACATATTTAAATACCCAGAGCATTAAACTATGACATAGAACACCATTAAATCTGTTTTGTACTCAACGCAAGTAAACTTGCAATGGTTTTACTTTTCTTGGTTGTGTGATACCTTATATGTTGGTTTTGAATTTTCTACATTCTCCCTTGAACTGGATTCAAATCCTGTGAAGGAATCAATTCTTTTCATGCCCCTGTACTATCCCATCTTATTTTAAAAATCTCACAGGACATGTTTGGAAGAGGGGTAGGGCGACTCCACCTGCATACACTGGCATACCTGAGTTTGGGCACCAATAGAGCTATTTTCCCAAAGAAGACGTTTCCTGTTATGAATGAAGCTGTGCTTGTATTGGACATGATTGCATTGCAGCATTGCCTATGAGTGCAAGATCAGATTACATTCTCTCCCACCCAGATTTCCTCTTGCAGTCCTTATGCAGGCCTCCATTTAAACCTGCAAGAGTGAGCTCAGTGAATTTCTAATCATATTCATTGAATCGGCTATGAAACGAGAAACTGCTGTGGCTCTCATAGGTATTTGTATTTTTCTGTTGACATCTGACTCAACACTGATTAGTAGCTTTTTACTACTTTGTCAGTAGCAAGCTGACAAAGGCTTTGCTTTCCAGTAATGTTTCTGAATTCCTTTGTATAGCTACATACAGCATTTTATCTTGCCCTCAATCTACCTGAGGGTGATATTTTGGGTGCATAAATTGACTGCCCAATGTGTTTAAAACTAGGTTTAATAGGCAACATGGACTATTCTGAAAGAACATTCCAAGTAACCACAAGCTCTGCACTGACATAATTTTAACTACAACAGTTAATTTTTATATGCTGAAGACAATCAGGAAGGTATGATGCTATGCCCACGTTATTCCAAAAGTCATCTGCACACACATACTTCACTTTGAAGCCTTGGTTTATTAATCACCAACACCTGCCAGTTACCAGGGATCAAAGGCTATGTGTTGTATATGTAATGAACTAAGGTTTTAGACTAAACTGGGTCATAGAGAAACATAAAGAGGGAACACAAAACCTCTTCGAAATTTGTTTGCCTTTAAATAGAAAGAGGTTAGGCAGGGAACTTCATAAAGAGATATTTAAAGTCCTCACATCCTAGAGTTGTGAATAAGTATGTATTCACTCTTTGAAGAAACTTTTCATCTTCCTCAGTCTCTTTGTCCCAGAGAAATCACACTGCATTAGAATTCAGGCACTGATGGTAGAAAGTTGATAAAGGGTTTAATAACTGTGTCTCAGAATTCTTTTTCTCTTCAGCGAAGAAATAAATTACATGGCACCAAAAAGCTGGTGGGGCCCATGAAGAACATTACATTCTATACTTGCCTGTGCTGATGCAGTCTCAGGGAATAGAAAGGATGGAAATGTTTAATTATGTCATCTCCTTGTTATAACGACGTGACAAAAATTGGCTACTGAGCCAATAATGCATGGAGTGCGAATTGTCACTCAAAGGGGTCCCGTATTTTAGAACTGATCCTAATCACGTTGAATATTTTTAGAAGAGTACCAACAACTGAACTTATCATAGGAAAAATTTGAGAAAGTATAGACAGAAATAAAATTTAAGATTGTGTAGGAAACCCATGGGAAAATGTCACAAGTGGGAATTTCAGGAAGGTCCTCTTCTACTTGACTGACTATACATGTACAGTAGCTAACATATATTTCAAAGTCACATTTATTCTGAGCATACATGACTAATGTTCAGGAACTTCTTGTTGTCAAAGTCGTGAAAACAAATGAGGCAGGACAATTATTAATGTCCACTTACAAGGTCTGGTTTTATTTAAAAAGTTTATAAACATGCATTTTTTTCTCCTTTTAAATTTTTCTTTTCAATTTCCTTATTCAAAATGGGTCAAACGTATTTTAGTTGGAAGCCAATTTCTGAGAATGTACCATAGAATATTTATTCCAATAAATCTACTTACTGCGAACTGAACATACTCTCGGCACTGTTTTTTAAGCACGTACAATTTGGCTATACATTGGGTGGCGTAAACTTCACTTCTTAATCAAATAAAAAACAAGTTGTATATAAACTGTATTATTTTTTAAGTCATGAATTTAAGTGATGCAGCTCTATCCTCTAGTGTGCACTGTACATGTATTAGAAAGATGAAATAAGATATTGCAATAGAGTTTATATTTGGAAACAGCCCGAGTATGCCCTAATAATAAATTGCTTCTTTAACTATTTGCTAGATATTCTAGAGTTCATTTTGTTCGTTTCCTTGGGGAACTTCATATTATATTCTGACTTAACGAGTTGGAGAGCTTAATTACGATAATTCAGAAAATGTTTTTAAAAAACTGTAATATAAATACAGCTCTTGCAAAACACCTTAATTTCCTCTTGCTTATTGTAATTCTCAGATGGGTCAATTACAATGACAGGTAAAATTGATTCTAAATAAAACTTTAATTTCTTTTTTTAAGCAAATTTATTACATCTTTGCTACCTGCATACTTTAATGCATATTCAGTCTTAAGACTTAAACTACTTTTTTTGACCCCGGCTTTTGTCAATAGTAAAAGCCACCTTTCTACTATTTTTTTTATTGACTCAGTCCCTGATATTCAAAGAAGACTTTGCCAACACCATTGTTCCTTTGCATCTTCCTATTTCTACACCCCAACTGAAAACCATCTAACATGATTTGTTACAGCCATCATTATCCAATCTAGCTTACAGTACAGAAACTCCCTTCACATTCAGTCTTTTTCTTCATGTCATGAGGAGTAGAGATTTGTGCTTATCACCAAATAAAATTGCAGTGCAAAATTTAAACATAAAAGTTACACAATTAAAAGTTAATATATGGCACCACAGCCTATTAATTCACATATAGTACAACAGACCAATAAGAACAGACAATAATATGAGCAGAGCTAAAAAGAGTGAGCTTGCATAGCAATGCACAAAAGAAATTATATACAGAGGAGAATCCTTTTCTTCCTGTAGGGCGAGTTTTGTTTTCTTTCTTTTTTATATACTCCTGACAAGAAAGAGTTAAGGTGGGTGGTGTACTTAAGAGAAGAACACAATGAAAATATCTGTGGGATATGTGTGGCTGTGTGTCTTTACATTGCATTTACAGTTCTTTTAATAGTACATAAATAAATTGTTCATTGCACTGTTTAGAGTCATCACTTCCATGAGTCCGGACCTGATGGTCCTTCAGAGCAGCTTTGTATGTCTCCTCTCATTTACTCTAAAGAAAGAGAAAAAAGTAGAAATAAAATATAAATTAAGCATTCTGCTTTTCTGACCAGCATAACAAAAAGCAAAGCCAACAGATAATCAATGAAAATAAGGTCTTCAGATAGATGAGTTTGTGAATTTAAGTAATTTTACTTGAAGGAGATGATCAAAGAGTAAAAGGAAAGAAAACACTATAGAATTTGGAAATGTAAACACCCAGTAGAACTATTTTGGTACTCCTGTGAGTCTGTCATTACTTCAAAAAAAAGTTAAAGAAAAATTCAAGTAGTTATGAATCAAATTAAAATTATAAATGAATCTTAATAATAGATTAGCAATAGTCAACAACAATGACAACTGAGATCAATAAAGAAATTTATAATTTTGAAATTATTTCTCTTTTCATCATCTCACAGAATCTTCCAAACAATCTGTGATGTGAAGATAATGGTAATGCTATTTTTCTGATGAGGCAGTTAAAAATATTCAGCAAATATGTTTCTGATAATGCAAAGCTGTATTGGTAACTTTCCTGAGGAAATTAACACAAGGAGTTCAACATTTTTTGCTGTGACATTCTTAATTTTCCCTATTACCTAGTATTTTACATTTAGAAAATTAATTGTACTAACTACCTATGCCAGTTTTCATTCATAAATGGAAATTTATTTATAAAATGTTATTGTAGTCAAAACATTACAATTTAATTAACAATCAAAGATCAACTCTTCAAGGGTGACTACCCAAATTTAAAAAATAAATATAGAGTAACTTGAAAATGAAGCATTCCTTAGGAGTTTCTTTAAAACTACCAAAAGGCCAGTGTCTCCATTTCTTTATTGTGTTCAGTTAAAAAGGCAAAGAAAATGATAAACACTCTATATTTAATTTCATGTATAAGTGTTAAGACTACTTGCCTAACTTAAAACAATTTTTATAGCATAAATCCAACGTGAAATAGCAGAAACATTTATAAAAATGGACTTCAATAAATATAGCAATGGCCTAAGTTATGACCAAACTTGTTGAAAATTGCAATTGATTGTTTTTGTAACAGAGCAAGTTTTCTATTAATCTGAAATTTGTTTAATGTGGCAATGTTATTAACCCAAGATTCTTTCTGAATCACGATAGCCTTTTAAATGACCTAAGCACTTACATAATTCACCTGTAAACTGTCCTTGACTGTTGGAGCCCATATATCCTATGTCAAGAAGGTCGCTGGCATTGCGCTGGTGGCCTGCTCTCAACACCTCGGTTTTCCTAGGTCCAGTGGATCCCTTAGAAGAAGCTGTTCCTGATGAGCTGTGGCCACCTGGAGATGGGAAACTGGGCTTGCTATAGGGCACCAAGGCCTCCTCTGAAAAAGAAAAAAAACCCAAAGGCTAAATTGAACAGAAACATGGAGGCAAACTAAACTTAACTCTTGAATATAACACTGTGAATGGCCTACTTTACCATTTCATTCTTTAATAAAATTAAAATTATGAAGTTTAATCAGGACCGGATATTAAAGAAATTTCTATGTGCAAGCAACATTTCCTACAATAGGAACCAAAGCAGAATTAAATTAAAAGAGATCTTGGGATAAGTACACAATGTTATATATTATTTGCAAAATTTAAATTCATTATAAAAGAGAGCTGCATACAATGAACTACAGTTTAACAAAAGCATATCTGAGAATAATTTCTAAAGTTCAATGAGGCTCCAATTTAATTTTCCCATTAAGATTAAAGAAACATGTTTTTTGTTTCAGCTTAAATTATGGCAACATTTTCTCAATTGATTTAGATAAAGAACTATATATTAGTTAAATAAGCTTTTAAAATTTATGTTGCTTTTTGAGACAGAAATACATTATTTAAAGGGCTATGTATTTCCTTAAAAGTAAAAGAGAAACTCACACATTTAAATAAATAATATGCTAATTTTTTTTTTTTACAGATTGTCTCTCTACAAATAACTCATGACATATGTTACAAATAATCACTCAATAGTTCAAAAATTGTTTTTTCTTTCCCTCTCTATTCTCATTGCTCCCTCTCCACACCCCATCCCCTCTGTCTTTCACGTTCTTTCTATGTATGGGCTATTATTTTGTGATTAATGCTCACTGAATTTACTATTTCTCCCCTTACATAGTCTTCAATGACAAGAACCACATGATTTTTCTCTCACAGCCTGAATGGTGTAACCTTTCTAAATGTTTCACTAAACCTAGATATTAAAATTGTCATCTACTGGCCCTTGCACAAATGACATTTTCCAAAAACTTGAGCACCAAGTTGTGACAAAATGTAGTTATGGGAAATGCATGGAGAGGCCTATCTACAACACATTAAGTCCAAATGAATAAGTGAAAAGACATTTTTTCAAAGATTGTGTGTATGTGTATGTGTGTGTTTCAGTACTCAATGAATCCTGACATGAGATGTCTCAGAAAATGCGTTTATAAAGCAGGCTCCCCACCTCCCGCGCCACACCTCTCCCCCCAAAAAAATCTAACTACAAACAATGAAATTTATTTCTGTGACATTTCCAGGAAGCTTGATTTATAAAAAAGAGCATTTCCCATAGACAGATTAACAACCAACTAAATCAATCAACTGATTAACAGTTGGAGAAAGTGCAAGCCCAGTATAACCTTATCTAATTTGAGGATCTGTGATTGGGCATTTTTCTGCAACTTTGTAATTTTAATGAATTCACATATTTGATGTGAGTTCTCCTTTCGAATGACTGGTTATTTCAGCCAAAATGAACAAACTTGCTGAAGGCAGAGATTAAACTGACAGAAAAGATTAAATTTAGCGATCTTTAAAGTACTCAATATAAACATTAATAGGCCAAAAAATAAAATTTTCTACTGAGCCGTTTAGATGAAGCCTGGAAGTCTCTTGGGATCAAAGACCCTGTGGAGAGGCTGACTGAGGAGCAATGCCCGTTGGAATCAGCCTTAAGGCATGTACTGGTAAAATCTCCTAAGGAATTCCAAATTCCATTACGATTGAAGGCAAATGTTTTTCAGATGCCCTTAAACAACTGCCATTTCTAGAATACCTGGTAGGAAAAGAAATGGTAACAGTCCACACTTTCTTGGGACTGTGCAGAACACACCTGATCCGACACCTTGTTTGTGTGGGGCTTTCCGTATATCTTCTTGTCGTTCTGTGGAGCTTATCCATTCCTGGGTTTGTCGCTGCCACTCTAGGGAGGTTCTAGCTGGACAATCCAATGAGCTCTTTGTGTCTTCTAAGCTGGATGCATGTTGTCTCTCTAGAGAGCTTCCTTTTCTCTCTGCTGAGTTTTCCACGTTACCAGCCTGCTGGCTCGGGCCTATTTGCTGCCTTAAACCCTGACCTGGCGGGGGATCTGGTGGTGGTGGAAGATCTAAAAATTTTGAATAATGTTTAGAATGGACTAAAATTTAATGAAAAATACAGGTTTTAGTTCAAGTTGAAGAAAATCTTTGCCCTTATACAGGTATTACCCATACAAAAAAAATTTGGGGAAAATAAAAGTCAATTATTTATTTCCAAAGCTCATATTATTGCTCTCTCTGCTGTCTTTTGGCCATAGCATCATTGAAACAAAATTGACTAGTTTTATTCAACAGTTAAATGTGGAAAGTGTTTTCAGTTACATATTGAGGCTATCATTCAAGGTGTAAAGGGCAGTTCATTGTTTATATTCCATCCATTGTCCAACCCTCCTTCCCCAAAGTAGAAATACCATGACACAAAATAAGATCACTAGAAATTCCTGAAGCTGTACTAACAAAAGGCCCCAAGAACAAAAGCTCTCCTGCCAATCTCCAAAGGGAATGTCACCCTCGGGAAATTTAGAACTGTATGCCGTGTCATATGCAACATATGACTGCCTTTACCCATGTATGTGGCACATTTAACAACATTAAACTAACATTTATTAAATGCAATTAATATTCTGCTTGACAACCAATTCTGGCTGTTCGTTTCATGAGTTAGCTAATGAGTTACAACTAATATATTACAATCTTCCGATGTATTAATTTTAATAAGTAATAACCAATGTTCAGAGTAAAGACTGAATGTGTTTTATGGTGCTAGAGAAGACAATGCCTCACAGAAATTTGAGATAGAGTAGAAGAGATAATTTTTCAGAAAAGCTCTTTAAAGTAAATATCAGATAGGAAAAAATTTAAGGTTCCAATATCAACTCCCTTTTCATCTCTCTTTTATTAACTCTTCAGATCATAATACCTTTATATTTTGTATGCCTTCGACTGTGAAATCACAGTTCTTTCTTTCTCTTTTAAGTATGTATTAGTTCTGAAATTACTTTGCTGAAGATTTTGAAATCTTCTGAACATCAATTTGTATCATTTTCTTCTCATTTTTCTTGCATGCTATTGTAAACTTCTTTGTTCATCCTTAGAATATTGGTAATTATATTATTTTTTCATAAAGACCAAATATCATATAAAATATACATTTATTTCATTAATAGAAGATATTGTACACAATGTATTCAATTATTTCTGATGCCATTTTTGTAAATGTATTCTGTTGTCTCTAATAATATTCTGTTTGTGAAATTTAGAAGGAAAAAGTATAAATTTCTTGTAGACAAAAGATAGCTTCCTTAACAGTCAGCTAAGCCGCTCCTTTCAAAAACTTCAAGAACCTTTATACTCTCTTTTATGAGCAAAGTGATACTAATCTGCATTGGACTGATAATGTTGGTCTCTGGAGCATCTCCTCTGAGTTCCTAAGTTGGAGCAGCATTGCCAGTTCTTACGTATGTCCTCATGTTAAATTATGAATTGCTAATAACTGAAGGGAACAGGGTCTCTGTTTCGGAGGATAAAGTTGCATTTGGAATATTTTTCCAAAATGAAGAGCTAATCCAATATTGAGATATCTGTTTGTTGGATAATCCAATGAGTTTGGTGTTTCCTTTATATTCGATAGTACTGACTTCCTTCACTATATGTTATTATAAATGCAAATTAATTATTTCATTTGATTGATTGAACTTAGACTGCCAGTGAGGAGAAATTATTGTATTTTCTTCCAAAATAACTTATCTTGTCATTGATTTTTATTCTGCATCAGAGCAGCTTAATTTTTAAAATGGCCAAAACGGCATCTGCTTATGCAGCTAAAATTCTGATTATTATTTAATTTAACCTAAAATTATATAGCTTCATAAGTAATATCCTTGGAGTTTGTATATTTTAAGAAAGGACATTACATGCACACTGAAATAAACTAATTGGAAAAAGACATGGGATTAAGAATGGTTTTTTGAAAAATAAAAGTATGTAATCAAATACATTTACTTAAATTAAATTTATTATTCATTTCTATGTTGATTCATTTCCACTAAATCAATTCACTATAAAGTCTCTTACTGGCCTACCGAGGATTAGCTCTTTTCAGGCACACAACAGTCCAATGAGATAGGTGCCATTATTACCTTCTGTTTTTAGACAAGAAAATGAAGGCACAAAGTAATTAAAAATCTCCAGCTTGGATCTTTCCTCCCATGAACTCCAGACTCATGTAACCAGAGCTACACTGGACAGTTCCACTTAGGTGTTCAGAAAGCTTCTCAAATTTCATGTATGAGAACTCAGCTCTAGATCATCCTATATAAAATATGCGGCCGGGCGCAGTGGCTCACGCCTGTAAATCGCAGCACTTTGGGAGGCCAAGGCGGGCGGATCACGAGGTCAAGAGATCGAGACCATCCTGGCTAACACAGTGAAACCCCGTCTCTACTAAAAATACAAAAACAATTACCCGAGTGTGGTGGCGGGCGCCTTTAGTCCCAGCTACTCGGGAGGCTGAGGCAGGAGAATGGCGTGAACCCGGGAGGCGGATCTTGCAGTGAGCCGAGATCGCCCCACTGTACTCCAGCCTGGCGGATAGAGCGAGACTCCGTCTCAAAAAAAAAAAAAAAAAAAAAAAAAAAAAAAATGCTTCCTCTGCAGTGTTTCTTCTCTCAGTTGGTCACAGTTACATTCTACAAGTTAGCCAAAATTTCAGAGTAATGTGGTTTGCTTTCTTTATGGCCTATGTTAATTTCATAACAACTCCCGTTAGCTCTACCTCCAAAATCCAACCTTTGTTAACACTGCCATTGATTCTCCTTTGGTATGAACCACCGTCATCTATTCCCTAGGTAGCTTCCACAATCTCCACCTTGCCTCATTTAGTACATCTCAACACAGCAGCTAGAATAGAATGACTTTTTAAAAAATATACAAATAAGATCATGTCACTTCCCTGCCTTACACACACACACATGCATGCACACATATACACACCCCGTCCAGTGGTTTACCATTCAAAGTAAGAGCCAATGTCATTATGGTAGCTTAAAGGTCTCACAAACACTAGCCCTTGTTTGCTTGCCTGACTTCGTACTCTATCTTGTTTCTCTCTCTGCTCCAGTCATATCGTTCCCTTTCCTTTTTATCAAATAAGTCTCAAGCTTCACTTGCCATTCTCATTTCCTGGAATAACCTTTCCTCAGATATCAGCATTACTTTTTTGCTTATGTTATTCCAGTCTTTTCTGAAATGCTGACTTCCTGGTGAGGACTTCCCCAGTCACTCTACTTAAAAATACTTCCTCCCTACACCTATACTTCTCAACTCCCTTCCCTTTGTTTTTTCCCCATAACATTTATCACCATCTTACTTATATGTTCATGTATGTACTTAGGTTGGTCTTTATCTATCTTCCCCAACTAAAATATAAAAAGGCAGGGGATTTTGTCTGTTTGGCTCCCATTGTCTATTATATGTTATATACTTAATAAGTATTTGAGTGAATAGATTAATTAATATGTAAATTTATTTGCTCAAAGGCCAAAGCTAGTATGTGGCAGAGCTGAGAAAGAGCCCCTTCTCTGAACAGGACATTAAGAACTAGGGGAAAGGGGCCGGGCATGGTGGCTCATGCCTATAATCCTGGCACTTTGGGAGGTGGAGGTGGGCAGAGAGCCTCAGGTCAGAAGTTCAAGACTAGCCTGGCCCTCATGGTGAAACCCTGTCCCTACCTACCAAAAATACAAAATTTGCTGGGTGTGGTGGTGGATGCCTGTAATCCCAGCTACTTGGGAGACTGAGGCAGGAGAATCGCTTGAACCCGGAAGGTGGGAGTTACAGTGAGCTGAGATCGCACCATTGCACTCCAGCCTGGGTGACAGGAACAAAACTCCCTCTCAAAAAAAAAAAAAAAAAAAAAAAAAGCTAGGTGAAAGGGAGAATAGGCTGGAAATAAATTATCTAGGAGAAACAGGTTGATGGATAGACAGATCTATCTTTTTTAGCATTGGTTAATATATTGGCTTCCAAGGGTATTCTTTGATTTATAAGACAAATGGAATACAAGATTTGGACTCAGCAATGCCTGCTTTGGAGAAACTTTACAAAAGGGAGAAGAACACTCTTTAAGATGTGTGTGGGTTTTTCAGTCTTTGGGATACAGACTGACATTTCCCACCATTCATAATCTCTCTTATGGGACACAGGGAAGGCAGCTTTCTCACCCCAGTAGTTAGTTTGACACCACGTGGCAGAGTTGTTTTCAATGAAATAGAAGTGATGTGTGCCACTTGCCATTACAACCTCCCAACAACCACTCATGTTCTGTCTTCCCCTCAGAAACCATAAAGGTCTGATCCAGAAATGATGGTATCCCAGTGCTAAAAAGGCCTACATCTTTACAATACTGCTTAGAAAACAGCAAACACTGTTGTAAAATCTATAATGCAAAAGGTTTATTGTAAAATGTCTGTACAATCAATGCTGCTAAGTATCAGCCTTCCCAAAAAGAACAACTTGATTTTTACATAAAAAGTTATGAAATTATTTCTGACATATGGATCCATACCATATAAATGCTATGGCATATGCATTTGCTGCAAAATAACAATGTTCTTAAGGATAACCTGTAGAGCACCATCCAAAATAAATGTCTTTGCACTGTATCATAATTAAAATGGCTTTGGATTAAGCACTTGGGAAGATATGTGGGCTGAAATTTCCTTTGCTATATCACTACTTCTAAAATGTATCATTTTCTAATAACACATAATCCATAACCCCTTTTTGAAATGCTGGCAATTTTGAAAATTTAGAAACATTTATTTTTTAGAAAGATAAGCAATATATTGATCATACTTTAAACTAGGAGGTAGCTTGCTTTAAGGAAACATTCTAAAAAAGCTTGCAATAAAAGTGTCTTAGAAAAAAAGAGATCTGTATTTTGTTGATTTATATTTTATATCTTCCACATATTCTGAATATTATCTTCAAACATTTCTGAAAAACCACAGAAAATTCTATACCTAGACATTTTTCTCTCTCCACAATATTCACAACAGAAAAAATATACAAAATTATCAATTACTAGATTTATACCTAGCAATTCAGTGAAAGTAGTCCTTTTTTATTTACGAAGAATTAGATGAACACTACGAATAGTTTTAAATGCTCAGCTAATCTTCTGAACATATAAGGCAGAAAGGCAGTGGTGACCATTTTTACTCACCACAGGATACACATTTATAGAGACTCAAAAATCTCAATTCTACCCTTAACCTTCATATTCTATTGAAAACAAAGGAAGCAGGAAAGATAAGTAAACCGGAAAGTATGTAGAACAATATATTTGGCTTTTTAAGTCCTCTTACCTTTGCAAGATGACAAAAGAAAGCACAAATAGGGCTGCAGGATTGGATACTCCCTTCCCCAAACTAATAAAAAACCAATGCTTTTCTTCTTTTTCAACTAAGCTTCATTCTGTCCTATAATGATAAGTGTAAGTGTGCTAAGGACTAAGTCATAGCTTCTCTAAGGTAGTTATACTTTAGATTCACTTGTGGAGCTTTAAAATTACCTGTAACTGGGTTTCACCCCAGAATAATTAAATCTGAATATCTAGGGTATATTTTAAGAGCTTTCCAGATGGTTCTAATGTGCAGTTTTTAAAAGTTTATCCTTTTGGTGTTTAATTGAACTATGTTAGGATAATGTTTGTGTGCTTATAGGGTACAGTGCTGAAAAGGAAAAAGAAATTCACCTTTCAATCTGACATTGTACTACACACTTTAAATATGTGTTACATATCCTTAGAATATAACTTCAGGATACATATTTTAATTCATTCTTTAAAAGTTATAAGAATTAAATTAAAAATACGGGAAATAGACTATATTCTGTAAAGCTAATGAAATACTCATTATCGAACATGGATATCTTCCAGTAATATTGTGTTTCCTGAAACTAACAGTGTTTAAGCAAGTATTCAAATGTTGGATGCTATATATAAATAAAAATATTGAGCTAGATCAGCAAACTATGGCCCATGGGCCAAATCCAGCCACTGCCCATTTTGTGAATGATGTTTTATTGGAAGTCAATCATTTCCATCATTCTACTTTTATTTTCCTTCTTCCTTTTCTTTTTTTTTTTAAGAAGGAGTCTTGCTCTGTTGCCCAGGCTGGAGTGCAGTGGTGTGATCTCAGCTCACCGCAACCTCTGACTCCCTGGTTCAAGCAATTCTCCTGCCTCAGCCTCCTCAGTAGCTGGGATTACAGGCACGTGCAACCACGCCCAGCTAATTTTTGTACTTTTAGTAGAGAGGGGGTTTCACCATGTTGACCAGGATGGTTTTGATCTTCTGACCCTGTGATCTGCCCGCCTCAGCCTCCTACAGTGCTGGGATTACAGGCCTGAGCCACCGTGCTTGGCCTATTCTACTTTTCTTATAGCTGCAGTCATACAACAATGGCAGTGTTGAGTAGTTGTGACAGAGACCCTATGTCCCAAAAGCCAAAGATATTTACTATCTAGACTTTAATAGAAGAAGTTTGCTGACCCTTTTCTAGAGTCTGGATGTTTGTGTACCCCCAAAATTCAACGTTAAAATCCTAATCCCCAATGTGATGATATTGGGAGGTGGGGCCTTTGGCAGGTGATTCGATGATGAGGGTGGAGTCCTCATGAAGGGATGAGCACCCTATAAAACACACCCCAGAGAGAACCTTGTCCCTTCCGCTATGTGATCATACAATGAAAAGGCACCCTCTATGAACCAGAAAGTGGGTCCTCACCAGACACCAAATCTGCCAATGCCTTGATCTTGGACTTTGCAGAGTCCAGATTTGTGGAGAAAATTTATGTTGTTTGGAATCTACCAGCTTATGGTACAGTCACATGTCACTTAATGATGGAGATAAGTTCTGAGAAATGTGGTGTTAGGTGATTTCGTTGTTATGCAAGTGTCACGTAGTATATTTACACGAACATAGATGGTATAGCTGACTACATACCATTGATCTGGGGTAAAAATCTGTGCAGCGTGTTTCTGTACCGAATGTTATAGGCAGTTATAACACAATGGTAAATATTTGCATATTTAAACAAAAAAGGTACAACATAAATACAGTATGACATCCTTATGGCACCACTGTCTTATATGCAGTCTGTCATTGACTGAAACATTGTCATACAATGCATGACTCTATTTTTTTATAGCAGCCCAGACAGACTAAGACACTCTTCAACTACTGTAGCCTGATTTTGGCTCTGAAATTTGTGACTAAAAAATTACTAAATCATTTCAAAAGTCTTTTTTTCCAAAAGTGAAATAGCAGCTAAGATATTGTAATTTAATATGATAAAAGTTCTGATCATATAAGTGCACATGCAGCTTATGTTCTTCCCTACTCTTAAATGCTCACTAAAAAGCATTTATGAAATATGCCAGAATGGCAAAAAAAAAAAAATCAACCTCAAAAAATTGCATGGAATGTATTTCTTGAGGCTTAATAATATAGAAATAATTCTAGATTGTTTTTAAAAATGGTGTTTTATTTAAACAAGGCCATATTGCCAGGTTTTTGTCTTGTTATGTAATGAAGCAATGGCTAATCTACCATGACTACATTAATCTAAGTAAATGATTGCATGGAGCACGTCTCTTCAGCGAGGAAACAAGAGTAAAGGGAAGAAACCTACCATCTGTCATTCCTTCCCTTCGATGAGGCAATGCTGGTTGTTGGTCCATCCGCCCTCCCTTGTGTTTTTTAGTGGGCCGAGGCCTCTGACTTTGACTCAGGGCTGCACTGGTGTTACTGTCAGTAGAAAATGGGCTGGTAGGTCGAGGTCTTTGAGAGGAGGTAAAGGCTTTTCCTAAAATGAAAATAAAGGGAATGGGTTCTAGAGAATGACATTATAGCACACTGATTCTGTCCTATATTTCTGCACTATGACTAACCTGTAAATCTACCTAGAGATAACATATGAAGATACCAAATATTGGTGCATCTCTGTAGAAAAATGTATTTTCTACATTCTCAGCTGCACATATTTTGTTCAATTTTTAATAAGCTAACAACACCCCCACTGGCCCCCTCAAAATCAAACAAATGAACATAAAACAGATCCACCAATCCACAACTCAATATTGCATGATTATACTTTTATTTAACCTTGACAATATTATTGATATTGTCAAAGATATATGCAAATTCATGCAGTTTTTATTTCTTAAAATTAAAGAAGCTATTTATGAAGTATATACTGTTGTATTTGTTTAATAAAATTTCATCCTTGGAAACTTACAAAATCTCTCTGAACACAGAAAAATGTCATATAGTAATTACATCTGAAATTTTACATGAAAGGTCTGCTCAGACACATATATTAAATTGACCTTACCACTTATCCACATACACAATGAATTCTATCTCTTTTGGCAGAAACTCAACAACATCTGTGTAGAGGATAGCAGGTTAAAATCACCTTGTATATCCAGCATGCAATAGGTATTTTCTGATTAATATTATTGTATCTGAGCAGGCTCCAAATTCTCATTGAAAAATGATATGTGCTGTGTCCTTTTCTTGTGGTTTAGAGTAGGTATACGGGGAAATTTATTCTGGGAAAAGGTTAGCTAATAAATTTTCAACAACTTATGATTTCAATACCATGTTTATTGTAGTAACAGAGGCCTGGTTTATGTGCATGCATTTATTCTCCTGTGTATGTTTTCATTTCATACAACATTATTATATGTAGTTACATTTTCTTACGACGACGTGATATGATATTACTTAATGCTGTGTTAGCTATTAGCATACATGCAGGAAATGCACTTGTGCCTTCTAATGTATTAGTTTCCTTGCACGTTCTCACTGCTCTGTTTACAGCTAATGCTGCAAAAAGCACTCAAGCAACATAAAGTTTCAGACTTATGCCTTATAATGCAAGACAATTCAAATAACAGTTCTATTACAACGTATTTTAGTTTGGATGCTATTTGAAAAATAAACCTCTGCAATGCTTAGAAGATCTTTTTTATTTCACTTAAAGATAGCTAATGTATGCTTAAAAGAAATATTGATGGTATAATTCCAAGAAAACTTCCAAGACTCATTTTTATAACCTGAGAGTTTAGTGAAGGGTAAAAATCTTTTTTCTTTACTATTTGATTACAGTTAAGATTTTGCAAATGTACTTAATGTTTTATTAGTTTGCTTTGCAAGGTAATTCAGTTTAATTCATATATTAGAATATTCTTATATGTATAGTTAAGAATTATACATACAAATGTAAAAGCACGCATCATGCCTAAGTTATTTTGTTGCAAAAGTTTACAAATTACTGATCTATTATTAATCCCACATTCTTTTTTGTGGAATGAGCAGCACTTGAAAAATTATATAATTGTTCTTTTATATGATTACTTATCACTCTCAGAAATCAAAATTAAATTATTCTAAAGAGAAATACACATGTAGTCATTATTTTATTCAACTTGCAAATGCAGTGGGTGTATCTTTAATTAGCATCCTTTAAGACAAATAATAAATTATTGTATTAAAATCTTACTAGCCAAACAATTAAAAAGATCATAAGCTATTTGAACTGGTAAGACCGACAACCTTAGACCCATTCACCCCATGCTAAGGAAACCTTCCCAGAAAATGCATTTGCAGAAAGAGATGAGGCAAAGGAAAGTAATGGAGATAAAAGCTGAGTAATTTTAATCACTGGGTACATTATTAATTGTATGAGGATTTTGCAAAATGTGTTATTGAAAATTTAATGGCAATCTTAGTTGCTGCTTTGCCGTAATATAAAAAGGAAGCATATTCCAATTAATCAGTAAAGCCGTGAAGAGAAAGGAAAATAAGAGAAAGTGTTGAGGAGGAGTCTATTCTTGGCTCTGCAAAACTAGCATCAGAAGAGAGTTTGGGTAATGGAGCATCCAAACTGTATTCATGCGTATTAAAGAAAGCCCTACAGTCAGACTCACTAAGGAGAAAGAACAGGAGAAAAGAGGACAGTGTCCAAGGACAAGATTCTCTCATGCAAAGAGTGTTGACTTGGAGTCTACCAACCTGTTCTTGTAAGGCTGGTTCCATCCAGCCTAAAACCAGCTTTATCTGCTGCTGCCACCAGTGCTTGTGCAAAACTGCCGCTGGCAAAGATAGAGCCATCTGAGGAGCTACCTACACTAGATCTATGACTAGAAAAGTTACGATCCTCATCAGATGCAGAGCCCCATCCATTTACCATTGAACCTAAAAACAAATGTAGTTGTCTAGTGAGTTGTATATATTGAAAATCTCATCTGCTTGTACACACTATACTAATGAGCAAGTAAGTTGTCCATGCTTCTTCCTTGAAGTTTCATCATGATTTCTTTAGCCAAATGCAAGTATCATGTACATTTTAAACATTTTTTGTGCAGAAGAATGAAGCTCATTTGAAACCTGTATCTGTTTGCAGCACATAAGCAAAGCATGTGCTGCACTGTTCAACTCTTACATTGTTTAAATTATTACACAATCGTTTTCCAAAAGAGAGCTGCGATGTGTATTTTAAGTTACTATAATTCAGAAATTAACACTTTTAGTAAAACAAACTTAGTGTACTTAAACTTATCAAAGACTCAGTTGAAGAAATAGTGTGAATATATTTTGAATTTAACGCAGACTCCAATGATAATCTGCATAGAAACTACACTGTATATCATAAAAGGGCAAAAATTATTTCAAGATTTTAAAATTTAAACTTAATTACAAATAACAACAAAAATTCACAAACAAAAAATGTATAAACAATATCAAAGCAAATGAACTTAGAACATAAGAAAAAATGTATTTTAAAGAAGTTCTATTAATTTAAATGCTCTTTCTGCTTACTTTGCCTTTTAAGTTATTTAAGAACTCCAGTTTTCTCTTTAATACTGATATTTATATTAAAAAGTAACACTTATAAGGACTATCATCAGCATTAATATGAATTTTTTCTGCAAAATGCAACATGAGAATAGAGGAAAATAATTTTAATTTTACGTTTAAAGAGCTGTAAGTTGTGAGGATACTCAGAAACATTTTTTCTTAATTTTCTAGCAAGTCATTTACAATTTTATATGTTTTCTTAGACAAAAACAGACTGAGAACATAACCTCCTACTTAATAAAATTAATATTACAAGATTTATGTTGGTATACCATTAATTCATGACACAAAAAACTACCAAGTATTGCTTATCCTAAATTTGTTAGAAGAGGGGCAAAAAATATTTGTAAGAAACTAATTTAAGATTTCTAAATAAACCAAATACATATTTACATAAAAGAGATGAAAGTCAAATGCTATAGACCATTTAATTTTTTTCTGTAATATTTAAGCAACAACAGAATAGTTAGGAGTGTTGCCTTGATGCTGTATTTGTAATTTTAGTCAAGAGGCCAGGATACAATGACACGGATTCATGCACTTTCAATACAGAGAAAACAGAAGCTGAACTGGTTAGAATGATCGGAGAAGTTAAAAGGGTGTTAAGTGTAGCAAAGAAAGATAGAGTTTTGATTCTGGTTGCCAAAAGCACAGAGATACACTTTTTACTTTTCAAACAAATTCCCTTGACACAGGCCACTGCAAGGAAGCCGAGATAACACCAGAAACTGAGCCTCTTCTGAGAGAATCATTTCTGGGTTAATAACCACAAGTCAAGGACCAACGATCCAAAATGAAAGAAGAAATAATGCAGTAGGCTTTGCAATATAATGCTATACTAGATAAGAAAAAAATCAAAGAAATTCAGTGAGGGGGTCACAAAAGAATATGAAACTCTGGAACGGAGGATAGTTTAAAAACATTTGAAAGTTCACTCCCAGTCCCTTCCCTGTGCTGTTTTCTGTATTTCTAAATGCCTGCTCTTGTATTTCTAAATACCTGCTCTTACTTTCCAAATAAGCATCTCTTTAATCTTCATCTTGTTTTACTCCTAAACCCCTCCTACCTGATTTCCCTCTAGTCTCTTCTATCTTCCTCATTGCTTTCTACATTATTTTTGTGAAGCACTTACATACATGTGTTCCTCTGTTTAAAGCCTTACCCAGCTAGCCAATGCCATATCTAAACTTCTAATTAAATATTTGCAACCCTTCCATATCTAGGCTAGCCTACTGATATGATTTGGCTCTGCATCCCCACCCAAATTTCATCTCGAATTGTAATCCCCATGTGTCAAGGGGGGGACTTTGTGGGGGGTGATTGGATCATGGGGGCGGTTTCCCTCATGCTGTTCTCATGATAGTGAGGGAGTTCTCATGAGAACTGGTTGTTCGATAAATCTCTGGCATTTCCCCTGCTCTCTCTCTCCTGCTACCTTGTAAGACATGCCCCTTTGTCTTCTGCCATGATTGTAAGTTTCCTGAGGCCTCTCCAGCCGTGTGGAACTGTGAGTCAGTTAAACCTCTTTTGTTTGTAGATTACCCAGTCTCCGGTAATATCTTTACAGTAGTGTGAAAACAGACTAATATACCTGCTGTGTATTAGTCCTCATTCACTCTTACAGCCTGTGTGTCTCCTTGCTCATTTATGTAACATCATCCTTCATTCTTTAGACAGAGATATTGCCACTAACACTATTAACCACTGACAAACTTTAAAGTCTAAATTAAATGCCATTTCTGTTATCACCATGATTCTGTCCTATTACAGCGAGAATCAATCTCTCTACCTCCTTTGGTTTCCAAACACTACACATAAACTCGCATATCAGTTCTCTCTATATATTATGGTCTACTGCACATGTGTTTCCTCTCCTAGACAATGGAATTCTGGAGATTAGGAACTATTTCATGTTTATTTTCATATTTATTGTCCAGTGACATTGTACATTAGAAATTCAATAAACAGTAGGCATATGGAATTAAATGCATTCAACGTTTTCATTATTCTATAATTCTGTGTATGACATTATTTGATGTGTAATTTCTTAGCAATGTCCTTATTTTAACTATAGAAAGAATTTTCTTATAAGAACTCTTAGAAAGTTTATTAAATAAGGAATATGATGACACTATATAAATAGTATACATATATGTGATATATATGCATGTGTATTGGTTATGCTTTGATATACTTGAATATTGATATTTAGCAATATCTTATTCAAATTAAGATAAAAAATTTACATTAAGTGGCAGCTAAGTTTCTTTGGAGTGTAACTTTTCCATCCTCATTTATCCATCTTAATGCACTTGGCCCAGTGATTTGTTTTCTAAAATTTTTCTTTTTCCACTATAACCAGCCTAAAAATAGTTGAGTTTCTTTCGTTTCCTGTCTATGTCTGCTTGCTGTGTAATTCCAGCCTGAGGATCTAGCATAGTGACACATTTAGTCTCTGAACCTATAAAACTGACTGTGGTGTAGCTATTGACAGGTGAAACCAGTAAATCCTACACCACGGTAGCATCACTAAAGAAATGATATCCTGTGAGACCTCCTAGCAGAGAATCAGCCTAACTTTCCGCCTCAGATAACCCTGTTTATCTCCCTGTGGTAACTTGACAGTTCTTCATCCGAGCATTTCCACACACACACTTGTGATACTCTAAACAAATGGACTACTTCCAGCCTTTGTGTCTTTGCTCTGCCTTTCTCCCAGCCTTTAATGCTCCTTGTATGTCCTTAAAACTCCCAATTATTCATGAAGTTTTCCCTGCTGCTTTTTGTCTCCCTCTGGGAAGAGAGAGTCACATGGAAGCCAGGGCTTCAAGTGAGTATTGGTAAATACAGAAAGAACGTCAGCTATTCTTTCTTTTGTACTTCTTGTAAGAGCAAAGAGACTAGATAGATGACTTCAGAATTAAAGATATGTGACCACAGATACTTGGCCATATTGGGCAACAGGAAATCTCATGACCCAATCTGAAGAGAGGGAAGTGTCTCACGTTAGTGTAGTTGTGTTTGCCTTCAAAACGGAGGGCAAGGAACATAGAAAGAAATTTTCTCTCTCCTTCTCTTTGTCTCTCTGCCTCTCTGTCTGGGATTTTCGACATCCCTTCCTCTACAGTTTGGTTAAGATGTATGGAATGGGCATATTTATGGTAAATATTTTTAAAAGACATTTGGCCACATTCCATGAATCAAATAGTATATAAGATGTTAGAATTCCTTCTGTAAAATGGCTAAAATGTATTGAACATCTACTGATTTTACGTCTAGTGGCCTTTCTGAAAAAAGGAAAAATGTTGAGATTTAAACAAGAGCAATGAGCTGAAGATTTAGGTAAACAATTACCCCCCCCCCACAAAAAGAGAGAGAGAGAAGAAAAGATAATGAATGAATGAAAATAAAAACATTAATCTACAAATTTAAAAGTAAGTCACTTTTGTGATAACTGATTTTCTTTCACAAACATAAGTATAAACACGAAAATTAAAATGAACACCAGGTAAAACCAATTCGGCTAGAGGCTTCTTACAAATTAATAAGCACTCCATACCAATTTGACATGTTTCAGCCCCAAACATAATCAATACATATTTAAACATTTAATGAACAATGAATTTATGTTAGATAGCCAAATTTATTTGTGTTTACATTTTCAATCTTTCCAAATTTCCCTGATTTAAATTGCAGAAAAGGCAAAAAAAAATCTCAAATGTATTCAAGCTGTTAAAGTAGTACTGCACATAGGACATTAAGTTGTTGCTCAGATGTTACTGAGCAGTAAAATATCATGATAAAGTGGCATCTTGCTGTGTCTCTATTACATCTTCAGCACTAAAATTAATTTATGATCAGTCATCAATTCATTTACATGTCATTTTATGCTAAATCTTTCCTTGCTGATAAATGCTTATCCTTAGATCCATTAAGCTAAAGTCTGTGCTTTATAAGATGACCCTGCTAATTGTTGCATTACCATTTTTATGAGATACAAAAACTAGCCATTCTCCATTTTTTCAACCAATATTTAATCTATGAACTTTTCCTATTAAATGTTATTTGTCTACCTATTAAGTAAAAGCTGCAGCTACAAATGTCTTTAGACAAATTAATCCAAATATTGACCTTTGCCTACACGTAGAAAAACATGTCAAATCTACAGAACTTCTTCTTTCACTCAAACATATTGAATGTGCAACAATTCCACCTGCGTGCCTCAGAGAGAAAGGGATGTGTAATCATCTGTAATCCCAGCACTCTGGGAGGCTAAAATGGGCAGATCACCTGAGGTCACGAGTTTGAGAACAGCTTGGCCAACATGGTGAAACCCCGTATCTACTAAAAATACAAAAAAAAAAATAGCTTAGCGTGGTGGCCCGAGCCTGCAATCCCAGCTACTCAGGAGGCTGAGGCAGGAGAATCTCTTGAATCTGGGAGGCGGAGGTTGCAGTGAACAGAGATAGTGCCACTGCACACCAACCTGGGTGACAGAGCGAGACAACATCTCAGAAAAAAAAAGAAAGAAAGAAAAGGAATGTGTAATATATATGGAAAGCAAAATAAGCAATTAAAAATATCTTCATTAGGACATACGATGCTTGATACCTTGTTTCACTCAGATAAAAATTACACGTGTAATATCCCACTTCCCCTTTTTATCTGTTCAATTTTGAAATACACATTTAATTGTTCTTTAAAGGCATCAAACCTGTAAAAGTAGTCTAAGAAATTAATTTGATTACTGTAGCATTATCCCTGAACTTTTCCCTAATACTAAACTTATTTTCCTTTAAGTTTTGTAGAAAAGCAAAGTTTCAGGTCAAATATTTTAGTGGCCGAGGCTCTAAAAGCTGTGTGGTCGAGTCAGATGGTGAGGCCACCAGGTTTCATTGTTTCCATACTGATCTGTTGTGGGAGTTCCACAACAAACCTCCAAAAACGTAACACAAAATATAGAGCCATGATTTCCTTTCAGCTGTGATATTCATGTGGGGTCCAGCAGTCAAGGAAACTTTTTACTTGTTTCACTGAACAGCACACAATCTCAGTCTTCCTTTTTGTGATCACTGAGGCAGTTAGAATCTTTGCTACACGTTGAGGGCATTTTCCCCCTGCACTCTCTCCTACTGCCTTCTGTTTCTTTTTTCCTGGTGGTGTCATGAAATTTGGGAAACAATTACCATTGACTCCTGCCATGGAAATTACAGAAAGAAGTATTGTAGCCCTCTCCCTCCCCGTTACCCAACGGTTTGGCATTTAGGAAGAAATTACAGGCTTATTCCTGAAGACAGAAACAAGCCTTTATGTTTACTTTCTAGCCCAAACAGAGTGCAATGAGCTGCAATAAATAAATATGTTGTATTTTATTACAATCAAATAGGTGTGCATTATGAGCATAGATTACAATGAAAATTATTAAAATGAGGTTCATTGCAAAAAGTGCTGATACAGTTGAATTTTGTTAGCATGGGTCACTTTAAATAAACATAGAACTGAATGTGAAAAAAATGAATCACAAAAGTCACATCTAAAATTAATATCTTGATCTTGATTAAATGCATAAGGAAAAAGGACTAATGTTTCGAGAGAGAAAATTATATGTTGTGCTTGTATACATATTTATTCATGTGTGTTTATATACACACACACTCAGTTCCACATATGAAGCAACAAACCAGCATATTATTTTCCTCTTAAATATACCTATTCCTCAGATTAGAAGAAAGTTGTGTGTTTCCAGAGCAGGGATCATGATAATTTGTCTTTAGAGTAAGACTGATTGATTTTGAACATTCTTCTTCCATTTATCAGGTGGGTAACCTGGACAAAGGCTTTAAAACCCTCTGTTTTTAATCTATTAAATGAAAATAATACTATTAATAGGGTTGTGAGGATCAAATGAATTAATATACATTAAAACTTTATAATAGGGATCAGCAAACTTTTTTCTGTAAAATGACAGATAGTAAATATTTTAGGCTTTGCTGTCTCTGTCATACATTCTTCTTAGTTTTTGTTTGTTAGTTAGTTTCTTGTTTTCCTACAACCCTTTCAAAAATGTGAAAAACCATTCTTAGCTAATGAGACCACACAAAATACAGGCTACTGCTTAGAAAGATGCCTTGCATGGGCCGGCCGCAGTGGCTCACGCCTGTAATCCCAGCACTTTGGGAGGCCGAGGCAGATGGATCACGAGGTCAAGAGATCAAGACCCTCTTGGTCAACATGGTGAAACCCCGTCTCTACTAAAAATACAAAAATCAGCTGGGCATGGTGGTGGGCGTCTGTAGTCCCAGTTACTCAGGAGGCTGAGGCACGAGAATCGCTTGAACCCGAGAGGGATAGGTTGCAGTGAGCCGAGATCGTGCCACTGCACTCCAGCCTGGCGATAGAGTGAGACTCCGACAAAAAAAAAAAAGAAGAAAGAAAGAAAGATGGCTTGCACTTCGTAAAGGTTGTATATGTGTTACCTATTATTATTATTATTACTGAATCTAAATTTTTAGCCAAGTGATTAGAAGTAATAGGCATTCGATAGGTGTTTGTTGTAGGAAGAAAGAAATATTAACAGCAGACCTGCAAATATACATATTATCCAGTACTGAGATTATGGGATATGGAACTGCTGATATTTTCTTCTTTTTTTTAGCCTTTTCCACTCATAGAACATCATTTCAAAATTTAAGAGATCCCTCACAAATTAGTTGTTATAAAAACAACTAATTGTAGTTAACATGCTTATTTCTTTACAAAAAAATGGGCTCTGTCCCTGGATAACTGCTGATATATTCCCTAATGTGGCAGCTGTGAAGTGCAATATATCCAAGTAAAATCCTGCATAATTTTACATACAGGCTTACCAGCCCATCCCAGTGTTGTTATTGAACTAATATTCTGATTGGCTTCAGAGTTGCAGGGACTGGAACCCAATATTCTGATTGGTTTCAGGGTTTCAGGGACTGTGTAACCCATGCTGCCTCCTGTAACTGTTAGATCTCTTTAATAAAATGGTCATTAGTTTCATGAAAGTGAAAATAACTAACAGCATTTCAGGGGGAGGTAATGACTAATTTATTCACACCACAAATATATTTAGAACCCAAAGTAACTGGTGGTATGATCCGCATCCACTGTATGGGCACTTACCATGTTAAAAACATAAAAAGCTCATAGAAATAATGCCTGTTTTATTGTCCACCTCATTCAGCGCCATTAAACTAGCATTAAGTGTCTGAGGAAAACATAAGCATGTTAGAACAACATTCATTGGCATGCTGATTTCTCTAATATTCAGTCTCTATATACATCTACCTCAGGGCTATTCTCATACATGTCTGCATGCATGCATGCACACACACTATATCACACTTACAACCTTATCTACACTCTCACACATTTATACACGTACTCACTCCCTACACAAGCACCCACACCCACGTTCTAATACACTCACACATCTAACACATACTCTCTCACACACACACTTATAAGCACTTACTCACATACCATAGAAAGCAAATTAAATCTTTGATCACACCTTCTCCACAAAGTTATTGTGGAAGAGAAAGGAAAAAAAAAGTGAGTTTGTATTTGGCTACTTTTGTGTAGAACACAACTTCTTTTACTAAAGAGATGTATTATTCATAGGATAAACTCATCATGGAATACAAACTTAAACACCCTGAGGTTTTTATATATGGCAGTAATTAAGCAGTGAATTCAAGGAGAAAACCAGACTTTTTTTCTCAGCAATAAAAGCTTCATTTGGAATGAACATTACACTAGCTACAGGAGAAATACAGACTGCTTGAGCTGCAGTCACATCAGGCAGCCTAACATGTCACAGGTGAGCATGTAAAAGTGCAAAATGGCATTCTCTTGATTTATAGACGTATTTATCATCTTTGACATTATAATATTTAATAAAAGAACTACACAGACTATAGCTGACTGTTTTTCATCATTATTGCAATTTGTTACTGCATTCCTAATGGAAAAGAGTTCAGTATCATTAGTGAAATATGCAAAAATATGCAGAATTTTACCCTGAAGGAGATTATGCTGGAAATTCAGGCAAAGGGGCTTAACATAATAGTGCACTAATAAGTCAGCTCTCTGCATTTGAAGATTTTAACTTGTGCTCTGTCACCTTCGGTTGGATCTGGATTTCAAATCACAGCGGTGTATCTGCAGCTCTTAAATCTTAATTAGGCTGGCAAGCAGACCAGCCCCTGGATAAGAAGAAAAACTGAAAAATGGGCTCATGCATCACACATTGAGTAATTCAGGGAGGAATACAGAGGAAAATCATAGGCGCTGATGCTGCTTTATCCTGTCATAAACCAGTTCCCATCAGTGTTTGTAGAACTCTAACACATTGTGTAAAATCTGTGAAAGTTTGGAAGCTGTTGGCATAAAAATGAATTAAGCGGGATTGTGGTAAAATATCTCCTAGGATGAAAGATGTCATCACGGTAAATACAGATATGAGTGGTCTTCTGAGAAGACCCAGTGAAATGCAGAGACCAGACTTCAGTTTGTAGTAGCTCGGTCTACACAGTCATGTAAGAGGCATTTTCTTGTGTGTCCAACAGTGTATATCTATTTGAATAGAAAGACTGAATTTTTAGTTTTCTCCAAATTCATTGTGTCCATTTTAGGATTTAAAGTTTTCTTTAAAAAAATTGGTACATTTAAATCCCTGAAAATAGGTTATACCTTAGTCCTGGGATCATCATAGAAGAGTACCAATGCAACTCTTTCGTTTGATGAACAAGGCAAGAGGAAGCCAAAGAAATAAACAGAAAAAATAACTGCATTTCTTGGAAGAGAAGCATTTACTAGATGCAGCAATGTGAAATGCATAAACATATGGTTTATCTCACTACACATTTTCTTCATTCTAAAAATAATACCTTGTGCAACCTTAAAGTGGCTTATTCAGGAGACGTGCTTACTTTCCATCAGTGAATGATTTTACAGAGTGAAATATCAAGAAGCATTTTAAGATTGCATTCACTTCATATGTTATTCCTGATATATATAAAAAAGATCATTTCTAAAAGTCAAGGTTTTTAATGTAATAGACTTGGTTTCCTAGTAGAGTGAACTTCTCATGAAAGCCCTAGATATAATTGAGTTTTCTTTCATGTCTTTAAAGCTTTTTAAAATTCATGAATTTTCTTATCATTTTTGCAGCAAAGCAAAAGTATTTCCAAATCCTTTTTGAATTTTGTATTTAATATTAACACATTTAAAATGTTACAGAAATAGATGGAGTGGAATAAATCTTACAATAAGGAAGTAGTTGACTTTTGATGCATTTTAATGTTACCAATAGGTCAGTTTTTCCTATTAAATTGGTTCCGTTACCTGTCACAGAGCTGTCTAGATTGTCCATGCTGGATCCAGGAGTCTGGTCCAGTGCTCTCAGGGGCCTGGGGATTTCTAAAGCTTCCTCTTCGTCGTCGGCATCATCATCTGCAACATCCGTTTCCAAATCAGAAATCAAGGCTCCAGACACATAACCTAACGGTGGAACTGGAGGCTGTGGAGGTTGATTATTGCTTTGAATGTGCCTAGAATTCAAATGAAATTTAAAAAAGAAAAGCAACTTATTAACATGCAACAAAATCATAATTTTAATTAAATGCATGCTATAGTAACTCATACTGTCTTCTTCCTTTCCATTAACTAATTTAGGAGTTCATAATGCTTTCAGCAGAAACAATGGCTACGAATACGAGCCTCACCAAACAAGGAAAACATAAACCATTAAACTCTTCACTTGGTATTTATAGGATAACACACGGAGAAAAAAAAATACGGGCCCAGTATTTTTGTGAAAAGAAGTTATCTAGAGGGGACTAGGAATATTCGCCACGAGTAACTATTTAAAGTGAATATTTTTCTCCAAAAATATTATACTTTTGTTCTCAGTTTAGTGTCAAAATTCTACTCAGTCTGTGTAACCCATGCTGCCTGCTGGCCCTTATGAAGAAAAGATGTCACATGAGGACCTAATATCCCCTACCTCCCAACCCTGAACACATTTCCCACCCTAGAAGGCTTCCTCCCCACACGATCTCTCTCACATCAAGGCTGGAAGGCTATTTCCACTTTCACTATAACCCAGTTTAGGGTAGGCACAACTAATTTGTGCTCTAGTAGCTATTTATGTATCTGTCTCACCCAACAAAGTCTTAAACTCCTCAAAGGCATAAACAATTCATCTAAGGATTCTCTGTGTTTGGAACACTAGTGTGTTAAATAAACCTTTTGCAATGAATAAATAATTCTAATCTCAACCTTATGAAATAAATAGATCATGCATTATCAACCCTCATTTATTTATTTATTTATTTATTTAATTTTTTGGAGAGAAGGGGTCTTGTTCTGCCACCCAGGATGGAGTGCAGTGATGCGATCATGGCTCACTACAGCCCTGACTTCCCAGGCGTAAGCGATCCTCCTGCCTTGGTCTCCCAAGTAGCTGGCATTACAGGTGTGCTTCACCATGCCCAATTAGTTTTTAAATGTTTTGTAGAGTGGGATTCTCACTATGTTGTCTAGGTTGGTCTGAAACTCCTGGGCTTAAGCAAGCGTCCTGCCTCAGCAACCCAAAGTGCTGGGATTACAGGCATGAGCTATCATGCTTGGCCCAACCTTCTTTAGAATTTATTAAAGTGAAGGTCAAATTTAAGTGACTTGTTTCAAATCAGGTAGCTAACAAAGTGTGAAGCTGGGCAGTAGGGTCCAGTTGATTTGCTTTGAGTCTACTCAGATTTTCTTCTAAACCATAAAATGCTAAATGAAATGAATTTATTGTTATTTGTTACCAGCATTAAAAAGTGAGTGTACTACATGTTTTAACATAGTAAGTATTTTCTTTGCCTTCATATAAAAGGTATTTAAAAGGCTGTGCTATTTAGGTGAGATCTTAAAAAGTACTATGCATTTTTATTGTTGGCTGGTGAATGAAAGACATTAGATTACTTTTCTTTGTCATTTGCATGATTTGGGGAAAATATTTTAATCTTCCCGAATTTGTTTAATATTCCTCTCCCAACTGGCTTCTTGAACTTGTAACCAACCTCAATGTTAACAGGATTCTAGATGTTTCAATGTTAAAAAAATTTCTAATTCTGGAAGCTACCTCAATATCATCAGATCCCAATCTTCAATCTTTAACAGATTAGAAAGTTCAGGCCCCAAGTTAGTATTCAGCATTCCTCACAGCCTGCTAGTTGAAAAATAGGAAGAAATAGCAAGTTTCCTAAGTATTAGTACAGAAAAGCTTGAGGATAGATGAGCACATCTTGCTATAAATGTTGCCATCAATATGCTTATGAATTGATACCTCTTGATAAAACAAATATACCTTGATGGAATAAAAAATGTACTCCTATTTAAGCAAAATTAAGAGGTAAATTGAAATACAGGAAGAGGACACATAACATTTATAAATATCTTCTAGTGACAGGCACTGTGCTGTTTACTTCACGAATCAATAGAAACAGATCCTGGGAGGTGGAGCCTGGGAATTATTATTTGTTAAACAGTCCTATGATGTTGATGTGCTACCCAGATGGTGAGTCACTTCCAAACCAGAAGCACATGCAAGCTCATAACTCCCAGATGTGGAGTCAGCCAAGGCATTCTGAAAGATTGCTGGTTGAGTAGGAACACACTCAGAAGAAGAAACAGGGTGTCCTCTATGGGTATTTGCAGCAGGTGGAGATGAACTAATTTGTTCATTCTTTTACCAAATATCTATCAAGCATTTACTAAGTGGGACACTCTTCTAAGTGTGGGAAGACAGAAGTGAACAACTCAGGGGTGAAAACCTAGGCCTTTCTAACTAATAACAGCTAATATACAGCCAGGGACAGTAGTATATAAGTTCATACTCATTTCATTCTCACAAAAACTAGGATATGTAACAAAGAATTGAACCTCGACCCAAGAGAGGTTAGGCCTTTGCCCTCTACTCCTGGGAGGTAATCTGTAAGCCCTTAGAATGTCCTGTGGATAAAAGTCTCTCTGCTTACCTAGAGGCCTTAGGCTACTCCAAAAAGCATCGCAATATGATTATGGGGGGGCTTGGAGTTGCATGGTGTCACCTCAGCCTCTGGAGGGGCTGGAAATTGAGGTCAGCCATATGGGTAGTCAACAATGTCTGTGTGACAGAGCCAAAATGAAGTCGCAGGACCTCAAGGAAGGTGTGCCCATCCCTGGCTGGCAATTCTCCATGGTGTGTAATGTCACACCCTTTGTTGGGAAAGTAACGCTATGATTCCACTGAGAGGACAACTGGAAGCTCTACTTTTGGAATTTTCCTGGACCTTGTCCCATGCATTTCTTCTTTTGGCTGATTTTAATGCGTATCTTTTCACTGTAATAGACTGTAGCTTTGAGTGTAAAATCTTTTGGTGAGTTCTATGACTTACTATAGAGAATTCTGAAACTTCAGGGTGGTCTTGGGGACCCTTGAAACTTGTACTTGGTATCAGAAATATAGGTTGTCTTGGGGACTGCCCTCTAATTTCCTATATGAGCTAATTACTATTATCATCACCATCATTTTACACATGGGGAAACTATAGCATATAAATGTTGAGCAAGTTGCCCAAAGTCATGCAGCTAGTAAGACAGGTTCATCTCCACGGCAGTGGTCCCAACCTTGGCTGTCCCATGATCTGGATCAAATTCCAGATCATGGCAGTCAGAATCTTTCTCTGGGAGTGGAGCCCAGGTACCAATATATTTTAAGGTTATCCAAATGGTTCTAAAATGTGGCAAATTTGAGAACCCTTCAGCTTGAGTCTGTGCTTTAGATGACCAAACTGCATTGCTTCATTAGTTAACGTGAAGGAAGCCCTGTGGCTCTTGAAGCAGCTGGCTTCAACTTACATAGTGATGTTTTATTAAAAGCAGATTGATGAAAAATAACAGCGTTTAACGGTAAGTTGTCTTTGACCTTTGAGAAAGCATCTGATGACTGTTGGAAAATGTTCAAGAATATCTTAAGAAAAGAGGCTGTTTGTAATAATCTTTAAGTAATACTCTTCCTTTTGGTATCTCTTTCTATGTATAGTTAGCTGTATTTTAATAATACATACTTCATTAATAATGAGAATAAGAATTATTTATCCCCATGACTAGAACAATTTAAAAAACAAAACAAATACTATTTAAAAAATTTACTCAGACTTCAAGCACAAAGGGTAAATCAACAGAAGAAAATTGGAGTATGACATGGAGCTTTAAAATAGTGATATAAAAGCCTGGGCTTTTGAAAATTAAAATAGAAAGATTGAATAACAAAAATCCTGTATAAAACTGTTAGCGTTAGTCCCATTTATATATCTGTGTTAATTCCACAGGATACCTAGGTAAACTGACACCTGTAGTTTACAAAAGTTTATAGATTAGAAAAAGAAATGTGAAATTTTTGATTTACTCCTGCTTTTTATGCACTTACTGATACTAGTATTGTCTTTTTTTTTCTGTTGCACTTAACTCAGGTAAAGAGAGTCTTTTAATAACTAATACTGACCATATGTGATTTGCAGAAGCTCACATTTACATATTGACAACCACATACAGAATTAATCACAGGCACTTTGAGGAATCTAAAAGGAGTCTTTTATTACATCATGGGATGTGAGTTCAATGATAAGCTAATTGAAGATAAACCATAAATTAGAAAAGATTCTGGTGTAGCCAAGAGCACTTTAGCCTGAAATACAGCAGATTTGAATTCTTGCTCTAGTTCTAGTTTTAGTTCTAGTTCTAGTTACAGTTACAGTTACAGCTCCAGTTCCAGTTCTAGTTCTAGTTCTAGTTCTAGTTTTGGCCAAATTATTTAACATTTCTCAGTGGATACATTTATCTAAATGATTAAGGAGTCATACAAAATCACTTTTAACCCTAGCTGTGTAGTTCTATCAGAATCTCTTGTGAATTTATTCTGAAAAAAATTTCCATGTGTTGAAAGCATGGGTCTCTTGACTTAATGAAGATATTTACCATGTTTGTTTTGCTATATCAAACTGATAGGCTCTTGTCAACTCATCCAGGTGAGCCTGCAGCATGGGTTGCATCTCTTCCCGTGGGGATGGAGTAAGAGTTGCAGTGGACTGCTGTCCAAAGGAGATAGCAGGAGAAGAAGCCACGCCTCGAACAGGAGGTGTTGGGACCCTATCATCATCTTCTTCCAGTTCATCTTCCAGACCTTGGTGTAAGTAAGTTTGTACTGGCAATGGTGGGCACCAGCTATCACTGTCATAGCTGAAATTAAATGAGAAAAATATGCACATTGACACAAATACATATACACATACATGCACACAATTATACTGGCAATAAGTAGCAACCACATGGTATCTGAAATGTTCTCTCGGTTTATTTCTTCCTGAAGCTGTTGGTGTCACCACAGTAAATCACCTGGCTGTTATCTTAATTTCTAATTGTAATTACATCTGTTATCTCAATATCTCAATTTATTCTTAAAAGACCTTTTTAGCTAATTGTTACCCCACAGTTACAAGAGGCAATAACTTCCCAACAAACTTACTCATGTGGAAAAACCAAATTGCTAATTAAAGACAATTAATGAATTTAGTGCTTGTAGATTTAACTGCTTCCTTCTCCTGTTCATACTTGTGCACCATTACATGCCAATATCGCTGATTGATTATCTAAGAAGTATTGGAGAATTTTACTTGTTCTTGTTCTAGATATCTGACAACCTTTCATTCCATATGTCATTAAGACTATCATATAAATGCATTCAGTATCTCTTTGATTCTCTTAATTTTCTCAGTAGAAACTAATGTCCTCTTTATCTTGTCATCCAAATGCAAATCACAAAACAGGAGTTCAAAACCTTGCCCTATAAAATAAAAATAATACTTTTATTGTAGTAAAAAACTTTAACACGAGATCTATCCTTTTAAAAAATTTTGAGTATAAAATATGACAATTATTTTAAAACCATATTTTTTTAGGGACTGTGGTCTGTGAATATAGAAAATTAATCCAAAAAGTTTTAACCATGAGACAAAATCAATAGCTTTTTTATTTCAATTCTCTGTAGTCTGAATACTTTCATAAATCAAATGGATTATAACATCCTTTTAAACACAGACAAGGAAAAGATAAATAATATTATTGGATATAGTGGTCTTATACATTCAGCCTCTTAAATACCTAGTGAATCTTTCTCCAAACTTCACCCCCACTCCCACAATCACACATCACTTTCCTGCTGTAAACAAGCTCATTAGCTTTCCTACTCTTCCGGTATCATCATCTTCTCTTCCACCCTTTGTTAAACACGTGCAACAGAATTATATCTCTAAAATCTTCATTCACATCACGCTTAAGCCTAAAATTATTCAGTGATTATAACTAGTATTAAAAAAAAACCTTTCCAACTCATTAGCTAGGTCTAAAAAACCCATCCTAGTCTGATAAACTCATCTTTCCAGCTTAATCTCGCACTATTTCCTCAACATCCATATACTATATTTTTCTCTAAAGTCTGCATCTGTTTATGACTGTTCTCAAATCACTTGCTTGTAACTGCCTACTCTTCCTTCAACCAGTCACTTCAAACGTCATCAGTTTTGTGAAGTCTTCTCTTCCCCACTCCAAATGGAATTAATTGCAATTCCATAATACTTATATTGTGGTACTCCTCATATTATATTGAGATTATTTGTTTCTGTGTTTCTTTTCTCCCACTATTTTGTGAGATTCTTAAATTCAAGAAAGCTGTCATTCTTATCTACTTCTTGCACCTCATACAGTTTCTGGTACATGGGAGATATTCATTAGGGAAACTGTGATATGAGTAAATATCAGAAATGTACATCTCTAGTCTTGATCTCTCTTACAAAGAGTAACTTATAAATGTCCGGATGATTCTTGAATATTTTCACTTGAATGCCTTTCCATTTATTTTGTTTAAAAGCTGAATTTATCATAAAACTTGAACGTGTATATTTTTATTGGTGTTATTCATACTTGCCAAAATTTGGAAGCAACCAACATGTCTCCCAGTAGGTAGATGGATAAATAAACTGCATTACATCCATGCAATGGAATATTATTCGTTGCTAAAAAGAAATGAGCTGTCAAGCCATAAAAAGACATGGCAGAAACTTGAACGCATATCACCAAGTGAAAGGTCTAAAAAAGGTACACACAATAAGATTCCAACTACTTGACACCCTGGAAAAGTCAACGCTACGGAGACAGGAAAAAGATGAGTAGTTTCCAGAGGCTAGATGAGAGGAAACCATGGACAGGCAGAGCACAGAGGAATTTTAGGACAGTGAAACCACTCTGTATTATAAAATAATGGTGGATACATGTATTACATTTGTCCAAATCCATAGACTGTGCAACACAGAGAGAACCCTAATGTAAACTATGGACTCTAGGTGATGATGATGTGTCAGTGTAGGCGCATCAATTGTAACAAATGTACCACTCTGGTGGAGAACCTTGATAGTTGGGGAGGCTATCAATATGTGGGGGCTGGGATAAATCTGTACCTTCTGCTCAATTTTGCTGTAAGCCTAAAACAGATGTAAAAATAAACTTTATTTAAAAAAAAACTCTTAATTTATTTTTTTGGACAGTTATGTGTCAGGGTCCTGAATCTATTTCACAGAGCATACAATTCAGTGGGGAAAGCTGATATTAAACAAATAATCAGTGATGCAAGATGCCATAAAAGTAGAAAGCAGGAGGTCTAAACTAGTTTTGGAGTTGGGCAGGGCTATGTTGACCACCAGTAAAAGGAACATTTTAAACAACACGTGTGGAAGCCCGGAGGAAGAGAAAGGAATTTGAAGAGTTCAAATACTTCCCTAAATGCCAAGAGCTGGCAAAGAAAGAAGAAAATTGGCCACGGAAGAGGCAAGAGAGTTAGGGATAGGCTGGTCACTGAAGGCCTTATCAGCCCCTACAAGGAGTTTGAAATTTTCCTGTGGGTGAGAGATAGTTACAGAAAGGGTTTTTGTTTGTTTGTTTGTTTGGTTGGTTGGTTGGTTGGTTGGTTGGTTGGTTTTTTGGGGGAATAATATCATCTTTGGATGTTCAATTTCCTTAGACCCCTAAATGCTTTTTCCCGAATTCCAAAGATTCTTCCTTCAAAGTTAGTTATAATTGTAACTCCTTTATTTTCATTTCCATGGCCATTTTATTCTCTTGCTGAGGCTACCTAAGTGAGTTGCAAGACCCTGTTTCAGAAGCCCTGTATGGTTTGATAGGAATATTTCCTCCTAAATATCTACTATAATATTAGACATTATAAACAACAGACACACACTAGTGTGTTACAAATAGCAATTTTTATACTAGAAAATACCATCATTTAAACTGTATTCCCATTTAATTGACTATATAATGAGTGCTAATCTGAATTTAAAGAACATATTGCTCTAAAAAATTGATGCCATTTTTATCTGTTTTATATGTTGGAGATCACAATTAAATTTCATGTGGAAAAAAGATCCTATTGCTTTAAAATATTGTAACTCACTGTCCTGGTGGGATTTTCTGCTTTCAGTTTTTCGCATCCTCTAACCAATCCTGCCCACCACTTACAAATTCATCTATGAAAATATCAGAATGGTCTGAATAAGAAGATTTACTTCTCTTTATTCCATCCATTGAATATGTCTAAGCCGCAATCTACCTTTTCAGACAGTTTTTACAACAAGAATCTCCTGCTCAAATAAATTAATTTGTTTTCATCTTTCTTTGTACTTTCTTCCCATCCTGGTGCATTTATTTATAAGAACCAACTTATTTCCAATAAGCTGTACTCCTCCAGTTTTACCTATCTTAATCTTATAAATCCATCAAGATGCAGGCTAAATCCCATATCTTGTATGAAGGTTTCCTTGATGTACATTTCTTTGAAAATTGATTATATGCAGTCTTATGTCATTTCCAGTGCTGGTTTCTGTAACTCTTGACTAATTTATTTTAGTATTTAACTTTTCACATGTTTATAATACCTTTTCCTCAAGTGCATTATAGTTATGACATTGAACTGTTCTTGTTTTGTTACATCTAATATAACACCTTAAAAAGAGTAAGTCATACGCGTATGTATTGATTTGATTTGAAAACACACATATCATTCCACTAATTAGAATGCTTTGTTCTTTTTTCCTAATTTATTTATCTGACTTAAGCCACATTATTAAGTTAAACAGAAATACGTAAGAGGAGGCTAATCAAAAGAGAACTATCTATTTTCAATATGAAATGTGCTGTTCTGCTTCATAACTAGATATAATTAAATTTACTTTGTAACTCTTACTACAAAAGAGTCCTTTTTTCTGCCAAAAAGTAATGGGTGGACTTTCCTTACTTACACTCGTTCGTTGCCAAGGATATCATACCTTGGAAAAAAGAACGAAAATGTTCACATATTCAATTTTTCAAATGGAAATAGTCTGTTATTTCCTAAGATTTTTCTGAAACTCCATAGGTAGTAAGATATCCTTACTTTTGAAAATCTAATGGGGATATACACATGAAATTTAAAAAAAAAAAAAATTCATAGAGAATATATTAGAAGAAATATGTGTTATATGCATCATGTGCTAAGAAAACATAAGAAAAGTTATAATTTGGTGTACTCAATTCATTTTTATTAATCAAATAATGTCAGGCCAAGGAGAGCCTAACCATATAAATATTGTATTTGGCATTAGTCAAATACATTGCTTAATGCATTAATTAACTAAAACATATTTCATTAGCTATTCCCATTAACTAGAATTAATGTTATCACCAATTTTTCTATTTTTTTTCTTTTTTTTTGAGACGGAGTCTCGCTCTGTCACCCAGGCTGGAGTGCAGTGGCGCGATCTCGGCTCACTGCAAGCTCCACCTCCCAAGTTCACGCCATTCTCCTGCCTCAGCCTCCCGAGTAGCTGGTAGCTGGGACTACAGGCACCCATCACCATGCCCAGCTAATTTTTTGCATTTTTAGTAGAGACGGGGTTTCACCATGTTAGCCAGGATGGTCACGATCTCCTAACCTCGTGATCTGCCCATCTTGGCCTCCCAACGTGCTGGGATTACAAGAGTGAGCTACCGCGCCTAGCCAGTTATCACCAATTTTTCTGTGTCATTTTGTGTGTGTGTGTGAAGATAATTTAGAACAAGAAGGAGCAAATTCTTTACCCCTTTGGGATAGCGAAACTGAAAAATGTCCACAGATCCATCTACCTACCATGTACCAAAAGAGGAAAAATGGAAAATGAGATAAAAGAAAAGACTAGAAGAACCTGGAAGAATAAATGAAGGAAAGTTGGGGCATGGTGTATATCATATGAAGGAGAAGAATGGTCTGTTATCTCTATGGTGTTCACGTCTTAATCCATTGCAAGCAACAAATACTTAGGTTTCATGCAGTTACCGAAGAAGGATGAGAAAGTAACAGATGACTCTACAAATTTTATGAAGTGTAGCCCTGTTTTTATAGTTTCCTTCACATTTTACAGATATACATCTTATTTGAGTGACAGAATTTCAACTTTTTCTTGTAGTAACATTGAAAAAGACTGTGAAAATGCTGCTAATGCCAAACCAAAGATCTTTTGGTCAACCTTTCCTGGAGAAGGTTTTGTTCTTTGACTTATTGTCAGTGAACTATGAGGCATCATATTATCTGTCTTGCCTGGCAACTAATGATAAAGATGACAACAAATCAATGTTTCATGTGAATTAACTTGTAAAGGCCAGATACAAATACCAAATTACTAATAAAAATACAATAAAGTTCAACACTGGCAGAAGCTTGCCAATCTCTAACTGCAGTAGCAAAGAAAAGCCCCACTTTTCAATTTAATTACCATAGAATTCTTCCTGGAATCATATGAGTATAATAAAATGCACTGTATTTATAGCTAGGGATTAATACATTTTGACATATTTTTGTCAAGCTGAGAGAAGAATAATGATAGGAGAAAACATTGCCATCATTGTTATATTCCTGAATTAACAAATACTTTTCTTCTTTGGGCAATTGTTTGATAACTTTTGATATTCTGATACTTTTTATTTGATTTTGATATTTATTTTGATATTGTGGGGAAAGGCTTAGAATGAAAACTGATGATAGCTAAGCTTTTAGAAATAATACTAAATATTGTAACAAAAAACTAGAGACAATATTTTCAGGGTGATGATTACCATTAGCTGGGTATATCTCCTAAATACTTACCTTTCCTCCAACCCATTGACCTTGCTTTGTTTTATTCCCTTATCATTTACATGATATTAGCCATTCTGCTAGCCATTCTGCTGCAATATTCCATGCTTTATCTACCTGCCTCAGCCTCACATCCTCCAATCCATCATCTGTACTCAAACATCAGAACTCCAATATGACATACAAGGCTTCACAATTGGCTTCAAAACGTCTTCTTAGATTATCTCCTACCCTATGCAGTTTTCTTTTTTTTTTTTTTGAGACAGAGTCTCGCTCTGTCGCCCAGGCTGGAGTGCAGTGGCCCAATCTCGGCTCACTGCGAATTCCGCCTCCCAGGTTCACGCCATTCTCCTGCCTCAGCCTCCCAAGTAGCTGGGACTACAGGCGGCCGCCACCTCGCCCAGCTAATTTTTTGTATTTTTAGTAGAGACGGGGTTTCACCGTGTTAGCCAGGATGGTCTCGATCTCTTGACCTCGTGATCCGCCCACCTTGGCCTCCCAAAGTGCTGAGATTACAGGTGTGAGCCACCGCGCCCAGCCACCCTATGCAGTTTTCAAACTCAACAAGCCTCATACATCAGGTACAAATTGATAAAGGGCACAGACAAGCAGTTAAGTGCAATATGAGGAGTACTACAATAGAGGAGCAAGCTTTAGGAATAACCAAAACAACAGTTTAGTTAAGGCAGATAACCTTAAAGAAAAGAGGGTGGGGTTTCCAAAGGAAGACTAATGGGACTATCTGCTATTTCCTGTTTTCTCGTCTTTCATTGTATTATATTTATTTTCTTTTTTTTTTTTTTTTTTTTTTTTTTGGTCTTTGGCCAGGGAAATTTGTCTCCATTTGCACAGAAAATCACAACAATAGTAAAATTTTGTTATAGTTGTTGACTAACAATCTATTCTAATGCTAGACCACTTTTGGACAGAGACGTTTTCTTGCTATCTTTGTCCTTATTTTTGGCTCAGTGCCTGGCATCCAACAGCCACCAAATGTTTTTCTATTATTTGTGAGTAAATGATTCTAGATTCACCTCAAAACTTAACTTCTACAAGCTTTCCCCTGGCTTCCCTGGTATATATGATTGCCCCTTTCTGTGGGGAGATTATTAGTTCTTCCACATTGCTCAGCTAGGGCTTATCATACAAAATTGTGTGTGTTTGTGTGTGTGCATGTGTGTGTGTCAGGAACAGGATAATGTTAGTGTCTGGTCTCTAATAAGTATGGAGAGCAAAAAAGTATCTGAAGTTTTTATATTTTGTATGCCAAGAAAAGCTTAAACCTGAATTATGAAGGTTCTAAATTATAGAAAAATTTTCTAGAAGATCAATTCTGAAGATTTCTTTTTTGACTTACTTAATATTATGAATAGTAGAATACTCTACTGTGTTCAATAATCTTTCTTTTTCAGTATCATATGGTTTACCGATTAGAAAATATAAAAGTATAAAGAATATCAAAAAATGGACAAAATCATGCCCAATCTATTAATTTTTATTTGTTTTTATATTAACTTTAAATATGTTTTTATTACAAATAATTAAAATAATAATTTTCAAGTGTTAGCCTTTTAAAAACTGAGCTCAAAAAAATAAGGAAATTGAATTTTGTTGTCAATATTACTGACTGGCTAAGATCTAACCACTATTTTTAGTAAGAATGATAACTTCTTTTTTTAGCAAATACTAGGTATTTAAGACAAACAAAAACTTGAAGGTAACTCAAACTACATACATACATATAAATATATATATATATATATATGTATATATAAAGTTTCCAAATATGTAGAAACAATTTTGTGTTTTATATCTTAATTATACTGAAAATAATTTGTGTTAAATAATAAAAATTTGCACCATCTACTATTTCATGAATATTTTCAATTCTACTGCAAGATAATAAAATAAAGTGAGAAGTTTAGCATTGATTTTGATTTAATTGGTTTTATTGCAGGGGGTTACAGGAATTATCATAGTCTATGTATATTTTAGTAGACTCAATGGGAAAAAAAACCCTCCAAATTATCCACAGTTTTCATGTGATATGAGTTCAAGACTTTATGCATATAAAGCTTTAACAGCACTACTTTCTCTTCCTGTTTTACAAGTCCCCATGTCTGTAGTCTCTGACTATAGCTTTTAAAATGCAGGTTTCTAAGCTCTGTATTAATCTCTTGTGGAATACACATCTTTGGTTTTTCTTTGCTCATGATTTATGTGACACTGACACATTTATAACATTAATATAAATTAAGATCATATACAGAATTTTATTTTTTATGTTAGAGAAGGAGGACACAGGATATACTTTTAGTTTCCCATTTCAAATGTGAACTTAAAAGAAGTAAAATAACAATATATGCATATATAATAAGTGCTACAGTCTCAGAGAGACAAATGAAGGCTTTTGGAGGGAAAGGAAGACATAGACAAAAAATATTCGCGTATGTGTGTATACATATATAATGCATATATAGAGCATATATGTATATATATTTTATTTTATAAAAAAAGGCAAATGATATCATTAAAGGAAGCCAATGTTATGACATAGAAAATTCTAGTTAGAAAAATTAATCTGAAGACTTCAAAGACAGGAGTTATGTACAAAGAAAAGAGGATGAAGAAGAAATTTATAAACATGTATATGTGATTTTTTAAGCCAAGATAATAAATAAACAACCATTATAGAAATAAATAGATTTATTTTAATATCTAACTATTTCTAAGTGAAAAAAAATCCTGTGAAAAGAAAAACTGCTTTTTTTCTGTATTTTTAGCTTACATAAAGGCCCAGTCAAAATAAATAGTGACCTGGGAATTATAAGGAAGACAAAGCATTCAGAATTATTAAACTAGAAAAGGAAACAGTATGATTTTTTGACCAATTTTTGTTTTTCTTGGAATTAGAGGATAAAAAATATCAGTGTCTTTGTATTTAAAATCAATTAAAGCTTAAAGTAACAGAGGAAAACTAACTCTTGTGAGACATTTGGGAAAGAATAAGGAAACTGGTCCCATTTAAAGACCCTCGAAGAAAATTTTGTATCTTAAAAAGGTTTCATTACAGAGTATGCATTGGCTCTATTATTGTTCTGGCCCCTAAATTCCCATCAGAGCTGATGATTAAAGTTCTACCCACTGGCCAGGTCCCTACAATTATCCCATTGTGATGGTGCTCTACAGTGGCGCCCTGCTATGGCCAGACATCAAGTCATTAGAGAACTGCAAGGGATGATGAAGAAGGTTATTTTAATTCCCTTTTCAGCCCTTCTCAGGAGTGGCTCTTTAGTTCACAGAGCTGTGGGTACTTGCTTTCAAACTAACAAGCAATATTATAAATGGAGGCTGCATTATCATGATTGCAGACAATCTAAGGCACTTGAAGGCCAAGGATTCTCAGTCCTCAATATGTGCTGTTTTGTATTTATCAGCTAAAAATATATAGACAGTGCAAACAATGAAAGAGGGGGAAATGCAATGAACATGGTGGTGGGGGGCAAAGGAAACAGTGAGAGAACATAAGATGATGGCAAAAATGAACAACAGAGAGGAGAGGAGAGCCCTGGCCATTTTGCTAGTATATAAAATATCTTTACCCATTTTCTTGTTGTTCCACTGCATAGTGTTCCAGCTCCGTGCCAGGAAGGGGCTGGACTGGGGGGGGAGGTAGAGGGACATTGGCCCAAGTGGATCCATTGTTTTTCTGTGGTTTAGAAGAGTTTTTATTTTTCTTCTTTTTTCCACCTTTCCCACCTGAAAGTAATAACGTATTTATTCAGAGATGCCAAATAGCAGAATAAAGAGAATACATCAGATGGCAAGGTGTATTTATGTTTCAAAACACCAGAATCAGTATGTTGGAGTTGTTAAAAGCTATAAACAATGAAATGATATAATCAGAAAAACATTTTTATAAATCACTCAAAATGATACTGTTTTTTTTTCCCCAGTGCATTAACAGCAGAGCTGAATGAACCAAAAACATGGCTGCTGTATCAAAAGCATGCTTATTGATTTATTCCCGTCTGGTGCCTTCATGTTTTCATTGTTAGAGGAAATAATGGGCCATAACAAATTCTTTTAAATGTCAAATTTTAGTACACTTATAATGCTCTTTTGCATAATCTCTCTCAGTGGAAAATGCAAGGTCTAAGGATATAGGCTAAACTTTTCCATTAGAATTTATTCAATTTAATTAATCCAGGAAGGGTAACAATTTTTATCCCAAAAGTAACTGATAAAAATCAATCAGCTACAATCAGGAAAATACCTGTAAATATTTTGCGAAGATACGTTTTATAGACTTTTTAACTAATGAATGGCACAATTATTTTTGCATATGTGAATAGTTCTTAGCTATTTTAAGCATAACATCATATAATATTCCAAAAAGGAGGAAAAATTAATACAGTAATCAGTTTCAGTGGCATTCTAATACAAATGAATTCATGCACAAAATATGAGAAGAAAGTAAGCTAGCAGCATATGAGCCATATCTAGGATTACATGGAGCTTAATGAAATATAAAAAATACAATTTATCATTTGGACAGTGCCATGGTTTTTACTCTTCCAAAATTAAGTAGATAAAGCTTCTTCCTTAAAAGTGGACTACAGTTAAATGAGGAATGAGTACTTCTTGGAGCAGAATAACAAAGGACATTTCAGGGGACACTATATAACTTCTGTGGCTCCCACCACAGCCTACAGCAATATCTGCCAAAAATCTTACTGATTCTTTCGACTTCATCTTTCTGGAACCGCAAGTTGTGAGCAAAAACTATTTGTAGCAGGGCTATTTAGCAATGTATTATAATATCACTAGAAGCCTACTATTCCCCTTACTTCTACCAATTACTCATCTGCATCAGCCACGTTGAATATTATGTAATTTAATAGGAACATATTTGAGCACCAGGAAGTGATAAAACTGTTAAACTGGATATATACTTTATTGCCAGTTATAAAATAGTGTGTGTTTTCCACATAGCATGCACACCTTCACACATATTTCAAAGAACATCCCTGCACACAAATTGCTTTCATCTTGCCTTGTAGTATACTTGTTTGGTAGAATAAAAGATTTTAAGAGGAAGGAGAGCAGACATCTTTTGCTTAGAGGACAAGAGTTTCGTATCTGGGTTTACAGACCAGTTTCCCACTTACTGGATAAGTTACTCAATAGTTACTGCCTACATTTTTGCACATGTAAAACAGATATAAAGTTACTACTTTTTTCAGTTATTTTGAGAATTACAAGAGACAATGCATATCAACTACTCAGAATGGACAGAACATTCAATAAATGCCACTCATTTGTGTTCTTTTTTTTCCCCCATATCCTCTATCTTAGAGCAAACCCAGCTCCTCTTGATTTCTAAAGCTTTCTTTACTCCCAACTTCTCCAGGCCCTATGAGTATCCCACAAACAGCCTGACTCAGAATAACAATAAACTTGCTTGAATATACATCTGTAATGTTTGTCTTTAAGGTAGATGAACCTTAATCCTTTGTTTCCTGATGAGTCAGCAAAATTATCAGACAGGAACCATTTCTTCTGTTGTAGTATCAGAACTCGGTTTCAATGATTAAAAGGGGAACAGACTGAGCTACTTGTCTTCCATAGCTTTCTCTCTAGTTTCACCTCCTTTATTCCTTATTTATTTATATATAGAGAGAGTGCTTTTCGTTTTCCATGGTACTTTTAGAAATGTTAGGTGGTCACCACCAGAACTGAGTAACAGAAATAGACAAGTTCTTGCATCTCCATTTTATAGATGAAGCAACTGAGGTTCATTCTGAGTGTTACGTGGTCCACATTCACCCAGTAAGAGAAAAATCAGAATTCAGAATGTAGCAGCTTTCTTTACTGGAAATTACTACTTCCAGAGCCCTGAATTCTGTTGAAGTCATTGTCCAAAGTTCAAGAAAGCCATTCATTACCTACTCTTCCAAACAGATTTAAAAATCTATTTGGGAAACGGGTGATTCATAGAAGAAATATGTGAGGGCTTTCTATCCAACAATCACTTTCTCTTCTTTTGAGGAAATTTCTGCTCTCTCATTATGGGCAGTACGTGTAGGATTACAAATCAACACACCTGACTTCTTTTAGCAGTGAGCAATGGTAGGTTCATAGCATGGTGGAGAGCATACATAGAACCAAAGCCACTTACATTCTCTGAGATCTGAACCTTGAGTGAAGTAAGCCACAGTCTGTTGCTGTTACTTGCAAACAAAGAACCTTCAATCACTTTAAGGTGAGAATTTCTTATATTATCTTTTAAGGGAGCATATTTTAATGACTTACATATATAAACTCTTTAATTTGTGTGTATATTAATATATATGTATATATATACTATATATATACTTTTTTTTTTTCCTTGAGACAGGGTCTCAGTCTGTCACCCAGGCTGGAGTGCAGTGGTGCGATCACATCCACTGCAGGCTCAACTTCTCAGGCTCAAGCATCCTTCTACCCCAGACTCTCAAGTAGCTGGGAATACAGTCGAGTGCCACCATGCTTGGCTAATTTTTGTATTTTTTTCAGAGATGGGGTTTCACCATGTTGCTCAGGCTGGTGATTTTATATTTTTAATGGTTAGATTTTTAATGGAAGTGCTCAGAACTTATATATTGAATAAATATTAAGTGTTTCAAAGAGGGTAATACACTCAAATAATTCTGAAATGTCCACTTTTATCACTGTGATTATTTTAAATTGCTTACATTGCTATCCACAAATTAAGAAAATCTTATAATACCATATGATTAGTTATCCACAAGGTGGTTTGATCTTAAATTTAAGTCTTAGGAAAGATACCTATGATTATAAGCATAAGACAAAACTCTAATATTAAACTCAATTGAACTAAACTAAAAAGAGAATAATCACTCTCACCTACTAAAGAATGCTTTCTATCATCAATTTAAGTAATTTTGTATTCAAATGTAGATGAAGTAGTTAATATAATTCATAGATATATATAAATGTCACTCAGGAGATTAATGGATTCAAAAAAGCACTAAGTACTATTGTGAATTGTGTTCTGCTTACAGTTACTCAAAAGACAACTTTTAAAACTTGGTGGTGGCAATCAACACATATAGAATACTTAAAGAAAGATTTTTAAAAGTCTTAAGTAATCCATGGATTATAGTATATAGATTTATTTTTACATACTGCATGTGACTTTGCATATCTTTAATGAAATAAAAAGGAAGCCCAGGATAAATTACTTTTTAATTATTCAGAACAATTGTGAGACTTATTATAAATAAATGGCAGTCTAAATGACATATAAGGTTATTCAAAAAGTTCTCCTATATTATTAAACCTGTTTAAATTCATAACAGATGTTTAAAATTTTCTGGATTCTATAATATAGCTAATTCTACCAATAGGCAAGAAGAGCAAATGACCCATTTTGAAGGGAAGAGGGAGCATTAACATTTTCAGACTGAAAGGGTTCCATCTCCTGAGGAAAAGTAATTTAGAAAATGTTACCCTAATGATGTAAAAAGTTTAACTCTTTATGGCTTTGATGCTTGGTAGCCTGTGACATGCCATAATACACTATAGTCTTTTACAAATAACCTGTAATTAAAAAAATAAAACAAAATCTCAGTACAAACAAATAGCATATAGTTAATCCAAACAAATTAAACAAGTGGGGTCATGGAATAAATTAGAAATGCACAAAGTCATCAGCCATACAATGTATATGTCATGGTTGAAAGTTAGAGTGTGTCTACTACAACCTCCTCATTTTACAGGTAAGGATCTTTGGGCCAGGAAAATTTCATTCATAAGTCATTACAATAGGTATATATTTTTGTCCAGTAAAGGGTGTTTCTTTCCATTTGTGCTATATGATACTGACATTATAGATTGTCAGTTTAGCTGATATATCTCAAATACATATTAAAATTTATACCATAAAAGAATTAGCAATATCAAAGATTATATGGTTTTTTGGAAATTAAATATTAATTTCCCATATTAACTTTCTTGTATAGTGCAGTAGAATATCATTCAATAGATAAAAAATCCTATTATATGGTATTTCGAAATCTTGTCCAAAAATAGGAGGTCACATCAATGATATACTAATATTATGAACTACTCCAAAATCATTTTCATTTTAGTTGAATTCATCTTTTGGTATCTATAACATGGAATTGACTTTCATGTATGATCTTTTTATTATAAAATTCTCTTTACTCGTTCTTTAATGAATAGTATTTAGTAGAATGGCATAATTTTTCTTTAAATATTTCCTCATAGAGTTAGTATATAAAAGGGGACAGTGATTTTTCTCTTCCCTTTTATCCCACCAAGGCATGATTTCATTAGCATAAACTGTTGTCATTTGACAGATAAATGCCTGACAGTGAGCTGTGATTCAGTATATCTTCATGGTTGTTAGGAACACAGGTCATACGCTGGTGACAAACAAATATTTCTCCTTACTGTGATGAGACCAACCTGAGAGACTGCCACTCCTTTCTGAGCTGTTGTGAGAGCTGGTGGTGCTGAAATCCTGAGACTGGTTGTGTGGCATTCTATTAGACAATCCCTCAGCCAATCGGTAGTCAGGAATGTAAAGTAAGGCTAAGGGTTAAAGGGCAGAGGTCATAGTGGCATCATGTGATTAGTTCACAGCACAAGCCCATGCAGAACATGCAGTTAGCAACTCAGAAGCAGATGTTGTGGGAGAGTGGAGGAATGTTTTGTCTACCCTGCCCTAATGGAAGTAGAGATGGATTGTTGATCATTAGGTTGAAAAAGAGCTAAAAGATGAAACCGATTGGCACTGGTGTGTGGTGGTGGTGGAGGAGGTGGTGGTGGCGGCGGCGGTGGTGGTGGTGGTGGTGGTGGTGGTGGCGGTGGTGGTGGTAGGAATTACTCAAGTTACTGGAAACATGCTGGTATCTTTTTTTAGTTTAGGTAGTAAACCTGGTAATGAATCACTAAGTCAAACAACAAATACTAATTTCTATCTCATGCACAAATGATATGAAAATACCTCCTCAGGACACAAGAACCTGACTCACCATTGTTACCTTTGTTCTGATCAGGTAGAGAATAACCAAATCCCATCAGATCTGTTTTTTGCTGAATTGAGCTTTTCCATTGTGGATCAGGCAGATCGACAGCCAATTCATGTATGCTGTTGGAATGCAAGATCTGTGTCGTGGCATATGGGGTAGCCTGTGTTATTTGGCTGGAACTGTTGTAACTGGTTTTGGTAGTGAAGTCAATGCTACTATAAATGGCTCCATCTGAGAGCATCGTTGCTGTTTTATCCCCTTGGCCTGGAACTGGTGGCAGCACATCTGTGGTGAACATAGGGAAATGAAACAATTTAATGAGGCACCGGAAGCCCAAAACTATCAGGACTGAAGATGAAAAATAAGTGTGTCACACTGCACGTTTGCATTTCAGCTGAGATGGGCTTCATGAGCCACTGAAGGGTAGATGATATACAACCATCGCCAAGCTATCAGCCTCAGTGACAGGCAGGCCTACTGCTCGCCCTTCACGTCTCACTGCTTAAAACACCCTTCCCCCTATTTTCTTTAACCATGAATGAGACGGTTGGCATACTTCACTACAGAAAAATGCTTTCAGTTGTTCACTCTGTTTTAGAGCCAATGAAAGTGTTAGCACTTTACAGTTGCAATGATACTGAATCCACAACTCACAGATGAAAAACATCTCTTTCCACTTTATCCCAAGAGACATGGACTACAACTGCTAAATACATGCTAACATTTCAAAAATTATACTATACCGACTATGAAGTATATTTTTTGAAGCTATAACTTGCCACTTATTGTGTGATTTAATTGCTCCAGAAAAGGAGAGTGCATTTTTTTTCTTGTATAACAAAGGAAAATTTTCAGGTGTAAGCCATTTTCACAATATAGCAGAATTTAACTATAGAAAAAGCAATCTCAGTGATCGGTGAGTTTAATTTATGCTATCAACTCCGAACTAGAGAATTACAGTTTCATGTTGTAATACAGCTAGAGTAAAATTAAACTCCAGGAGCAACACTGAATATCAATCAGTCCATTTTTCATTTTGGTATGCTGAATTATTTTTACATGATGCTTTATAATTCAGAACTGCTGCCTCTCTCCTGAGCTCTTATTTTCCCTTTTTGGAAGAAAGATACTAAGTGAATCTAAAATAGAAATCACTAAATAACACTGTTTTTAATCCTGTAGCGTTAAAATGAATCTAATTATTATATAGTACATTTTAAAATAAGCTATCTTCTGAAAGCTTCATTTCATGGGACTTGAGGCCATCAAATCACTGCATTCTTTCATTATAGGACATTTTCAACTATCTTAAAACTTTTAGATTAGCTGATACTCAATAGTACCTGAAATAAAAATTCTTATAGAAATATTACTTTTGCTTTTGAATTTTACATAAGCTAAAAATTGTCTTCTTTAGCAAGTGTAGAAAGAAATGTATACTATATTTTGTACACTGCATAACTTAAGTCTTTATGAAGGTTTTGAAGTTTGGAGCTTGTTTTACAGCTGAGCGGATATGTACTTAAGATATTGAAGTAAATATCTTAAATGTGTATCAGTGAAGTTGTTAAACATATTTTAACTTATCATATTTCACCAGGTTGTATAAGCAAATAACATTATTTTTAAATTTCAGAACTTCACAACTACTTTCTTGCCCTTCTTTCTTTGAGCTATGTCCTAATTACAAAATTTGATGTTAAGCATACTGCATTCTCAAGTGTTAGTATTATTTTTATTTCTCAAAAACTTTTAATATGTAGTATATCCAAATTGGTCACAATAGATCCTTCATTCTGGGTGATTTTTCAGACTTTTGTTTCTGCCGCTTCTACCATGTCCTTCACTGATGAATATTAAGTGAATATACTTGATTCCCCAACTTGAGCTCCAATTTCACACACCTTGAATTTAAAGTTCTCCAAAGCTTTAGATGTGGATTGCAAGCCACTTCGATGGCAAGCTTTTCAAATGGCTGTGTGCTCAAATGTTAAACAATGAAGAAAAGTGGTCCAAGAATCTAATCCTACATAATATTGCTATACAACTAATGCTATGGCTCTGGAAATTGAATCTCTCCTCTCCCTGCTAGATAAAATTATAGTCAGCCTTTAAGTCTAAGTGCTTCTGTATTGATTTTTAGGCTGCATATTGTCTTCAAATATGATTTGATCATCCCTACATTTTCAAAAAATAAACTGAATTGTATTCTAGCATCGAAATATTGGAATATTGCACATGAATATTTGGATGTTAAGGAGAGTCCTATAATACCAGATGATTTGGAACTCTGGGCTAGCCTTCCTCCCAACAGGCTAGACCTAAATAGGTGATGTCATATTTAGCAGGTCTTTTTTCCATTTCCATTTATAGCAGTCCCCACCTACCAGTCCTTAATGTTTTAGGCTGTCTGACTGGTGCTTGTTAACACTTATGTTTGAAACCTATGAGTTATGGAAATGCTTCCTCTACTTGGAATTGGTAATTCATTCTGTAGTTTTTCAGCACCTTGGTTATACTTGTACTCACATTTATTTCCTTTTGTTTTATATAATTATCTGTACAAATGACTGTCTCCTTCACTGTATCACGAAGTCATTTGAAGACAGGAGCATATGGGATTTATGTCTGCATTTTCATAGTTGCTCACCCAGTGTTTTGAAGAGAGTAAGCACTTGCTGACTTGAATGGTTAAATAATTTTTTTTATGGTTTCCTTTGATAAAATATGGATTTATGCTATAATTAGTAACTTTATTATTCTAAGTACTATTTTTATTACATTCAAACGTATTGTCATTTCATTCTTTTTTTTGCCAAATTTTATTTATTTTTTATTTATTTTTTTATTATACTCTAAGTTTTAGGGTACATGGGCACAACGTGCAGGTTAGTTACATATGTATACATGTGCCATGTTGGTGTGCTGCACCCATTAACTCGTCATTTAACATTAGGTATATCTCCTAATGCTATCCCTCCCCCCTCCCCCCACCCCACAACAGGCCCCGGTGTGTGATGTTCCCCTTCCTGTGTCCATGTGTTCTCATTGTTCAATTCCCACCTATGAGTGAGAACATGTGGTGTGGGAAAATGTCAGTATCCATTCTTATTCTTCCAAGTGAATATGGTTATATAGTCATACATGTGAATCTGCCTTTACAATACAAAGCAGAGTTTTCTACAACCAGATCTCAAATTATTTATCTTGAGAAAACTTAGTTTCTTGATCCTTAAAATGGAAATATGACTATTTCATATATTACTATGCAAGCAAAATGAATTAAAATATACAAAAAATTTTAACAGTATTTCTGGCACATAGTAAATGCTTAAAATGACTATCACATGGATAAGGGATACAGTCAACTCTACAAAAACGTTGTCTTGGCCTTGCTGTTCATCTATGAGATATTTCACATCATGAAAATTAAGGGAAAATGGAAGAAAAACCTTGCAAATCTCCAGGTGTACCCTTTTGTTAAATTTGACTGAGATATTTTAGACGTTAAGGTAGCCTGTGGAAACTGAATATTCATTTTCTCCATCTGTAAGCATTCACTTTTTCATGTAACAATAGCATGTCATATTATTTCAATAAAAATACAAGAGGTAAAAGAGTCAGCTATTCCTTCATTGACAAAAGCTGTGGGAACAGAATTCCTTTTGACAAAATCAGTCGACATAGCAGGGGGAGGGACATTCTTGTTTCCTGATGAGCAGGTGCTCAGGCACAGAAACTACCCATGGCAAAGTGATAGCTGACAGTTGCTCACAGTCGGGTCACTTAGGGGAGGAAGCCACTACCAGAGTATCTGGGCAAGTGAGAGTCCTAAGTGGGGTGTGTTGGCTTGCAGAAGCGGAAGAGGAAGCTGAGGAGTCATATAACTTACTTTCCATTCTCTCACTCACTGCACTGATGCCTGATGATTGATGGTATGCCAAGCTTTGGGATATATATATATATACACATATATATATATGTGTGTGCGTATATATATATATATACACACTATATAAATAAATATATATATTCTATATAAATAAATATATATATATATTCATCTATTTAATCCTCATTACACACCTATGAAGTAGGAATGGTTATTTTCTGTATTTTATTTGCAGAAGGGAAGGGAGTTCCCCTTCTCATAGTTGGTACTGACAGAATGCAGACTTATGCAATAATCAGTAGCTTCATTATTTGAAATACAACTTCAAATATAGTCAAACATAGTGGTAATCCATTCTTAAAGAGAACATGCTATGAATATCCTTCTCAGTTCTCAGTCAATCTGGTTATATACTCATACATATGAAATTAACCCATCAAGGCTTATAGTGGACTCAGAAAAATTTAACAGAGCCCTGGGCCTCCTTCATTAATTCTAAAAGTGCAGAAATCTTACAGAGAATTCATACAGCTTTGCTTGGATTACAGCACTATTCTAATTAATCACTCCAATTTTCTACCGTTACTCCATTCTTCATCCAGCAGCAGGCTGGATGACTTAAAACAGTACTTGGAGTACTTGGATCCCAGCATTCTCCTCTTAAAAATCCATCAACAGCTTCTGATTACCCTCTGAACGAAGTCTAAATTCTCTATGTGGCTTAAAAGGTCCTTTGTTATCTATCCTTCTATATTTCTTACCATTTCTGCTTCCTCGTATTTTATACTCAAGTCATTAGGAAATTCCTCCATTTCTCAAGTAGGTCAATGTCTCTTTTATTTGTGGAACTTAAAATACAGCAACTTCTTTTCTAAACACTTTTTTTTTTCCATACTTTTGACTCATTTTTAAATTTGCTTCAGGTATCAACTTAAATAATATTCTGTTCATAGAGCTTTCTTACTCCCAATTGGTAGACATGCCACATGGGGTTCTGGCAAGGCAGTTTAAGCACATTTAATGTCTGTACAATCTTCCACCAACGGAAAACTCACATGAACCTGCCAAGCCACACTGAGATCAGAGAGTTCCCTACTCCTCTCATCATTCTCTAAACCCAGCTCTCTCCTATTGACTGGATGAAAAGGTGAAGTCAGGGGAGGTGGTAGTTATTTACAGTAGGTTACTTGTGTCTCCTTACAAACCCACAGGGAGAGGACTCTGGCACCAAATTTTGAAGGCTTGCATGTGGCTACTTAGCACTTTTTTGTCTTTTTTATTTATTTATTTATTTATTTATTTATTTTTGGATAACAGTTACTAGTTGTGGAACTACAGAAAAGTTCTCTCTCAACATGTTATATTGACTTAATTGTCTATTTCTTACATGACATATTATATGAGGGCAAGAACCATCTTTTTTATATCATTATTATATTCTTATGGTCTTCCATAGTGCCAAGTACACAGGAGATGCTCAATAAATACATGTTAAATGAGATGGAGAAGGGAAACCTCTAGTCCAAAACCATAAGCCCTAGTTAACAAAATAGTCTCTGAGTTCAGTAATCTTGTACTAGTAATCCTGAAAGCATATATATTATAAATATTTATCATCTTGGTTAGTAATAGCTTCCTTAAAAGTTTGGTTTTACTCAAGGTAATGAAGATACAATCGTTTTATATTAAAATATTTAGCAAATGTACAACACTGTTAGTGCATATGTTTCATTGATTTTAATTATGGGAGTAAATACTCTCTGATATGTTTCTTTAAAAAAATCCAGGAAGGTCAAAAAAAAAAAAAGAGAGAGAGAACTCAAATAACACTATTTTAAAAAACACAACTTACCTCCACGGCCAAAATTTCCAATCTCATTTGGGCCACTGTTGCTATTATTTACTGGCAAGCTCGTGGCTGGCCAAGAATCAGCAAGCCATGGATAGCTGGGATCACCAGCATTGAGAAGACCTGGACGGCTAAAACAGAAATTACAAGGAAATCAACACATGGAGCTCAATGCAAGATTTTGACACTCGTCTCATGCAATATAAAGCGTTAAGAAATGGAAGATTTTCATTGACTTCAAATTAATATAAGTAGACTCCCTGGAATTAAAGAACTCCAGCAATTCATTAAGGCTATACATACATTAACAGTGGACGCAGGGAGTCCTTGCCCGGGATTTTGTCAATGTCCAGATGAATTCAGGTGTCTGCCCTGAAACTGGTAGAAATCAGTAACATACTAGGATCCCAAAACAAGGTTTGATGATACATTGGCACCACAAGGGAACAACTGCTCAAAGTGACTGCTCTATGTCAGCCATTTCTAAGACTTTGGGCTATTCCTTCCTCAATTCCTGCAGCTACCTTACGTATCTGTTCCCTCTAGGCTGTAACCCTTGTTATGAGCCCTCATGCTTGATTTGGAGGCAAGGAACTGAAGTGAAATTAATGAACAGTATTTATACTGCTCCATAAATAGCACATTTCCAAGTTCTAAATTGCAAAATATCAGGGGTATATTAAGGGTTTTTTTTAAAGGTAATAAAAGATACACTGTGATCTGATCCAGCATGTGAGTATAGTCTATAAGTAAAATTTCCTTCACGTCATATTTAGTAAAGAACTTCCTTCTTTAATATAAAAGATGAGATTCTGATTCCTTTCCAGATTACTAGCATATTTACACAGAAATAGAACATCTATAATCATTGCACTTTTCTTTTGATAGACCCCTTCTGGTACAATCCCTAAGAGAAACATGTGTTTCTATGGAAACTGCAATAAGAAGACCCAACCGCTTTCTTGCTACATCCACAAACTCTCATTAGACTTAATCTCTTTTTGCTAAAATATTGATTAAATGGGAGATTGGAAGTTATTACCAGAGCCTAATTACAATCTCCATATTGGCAAAGGGAAAATAGATGAGGATATATGAGTTTGTTATCAGCTTTTATCAATTTCAATTGAATATCCAAAGTTGTGGAATCCAGTCCTATCAATCTATAGCCTATTCATCATCCATGAATCATTTACTTTGTGATCGATTATGTGTAATTGTTCACTCACAGCAATTTAGTGAGAGCCTATAAGGAGTCTTAAACAACAGCAACTTCATTTGCTAATGTCTAATTAATGCAATAAACATCCTGCTAACAAATGAACACATTCCATGTGATATTTACTACTAATTTCTTCAGGGGCATCTGGGAGTTATGAAACATCTGGACTTGATTCCTCTAAAGTGCACAACAGATAGATCATTAAACTTTGTGGTAAGCCATTTAATTCCTCCTAGAATTCTCAGACTTTTAAGTGATCATTTATTACAATAATAGGCTCTTACTATAGAGTTTCCCCAGTCCTGATTAAAAATAAAAATAATAATGAAACAATCTCCGTAGCATACCTTCCATTGCTCATTAGTCCTCCATCTCCTCTTTGAAACGTAACTATGAAAAAAGAAAAAAAGGAAGACATGCACACACAAGTAGTCAATATTAATTACAATTAATAACAACTACATATTGGCCCTTAGTTTAGAGCTGAGGCCTCTGGGAATTTTAACAAAATATAATTAACATCATTGTACAGAGAGTAACAAGCAGTGGTTTGGCCCAAGGCAAAGCCATCATTTGCTCCAATTTTAATAGGACATTTTCAAATTCTTTAAGCCAAATCCATGGTTAAGTTAAAGAACTAATTTGTATTTAAATGTCAAACCTGTTACAATTAGTATATATAGTGGTATTGCAAGATCAACGTAGCATTATTGTGAATTTATCAAATCAAGATTTTTAATTTTAAAACAAAGGTGTCCTAATTAGAAGGCATAAGACAAAACACTCATAATATAAATTGAAACAGGAAAGTTCCAACATGTTACGTCGTTCTAATGAAACAAGAAAAACAAATACTTATTGACTACAGATTTTTCACCATCACAAATCCTTTTATGACCCTCATAAACAGTGATAATTACAACAGGTGTGAACTATAATTAATAGAGAATAACATGCTCATGAAAATGAAATTTTCAAATAATTGATACTGAATATATTCCTAATTGTATGTAGTGATCAGAAAAGTTGAATCCTCCATGTAACTATGGAACTTATTAGCAACACCAATAAGCATCCACCAGAGCCACAGCCAGTGAAGCCACTCTCTCCAGCCGATAGTTTCAAGCCTACAAACCTAACAACATGAAAGTGGATTTTAAGGACTGGCCAAAGAATGTTATTATCAGTTCAGGTCCATCATCCATTACCCAAACCTTTGCAGCCAAATGGATCTGGACTCCAGAATGATTCAGAATTGAGAAAAGTAATATACTTTGCATATTACAAAGAGGTTCTGAGACAGTAAACTGTATTCAAAGTTATTTAGTTTTTCTGCAGTGGAATGTGAATATCCATGATTAGTAGGATAAAGTCTACAAGTAGCTTCACATTAGTTTGGATCAAATTTTGCCATTAAATTAGTTAACTAGAAAATTATTTTTAAAAAGAAACATGGTGTTTAGAAGTGTACAGCTTGCAAAAGTGCAATAAACCTGCAATTCTGACCACAATTAATGTGGATTGGCTAAACCAATCACCGGGATGAAGGAAAAAAAATACTATTTTCACAGCTGTGAACCCAATAAACCCTATCTTTGGAAGGGGTTGATTATATTTACTATGATTTTTTTTCCTGTGGTGAGTACAGGTGAAAATAAATGAAATTTAATTAGTTGATTCATACTGTAAGTAAATAGAGGATATATTGCCACTTAATATATATACACATAGTGAATACTTCTTACTTTGAATAACTCTCCATAACTCCTCTGTTCTCAAGTTTGGGCTATCAAATATGATGATCGCTCTTTAAATTTTACACATTTCCAAATGAAGTCCCTCCTTTAAGGTTATCTACTAATATTATCTCTCATGCTATCATAATCAGGTAATATGACTCTAAACTCCAAGGGTCTTCATGAGACAGTAAAGCATATCAGGGCTTTTAGGAACTTCTTATTGGTACCTGAAATATACTGCCTTATCAATTTTATGTGTAATATCTCAAATGCATTGCAAAACAATCCTGACATAACCTTTGCATCTGCTCAACACTGGCTATAGGCACATGCTCAGAGAAGATGAAAAGGCTCACTGAAATGCGGGAAATCAGGAATCAGCAGTGCATCTGTCCCACATTGTGCCCGTTTAATAACTGCTTTTAACAAAAAAGAATTAATCTGAAATAATTAATGCAAAAAATTGAGCACTGGAGATATTAAATAAATGCCTGATTAGTACACATGCAATGTGAAAACAGTATAGCTAATTAGCTTTCCATCTGATGTGACTTTCTAGTTTGTGTTTTTTTTTTTTTTAATGGACTATCAAGTGATTGTTTTAGTCTGTTAAAAGAGAGTTAAGATAATGGTGTGAATATCATTGTGAATATGCAAATAAGCAGATGCTCATGGGTTACACCTCAAAATGTGCTGTTCAAGAGATATGTGAGAAGCTAAGTAGTTTTCCCTAATTTAGATGCTCTTTTGTCCCATTCAAACTTTCTGTTACTGCCAGAGCAATAAATAATATTAGAGAAAAGGAGGACAACAGACACAGAGGTACAAACATTGAGTGGCCCTTAACTTTAATACATGAACCAGTGGCAAATTCTTCATGACATGTAAAGTTTAAAGTATTATAATAGAACACTGAAAACCCTATAAAAAATATATCATGAGGCCGGGCATGGTGGCTCACGCCTGTAATCCCAGCACTTTGGGAGGCCAAGGAGGGGGTGGATCACGAGGTCAGGAGTTCAAGACCAGCCTGGCCAAGACGGTGAAACCCCGTCTCTACTAAAAATACAAAAATTAGCCGGGCGCAGTGGCAAGTGCCTGTAATCCCAGCTATTCGGGAGGCTGAGGTAGGAGAATTGCTTGAACTTGGAGGGTGGAGGTTGCAGTGAGCCAAGATCGTGCCACTGCACTCCAGTCTGGGCTACAGAGTGAGACTCTCTCTCAAAAGAAAAAATTATATATTTATATATATATACACACATAATGCATTAAAGTTAATTTGCAAACTTGTTAGAGTATGAACACTATAGTATGTATGGCCCATATCTGGCAATTGAAAATTAAATGCTGTGAGCAAAATAATTTAAATTTAAAAATATTTCTTATTAAGCATTTGGGACAATCTATTTTCTGTTTCTGTTCCCGTCATCATTAAAATATGTTTTTCAAATGATTCTAGACTGCTAATAGGGTGTCAAAATATTCTATAAAGACACTTATCTCTGTATCTCTGCATATTAAGTATACAAAGGCAAAACTTCACACATTATGTAAATATTTGATGACCTTAAAAAGGTTCACATACAATTTAGTACACAATCTAAATTTCCATTTTGTATTGTTTCTGTCAGAATTTTTTTAAAAACCCTTATCTTAATGGGTTATTTAGTTGTGTTTTTAAAGCAAGGGAAAAACAGGGAACACTTTTTCAAGTTTCATTTTTTACTTTATGCTTCAAAACTTTTAGATTTGTTCTATTTTGAAAAGTAGATCAAAAGTAACTAACTTCTATTAGATCATGAGATTTAGGGCAGACTACAAATAACTATGAACAATTAGAACTCCTAAAATGGAAATCATATCTGGTGTTTTGATCAGCATTTTGTGTGTCTGTGTGCAGAGAGATGAACATACAAATCAAATTCCAGAGCAAATTGAAAGCTATTTTGAGGTAGTTCTCATTTCAAATAAGTGTTTGCCTTGAAGCTGTAAGAAGGGTTGGGGTGGTCAGACAATCTTGCTCTTGTCACAATTTTGATAATCACAGAGTAGTAACTTTGTGCTTATTAGAGATACATATGGAATAACTGTGACTCTCAATCAAAAGTCTCTGTTAGCATCTAAAATTAAGAACTTTCAAGGAGTTACATACAGAATATTTTAGCTTACACTAACTGAATAGGGCTAAGGTTTCCAAAAAGTTCTGCAGACACCACAATTTAAAATGTTTTTGAATTGCATGAAATATTTTGAATTTCTTGCAATTTTTACACAAATATAAGGTAAAGAGATTTCGCAAGATTATAACATACAAAAAGTAACTCTAATATTACCTCACAGGATGAATCCTAATCTCATGCCTGCTACAACTGGGGTAGAGGAGGAGAAAACATAACTGTGGCAAATTGACATTTTGAGTGAGGAAGCTTTCAGAGTGCCTATCTTTAGTAGGTCACATTTTCCTACTCCAAATAGAAACTTTACTGTTGCAGGCAAGCCTCATTCCCTTTCCCGATAAGCTGTTTCTCAAATATGAATGCAGATTAATCCTTTTTTAATAAGCACTAACTCAGCCCAGATAATCAGAGTATAAAAAATCCATCAAATCTTTTAAGTGCCTTGGATGGTTTTGTCTAATAATGTATATTTCACTGATGATTTTAAGACCTATGTGTGAAGTGTTTAGCATTTCACATAATTTGCTCACTCATATTAAATTGTTTATATTTACTGAGCTTCATAAAATCTGTTATCTTCATAGTGAGCCATCTATCAGTTAAGTAAAAAACTTCTGAAAGGCTTCTCTCTGGCTTGGCCTTACTCCAAAACACCTGAAGGGCATAGCACCTTCTGAGTTAGCAGTTCGTCTACAAGCAGATGAGTAGCAATAACAATAAAAAATTGTAACAGGAAATGCACTATTCTTGTCAAGCTCAATGATCAACATATATTTTCAATTTAAGTGCATAGGTTGTGCAAAGAATTGCTGTTAAAAAAAAGAAGAAAAGTCTCTCTGGTGTAATTTTACTAACAGTATAAACTTACCAACTATGAGAGATATTTTATTTATAAGGAGTGAGTGAATGAAGAAGTATGGAAGATAAAAATGCAACACTCCAAATGTGAATATATTAGAACTTTGCACCGAACTGACCAGCACAGTCAATTTTTTATTATCATTGCTAACATCAAGCAAAGGGATAAACACAAAATAGTCCATGAATTAAATCAGTTCTTCCTTATATTTCATATGATTTATACGAGTGTATCACAGAGATGTAATATGACATGGTGGCTGATTAAACAGAAAGGTTGATGGGCAATACCTTCAGCGATGAAGGCAGAGAACCGGACTGCATAACAAGAAGGTACATTAAAGTATCATTAATTTTCCAGACTCTGACACTCAGTTACTGCCTAGCACCCCTTTCTGCAAAGAATCCTTCACTGTTGAAGTGATATAGCACTTGGGTGACAAATTATGAGGAAGCAGAGAGGCAGCAACCAATGAGAAATGAGAATGGCAAAATGATGGCATGTCACCAAACATGGAAGCCTCTTGTCAATGGATATGCTGTAGTACTTTCTCTAGTCCTGGAAATGTCTTCTAACAAGTAACTAATAAATTTTAACTTCATAAGATATAGACACAAGCTACAATGCTATAATCAAATGATCATAAACATATAAATGCATCAAATAACAAACAAGGCAACCAAGTCAGTGCTATACTTAGCATTTTGCACTATTTCCACATTCTCAGCAGTTTAGGAGCCTACAAGCCACAGCATCGTAAAAGCTTAATAATCAATGACGCCTCTGTCAAAATCAGTTACTAAGACATTTATGCTTCCTACCAAATTTAATATTAGGAATACAAGATTGAATATAATGTCTCAAAAACTTCTTACATATTTGTAAAATAATGTCAAATTAAAACTGCTCCCTTATTAATTCTAGAAAGTGTGAAATGTTGTGAGATATTTCTTATCATTGTTGTTGGAGAAAATATTTAAAATAAAGTGCACTTAAAATTGTAATTGAACATTGCTTCAGTATTGAGTTCATTCTCTCAATCACTGACTTTACAATTTTGTGTGTCCTCTCTCTCTTCTCTCTCTACCATGGAGATATTTTGAAGGCCACATTATAGGACACCCTTGAAACTCTGTCTTGGAGTCTAAGAAGAAAACATTGTTGTGAAGATGTAGACCATCTAGGGTCTTCTTTTTATTGTTCTGCTTCGGCTTCTTTCTCTTTTTCTTCGTTTTCCTTTTCTTTTAAAATACTGTTCATTTGCATTGTAATAAGAGTCTATTTAAGTGAACAGTAAATCACTTAATTCATGCCTCATCAGTCTTATCAATTCTGGTGAGATTTTTGCTTGTCAGTATTTTTCACGAGGGACATTTCCTATTGTAATCTGCATCCTGACACACTAAAAGCTATATTTCAAACTTTTCTTCTTTCCTGAACATTGAAGTAATGCTCATGCATAAATCCACTTCTCAAACATGGCTTCATAGCATGTAACACATAGTCTGCGTGTGCATGTGTGTGTGTGTGTGTGTTTGAGTTTATGATTTCAAAGAACTAGTTGAGAAAAACAGTTAAGCATTTTTATCAGTCTGTGCTCTTGTTATGCTTCACTGGAGCTACAAGCAAACAGACTGCCTTATGGTTATAAAGCGATAGGTCAAGAGCAATGCATTAAAGCATGTTGAGTGTAATTGCATTTTACAGTGCAGGTTTCTAAAATAAGCCCAAATCACTCATTTGTTATTCCTTTCTGTTCCTTCCATTCATTTCATTACATTCCTACAGACAAGAGATTTTCTTAGCTGGAAATAGTCACTTACCAGCATAATTACTGAGTCCCTTCCTCTTCTTTCTTCGCCAATACAACCATATGCTAAAACCCATCAGAATTACCCAGCAGGCACCACCAATACCAGCTATAAAGGCTGGTTGCTTCACCACATCAGTGATTTGCTCAGTTATGCTGTTATTGTTTTCAGTAATGACAACTTCATTGCGTCTCCCTATGGAAAAAACCATAGTATTAGTATATATTAAAACGAAAATAAGCACAGGAATATAAACATGGTGCATCAAAAATGAAGAAAAATTATTTGAAGGCAGGAAATGCTTGTTTAGTTTTGAGCCTATCACAAGTATTGATAAGCATAGCCCATAATTTTCAAAAGAATAATCAAATCGTGAGTTTGCAAATGTGATTAAGAACACTGACCTCTTGTGTTGTGGTTTGCTATGGATGGATTCACAACGTAGTTGATTTATCACCTTATAAATTATAAAAATAAGTACTAGGAGTTGAATTAATAACTTATCTTGAATTACATCAAGTGTTTTTAAATACAGTTCTCATTTTTAAGAAAGCAATTACAACTTTTAACATGGGGTATTTGCAAATTGCTTTTCTGCTAAGGCACGGTCCATATTCCAAATGTTCATAATTCACAAGAACATGTAACTTAATGTTGACCTTAATATTCTACCAAAGAACTTATTTTGAGCCAATATCCTTTAATTTTCTGGGAAGTATTAAAACTACTATACAAAACAATGACAATTATGTAAACAGCCTTCACAGAGATCAGCGTGTATAATTAAAATATGAAAAAGATGAAACTCATATATTCCCTTAAAGTATCTGAAACTAATTTGAAAATCCATTTGAAAGCTAAATTTAAAGAACAACTTAAAAATTAACTTTGAGGTCTCCATTACTGAGAAATGCATTTAAATCTGAACTAAGATTATTCTAGAACTAGTCATGTTTGGAAAATTTAGGCCTCTCAGATAATTAAGAAAATCTCAATCTACATTTTAAATAGGTCTTAAACTTGTGGAATCATAAGATTTATTGGCTTATTTAGCAGATTAAGAAATGTAGATGCTGGGAATTAAGTGATTTCTAATGTTAATATCATGCCTAATTAGTGATTAATGAAAGACTTTTAAAAGGTAAATGGTAAGCAAAATATAAATGGCACATTTCAGCATATCACATCAAAGGAATGTGTGGGATTTTCCTTGTTTTAGCTATAGCACTGTAATATGTTAAAAAGATCATGATCTTTGAAGTCATGATTTTGATGAAACCACTCTGCCACTTACTAGCTAAGTAAGCAGTAAGCTTATATAGGGCACTAAATCTTCTAGAGCCCCTGTCAATTAGTTGGCACCAGTATTGTCTACTTCATATATTTTGGGAGGGTTGAAGTGGAGGCTAATATGTAGTTTTTGACTCAAAATTATGACCCATGTAAGTTTAAGGGCTGCTTTAAGGGCTTCTCAGTCAACCTCAGTGTCATGAGTGATAAATTATCTAGATTTGAGAATCCTGCAAATCTCAATTCACTTGTTTACCTCACTGCTTCTCCTTTCTTCCAAGGCAGAAAATTAGCCTACACTTCCTAGCATCTTTTGCAGCAGAGTTCAAAAAAGTAACTGAGCATTAGCCAGTGGTAACTAGGAACAAAAAGTGCACACGACCCTCCAGGCCTGATCCGTAACACTGCCTTGACTTGAAACTCTCTTTCCTCACTGTTGGACAGAAACAGGGGATCTGTTGGAGGATGTTAAGCTTCCAAGAAATGGCAGAGCTATGATTTGAAAGATCCAAAACCCCTGAATAACGGTATGGAGTAGAAACTCCATTTCCCATTCTGCTGACCCATATTGGTCTGAGCTGTGAATTAGAAATAAAATTTTATTTTGTTAATCTTTTCAAAATTCAGGCTTTTTTATTATAGCTGCTAGCATTTCCTTATACATACTTATAATCCATTCCTGAAAGGTCTTTTGTATTAAATTTCAGATTTAAAAACCAGCGTCATTTATGTAGTAAATCTGGCTCATTTTCCCACTATGTCTGCCTTTAATTATTATACATATATTTATTATATGTTTAATATTATATATTATTATACATATAATTATTAAACATAGTCAAAGCTGTATTTAAAATGAGCTCATATTTTCAATATGAGACATACACCTATCTGGTGATTTCCTTAACTATTAGGAATTATCAGAAAGAAAACAAATAACTTCTTGAACAAAGAGAAAAGAAAATTTGGCCTTCATTTTTGTAAAGGATCCATAATATTTCATTTTTATTAAGGTGCAATATTTATGTTACTCAAGGTGTATTGCTATTTTTTATGCTGCTGGTATTTTTGAAACAATGTTGTCAGTTGGACTAATTAGAGCATAGACAAGGGATGTGTGTGACCTGTAATGCTCCATTGTTCTTGCAGACAAAAAAATATAATGAAATATAATGTCTTCATCCCATTGGAGAGTAATGAAGAACAAAACTAATTTGTTGGACTAAAAATTAATTAGACACATCAGATTCGATTGTACCTATTACCGTGAAAGTTTGCAGCTGTTCCACATATTATAACCAACTATGTAATGTAAGCGTGAAAAGCCAAATGATTAGAGAAGCAATAACTATACTATTAAGCAAGATAACTAAAACTCTTAAGTCAATGTAAATTGGTTATATGACACGCTGCTTAATGGATATATATCTGAATGTATTTGATTGCATTTTTGTGTCTGTAAATGCAATGATGCAGAATTATGGACACTATGATGTAAAAGTCATCTTACCATAGGAAACTGCACAGAAAAGAACAACACCAATGTTACGCCAGTGTAAGGCAGCGTGTTACATTTTTACAATGTTTTAATTAATGGTTCCTTAATGGAACTTTCTGGAAGGAAGGCTAAACTGAGAAGGAATAGATGAAACAATACATGGTCTGGCATAGTACAAATCTAAAATTCTCAACCATAAATTACATCAAATGCCAATACATGATTTAATTAAAACAAAGGGGAAATGTGATACAGTTTGAGTCACTTCAAGTGCCGTTTCCAGTTCTGAATAGACAATGGGAAAGTGTAAATTGAAACAGAAAAGAAGATTAGCCATCACTAAATCACTTCTCAACTAAGGAATAACAGTTGTGTAGATAAGGGCATCAGACAAGATGTTAAGGTAGATACGAAGGAGTAATTAAAGAAACAATTAGAAGGCTTCTCAGTACAAGAGTAGATATTAAAAAGAAATAAATCTCTGAAGAACAAATAGCCTTTTCTAGGTTGAATTGTGATTTGTGTGTGTGTGTGTACACAAAAAATAGAATTTCTGTAATTCTATTTTTATAATTACATTTTGAGTACAGCATATTCCAACTATTTGAACAAAAGATAGATATATTATTTTCTAGGTTACTTTTATCTCATAGAAAAATGTGAAAACACTTGTATGAAATGCTAAATAGTAAATTAAAAGGTACTCATTACCCATCTGAAGACTCAGACTTTTATAAATGATAGGGAAATTAAGTGAAATTTTCTATTTGGTTTAAAATAATCATTAACTTTATTATTTTAAGTTACAGTTCAATTGTTCAGTGCATAACTGTGATTGTCATGACATGAGCTTGGTTATATCGTATGCTTGTAATTTTTTACTTCCCTATAAGGAAATAAATCCCCCAAATATCTGGCAAACAGATAAAATATCTGGCAAACAGATAGTCACTAGGAAGAAAAAGAAACAGAAAGCTCTACTTAAGAATTTAGTATTTATTACTAAAGATAACCAAAAAAAACTATGAAAGGAAAATACGTTATTTGACAGTTACTTGACAATCTTAGTTATCCTTCACTTAGAACAATTATATTCAGCCAATCCATTTCATAAAGATATACAGATATAGATATTTTGTACTGTCTTTCTGGCATATATATGCCAGTATATAGTATATATATATATATGTGTGTATATATATGTGTGTGTGTATATATATATATGTATATATATGTATGTGTGTATACACACACACACACACACATACATATATATATAACTTCTTAAGTGAAAAAATAAGGGCTTATTTCTAAATACTATAAATGAATACACACACATGTAAGTTAAATCCTTTTTGGTATACCTGTATTTCTTTCTTATTCCAATTTATTTTAGAAAATCTCAGAAGGACAAGATTGTAGGTTTCCCTCAGGTTAAGGAATTAATTCAGTCTGAATGACTAATTAAGAAAGAGAAGACAATTTAAAGAAAAGTTAATACTGTAACTTTTTCTCTACAATGCTTTTAATATATAAAAGAAAGAAAACCTAGAGAATCTAAAAAATTTTAACGCTATGACTGAATGTTAAATCTGTCCATATACAATACTTATTTGTAATAGAAAGAATTCTCTAGAAGCTGGCAGTCAGCTTTATATGCATCATTTTAGCAAATAAATAGAAAAAAATGAGAACGGCTTATATCAAACACTTTAAAAACATGTAAACTCTAGGAAGAAGATTTCTTATTTGTTTATTTTTCTTTAAAGGCACTGGCAAGCAAATAAAAGCAGGGAAAACTGAAGGGGATGCATGTATTGAATGAACGGCGCTTTACCAGAGGAAATCTGCAGGGGTGAGGCTTTCTTTCCCTTAGGGAGCACCGCAATCCATACAGTGTGAGGCAGTTAGGACCTCAGCTGAAAAAACTCAATCTTATTGATATGAGGTGTCTCAGGGTGGAGTTCAGGGAGGCCAGAGTGACTTAAAATAGAGAGGAGAACCATATGAAAGAGGGAGATGGTGGAGAGTGATGCTCTCAAATTTGTGTATACTCTCCCCTTACATCCAAAGGTGAACCCTGAACTGTGCATGCAAAGAGAAGATTGTAGGATCTGGTGAAAGCACAGGTTTAAGCTCATGTTCACCGCAAAACTTCCAAACCATGTTAGGAAGACCAGATAAACATATGAGGCTTCTCACCGGAAGCCCAGGAGAGGATCATGCCTTGAAAGTATTTTACTGAGGTTTTGTCTTGAGAATAAGGGCAAACATAAGAAGTCCCATACTAACCAATGTAAAAACTAAGACATCACTGGTTAAAGGTGACCAGACAGTAATGTATGTGCCTGCTAGGACACAAACATGCTTCAAAAGATCACAAAATTTTATTTCATCTGCAATGTTCAGTATAGTAAAAAATTACTAGGCATGTGAAAATAAATAAGCAACAAACCAGAAAAATATAACCCAAGGTCAGCAGAAAAGATAATCAATAGAAGTAGACTATGAGACAAGATGGATGTTGAAATAAGGAGAAAAGAACTTGAAGCAGCTATTACAATAGGTGTATGGACTTAATATGGTCATAATAAATGATTACATGGAAAACATCAGAGGGAAATGAAAAGTGTAAAAGAAAGCAAATGGAAGTTATAGAACAGGAAAGTGTAATATATGAAATGACCAGTTCCCTGGACACTTCCACTTCTGCCCATGAAGAAATAACAGGTATTGGGATATGCACTCCCATTGCAAACAAGTAGAAGACTAGGCAAAATATGTGAAAGAAAAGAGTAGGGCTGTGATCTCAGACAGAAGGGAAAGAAACAGGGACAACTTTAATATTTTCACAGCTTTGTACCTACAGATAACTTTAAAATATGATGCAGCCAAGACTAACCCAAACATTGCTGAACAGCATCCCTGAGTTGAAAAGACTGAAGCACTCATGGAAGCTGAGGGGACTGAAAATGTTTTTTCCTTTTTTTTTTTTTTTTTTTTTTGGAGAGACAGAGTCTCGCTCAGTGACCCAGACTGGAGTGCTGGAGTGTGGTGGCACGATCTCAGCTCACTGCAACCTCCGCCTCCCAAGTTCAAGCAATTTTACTGCCTCAGCCTCCCGAGTAGCTGGGACTACAGGTGCACGCCACCACGCCCGGCTAATTTCTTTTGTATTTTACTAGAGATGGGGTTTCACCATGTTGCCCAGCTGGTCTCGAACTCCTGAGCTCAGGTAATCAGCCAGCCTCAGCCCCTCAAAGTGCTAGGATTACAGACGTGAGCCACTGCGCCTGACCAGGGACTGAATTTATGGAGCAGAATATCAGATAAATATGAGAACTGCACTTTTTATTTTGAATTTATTTGCAAGATAACTGATGTTTAAGGCAAAAACAACACTAGAGCTATAATTTGTATATTGCTGTTTATTACATAGAAGTAAAAGGTATAATAATAACAACAACAAAAAAAAGATGAGAGGAAAAGGAGTGACACTATACTGCTCTAGGATACTTATAGTCAAATCCTAGAGCAACTGTCAGCAAAGAAATGAGGTGTACCTAATAATCCAAGAGCAGCCAAAAAATACTAACCCTTTCTCATTTTATCAAAAGAAAGCAGGAAATTTGGAAGATAGTAACAAAGTTAGCAAACAAATAGCAAGATAGTAATTCTAAACAAACACACCAATGATTACATTAATAATAACATTCTGAGTATGCAATTAAAAAGGCAAAGATTGCTAGATTGGATTAAAAAAAAACAAGACTGGCTAGGAGAGGTGGCTCATGCCTGGGAGGCCAAGGTGTGAGGATCACATGAGGCCAGGAATTCGAGAGCAGCCTGGCCAACATGGTGAAACCCTGTCTCTACAAAGATACAAAAGTTAGCCGGGTGTGGTGGCATGTGCCTGTAGTTCCAGCTACTCAGGAGGCTGAGGCAGGAGAATCTCTTGAACCTTGGAGACAGAGTTTGCAGTGAGCAGAGATCACCTAACAATATGCAATTTAATAGAACTGCACATTAAATACAGAGAAACATGGGTTAAAATGAAAGAATGAAAAAATGACAATCCATGCAGTTACTTACAAAAGATGATGTAGCTATGCTAATATCAGACAAAGTAAATTTTAGGATAGGGAATCTCACCAGAAAATAAACGTAGCCATTTAATAATAATAAAGGGTAAATTTAAAAAGAAGATATAATAATCTTAAAACATACTCATGTAAAACAAAGTAGCCAAAACATGAAACACAAACTTATAGATGAAAGGGGGAAATACATAAATCCATAATTACAATAGATTTCCAGACTGTTTTTAGTAATTAAGAGCGCAAATAGAAATCAATAAAGACCTGATAATACTAACAAATAATTTGACCTGAGATAAAACCTTCCACTGAAAAAACAGAGAAATGCAAATACTTTTCAAGTGTACAAGAAACATTCAATGAGATCAAATCCTGTGTCAAAAAATAAGTCTCCATATTTAATAGAGTAAATTTACACAAAGAAAAATTATTCTGAGGCTCTGGCCTCAGGGGAATTAAAGTAGAAATCAGAAACAAAAAGATATCTGGAAAAGTCCCTAAACATTTGGAAATTAAATAATACACTTATAAATAACCTCTATGAAAGAAAAACATATGGAAATAAATAAGCCTCATTCCTTTAACCACATTGCAGTTACCATCAGATGAATTATAGACCTCCGCATAAAAGCTAAAATTATAAAGCTTCTAGAAGAAAATATCCTCAGTATCTAGAGGTAAGCCACAATTTCTTAGGAAGCACTAAATATCAAAGAAAAATGATAAATTGTACTTCATTAAAATGTAATACTTTTGTTCATCAAATGACACTATTAAGAAAATGAATAGGGAAGTCATGGACTGGGAGAAAATATTTGTAACACATATACATGGAAAAGAATTTGTATCCAGAATGTACAAATAACTCCTACTAATCAGTAACAAGAGACAACCCAATTTTTAAAAGGCAAACATGTGGTCAATTCACAAAAGAAATTATGTGAATGGCCAATAAGCACATGTAAAGTTGCTTGACATTATTAGTCATAAAAGAAAATTTAAGTTAAAATCACAGGTTATCCCAATTAGAATGGCTAAAATCACAAAAACTGGAAACATCAAATGTTGGTGACAATGTAGGGCAACTAGAAGTCATTTTTCTTGCTGGTGGGAGTACGAAATTATATAACAATTTGAATATTGTTTAGCAGTTTCTCATAAACTCAAACTATACAACTCTTTTACCCAGACATTAGACCCTAGGTATTTCTCCAAAAGGACACAAACATTTACACAGTAATATTCATTCTGTCAGGTGAAAAGCAGATAAACAAAATATGGCATATTCATACAATTGAATACTGCTCAGCAGTAAAACATATAAACTGAATAATACATACATGGATGAATTTCAAAAACATTATCCTTAGTGAAAGAAACCAGATTTAAAAAATCACATTCTGTATGATTCCATTTATATACATCTCAAGAACAGACAAACATAATCTATGATAAGAGGGAACAATTTTATGCAATGATGATATTAGATTTAATATGATTTCTTCTTTGGGATGGTATATTTAGATTACAAAGCTTATTCTGACCTGTTTCTTGTTAATTTTTGACATTTCTCTGACTAAGAGGAAGCATACAGATTTGAAACATGATGGTCTCTCTTCAGTAACTATCTCATTTTTATTATATTTCAATGGCACCAAAATTGCTAATGAGGCAATTGATTAAAAGTAATTTTAAACTACCTTTCAGCATTTAAACTCTTAAATATTGCAATTTTAATAAGGCTCTGGGACTTTTAAGAGCATGATCAATTGCACCAAGTATTTTTGTAAAAAACTCTAGTCAGTTAACCCATTTGTCAATATGATATGTGTACCCTATCATTCATAAGTGTATATTCACTATTAGTAGGTTGATGCAAAATCATCATCCACCTTGTCAGCTGACTGATTCTAAAGCACAGACCACATAGTTTGATACTCACCGATTATTATTGGCTGTGGCTCACTCTTTACTCCAACCCCTGCACTGGTACTAGCTGCAACCTCTACCCGGTATTGAATACCTGGGAATAATCCACCAATTATTACGGACCGAATGGCTGCATCCACAGTTTTGTTGATATGGAATCGCGTTTCATTTCCTAGACACCAGATCTACAGAAATGGAAAGTGAATAACACATGGATATAAGATTATCGTTTCTGGTAACGAGACTACTGTAACTGATCAAATATTTTTTAATCATAACCTGTCTATCTTCTAGGCTTATAGAAGTTTTGCAAATGACATCTTCTAAAGCCCAACCTCTGCAGTTTGAGTGTATATGTAAGTGTGTTTGTGTGCACATGCACCTGTATTAAAGGAAGAACAATAAGGGAAGCTGAAACTATGCCATGTTCATTTATATCTTATTCTCAGCACTGCATGCTCATAGTGAGTAATTTAGAAAGCACAGTGATTTCTTTAACACCTCTGGTATGTGGTCTTTGGTTGCAAATGGCATTTTTGTATGGATTAAAACACATAATTTCCTCTGTTTTATTTATCAAGATTTATTATGCATATAATCCACTAAAATATGGTGATTATAAGTTGTAATATCTAAGGTATATAGGTAGACATCTAAGTAATTTATATTTCATTTAAGAAAATATTAACTTACACAGAAGTAGTTAACAAGATGAATTGACCTAAGTTATAGGTATTGACTAAAATGAAATTAAAGCCAATATTTACGTTGACAGCAATAAATCTAATATTGATCAACACATATCTACACACACATACACATTCATGAGAACAAAGTGGTGGCAAGTCTTTAGATATTGATGTTAAGGAAGTCAGGCTTTTATTTCAAGTAGGAATCAAATTTTAGGGCATCTTCTTGGATATAGAAATTGTTCTGATGAAATGTGTTATGAAAAGAAATCCACTGTGTATCCACATTTGTATTCATATTATACAATATTTAAAAATCTACATGTAGACACATATGTAGGAAAACATATGATTTGTTTCGGAGCAGGTAAGTTCCCAGAATTTTTCAGTAAAAAATAATTCTTGTGAATCATGTGTTTCTTTTATTGATATATGGTATCTGTGTTCTTAGTGAAGGAATATTTAGCTCTTACCTACATATGTGCTTTGAAACCAAAATATGGCAAGTGCCTAGAGAGTGAGAACATTTACAACTTATGGAAAAAAAATTCATCATGTTGTAAAAAAAAGTAACAATATTTAACTACATGGAAATTTAGGATATTTAGTGCCAAATGGTACAAAAATAAATTCCTAACCTCATTAAAACACACACACACACTCAAACTCACACAGAGTAGATAATTTGTTACTCTGTTAAAACAATGTCCTAATGCTTATAAAATCTTAGAATCTATATAATTATTGTATTGTAAAAGCATTTATTCTTATGTTTCTTAAGCATGTGTCTTTACAACATGATAGAAATCATTTTAAAATAAAGCCTTATACATTTAGTCCATTCATTTGCTTTAGCAAGTTATTCTTTAATAAAATTGTATGTAAAAATTAATATTTCCTTAGAAATAAAATTTAATCTGCAAACTTTTGAGTAAATTTATTCAGCTTAATATTAAATACCAACTCTGAATTTTGTAGGTGAAATGGGTGTCTAGTTTTGTATTATATTAGATGTATAGAATATGCTATTTTCAGAAATCTAGAAATATTTATTAATAAATGATATCAATAGATGATTTATTAATAAATTATAGTTTTGAATTTTACAAAGATTAATGAGGGGTTTTTCATTCACATGTGGTCTAATCACAACACAAACAGAATCTTATTTTGAAAACGTAGACATACTTTCTACTTTACACACCAAATGATGGCAATGAAACAATAGATACATATGTTTCTAAACAGCCAAAAATTCATCAGTTGAAAAATGAGACAATCAACTGTTTTTTCTGTAAGTCAGTATTTTGTAAAATATGTTCAGTGGCTTTTTTTCAGGTGAAATATTCTACACAACCTCAATAAATACACAAAAGTAGCATCTAGAGTGAGAGTCGGTGCTGCCACAACCCACTCCACCTCTTTAACCCCCGAAGCATCTTTTTTTCTGAGAACGTGGTTTAAAAACAGCTGCCTTAAAGCCTCTTATGCAGAATTCTAATAACAAAGATAAAATCCATTTTCTAGGCTTCACAACCTACCCTGTGTCCCATCTCTTTAAATCCTTGAGGTTGTAGAGTCACACTATACAGAAAACCATTTCACTGGTGTGGTTTAATTGTTCAACTGGGTTTGTGTGATCTCTGACCTTGAACTCAGGTTCTAATACCTATGCATTTGTTTCATTCTCTGTCACACAGAAATATAAATAAAAACTTTACACTTAAACTGAATAAGAGAACCTTTAGAGATGTGTCTCATTCGTGAGACACTGAGATTTCTCTGGGAACCTTTACATGAGAGCTGTCCTTCTTCACCCGGGTCCTACCTTGTATTCTTGGATAATTCCATTCTGGTGATCTGGAGGAGGAGGATCCCAGGAAACACTAATACTTGTGCTATTGTAGCTTCCAACTGTCAGTACAGTGACAGACTGTGGTGGGGCACTTGGGGCTGTAGAGGAAGTAATTAGAATAAATGCAAACTATAAGCCTTGGTGTGCGTTCATGCTACTTTCAGAATATGAGTATAAAGACAAGTTGCAGGAGACTCTGGCTTCCAGGAGTTCTGAATGCACACGGTGTTCAACAGTGACAGTTTTTTTGAGAAATGTTCTTTAAATACAATATCTAGATTTAAAGCAAATGGAACAGCTTTTGTAATATGCTCTCAATAATAAATTTACAGCTAACATTCTAATAAGTGTTTTCTATACACCCCGCACAGAGCTAAGTGTCAGGTTTAATGCTTGCATTAATCTCAGGAGGTAGAAACAACTCTTATCTCGGTTTTACAGATGAGGAAACAGAAGGTTACTGTAAGAGACTTAGGAAAGTCAAAGAGCAAGTCAGAATTTGAGCCGGTGTATGTCTGATTTTAGAACTCTACTCTAATAGACTGTCTTTCTAAAAACAACCATAACTTCTTCTAACCAAAATTATTCTGAGAAGACATATTCCAGTATTTATCACATGTTATTTCTGAACGGTGGCATTATTGATAGCTATTTTGGTATGCTTTTAGCTTGTGCTTACTAAATAAAAACAGAAACATAACTATAAATGTCATCAACACAGAAAAAACTTCTTTTTCTTCCCATACTGGGAAAAATAATTGACTGCTATAAATTGACCCGCAAGTTAAGATTGAAAACTTATATTATATGGATGGGCAAGGGACTCTGATGATAAAAATGAAAACAGTTCATGTTGGGTCAAATGTGAAATGGGAAGATTTTGATTTCCTACAATAATTCTCTGCCTTTATAGTTTCTCCTATAACTAATTACAACCATACTGAGAAAAGGCAAGAGAGAAGCTCTTCCTGATTTTAGAATGCCACATCTCTCATTTAATGTGCCTGAGAACTAAGAAATAATAACTTTGTGGAAAAATTCATCTATTCTCAGTGATTCTCTGAATTAAAATCAAAGGTGGGGGTAGTTAAAATCATAGTATTACATAACATCGTTCTTAACAGTTTAAAATATCAAATAATTTGGTGGTATTAATGGCTTTTTATGTAGAATCATCAATGCTTACATAGCTCTACATGGTTTAGTTTTTTGAAACTATCCTAAATATCCTAAAATATATTTTAAAAGCCTGACAGCAGATATCCCATGTTTTGTAAATATGTCATGACATATTTCACTTAGGTATAGCCATATTTGCATTGAGATATAGGACACACACAGCAACATGTTAATAGAGTACTGGTCTTTCCTATTCCTCTTTGTGACAATATTGCTCCAAAATATGGCATGATGAATAAATCCAACCACTTGTCTACGAGCCTTGTAGTTATTAAGTAGAATGCATTGAAAAATAAGACTTTCAGAATGGGTTTCTCATTCACCTTGCTGCTGGCTCGGCGAGAACACCGTGCCTGCTTCCTGACAGGTCAATTATTCCAGGACTCAGCTTCGTTCTACAGATGTGAAAGAACCCAAATCGCCGCTCATCATTCCCAGACACAGCCCAGCTGAGTTCCATTTGTTACCATCACATAGCCACAGAAATTGGAGATGAATGTATACCCAACAGGGACAAATGTCTAATCCAGAGGAAAAGTCTAACTGCAGTGAAATTGATTTTGGTAACAGGCTTCAAAGAGAGCATTCTGTGTTAAGGTTACCTGCTCCACTCATTAATACTACCAATTTGCAACACAGAGTGAAATTTAACGATGAATAAAGATATGATGATAATGATTATTATTTTTAAACATGTTGGCAAGGAGAAAAGATACTATTATAATTACTGGCAACTTTTCAACATATCCTAAAAATAGATTAATGATGCCTTTTTGAATATGCATTTTTGCCCCTGCCAGTGTATCACACTGCAAAACAATGGGAAGATGACATTTTTGCCATGTTGTGTAAGAAATGTATAATTTAAGAGCTCTTTGGTCAAGCACATAGATGTTAACGTGGGCAACCTATATACATTTTTTAAAGGCTTCTCTTATTTTGTATGAAATATGTTTAAAGAAAGGGCTTTTTACAAGAGTTGTGAGCACAAAATTAATACAAAAGCAGAATGGAGGGATTTATTTCATTTCGCATCTCCTTTTTTTTAACTTTAATGACAACATTTATTATAAGCCTCTTGTTTAGTGAAAGAGATACTACTAAATGAACTGGTGGAAAGCTTGTGTTCATCACAGATTGACTTTAACATACCTTTAGGTAAGAAAAGGTCCAAAGTGGGGAGAACGAGGGAACTTCACTAAGAAGAAAGCTACTGCAAATACGCAAGTGCCCTTCCTGATTAGAAATCATGGGTTTGACTGGCAGTGCCCATAGGAAAAAGTGGCTAATAAAAGAAAATGTCACACTTAACTATAACAAAAGAAGAGTAGTCACAATGAACAGCCTGTGTTCTCAAATTTCCAGTCGTCTGTCTTTCATGATCCAAATGAACTAAATCTACACAAAATATAGGGGAATATTTAATAATCCAATTCAAGTGAACTTAAACATAAGATTTGGTGCAAATGGTTACTTAAGAAAAATTCAAATTACATTAGTGTCCTTTTTTCTGCTTGTCAGATTCTATAGAATTCTCAGAATAAAAGGAGAAAACGACACTTCCTCAATTTACTTTTAGGTGATATCTTTCCATTCTTCTAAGGAAGATAACAAATAGGTACTGTAACAGAAATTGGTTTCATCATGTTTGATTTATATTCGAAATCTGAATACTGACCTTCTTCAGTAGTACGAACCGTTTTAGATTCACTATCCATTCCTTGGAACTCATTAAAATATGGCCGTACTTTAATTTCATAAGTCACCCCCTTTTTCAGGTTGACTAAGACAGCACTTCGTTCAGTCGGGACTTTGGCATCTAAATTCTGCCACGAAGATGTCGCCTGCAGACCTGAAGTCTGACGATACATCACTCGGTAGCCTTGGATAAACTGGGGTTGGCGATCAACCTGAAAAACATAGTTAAGGGCATTTGAAACTAAAGGAAAGTATTTTAGACAACACAATGAATTTGTCCTCTTTTCATTTGTCCCATTTCTGTCCTCATAACTATCAACTGAGTGATGTCATGACTTTCTAGCTAATCTCTCTGCTTCTAATAACTTCTATCCTTTTAGAGTTCAGATTGCTCCTAAGATTGTTTCCAAAATGAAGATTGGGAGAACTCTCTCTCCTGTTTAAAATACCTCACAGTATCTAAGATACCAACCTAATTAATTAAGATGCCTTGGATTAGCACAAGGGCCTCTCAAAGGCCAGACCTGCCAGTATCTCTAACTTTATGTCTCCTCTGCTTACCCATTTTCTGCATCCAACAATTCCCTTTTATGTGGCTTTATATGTAATATGCCCTTTGTCAGGGATTTCCATTCTCATTCTTTGTCTATTCACTAACATCATCACTCAATCAAAACACATGTTTTGGGTTCCTACTCATAGGTGCCAGAAATTCTGCTGAGCTCTGGGGATAAAATGGACAATGAAAATAGAGTCAGCCCCTGCCCTCATGAGCTGAGGTGAGAAGATGGAGTCCAGGTAGAAGGTAGGAGTGGTCTAATAATGACTGAACCATGGTCAAGTTACAATCATAAAAAAAAAAGCATAAACAAATGTTAAGAATGAGAGGTGCCAAGAGCTAAGAAAGCCTATAGTGGAGAGAAAGGTGACTGAGTTGGGAAGCAGAGGCAAAGCATCCCTGAAGAATTCGTAAGTGCTTAGATAGGCAAGAAGAGCAGGATTTACCCAGGAAAACAAATGTGAGGACATCATGTATAAAGTCCCTGTGGCTGGAAAAAGCATATAATACAGATTAAAGTTGTAGAGCTAGAGCATTTGTTTTAAAAGCATATGAACGTTTATGCCCATTACCAAATATTAAATGAAAAACTTTTACTAATTTACCAACTTCTGACTCTTCAATTGTCCCATTCTTGACAAAATTTGACAACTTTTTGATATCTTCATTTATTTAAGATACAGTAAGAAGCTATTTTAAATAATAATCTAAGATTAAACTCATACCAAATAGAACTTTTAAAAAGTGTTTTTGTTTGCTATTGACAATCACCTAAAAATGAAATATATAAAAATGCAAGATTAAAAAATGAAATATATTCTTCTCTGTATACATTTATTTTAAAATATTTACCAGGGTTTTATGGTTGTTTCATTTTCAGGGAGAAAACAACTATGGATTTTAAAAATTATTTTTAAAAATTAAGCATCTTTTAATACTTTGTCATGTTTTTAGAAACACTTGATTTAAACACAAACTATGATAGCATGTTCCAACTAATATCCCTTATCATAGTTTAATAGCTATAGTCTAACAAGGCTTAAATTTGACATACTTCACTATCAAATAAAGTGTAAAGATTAATGGAAAAGAAATGGAATAACCTCATTTCAGGAAGTTTGTAGAGAAAGAGGAAATAAAAAAGAGAATTATGGAGACGGTTATTAATTTCAGCTTTAAACAAATTTCTTTATCCAAGAAATTTGAAATTTGTTCAGCATTTGAAATTTGTTTCAACTTTTGTTGAAATGTTGAAATTTGTCGGCAGTTTATAAACAAAACGTATTCTTTCATGTATTAACTACTAATATCCCTTCTTTAGTTGCAGTATTGTTTTATTTATTTTTAATTGGGGGCAACAAATGAATGTTAGCTAAAAATATTGGCTTTAGAAAGTTAAAAATGCAGAGCCTCAATAAAAATACAGTGGAACAAAAGGAAATACTTAGAATGTCCAAACGAGAAAACTCCCTCAATTAAGTGAGTGTGTGTGTGTGTGTGTGTGTGTGTGTGTGTTTCTATGTACGGCTAATTCCAGTTTCCCAGATAAGTCTCAACAAGAATGAATTCCTTCACCCACCTGAAAGCTTTCTCACCCTCAAAGACTTTCTGAAATTAGTGCTACACTTGTATGAGGTCAGGTAAAAAAAAAAAGTGAGCCCAGGTGTAACATGGAAGCTGGTGATCGGCAAGTCCTCATTCATGCTACCAGTTTATGTTTCTACCATTGGATACATTCTTTGAAAAGCAGGAGTTTTTCTGACACTATGAAATAAGGCAACCAAGAGGCGAAAAGTTAAATTTATGAGAGCCAAAGAGAGATGACTTTCATCAAAACTGTCAGTGTTCAAAAAAACCCTTGCAGTATATGTTAAAACAACACTAAGTTTGCATTTTATAAACTTCTCTGCATTTGCTTTAAGTGAATTTATATACTGAAAGAAAGACATAACTCACAATAATAGCTTGTTAATACTGAAAGAAGCAAGCTGTGTTTTTAAGAAGAACATTAAGCAGCTGTTTCCAGATGAAGGGAGTCTGTAAATCAGGGTAAATTGGTTTTATCCATGTTTGGTTTTCATTAATTAAGTGTTTTAGGGACTTTATGAAGCTAATGTTTACCACAAAACATTGTTTTGCACACTTGCACACTTCAGTGTACACTATCATCGGCCAGTATATCGTATGGGGCTTAATAATTAAATAGTTTAACTTGATTGTGTGCAGTGGCAATGCATTTTTTTTTTTCAGGACGAAATTTGTTGTTACAGGTGGAAGCAGAAATGAAAACACTGAACATTTACTTTAAAAAAAATAGGTGAGATTTTTACTGGATGTGTGTTCTACCTCACTAAATTTTGGAGCTCATTTTGACAGGTGGTCATTTTCAAGTTAGGCCATATGTTTGTTACGAGTTTTATTAACATTCTAAGAAAGAGGATTTTCTTTTAGAGTTGATTACAATCAGAGTCTGACCACAGATTCATGGGTTTATATATTTTTTTAAAATAGTATTTTCTGAAACATGAATAAAAAAAGAGTTGTCTTAAGGAAAAATAAAATGATTACGAGAACTTCAGGCTTCCAGCCATAGGTCTCAATTTGAATTAGGCTTCAACCTCTTAAACTTTCTGAACCTCAGTTTACTTAATTTGCTCACATAATACCCATATCTCAAGGGCACAGAAACAATCAAGTGACTGATATAAGTGAAAGCATTTTGCTGGCTTTAGAGATGCACAATGATAAAACATAATTGTTAAGGAAGCAACAGGCTAAAAAAGAAGACGGCTTATATGTGGCCCTAAAATCAGCATTCTAGTTAAACTGTTTAAGTGTGATGCTTCATATTTACCTTTTCCATTTTCAAAACAAAACAACATAACAACTCAATATAAAGCAAAAATTCAAAGTGAATTTTCTTTGATGGGTTTAGCTGCTAAGGGTCTGATCTGGTTTTAGCAGACTTCTGAAATTCTAGTTTGTCGAAGCACTCTTTTCAATCTCTGTGGAAAAATGCTTAATGGGCAAAGAGTATGTAATTCTTTTTGTCCTTGAACAAAACAAAGACAAAAAGTAAAGCTAGAATAATCATTTTTCGGTAAGTGACTTATTGCTATTTTTCTTTGTGGAACAGCAGGTTTCTTATCATTTTTGCCCACACTCATTCTAAAAGCAGCCATTTTAGAAAGCAGTTGTTGCTAACTATTGTTTCAAGTTTAGCCTGGTGAGAAGGGGGACAGCGAATGGTCTCTACAGTAGTTATGTCTTGTGCCTTTGGTCATTAATCCTGCCAACCACTGGGAAACTTCCTCAGCTGGCCCAAAACCTAATCACATGGTGGGGAATTATTTCTCCCTTCAACCCCAACACTTCTGTAAAGCAAATGCTAACATTTTGATAATTTAAATAACACATGCATTTAGTAAATCAAAAATATTACATCAATAAAAGAGTTACACAAATTATTTGACCACTGGACACACCCCAGTCTGACTTTATTTCACTTAATTTATCTCTTTCAAATGCATACTTATGTCATGTGCAACTACAAAGTCATAGAGAACAATATGCCGTGATATTAACTGAATTCTTTCTTCTATTAAAAAAAGTGTAAAATGTATGAAAACAACTGATTTGATCATTCAACAAACAGTTATTAAAAAGAGTACTTCATAATAGACACTCTGCTCTGAAAAAAACAGAAATGAAAGAAATTGGCTGTAGCCTCACAGAAGTTACAGCCCATGACGGGGATAGATGTGCAAACTAGTAATGATAGCTTCTTGGGGTACAGAGATGAATAGACAACGTCCCCCTCCTGGAAGAACTCCCAGTCTGCTGTCATGCAATTTTGATCTAATGCTATTTACTCTTGAAACTAAGTGACTTTAAAGTGATTAACTTCATCAACATAATGACTTTGATTCTTACCCAAAGACTTCCCACATTTAGATGCAGCTTAAAAGAATCCGCCTTATAACTTGCAACAGAACAGAGACTTTTTTCAATTGAGAATGAGGAAAACTACTACGCTGTGAAAAATACAGCGTAGTATTTTGGCTTTGTTAGTTTTGTATCTACTCAAGGGTACTGAAAGATAGAAAAGGCATGGCAGATAATACCCCCTACTGTGCCACTGTAAAAATAATAACGTAATTGTGTTCCCTTCATGGGAACAGAAGAATAGAAACCAATATATGCAGAAAATAGAATAAATCTATGCAAAATTATGTCAAAACTGGAATAAGAAAGTGTAATCCTAAATAATCATAATTACTCTTAAAATATTATAAACTTAGTCTTATTTTTAAAATATATACAACCCAATTTTGTACTCATAAACCAATAATTTGACTGATTATGTAGTTTGCTTTAAGGAGTAACAACATGGAACAATAACAAAAAAAGCCTGAATAGCTAAGGCAATCCTAAGCAAAAAAGAAGGAAGAAGGAGGCTTCATGCCACTCAACTTTAAATACATAACAGGGTTACAGTAACCAAACTGGGAGAAAATGTTTGCAAATTACGTATCTGATAAGGCATTTGTATCTAGACTATATAGACACTTATAAGTCTATAATAAGAAGACAAACAAAATAGAGTATATAAACACTTGTTAAGTCAATAAGAAGACAAACTCTTTGTCCAAAAATGGACCAAGAGTTTGAATAGACATTTCTCTAAAAAAAAAGTTCAATTAGGACATGAGAAGATGAATATGATTAGTCATTAAAGAAATGCAAATCAAAACCACAATTATATACCACTACACACTCACCAGAACGGGTATAATCCAAATGGCAGATGATAATAAGTGTTGGCAAGGATGTGAGAAAAAAATGGCAAGGATTTGAGAGAATCTGGAACACTGAAACATTGCTAGTGAGAATAGAAAATGCTATAGCCACTTTGGAAAGCATTTTGGCAGTTTATCAAAATATTAAATGGAGAGTTACCAATATTACTGAACAATTTGTAGGTTTATACCAAGATAAATGAAAACATGTGTCCACCCAAAGACTTGTACTCAAATGTTCATGGCAGCATTATTCATAATAGACAAAACTGGAAACAACCCGAACATCCATCAACTGAAGAAGGAATAAACAGAATGTGAAGTATCCATAAAATGGAATACTATTTGATAACAACAAGAAACAAAGCCCTGATACGCGCTACCACATGGATGAACCTCAAAAACATTATGCAGAGTGAAAGAAGCTAGACACAAAAGACCACATATTGCACAATTGTACTCATATAAAAGGTCCAGAATAGGCAAATCTACAAAAACATAGAGTAGATTAGTGTTACACAGGGCTACGGTAGGGGAAATGAGAGAATCAATGTTAACAGGCACAGGATTTCATTTGGGGATGATGAAATGTTCTAAAATTAGATTTTGGTGATAATTTAGAAACTCTAAATACACTAAAAATCATGAAGTTGTTCACTTTATGGTATGCTAATTATATCGCAAGAAAGCTGTTAGAAAATTCAGAAGACAGGATATGCCATGTTTATATAATAATCTATTCTTACTATGGTTATTCTAGTAACTTTTTAATTTGTTGATTTTCTTTACTATCATTGATTACACCTTGATTTTAAATGGCGGGAATTTTTATTATCACTCTTTGTTCATTTGCATTTTCCATGTTTTGCTTTCCCGAAAGAGAAGAGATTACTATTAACATTGCCTTTGAAAGCTTACCGTCCATGTGACCTGAACCGTGGTGGGAGTCAGCACAACTGGATTATGAAGACGGACAAGGACATCTCCTAGCTCTTTCTGCACTTGCCTGTGGTCCACTCCTTGTGCTGGTGGGCTGATATCTGCAGTTAGAGAAGAGAATCATTCCCACCTTTAAAAATTCATATTAAAATTACAATTTATTTTATGTAAATCAACCTCATGTCTTTAGAACTAATTACAGGGAAACAAAACGAAAACTCTCTTGTGACAAAAAGCATTTAAGCCTATATATATAAATATACCACTGTGGTAGGACATAATGAAAGATGATATTGATCTTTATTAAAAATATACTAATAGAAGAGTATTTGTAATCCCTCATCCGCATTCAAATGCAGACACACTGTTGTATAAGATCACTTACTTTATTACTAAAGGATAAAGTATGTGCTGTAAGACTTCTCTACAGAAGTCTAGAAAGATCTCTAGAAAGAGCAGCTTTGTACAGATGTTGGTGTATTGAATGATTTTCTGGATGTGTAAATTGGGATATATCTAAAAACTGATGCTAAGGGACCTGTTAATCCCTTGTCCCAATTTGCAGGTTGTGTTTTCTTCTTGACCTACTTCAGTCTGGGAGCATGGATGGAGAAGTAATGGTGGACTAGGAAAGTGAATTCTGTCATTAAAGGTAAATAGAGTTGGGGGAAGAGGGGAAACAGCTCCTCAAATTTGCAAAGATACTTTTGACAGAAATAGTTATAATACTGATAACATGTTCTAAAGTAATACATTTTGAGCAGTACTCTAATACCTGACACGAGGTCATGCAGACATGTTTAGGAATAGTGGTGGGGAGAAGGGAAGAAAGAAAGGTCATGTTTAAAATATTATACCCTCAGTCACACATTGTTATGCCACATTATTCATCAGTCTCCTAAGTACTATTCTATTTCTCCATATGATGGTTTATATTCTCGGTCCATTAAGAAAAAAGGATAAATTATAGGCTGTGTCCATTAAGAAAAAATGATAAATCGTAAGCAGCTAAGTCCATCAAATTGATATTAAACATTGAATTTTACACATACTCAGATTAACTTTTTAAGCTGGCACACAATGTTGTTGAATTGTTTTTCTCCAACTATTGTATTTAAGAAAGGAAGTCCAATTTAAAGTTATTTATTTTCGTAATCCTGTTTTTTCTTATTATCTCAGGCTACAATGCATGCAGCACTCTCGCGAAAGTATTTTTAAGAACATTTCTCAGCTATTACTTAAATTGGGAGCACTAACTTAAATTGGGTCGTAAATAATTGAGACTAATACTTAGGTAATGTTTTTCCAGTTCTACTTTTTTTTTTTCATTTTTAACATAAACAGTAAAATGAAGTTTTACTTAATTTGAAAAAAGTCCCTTTATGTGAATAACATTAATCTATGCCTATATATGTATGTTCTGTTTTGATGCTGATAATCCAAGTATTTGTACTTTTAATGAAATAAAAGATTTCTAGATTCTCTGTTATTTAATACCTTTGAAAAATAAGAGTTCACAGTGCAAAGTGTTCTTTGAAAAAGAAATGCTTTGCAGATTGCAAAGCTGCTGAAAGTATGGTACCCAAAAATAATCCTGACCTTCAGACACAACACGTGGGTTTTCCTATTAAGTATTTGTTAAGAGCACAGAAGTCTTTCACTCTATATATTCTTTCCATTGGAACAAACCAGACCACAAACAACTTTTCATTAATCTTTCTTGACCTCTTCACTGCGAGTTATTTTATGAGTCAAGATTTAGTGACTAGCATAGTTATCGAATGATCAAAAAGGTCTGCCAGATACAATCACACCAAATATCTTCCCATTCTGATCTCTCTCTACGTTTCACTGGCTACACACAAAAACTATTTCTATGCACAAAGGTATAAATGATCACGGTACTACAATTTCTTGACGTAAAATTGTACACATTTTCCATTTTAAGTTCAATAATAAAATTTACACACTTAATTCAAACACAGTAAAAAGCAATCAGATTTAAGGAAGGTAAAATATGACTAGGTTCAAATTTCAGATTTTCAAATTCCTTGTTGTGCTTTTTCTTTCTCAAGAGACAGGTTCTTTACCTACAGGCCCTTTATCGCCATGGAAAATTAATCACATTACTGCTTAGAGAACAATAGCAAAATGGCATTTCCTCCTCCCTTGACTGTCATCATGTCAGCAACGTTACAAAGTCACGTGGTGACTTTATTTCAGTCGATTCCTTTAAGGTGCCCTTCTCCGTTATAATAGCATGCTAGTTACTATCACCGAACTACATTGTAATTATAATAATATTTTATGGCTGTATGGTGCTTTTCATTGCATAAAAATACTACTTTGAATTATATCTTGTTCAAAGTCTTTTACAAATAAGAAATAATTAACCCTTTCTGAAGAACCCTGTGGGAAGTAGGTTATAACAAATAATAAAATTACCGTTTCTATTTTATTAATTTCTTTTTCCTACTTGTCAGAAGGGAAACTATAATGTAGCATTGTATATTAAACCTCAGACTCCAGTGACTTCTCAGTTTGAAGAGACAGGTAATAAGGATAAAATTATGAAATCTTCCATTTTGAAATTATATTTTAATACTCTGTGTGTATTTTACATTATAGTCGAAAGAATTGAGTTCTTTAGAAAGAAAACTTGATTTCCTGCTGTCTGTAATAAATTGCTCCTTTAAACATCTGATTTAACGAAATTCACTGTAGCAGTGGTTGTAAAACTTATACATCAGCATCACAAGGAGGGTTTGTTAAAACAAACACTGGGCCCCAACCTCAGAGCGTTTGAATTTGAGCCTGAAAATGTGTGTTTCTAACAGTTGCAGGCTATGCAGATGCTGCTTACCCAGGAACCACACTGTGAGAACGACTGCACTATAAAAACAGAATTCCGAAACAATAGGACATAATTTTTATACCTCTATTTGGGCATCTACTCATTAAAGACCACTTTTCTGTTATTGTGTAATTAATTTTAAAGAAGGAGAAACATTTTCCTCCCTTTGAAATATAGTAAAGCTCTAATTTAGTGAATTCATTCGACGTAGAGGTACCCAATTATTTTTATTTTTTGCTGAATAAACCCAAAAACTCCAGAAAGAGAACACATCTCACCAAGATAAACAGCAAGCTACCTTCTCCTTCCCTGGATAAAGCCTAGTGAGCCATCATACAAAGCAATGCAGGCACATGTATATTTCCTCATCAAGCCCCTCGTTCTTAAATATCTGATGTTTCTGCCTAGAACCAGTCTTGTTGACAGCTGTTGAAAGTACCTTGTGTGCGCACAGGATCTGACATGGGACTTGGGTCACTGAGACCTTGGGGGTTGATCGCTCTGACCATGAATAAGTAGATTGTATTGGGCCGCAGTCCTCTTACAGTATAGAGGGTGGTCTTTACATGGTTTGCCACGGTCTGCCAGCTGTTGCTCACTGATTGGCTGAAACGCGAACAGAAATTTCATTTAAAGAACAGTCATTTGAAGATTGGAAATGGAGTTGGGTATCAATGACAAAGGTTAATGGCTGGAAATTAAACACACACACACACACACACAACACTTGAAGTATTCAGCCCAATAAATGAAACATTTGGATGATTTCAATTTATTCCACAACAAAGCCGAGCCCACCTAACAAAAGTGCCATGCACAACAAAATTAAACTCAGCCCAGGAGATGTGACAGCCCTTTGCTAATGCACAGCAGCCCACTAAATGAATACCTGTAAAAGGAACAGAGGCCAAGATCACAACATCAAGTTTATACAATAAGTATGGTCCTCGTAAATGTATATATATATATACCTTGAAAAGAATTAACCTGTAGAAAGAATAAATGGACTACAGAGTAAATTATGCCAATACATTTTCCTGTTACAAGGTGTGTTTTCTTTTGCATCATTTCCACATGCAATATTATAACTGAGCCTTCTAAACTACATATCTGTAAAAGAAGAGAGGAAGCAGGTAATGAATATTTTCCCTTGGTTACATTGTTAATAAAATTGTACATTATACAGTATTGTGATTTCTCATCTCAGAACGGTGAAATCTCTCTGAATTTGTGTGTGAGGACCCATTTACAGCCAGCCACAGATGGATGCCATTTTAGAACAGTTTGTCTAAGGTCAAATGCCACTTTTGCTCAGAAGAAAGGGCAAATGTAATTTTCAGGGTGGTCAGTTTATTTTTCTGATATGCTTAACTGTCCACGCATAAGAATGATAGAAACGTAGTATTTTGAAATTTGAAAATTAAGTACCTAGCATTACCTTAAATAATGATTAGAGAAGCTTATAAGAAAGTGATCATTTGTCCTAATGTTTAAAAAAAACAGTGGTTATCCATTAAAATTTATACTGTCACGTAGAAGCACATTTGAAAGGGAATATGAAAGCATATTTTACCATTTGTGTAAGCATTTTATCAAATTTTCATAGGACAATTTTATACTGATATTTGCTAATTTACATTTAAATCTTTAAATTGGCAACAATTATTTCAGATAACACGTGGAAACATCTTTTCCATTAAGCAACTAGAAGCACATGGAATAAATTTATTAATTATTGTTGTTAATTTTCTCTCAGGCATATCTAATAGATGTATGTAATATATGGTATAAAAATATTGGGATTATTTTAAGTTCTGCTCTAATTATTAGGAATATAAATGCCAGAGTCCTCTGCTTCAATAAATGTCACATAACTTTAAAAAGTGCCTGTGCCTATGCCTAATTAAAATATTTTCTACCCAGTTCAGATGCCTAAATTCTCACCTTAAATCCCTACAATGGTCTGGGTAAAGAATGGAGCTAAGTGATTATGTTATGAACTGGATCCCCATAGACCTAGGCATGAATAATGCATATTTAAATCTTATAATTAAGTTGTAAACTAAAAAAAATTAACTCTGTTCTTGAATAAAGTCAGAGAGAAGAGATCAATTCTTAAAATGCATTGATTGGACATGTCTTTAATAAAACAGCAGGATAGTTCAGGTGACATTTTAGAATAAAGGAGCTAAGACAAAACCCAGTGGAGAAAGAAGGAATTGTCCCATACCTGAAAGCCTCAATGATATATGCACTTGCTGGAAGGGTTCCAGGGGTACCTGGCTGCCAGGACAAGGTGACACTGTTCTTAGTAACATCAGTGACCTGCGGTTTGGATGGTGGCCCTGGCAGGTCACTTAAATCATAGTTTTTACTGATTGTTGCTCCAGACTCTATAGAGGACAGACAGAAAAAACTTCATTCCTGATTGCATAAGTTGACAATACTGCCTAAAAGAAGGAAGCAGTCTACTAAAGGACCTGACCTAGACAGTGAGAAATTCATCTCCATGAATCAGAAGTATGTAAGTGAATGTTTGCTTCTCCTACATGTTAATAAAAGTAAGCTGTGTTTTTACATAGGATCATTAGAATTCCTTACACTTCAGAGGAAATAAAATAATAAGGTTATCAAAGACAAGTGTATTAAATTCCACAAATGTAATGGTGTGTGCAAATTCATGCATGAATTAAAAAATGGCATTGAATGTAAAGGCTAAAATTTACATTCAGTGAATTAAACACTTTGATCCCCCCTTAACTTATTATTTGATATTGAGCTATCAGAAAAGGGGCCCAAGATTTCTCCTAATTCACAAAGTCCTCACCTGTCACATCCAGCACTGCACTCCAGGAAGTCTCTCCACTTGAACTTGTAGCCACACAAGTATAAGTGCCAGTATCAGAAATCTAGTGTGCACAGAAGGGAGAGAATTAAATTGTTTCAGTCAATTTGCAGAATAATTACTCAATGACAGCCAGGCAATATTTAATTTCTTAAAATTAGATGTATCATTTTGTTGTCTAAATTATGCATTAGAGTCAATCATATGTATACATAAAATAATGAAATAAACTCATATAATATTATTCATAACATTGGTCCAAAGGGCTTTTAAAATAATATTTATGCACCTCAATGTTAATTTGTCTGATAAACAATTTGCCCCTCTCTTTTTCTTCCTCTGTGATAATACTCTTACCTCTTAACTCCATTTTATGGCAGGGCTCTACTATATCTAAGTTGTTTATGAATGACTCAGAACAGAACTCTTTCAGAATCTCACAAAATTCCAGAGAAGCAGTAATGCAAAACTGTTCTGTCTCAAATAAACTATGTTTCAATGAATAAAACATACCCGAGTAAATAAGCAATAAGACAATAAGGGATCACACTTTCTTTCTTTTGAAAGACATGGAAAAAAGTGAAGAAGAAAAAGAACTTTTTTTTTACCCCGAGACAGAGTTTTGCTCTTGTTGCCTAGGCTGGAGTGCAATGGCTCGATCTCAGCTCACTGCAACCTCTGCCTCCTAGGTTCAAGCAATTCTCCTGCCTCAGACTCCCGAGTAGCTGGGATTACAGGCATGTGCCACCATGCCTGACTAACATTGTATTTTTAGTAGAGACAGGGTTTCTCCATGTTGGTCAGGCTGGTCTCGAACTCTTGACCTCAGGTGACCCGCCTGCCTCAGCCTCCCAAAGTGCTGGGATTACAAGTGTGAGCCACCGTGCCCAGCCAGAAAAAGAAATATTTTTAAGGTAAACTTCTTCATTTAAAAACTTCAATATTCACTTATATGTAAATTGCAGTAGTGGAAAAATGAATAGAATAAAGTATCATTAAAAAAATGTGGCTATGGAGTGACTGCAATTTCAAGCTGAAAGGGAACATAAATATATCATAATTCATAACTCTTTTTTGATCACAATAAAAACTTGCCATTTCATCGATCACTTAAAATGGTTTTATTATTCTCAGAAGAGTGGCAAAGGACTTTCAGAAAAAGTTGATAATATAATCAAGAGTCCTCTTTTACAAATGCAAGAAGCAGAAGATTCTGTGATTATATTTTGAATAAAGCCCCAAGATCAATAAAAGAGGCAACTCCAAAATTCTGTGTGATCAAGCCTTGTGGCTTACACTGCAAACAACATTCATTCTCATCAATTTAGGAGTAAAGGAAAAGTCACACTGGGAAGAGAAACTGATGACCAAACAAAGTCAGACAAGGCAGAAGATGTAGAATTAATATTCTGTGATGAACATCAGTCTAATTGTTGATGAAATATAGTCGCTCATGGAATATTATATCTGCTGGGTTCAAACTATAAGTGTGTTGATGACTCAAGCTTTCTCGATTGATTCTCAGGTAAATCATTAGTGCCTGGATGTTACTGCCATTTCACTATCTTAATTGATTTTAAATGCCATTATGTATTTTAACTTAAGTTCCAAATTGCTCTGGCATGACATTCTTTGCCATATTATCTCTGTACAATTGTCTTCTATTACACAGAGGGAAGATGGGGATAGCCATTGTAGAAAGAGCCATTCTTTCAAATGTGGCTGTGCACACATTATAGTCATTAGAAATCTTTGCATTTAAGAAGCATCACTCACAAACTAAATATAATGAGCCGAGGTTGGATTTTAATGGGATGTTCATTTGAATATGGTCTGTGAAAGAGTAAAAGAATTTGCATTTTATTATAGCTGTTGAACTAAAATGTAGCACTTGTTATTACTTGCAAATGCTAAAAGAAAAGTATGTAGGTAATGCTTCTTAACTGCATCTCCTTGTCATTGTGTGGAGATACAAGTATGACATTAGCTGCGGTAGGTATATTTTAATGAGTGCTGGAATATTCTACTTCTCAAAAGATAAAGATTCAGTTACCAATTAGCTGGCCTAGAAGAACACAGTATTCATCACATTATTTTTTTCCCTTGCATTAAGTACTGAAAAAAAAATAGTGAGACACAAAGGAATACAGCCTACAGAAACTCTCTTGACTGTATGAGTGAACTATTGGAAAGCCCACTTCTGTCTCCCTGTAAGGACAGTCATGTTACAGGAAAAGAACAACGTTTTCATTTTGGGGTCCTCATAAACCTAAATATCGTTGCTAAAACTCACTCTTGGTATTACCATCATCACCACATTTTATTCCTTTAATTTTATTCCTTTAATTTTAAATAATGTCTTTTTCTGGTGAGGAGTGCTTCTCATCTTTTCCATGCTTGTCCTTTTACCCTTAATAAATTGCTTTAAAATGAGATTAATGTGCAGGCAAATTCCATCATCTACTTTTCTCCTTGTGCACTTGGCTGCAGACAAGCCCCAAGGAGCTGGCATCTCAGAGAGACTACTCAGAAGCCTGTCAGAGGGCTCAAAGTTTGTTTGACATCATCAAGCACCCACCTTTAATTGCTTCTTTCAAACACTACTAGAAATCTTGACTACTCAAGCATACCCTTTAATTCAGTGATACAGTGAAAATGCATTAACCTCTATGGCCCAAGTCTGCCTTTAGCCCAGAAATAGAGGTTAAAGTGTTTACACAAAGAGAGTTGGCATTAATTTTTTAATAACTTCCATTTTGTTCAAAGAAGGTTAACAATTAATTTACAATCAATAAAAAGACAGGCTCAAAATATCTGTATTAATTTACTTTTTTAAACTCAACTTGGCAGCATTTTTTCTATTTAAAGCAATAATTAATGCCTGTATCTCAAAAATTAAAGATAAATATTATATATATAAAGTAAAAACTTATGTGTGCATGTGTGTGCATGTAGCAAAAATAGTCACTTTGTTTTCTGATATACGTCTGTATGATATAGCGATAATCAGATAAACATATAATTGTAAACATATTCCCATTATAAAAGAACAATATGCCAAATTGTGATCATTTGGAAATATGTGTAGTTAAAAATTTTTGCCTTTCTTTTTAGCTCCAGAATGGGAAGATTCTAAATGCTGTTTTGCTTTGTTTTTCTTCATCTTGGCTCTGAATTTCAACCTGGACCCAAGATTCTACAGATTTCTCCTCCACTGAAATTTTCTTCATGCACTATTACATCATCTACCTTAGTTCTGGGTCTCATCCCCAATCTTGTGATTACTAAAATATACTCTCCAGCTTTCACATAGCACTTGCTACATGGCAGGTAGGAGGAAGGGACTTACCATACCTAGTTGAATGAGTTGAATGTACTGATAGAGGACAGGTGCCCTCCATGATAACATCCTTCTGGTATTTGTATCTTGTGTAATCCCTCACCTGGAGTGTAAGTGGGACCTGTTGGTTCCCTTCTGGCCAATATAATATTGCAAAAGTGTCAGTATGTCATGTTTGTGATTTGTTCCACAGGACTGTAGTGCCCATCTTACTAGGAGACTCTCTTCCTTGCTGACTTGGAGGAAGCAAGTAGTCATATGGGGAAGATCCAGATGGCAAGGAACCAAAGGCAACCTCCTGCCAACAGCCATTGATAAGGTGAGGTTGTTAGTCCAGTAGCCACAAGGAACTGAGTGCTACCAAGAATAATGTTGATTGGAAGCAAATCCATCCTGTGTCAATCTTCAGATGAGACGGCAACTCTAAATGACACCTAACTGGAGCCTTGTAAGACCCAGAAGCAAAAGACACAGCTCAGTCATGCCTAGGCTCCTAACTCACAGAAACTGTGATGTAATAAATGTGTGTTGCTTTTAGCCACTGTATTTTTGTTCATATTGTTCCATAATAATAGATAACTGATACAATATTCAGAAGTAGACATTTTATTTTGAGTTGCTCCTGAAGCAGGACTGACTTGTTAAGTTGCCAGGAATGCTCATTTTTTATCATGTAAACGTCAGTAAAAAACCACCAATGCCTTGTTCTTTCCATGGGTTTAAATCTAAACTACACAACAACTTAACCTACAACCTAAGGTTTCCCACTAACCAGGCAAACTCGCCGTTTATGTACTCAGTCTCATCTCTTTATTTTTCTTCTACTCAACTCTTTGGCCAAGCCACTTTATCTACATTTCCTTACAATTTCTTTTGCGAATGAAAGTAAATCAGAAGCATTTGTTGTTTTTGTCATTTCCAATACCCTACTACTCATATTAATGCTATGTGTTTAAGATTTCTAGATTTGTTGACTGTATACATATGGAATGGGATACAGGAATAAAAGTTTCGAGATTCTGTTATGAATGTGTGAGTAACGTAAAAACTGTGACCTTTCCTCTAATTTCATTTCATCATTTTTAAAATAAGTAATAACATTAACTGTTTTTAAACGTGCAGCAATTATACTAGGATGTAAGATTTTAAGTTCACTATGCAATTTTTCCATAGAGCAGTACTTATGTGTAGATGATAATTCATGTACAAGTCCAATATTACTTACCCGTAAATTCTTAATCTGCAGTGTGCCTTGCTCTTGAATTGTTGCTCTTGGATCTCTACCCGGAAAAGTAAATCCCTCCTTTAACCAGCTAATTACAGGAAGAGGATCACCAGTGGCTTTACATTTCAGTAACGCTGTACCATCCACTGCCAGCGTTTGGTTGGCTGGGCCTTGTAGAATTATAGGTGGAGGTCTATCTGTCAAAACTGAAGAATAAAGCTCTTTTCAGGTATTTTAACATCAATGTAGTTCAGTAGGCTTGATATATTGACACTGAAAGTAAGGTTAAAGCCCCAACACAATATATATTACTTATAACTTATTCTAAGCAATATGTATATTCTTGGTCATGTATATTCTAAATCTATCATATATCTATCATCTATATATGTACATACATATATACTATACTAAGGCCATACTATTTATTGTCAATAACTTCCTCTGCATTACCTATAATTAAAATGGCATTGAGATAAATTCTGACATTTTATAAAGACTTAATTGTATAAAAAGGCTTAGTCGTATTAAAATTAAAATTTGAATAGCTTATGGCAGTCAGTCACCTATGAAATGTTCATTTTATCTCATATGCATATTTAAGAAAGTGTGTGAAGTATCATATGAGTACAGCCAATTTTCACTTTTGCATTTATCATAAATATAGTACATAATTTCCCCCTTATGGCACCAGTTATGTGCTGTATTTATACAGGCTAAAATATTTCTGCTGATGTTAAAATATTAGATTATAAATAATTTCCTTCCAAAATTGTGACATGAGCTCATCAAATTACAGTCATATCATTTGGATGATTTGATTTAATTAGTGCTTATAATTGATCAAAGGAAAGTCATCTAGATTATATTTATCATATGACAAAAACAGTGCTTGTGCAAAATCAGTGTTTACATGTATATCAATTGTTGTGTTCATTTGGATAAATTTTCCATAATTTCTAAATGTTTAGCTTAGTATTGCTTTTTATTTATGAAATACTGTATTTGTAGTAGCATTTCGGTAGTACAATACAACTGTATCGTAGTAGCATTTCAGTGCTTTTAGAAGTATTTAATGATTATTTAAGAAGGACATCAAAATGTACAGTATTATTTACATGGTTAAGAAAAATATAGAGTTGACCGGAGGTAAGATTTCATTTAGAATTCATTAGAAGATCACCATATAATCAAAAGGACATGTCCAGGTCCAGGGAAGTCTTTCTAAAGAGAAAGTTCTATAAACTTCGGCATAGACAGCATAGACTTTGGTTAATTATCCAAAATATGCTTTTTATTGTGTATGGTTATATGTAACATATAAAATACATGTAGTATATAAAAGAATATATATGAAAAAGACTTCCACAAAAAAGAAAAAATGAATGATGGATTCTAATAATTTCTAAGCAACTGTGAAGATAAACTGTTGTTTCTCAAAAAACTCACCTTGTATTGCAATGTATACAATTGAAAACAGTTTGCTTAACGTTCAAATTTCCTTTGCCCACCAGCTTTTATAAATGGCAGCTTAAAATTACTATCTTTCCAATTTACTTGCATCATATTTACTAGAGTTCATAGTTTTAGGGAACAAAAGATTAAAGTTAAGCAGCCTTTTCAGAACCTATCATGAGAAAGCCAACCAAATTTAATTGAAGCTAGAATTTATGATACAGGTTACCTTCATATCAAGACATTGCAGATTCTAGTCAACCTAAACCTATTTTATCAGTGATAAAACCTAAGAAAAACAATAAAAACTGTTTATCATTCACAAACAAAAATTAGAATCATTTATTTCACTGCTTTTTTCATCAAATTCTTACTTTTAATACTAAATAAAACATTTTAAGAAAATATTGAAGTAGAATATTGTAATAATTCTGGCACATCTGTCAGTAATTAGGCAAATAGAAATTCAAACTAAAAGTTTCATGGGACTTATTTTTATGGGTCAAAAAGAGAAGGCCAATGAACAAAACACTATGAGTAATTTTTTAATGCAGTGAGAAAGTGAGTCTGTGTTACCAGAGTAAAGCATACTAATTAAATTTTAAACGATTTTTTTTCCAAATTAAATACCTATGCAGAATTCAGGTAACTTCTTATAACCTGCTTTTATTGTCATATCCCTGAAATCATTAGATGCAGCCAAAGGTCATCTAATTAGTTTTTTTCTTTCTGTTTTTTTACTGCCCTAATGAGTAGCTCATCACCTTTTGAATGAATTGATCAATAAAGTAATTGAAAATCTCCTGGCCAGACATAATTTTCAGTTCCAAGGATGTTATGGGTGAAAGATGACCACAGGTTTCCATGACACTTAAGTCAAAGGTTAAATGAACATTTAGGGATTCCAGTGATCTGTGAACAACTCCACGGTTTTCTCTCACTATGCATTATAAATACTCAATAAACCATTCATATAAGATCATGATGTGACATTTATTGTCAGTACAAGATATAAATACATCTTATCTCCCCAGTCTTTTTAACTTCTATTGGCTCTATTCACAGAATGCTGATTACAATTTCCTAATTCTCTGAGAGAAAAAGATAGAGCAAAAGGAAAGAAGAAATACAGAACAATGCCAGTGAACTAATGCGGAAGTCTTTTAGAGAAATATATTGAAACTCAAGTATATTGAAACATATTAGCTTAATCTATGATCAGTAAAATTGTTGCTCAACATAGCACTATTCAGCATCATTAGCAATTTCATCTTTTATGAATGTTTGAATTATAAATATTTCCAGAAAATGAGTCTAAGCGCAAAAATGTGACAACAGATACACTGCTCTAAACGGAATACAGGCATATCTCAGGGGTATTGTAGGTTTGGTTCTAGACCACAACAATAAAGCAAATATTGCAATAAGGAAGGCCACACAAATTTTTTTTCCCAGTGCGTATAAAAGCTATGTTTACACTATTCTGGAGTCTATTAAGTGTAGAATAATACTATGTCTAAAAAAAAGTTCATACCTTAAAAATACTTTATTGCTAAAAAATGCTAATGATCATTTGAGCCTAGAGTGGTAATCTTTTTGGTGATGGAGGATCTTGCCTCAGTGCTGATGGTTGCTAACTGACCAGGGTGGTGGTTGCTGAAGATTGGGGTAGCTGTGCCAATTTCTTAAAATAAGACAATAAAGCTTACCATATTGATTCACTATTCCTTTCAGGAAAGATTTTTCAGTAGCATGCAATGCTGTGTTATAGCATTTTATCCACAGTAAAATGTCTTTCAAATTTGGAGACAATCCTCTCAAACTCTGATGTTGCTTTATCAATTAAGTTTATGTGATATTTTGAATCATTTGTTATCACTTCAACAATCTTGAATAGAAGTAGATTCCATCTCAAGTCATCACTTTCTTTGGTCATCCCTAAGAAGCAATTCTTCATTTGTTCAATTTGTATCATGTGACTGTAGCCATTTAGTCACATCTTCGGGATCCACTTCTAATTCTAGTTCTTTTGCTATTTGTACCACATGTGCAGTTACTTCCTCTACTGAAGTCTGGAACCCCCTCAAAGTCATCCAACTTTCCAAACTCCTGGTAATGTTGATGTTTTGCCCTCCTCCCATAAATCATAAATGTTCTTAATGGCATCTATAATGGTATATCCTTTCCAGAAGGTTTTTAATTAACCCTGCCCAGATCCTTCAGTTGAATTACTGTCTACAGCAGCTATAGCCTTGGAAAATATATTTCTTAAATAAGACTTGAAAGTTGAAATTATTCCTTGATCCATGGGCTGCTGAACAGATGTTGTGTTAACAGGTATAAAAACATTAATCTCTTTGTACATCTCTATCAGAGCTTGGGTGACAAGGTACACGTAGATGAGAAGTCATATTTTGAAAGGAATTTTTTTTTCTGCAGAGTAGATCTCAACACTGTACTTAAAATATTTCGGTAGGTAAACCATGCTGTAAAGAGATATGCTGTCATTCAGGCTTTGTTTTTCCATTTACAGAGCACAGGCAGAGTAGATTTGGAATAATTCTAAGGGTCATAGAATTTTTGAAATAGTAAATGAGCATCAGTTTCAACCTAAAGTCACCAACTGCATTAGTTACTTACAAGAGAGTTAGTCTGTCATTTAAAGCCAGGCATTGACTTCTTTTCTTCAGCCATCAAAGTCCTAGGTAACATCTTCTTTCAATATATGCATGCTTTGTCTACATTGAAAATCTGTTTAGTATAGCCACTTTCATGAATGAACTTCTGGATAACTTGAATAACTTGATAAAGCTTCCATATTAGCCCTTGATGCTTTACCTTGTACTTTTAGTTATGAAGATGGCTTTTTTCCTCAAATCTCATCAACCAACCCCTGGTAGCTTCAAATTTTTCTTCTACAGCTTCCTCACCTCTCTCAGCCTTCAAGGAATTGAAGACAGTTAGGGCCTTGCTCTGGATTAGGCTTTGGCTTAAGGGAATGTTGTGACTCACTGATCTATCCAGACTCTAAAACTTTCTTCATATCAGCAATAGGCTGTTTGACTTTCTTATCATTTTTTGTGTTCACTGGAGTAGCACTTTTACTTTCCTTCAAAAACTTTTCCTTTGCATGCATAACTTTGCTAACTGTTTAGAACAAGAGGCCCAGCTTTTGGCCTATCTCAGTTTTTGACATGCCTTCCTCACTAAACTTAAGCCTTTGTAGCTTTTAACTTAAAGTCAGAGACATGTGACTTTTCACTTGAACACATGGAGGCCACTGTAGAGATACTGACTGGCCTAATTCCAATACTGTTGTGTCTCGAGGAATAGGGAGGCTCAGGGAAAGACAGAACAACAGGGGTAAAGAAACCAGTGGGTAAAGAAACCAGAGCACACACATTTACCAGTTAAGTTTACCATCTTATATGGGTGCAGTTTGTGATACCCCCCAAAAATTATAGTAGTATCAAAGATCACTGATCACAGACCACCACCATAACAGATGGAATAATAATGGCATTGTTTGAAATACTGTGAGAATTACCAAAATGTGACACAGAGGCACAATGTGAGCACATGATGTTAGTAAAATGGCACCAACAGACTTGTTTGACCCAGGGTTGCCATAAACCTTCAATTTGTAAAAACCATGGTATCTGCAAAGTACAACAAAGGAAGGTATGCCTGTAATCACTTCTTTCTCTGAACATGACATACGTTTTCATTCTACCATGGAATTTCAAATGGCTCTACAATTCCCTGAATTATATCAAAATAAATGTGTTCAAAATGAAATAATGGCTCAGATAGTATTAAATCATTAACCTGTATGAAAAATCAAAACTATGGGTAGAAGCTTAAGGCATCAGCCAATGTGGCAACTTCATATTTAGAGACAGATTAATTGATAACATGTGTGTACATATTTAGTTCTTATAGTTTCATTTCTTTACTGTCAAAATCAACAACACTGTAACTTCTAATCAATGTCTCTGCAAAAGGATCTTGACTTTGTAATTGCTTACTCAAGTAAAAATCAATATAGGAATTAATACTCAAGCCAGTTGTAACAAAATGTTTAGAGCAATCTCAGTTGGCAGAAGATTTAACATTGGTCATCACTTATTTTTGACCACAGAAAGAAAGCTAGACTAACTACTGTTTTGTAATATAGCATGAGCTAGTGTAAGGCCTCAAAGGTTTTCCATTAATTGTATCAGACGTAATTCTGAATATCCACCTGTTTTATGAACGATAACAGTCACATTAACTGGCTCTTCTAGTTCATCAACTTTGCTTCCCACAAATATGGTTTGCCTTTTCCATAACAATTTCTTCATTTAGAAACATTTGAGAGTCAATCTTCTATAAAATATTATAAGTAGTTAAATGATAGCCGGTATCTTAAGCATTACATTTGGTGTGTTCTTAGGAATATAGAATAAAACATAGGCTTTGGACAGAATATCTTATTTTTCAAGTGTATGTATCTGGACATTTTTGTTGACAGGTGAAAACATAAGATCTTTTTAATGATTAATAATTATCTTTTATTCTTTTAAAGAAATATGGAGGTACAAAGAATCAAAGACCTTGCCCATCTAAGGAAGAATTTCTCATCACTGCTATCCTTGAACCTGACTTCTCCTTTCAGTTCCATAGCAGTAAATCTCTGCAGCATCAGCAGGTGCAGCCATTAACGACTCAATGTCCCTGCAGCCAATGTTTGTCTGTTCTATTTATTCCCATTCCTGACATGTCACTGAATCAGGCCATACCATGAACAGATATTAAAAAATACTGCCTTTCTATTAATTTTAAATGACCTTTTAATCTACATGTAAATTTAAATTGTATAAAAGCACATCAAATTTCACCATCAGAGAAAGAAGGGGATCAAGAAGACACCACAGACCAAAGCACTTGTATCTCAGAAGCCAGCATTAGGGGAGAAAACAAAAGTAAAAATCCTCACAAATAAAGGAGAGTAAGAAATAATTTTCAGTTTAAGACATCAAAGAATAGGGATTAAATTCACGCTCAGAGGTTCATGAAATATCTCAAATTTGCTAGCTGTCAATTGTGACAAATAAACTGCTGGGAAAAAACCAGATTACGCAGAGCCCTTCATCCTTTTCAACTTTCACTATGAATGTAGGTGCCTCAGTTAAGATTCAAAGTGCATATGTGCCAATAAAAATAATAATTTTAGCATTGTTCAGCACTTTGAAAGGTAGTTAATTTAACTTAGTGAATGCATAATTAAAATCATAGGAATGTCCTAATGTGATTAGCTAACTAAAATCTCATCTCTGATAATATTAAAGGTGGTATGACCTCCTCCTAGAGTGAAATAAAATTATTAATGTCTAGTAGAGCCAATCATGTCAGCCTAAGACTAAATAAAAATATACAGATTACATTTCAGTATGCAGTGAGTGTGATGACATTTATTTAAAAAAATGCACTATTCTATTTTTAAGAATTAAGTAAATTATCTCTGAAGTTCTTCTTTGGGGAAAATAAGTGGTATTCAATCAGGGAGAATTAGAAACTACCAAAAGAATGTGACCTGGATTCAAACTTAAAAGATAAGCATACATAGAAATGATTTAACAAATCAGCAAACTCCACATGGTTAACGTGTATCTAGAAATAAAAATCAATGTTTTCATAAGACAAATCTAGTAAAGATATCGCACCATCAGTAACCTCCAGTTGAGCTTTTGCTAAAATGCTTCCTGCCACAGTTAAAGCCTGGCAGATGTAGTAACCCGCGTCGGAACGTTGAATGTTGGTGATTGTGAGGTCTCCAGTTGGTGACACTGAGCATCTACTGTTGGGCTGCTGGGGTTGGTTTGGGAAAAGTAGGTTCTGTGGAAGCAAGCACAATCTCATCAATATTCATTTTCCACTTAAAAAAATTATGTGAATAAAAGCTACTACAATTAAGGAATACAGTGGGAAAAAGAAAATACACAGATTAAAATATATATGGTTCAGAAATGTTTAAATGCCACACAGTGGGTTTCACTGATAAAGGTTTTCCAAATCATGGTGGAATAATATCCTCTAAGAAGTCAATATTTTCTAGTTGAAAGAATAATCATCTGTGTTTTTAAAGAATGGGGATCTTTATCTCATCCTGATTTTCTGCTAGTTACTTAATATCTTTGAAGCTTTTTTCTTCATCTGGAAAATGGGCAAAACAATTCTTATCTGACTCAACTACTAAGGCCTCATGAAGATCTGGCCATAACATTGACTGTGTATGGGTTGTATAAACCGCACAGCTCTGAAGAATGCAAAATATGATTGCTGTTGATCATTTTGAATACTTGATGGACTCAACTGAATTTCTCCCAAAGTTGTTCAAAAGTGTGTGACAGAGAGCTGACTGTACTTCTGCTGTAAAGTTTTTGCAGCTTTGAATGGGGTTATAAACAAATGCTACAATTTAAGCAAGAGTAAGCAAATTACTGAAGATAAAAAGAAAATGTAGAATGTTTCTAAAAGTGTGTTACCTTAAACAATTTCATAATATTACTTTCTTTTTAAAACAAAATTACTTTAGTTTACTCTATATCTCATATATACATATAGCCTAATTACAAATTGTGAAAGTTCATCTATGAGAGGAGTAACATTAATTTGGATGAACTGTGTTGCTTTACTGTTGTTCAATTAAGAAAAACATTTGAGTATAATAAATTATATTGGGGCATGTTTCCAAGTTGGATTATAAATAAGGAGATATCAATTTTTATGTTGTATTTACTTACAAAAAAGGACATTTTAACCCTCTGGGATCTGTTTCTCCATATAGTAATTAATTTTCCAGGTTTGTAATTAAACAGTTTCAATACGTTGCAATCAGGAGGCAATAACATTCAATTAAAGGCCCAGGACACATTTTCACCTTAAAATGTTTTTACCCTTGAAGTAATACCAATGGAAGAGGATAAAATAGGGTATTAACACTTTTCAATTATGCTCAATGACTTTAATCCTGCAAATGATGTCCTGTTTTAATTAGAAGCTCTTCTCTTTATTGCAACATGATGGATGTCCACTTTATTAGATTCAAGTGTGACACTATAAGCCCACTTTACATAAACATTACCATGTTATTAAACTCCGTCTAAAACGAGTGATGTTTGCTAGCATGTCAGGAATGTAATTTCAATATGCTATTGACCTCTTATAAAATGTGTACTATTATATAAGGCTAGACATTTTCATGCATAGAAACACAATTTGAGAATCAGCTGATTCTACTGTAGATTCCAAATGTATTATCAAAATAAACGAGCTAAAAGAGAGAGTCTAAATTTTGAAGTCACTTGAAAATGATACAATAACTCAAAGTGCACACTTTCCCACAATTAGCCATTAGAATACTAATTTACATAGCACTAATATATCAGATGGGCTTTATTCTCTACGGGATGGCTTCCTCTACAATGTACCATCAGTCCACCTTCTAAATGATTCGTTGACATGGAAAATGGCATTATATGAAGGTTAACCCATCATTTTTCTTCTCTGCTTGCATGACATAGGCAAAAGAAAATGGATTACAAGCAAAAACCGGGAACTTCACAGCTCTTCCCGCCTTGGAGAGTGCCTGGGTATCCTATTAGAGCTAATTGGCATTATCAGCATATATTGAGAAATATGGACCATTAAGTTCAGGCTTTTAACTGTTTCTACTGATGGATGGTCATAGATAACTGTAAAAACTGGATACTGGAAATAGTAAGACCGACTTATTTTTTCCCAATATCCCAATTCATGATTTGAGAATTTATAATTTGCTCAAGCACTTCTCTCTTGTTCTCATTCACAGTATTTTCTCTCTGTGTATCTCTTTCTCTTTCTCTCTCTCTCTCTCTTTCTCTCCCACCACATCCCTCTCTATCTCTACCTCTATCTCTCTGATGGGAGAGAGATAGGTGAGGAAAAGAAAACTAGACTTAAGATTTTATGTAATCTTTAACATTAATATCTCTGGAATTATATGCCACTTCGTCAAATACAGAAAAAGGAATACTGAAATGCTATTTAATTGTTATTTATTTTGAAACCATTAACAAAGATGTAGCATATTTAAATATCCTATGTTTATTAAGCTACAAGGCCAATACACATTTTATGCACTACCTTGTAATTCAACTTGGAGCTACTTTAGGGAATGTGATTTACACCTGATATGGTCTTAGCTATATAATAACAAGTCACATTATAATGAGATTTCACTCAATACATGGATTTAAAGTGTGAGTATGCAATGATCAAATTGCTTTACATCATTATATTTACTACCAGTGACATAACATTTTGCTTAACCTTCATAATGTGTAAAGCAACTTATTCATTTAAACTTTGTTTGTGTGAAGTAAAATGTGTTAGCTCTGTATTTTAGATTAAGAAAATGAGTTCCAGTACATTTAAATAGCACTACAAAAGTTGTACAATTTATAAGGAGGAAACTGGATTTTGAATTCTCTCCTTTTTGTGTGTGTGTGTGTGTGTATGTGTATGTATGTGTATGTGTATGTGAGTGGTGTGTGTTTATGTGTGTCTATGTGTGTGCATGTATGTCTATGTGTATGTGCGTTATGTGTGTATATGTGTGCATGTCTCTGTGTGTGGCGTATGTGTATGTGTGTGGTATGTGTGTGTATATGTGTGTCTGTCTCTGCATGTGTGTGTATATGTGTGTGTGTCTAAGTGTGTGTGTATGTGTTTAATTGTCATGCTGCCTTACACTTACTTTAGAGTCTGAGACGCTAACATCTGAAAAGAATTTTAAAGCAAACAGTTAAAGAACTCTATGTGTAGAAACCTGTTTTGTAATTACTAAATTAGAAAGAAGATTTGAGAGTTAAGGCCTGGAACAGTTCTGATGTGGGATAAGGCAGTGGCCATCACCTTTCCTTACATTCCCGTCACTACGTTTACATTCCACAAATCACAAGAGGAATGACTCCACCAAGGAGAGCTGAGTGAGGAATAAAAGGCCATTTGTCCATCCAGACTGAGCTGTTAGAACTGCTCACTATGAGCTGGTACAGGAATTTATAGAAACCCACAACAATTAGACATAATGGCTGCACAGAACTTCTACAGGCTTCCTTGCACACATGTATGTTGCAGATAAACACATGTAAGCTTTAATCAACAGAGTCTTCTAATGCAACTTACATTTCCCATCTCTGGCCAAGGTTTTAGATTTCCAGAGATGTTTAATAATGATTTCCATTATTCCCAAGGAAATTCTTCTGGAACATGTAGTAATAACAGAATGTGATGAGGAAGACCACCAGTAGGTCTCTTCCTCAGAATATGCCTAGTAGTGCATGTTTCTAGAAAGTTTAGAAGGAAAATATCTCCAGGTCCCATGGGAATGCACAGATAAATTATTTTGCAAACAACACAATTTTTAATCTAGTTTTACCTGGAAATTTCACTCATTGACTACGAACCTAGAGGCTAAGCAGTTGTCCAACTTTAGACAGAGTTCTAAATGAGAAAACTAGTGTATCCAGTTGACTTTCCATAGAGACTCTGAGAGGCCATGTTGCCCAGAGAGGGCCCTGGAGAGGACAAACCAGGGCAGAACAAAGACAAGACAGGTATGGGTTCCTTCTAGTGTACTATGTATTATTTCCTGTCTAACCCCACTATGGATGAATCCAGGAGGAATGGAGAAGGAAAAGATTTATCCTACTCTTAAATGGAAGCATGCTTTAATTAAGGGTAAGAAAAGTCATTTATGCTGTGTATATAAGAGAGAGGATTGAAATTCTGGGCCAATTAAACAAATATTTGACTGTTTTCCATGTCACAGAGATTGTTCTAAGTACTGCATATGTCCTGACTCTATCACACCACGTATCTCAATACAAGAAAACAAAATTAGCTTTACCTTCACAGATTTTAAATAGCTACAGAGGTTTTGGTTGGACTTTTAACGATAATTTTGTTACACTGCTTTATTGCTGTTCTATGTAAGAGACAGAATTTTGAAAAGATTAATACTAGCAAATAAAGAATGCTATTGCTAGAACATCTGACTCCTACTTATTTTTACATTCACCAGTCTCTTTTTCAGAAATAAAATAAATTCAAACATTGAGAACAAGAGAAGCAAGGCAAGCTTTCAGGAGCAGCAGAGACAGTAGAAGTTCAGAGATTTCAGAAAAGCAGTGAAGCCTCACACTCACCTGGCTGCCTTCTTTCTGCCAAAAAACAGCTGGCTGTGGGTTTCCTTTAGTTTCACAGGGAAATGTCACTGTTCGACCTTGAGCAACAATCTGATCTCTTGGCCGAACCACAAACTGTGGGGGAGCTATAATTTAAAAGAAAAGAAAGCGTGTAAATATCAACCATAGACAAATAAAAATATGTCAAGGAGAAAATATGGTACTATGTTGACTGTTCAGTGCCAGAGAGAGACTACAGTTTTTTATTTACTTTTACACATTTCTCAAAACACAAAAAGAAAGACATTATATTCAATCCAATGTGAGGAAAGAAGCAAACTTTTTAGCAGACGTATTTTATATGTTGTACATTGTAATCCTTTGGCCTACATATACTTGCATAGAAAATTAGATTTTTAAATGATTTTAACATTTTTAAGGAAAAACATGGATTTTCAAGTTGGTTCTGCTTTTTAAATAAATAAAGATAAGAAAAGAATCACTCTCTTACTCAACCATCTCCTTCCTCTAAAGTCAATTTATTTATAAGCATTGGCAGTTTTTGTAGTTACTGCAAGAATTATATAAGGCACAGGGATACCAAAGGGTATAAAATATGACCCCTATTCTTAAAAGTGCTTATATCTAGAATTCAAGAGTTGAAAGATTAAAGACATTGAAGAATTGAAGAGATGGGAATTATATACAAGGGTAATAAGCAATATAAATAAATGTATTGAAATGGTTGACTCAATCTAATTTATTTCATTTAGATAGATAAAGGTTAGTCAGGTAATTACTATGTTCCCCTACTGGGCACTAAAGATACAGAGATGGGAAGCTTTTATCCTGAAGCCATCAAAGAGCTTAGAGTCTAAGGGAAATGAAAAACACAATGACAATGACAAAAACAAAAACGAAATTAAATCAACACTTATCTAAGACTGTGGTAAGTGCAATGGTAGAGGTAATCTCAGACCACAGTGGAAGAGAATTTAAGTTATTGTATATATACGAAACACAATAAGACTCAGGAGAAAGAAATCCCTTGGTGTTGTAAAACCTACAGAAGGCTCTGTGTAGAAAATGGGCATTATGGGAGCTTTGAGGTAAATGGAAAAATGAACACATTCCAAACAAGGAGATTATGGAGCAAAGTATAAGAAGCAAGAACAAGCTTAGGATACAGTGTGTAATTTGGCAGGATGGAGGGTCCAAGTTATGTAAACACTTTTGGCTACAAAGGAGGGTTTCAGAAGTCAAACTGAGGATTTTATTCTGATTTTTTTCTAAGCTGAAAAGTGACAGATGCAAAAGTAATTTTTGGCAGCTTTAACCCTCTGATGAATGTAGCATGGATTGGAGAGGAAGCCACTTAGTCTATAAAACAAGAAGTCTGGCTGGGAGGCTAGTAAAATGGTACAGGTGAAGCTAATGAGACCAAGACATAAGTAACTCCGACAGAAAATAAAAGAAAGGGATGGGGGTAAAAATCCTAAGAAAGTTCAGATTTAAATGGTGGTCTAATGATCTTGAGAGAGAATAAAGTGAAAGACAGTAGGCAGTATCATTGGAAGTTTTCACAAGGGCGTCTCCCTACCAAAATCCATTTTTGTTGAGCAGAAAACACAGTGTTTATTCCATGACTTTTCTAATAATCTATATCCACTTTAACTCGCTTCTTAGGCTAGAAAACTGAGACCAAGAAAACACTTTAAAATCAACTCTAATTTTTAGAACCTAGTGGCACTTTAATGCCCTCTAACCATGAGTGATGTCTGGTAAAAACTGTCACTGGAAATCATTTCAGTCCTTCAGGAGAAAAGAAGTGCAGGTCCAAGAATGGGGTAAACGTAGATCAGCCCCAAACACGCAACCAATTCTTCATCCTTACAAGAATCCTAGCGTAGAAAAAGCAGCAGCATTTTTCCAGACAATTCCCTGGGATTTGTATTGACTTATTTTTTGGTGTTCTATTATACCGCCTCCTAGTTCAACGCATCTAACGCATAACCCAGGGACAGATGGGATAAATCTACTAAATGACATTTTCTTCTATAACTATAGATTAACAGAAGACTCATTCTAGCAGTATGGAAAACCCAGATTTATGAATCTGTTTGAACAGAGCGTGGTATAGGTTGCCTTGTATTTTCAGGAGATTAGTTGCTTCTTACAATCTTCTTGTTATTTCCACACAGTTCTCCCGAATCAGCAGATACATTGATTTTTGTTCCATGTTTTCTCATAGAAATGATGGTGTAAATCAATGTTAAAAAATTATTTTAGAGAAAACTCTTAAAACACTGCAGTGACCATTTTTTCAATAGAAATGTGAAACCACCAGGTATTTGTGCCAAAAAAAAAAAAAAACACTTAAGGTTTGTTTCCGTCATCTGCAATCTTGTAGAAAAATTATATTTGTTATGAAAAAGTTAAGAATGAGTATATAGTTATCTCTTTGTGATCCTATAAAGAAAAATAATAATGCCAACATGGACACTTGCCAAGTGAGGAGTGTTGAATAATTTAGCATGTATCGAAAATTATTAAAAACTCAAAACTCAGTTTGGTCAAAATCAGTCACTTAAAAGATTTGAATAAAAATCACCTATTTAGCTGATTAGTTAATTTGTACTGCTTTGGGCCAGAAAGAATTTAAATTACCTCACAAAAGTAGTTAGTAAAACCTTAGAGTCCTGGATACTCTATACAGTCCTTCTTTACAAACTTTTAAAATATATTAACTGAGAATAAACGTGATTGAAATCATCAAATGAAATCAATGAAATATCAACATATATTTATGTATTTCATAGTTTTAAGCATATTATTCTTCATCTATCCAGTAAAATTACAAATCTCTATCACTAAAATTACCATGTGTACTTTAGAAGTACAGACTTCCAAGAATTTAATTTTCAAACTTTTGAAACATTTTTTTTGTAGATGAGTGATTTTGCAAAATGCTTTTGGCATCCAGATAATACGATTTTAACACCACTGCTAAAATATAGTCCTCAAAATAAGGACTGGCAAATGACCGCATCTATGCATCCACTTTTCTGAAAAGACATAATTCATCCATTTATTCACACAAAATGTACTGATTGACGAAAAATGATGATACATTCTGGTTGGTACAGGAGATGGGAAGCCAAATAAAATTGTTCTTGCCCTGTGGCAGAGGCTTACAAGTAAATATATAAATAAATACACAAAAACAGCAAAATGTGATTTTTTTCAATGAAAACAGAAAAAATGCAGATGGCACTGGGGGAGAAAGAGTGGAACAGAACCAATCAGGCCATGTTGTGAGAAAAAAAAAGAGAAAAGCTGCTAGGGCATGGCTACATTAGAGCTGTACTTTGGAGGACAACTAAGAGCTGACTAGGCGAAGAGTGGTAAGGTGACTTGGGACAAAGAGAAGCAGCACATAAGGCAGAGACCCACTGAACTGGATTTTTAGGGGCATGTAAAAGATTCTGAGAATAAAAGAAATCTAGGTCACAGTGGTCATATAGATAGGGACAGATGATTTCTGCTAAACAAGTGTAACATTTCATTCTGAAAACTCTAAAGATCTGTTCAAAGACATTTTTGTAAGAAAGATATAATCAGATTTATATTTTGGAAAGGGTGCTTTAGAAGCAATGTAGATGAGGATTAGAGAAAGAGCAAAGACAAAGAGCTGGCAAATCTTCACAAGTTGGGGCAGAGAATCCAGTTGAGAATTTTTATTTTTAGTAGCACCTAAAGATACCATTTCATCAGGGCTTTTAAAGGACAAAGAAATTCTGCAAAATCAAAACATAATATTTACCACTGATGGTATAATCTAAAAAGGACAGGAAATTATAATTTCTGGAACTTTTACCCAATACTGGATTATTTTAAAGACCACTAACAAAAAACTGTCAGCATCTGTTATTTATCCTATAAAATATATTATCACGTGATGTTTATGTATATTGTACATTTACTCCAAGTCGGAAATGTGTTGTATTTCAAATGCATTCAATAGACTATTGTCACCAGAACTTATGCCACATTGATCTTGCTGGAACTAAAATCATCTAATCATATTTTAATTTTAAAAAATGAAAAAATGGAAACATTTATCAAAGCAAAAAATTTGAAGAGTATTCAAGTCTGTGAAAATACACATCCTTTCCTATTATCACCTGAAGGTGGACCAAAGAAACAAATTGCATCAATCACTTTTACTTTTGTAGACTCTCTGTCTGCCCTAGATCTATATTGCAATCTTCTGTGAAGGGATATCAGCTGAAGGAATTTATTTTTGAGGTTTTAAATGAAAAACTGCATCAATAATTCTTCTAATAACCCTCCACAGTTTCAGTGTCTCTGCCAGGTGGCAGTGAAAATGGTCTGAAAAGACAGTATTTGGCTGATGGCACCAAAGAGAGGGAGTAGACAGATGTGGCATTTTATCAACACAGCACAATAGCACAAAGTGTGCTATACATAAAATAGATTTTCTATAATGACTCCCATTAAGTATTAAAAAAAAAACTACTAGGTCCTCAAGACGACAATTCCAAACACATGCTTAAACCCAATGTGAATTAAAGAGATTGAGTTATAAACTCCAGAAGAATATGCCTGTTATAAAAATGGCAATTCTCCTATATGTCTCTGAGACAGAAGACTATAAAATATATACTTATATTCTGTCTAAAACCTGAAAGCATTGGAAAAATCTTTTGTTAACTATGATGTAATATCCTACTTGCTTAATCTGTCACGTGATTATACCTTATTGCTTCAGCTATAACTAGAAATGAGACGAAGCAAACAGAATGACACAATTTAGTGTTTAATCAACACTTACAAGCTGAAAAACAATAGCTCTATAAGGAAAGTATGTTGTGTGATTTCCAGAGAAGTAGACCCAAATATAAAAAGGTCAATTAAGATTAGAGGTCTGGGACAGTTCACTTGAAACTGTGTTTTGAGAATTTAAATACAATGCACAGTAAATTAGATTTGATTTCTGCTAAATGATGCTTTGATACTGCATTCAGCCCAAGCTGGCTTCAATCAAAGTCACGCTGCAGCTCTGTTATGCTAATGCCTGCTGGTGAGAGTGAGTGGGTGACATGGAAATCAGATGGCTGAACATGAGTAGGAAGCACAGGCCGTGCATGAGTTGGGCTTTGAGATGAGGGGATGGGGGACTCTAAAGGTTAATCACATCATGTTCAGAGTTGTTTTAACAGGAAAATATGACTTCCTATGGCAGGCATTAGCATGGAGAGAGTCATGCAACAGCTACGTACATTCATATGTGGCACAGGGTGAATACAGTCATGCTCAGCCACTCTTTTTCTTTGGATATAATTTTATGCCTGAATGAATAAACTTTTAATTCTATAATTGCCATTTCGAATTTTTTGACAAACTCAAGTAGAATTTTTTTTGCTATTTCATATATTTACTTGTTAAATACTAACATATTCTATAAGCATATTTAAGAAGCATTCTCTTCCTTCATATGCTTGAGTTAAAATTTCACTTAGTCACAAACTGTTTAGTAGAATGGCAATAATTAACATTCATTGAGAGCTTATTATGTGCTAGGGTTTGTGTTAAACCCTCCACAGGCATTATCTCAATTAATATTTGAAAAGCCTTATGTTTCAACTACTATCATAATGATGTAAAACCAGTAAACTGAATCTTACTCAGGGCATGAGTAACACAGCTTTATTAATTTATTTTGGTTTATTAAGTTCCCCTGTGCATGTGCAGGATGTGCGGGTTTGTTACATAGGTAAATGTGTGCCATGATGAACTGCTGCACCTACCAACCCCTCACCTAGGTATTAACCGCAGCATGCGTTAGCTCTTTTTCCTGATGCTCTCCCTCCCCCTGCGCGCCCCCACTGCCCCCGACTGGCCCCAGTGTGTATTGTTCCCCTCCCTGTGCCTATGTGTTCACATTGTTCAGCTTCCACTTATAAGTGACAACATGCAAGAAATACAGCTTTCTTAGTTAAATTAGATTGGAGGACAGGTTTGACTTCTGGCTTATTCGAATGCCACAGTAGGAACTCTTAAACACTGAGATGCCAGATTCATTTGGTTCCGTTCGAACCAAGATCTGATTAACTAAAAATTTGTCATATCTAATACGAAGAAGAATGATAGAACTTTAACGCTATTATTTCCAATATGCTACAAAGATTTGCAAAATAATAACATTACGTTTCTTCTGAATGATTGTTTTTATTATTAGGGTAGCATAAAACCCATTACTTTTCTCTTTCTATACTACCTGTAAGTATAACCTTTCTTAAGCACACTTCCTTCAAGTCACTCTTTATTCATAAACCTATAGTGCTTTTCATCGCATCACAGTGAAACCTACAATACTTACCATAGCAATGCTTGCAAATTATTCTTCTCCGTGTAGCATTCTGGCTTCCATCAGCTGATCTAAGATTTTCCAATCCTGACACTCATTTGTCCCCAAACTAGCTCCAGCATTTCAGCAGAGCAGTCTACTTTCAATCACTAGTATTTGCTTGGTCTTGTGGTTAACCCACCCCGATATCAATTATCCTTTGGTCCTCTTTGTCAACAATGATTAACCTGAACAATCTCTGACCTTGTGCTTGTCTTGTGTTCTTTCCAATTTAAGGTACTTGCTCTTGCTTGCATTGCCTTCTCTATTTTTCCCCAGCCTATATGTCTGACTTCCTTAGTTCAGTTTGAAGATTTTACTGGTATGGGGTGCTGTCTACAATTTAGCATATAAATGGTATATTTTTTTCACCTAGAAAAGCCCAAAACAGTGAACACTAAATGAATGCCTCGGAATAGTACATTTTAAAAAGAACAGAATTCTTGATCTAAAGCAAATACTCAATATTTTTTCCATCTCATTATACCTAAGGAATAATATATCTGCATTATTATACCTATTCCATTATACCTATACACATACCCACCAGTGACAGTGACTTACTATTGCAGTAGTAAATATAGTGTTTGAAAACAATATATATGTGATTTGAAAAAAAACTAATCGATTCTGATATGTGTTGTTTCAAGTATGTTACCTGAATACAAATCTAACCGATTCTGATACGCCCTTTTGTAGAGAGTGCTGCTACACAACGTTGAAAATGTATGACCCAAAGCCTATAAATGAGTAGCCAACATTCCAGAGTAACAAAAGCACTACAGACAAATAAAGACATTGTGTAACAATGGGTTTTAAAAGTTCCTGCAAAAGGCCGGGGGGCGGTGGCTCACTCCTGTAATTCTACCACTTTGGGAGGCCGAGGCGGGTGGATTGTCTGAGCTCTGGAGTTTGAGATCAGCCTGGGCAACATGGTGAAACCTCGTCTCCACTAAAATACAAAACAAATTAGCTGGGCGTGGCAGGGTGCGCCTGTAATCCCGGCTCCTCAGGAGGCTGAGGCAGGAGAATTGCTTGAACCCGGGAGGCGGAGCTTGCAGTGAGCCGAGATTGTTGTGCCACTGCTCTCCAGCCTGGGCGACAGAGCAAGCCTCCGTCTCTAAAAAGAAGAAAAAAAATTAAAAAGTTTCTGCAAAAATTAGTTAATAGGCTTGCCTCCACCAACAAGAAACAGAGAGTGAGAAATCGTTTCTTTGCAATGCAATTATAGACCAGTAGTAAGAGATAAATGTTTACTCAATTTATATTCAACTCAGTTTGGGTTCTAATTGATACGTGATTGTTTCTTCAACTTATTTAATTTTATTTAATTTTTACTATGTAATGCTTCATTTGATTTCAAAAGATTTTCTGTTAATAATATTGGAAATGCATACACACTGCCATGGAAATGTTGGATTTGAAGCTTATTAACACATAATTCATCTCAGAGGAAGCAATGTATTTATAATAGAAAATATAAATTAGAAATATAGGATTTAAAATAATCACTTTTATAGAGACTACTTAATCACATTTTACTCATTTGTCACTATTTCCAAGAAATGTAAATGATTGGCCAGGCGTGGTGGCTCACGCCTGTAATCCCAGCACTTTGGGAGACCAAGGCGGGCAGATCATGAGGTCAGGAGATCGAGACCATCCTGGCTAACACAGTGAAACCCCGTCTCTACTAAAAATACAAAAAATTATCTGGGCGTCGTGGCGGCGACTGTAGTCCCAGCTACTCGGGAGGCTGAGGCAGGAGAATGGCGTGAACCCGGGAGGCGGAGCTTGCAGTGAGCCGAGATCGCACCACTGCACTCCAGCCTGGGTGACAGACAGAGACTCCGTCTCAAAAAAAAAAAAAAAAAAAAAAAAAAGTAAATGATCAAATTGCTAAATTACCTACCTTTCTAATTAACTATTTTTTTTGTTTTTTATTGAGTCCATGGCAATAAATCCTTTAGATGAGTGATACACTTTCTTTGCCACCAGCTACTTCCTTGTAGCTAATAATAAAAATCCTTATTCCATAGTAAAATACCAATGTCTATACCTGATATGGTTTGGCTGTGTCCCCACCCAAATCTCATCTTGAACTGTACCTCCCACAATTCCCACGGGTCTTGGGAGGGACCCGGTGGGAGGTAATTGAATCACGGGGCAGGGTCTTTACCCTGCTGTTCTTGTGATACTGAATAAGTCTCACAAGATCTGATGGTTTTATAAAGGAGAGTTCCCCCACAAAGGGCTCTCTTGCCACCACCATTTAAGATGTTCCTTGCTCTTCTGCCATGATTGTGAGGCCTCCCCAGCCATGTGGAGCTATGAGTCGATTAAACCTCTTTTCCTTATACATTACCCAGCCTTGGGTATGTCCTTATTAGTATCATGAGAACAGACTAATACAATAATACCTTTTCTTTCAACAATAAGCATATATATGTATGTGCTTCTTCAATGTCAAAATGAAAAGGAAAAGCACTAAATGATATATTGCTCTCATAAATATGAAAAAATAATCAAAGAGAATAGAATGACTACCATGAGTCATAATCCTTAGATTCCTCATCTATTTAGACTTCATATTCTACTCTACACCCATGAGAGGTCTCACATATACATACAAATTACATTCATTCATTGTATGAGCAAAACATGTTACTATTATGCAGCTATTACTCTTTACAGTTTAGAAACAGTCTTGGAATTTGTTGATGGTGAGATTAATTTTGGAGGGTTCATATAATATCAGAACCTCCTCCCCACAAAAAAAACTCTCAATTATTCAAAATCTGATTACTTAAAAAGGCAGTGAAGTCAGCCAATAATTACATAGTATGACGACAAAATAACAGAAGTGGCTTCTGAATTGCCATGTGTTGCAACTGTAAAGGCAATTCCAAGGAGGCATTGGATTTATTTTGGTAAGTGTAATACACCCCCCCCCCACAAAATATGTATATGTTTTATGAAAGTGGTTCAAACCATTTGCTTTCACTTAGAGTCACACATAATGTGCTCCTGCCTGAAATGCCACAATGTAAATATCAAAATGAAATAATTCTACAATAATCTAGAATGGAAAGAATGCTTCTGAAAAGAGTTAACTCAGTTCAAAATGTCTTGCATTTTTAGATCTCATAAGCAGGCACATAAAAACAGTGTTGTAATGAACAGCTATAAGCACATAGCCATTTTATACTTGGGCCAGTGCCTTCACACTTATATTTTTGTTTTTGAAGGCAAAATATTACTGGAACGTACCACAGTAATAAATTTCTACAAAAATGAATTCAGATGTTGCATGGCAATTCAATTCATAATACTATCCAATTATTTTTTTAAACAACATTAGTGGTTTTCTTTTCTGTCAGAGGGTACTAAGATCTCTGTCCTGTGGAAGTCACCTCCTACCACAAGAGACATTCCTGGAAACAATCAAGCATGTTACAACACATTTTACAATTGTGTTGTGACATGTTACAATACAATGAAGGTTGTAATACAATACATACTAAGCAAAAGAGTAACTTGACTCAGTTGGCCTTCTACAGCTGGAGAAACCATAGAGAGAGAAAGAGAGAGAGGAAGAAAAAGAGGAAAGAGATGGAGGGAGAGAGGGAGAAGAAAAGAAGGAGAGAGAAAAGAAGAGAGAGAGGGAAAGAGAGAGAGAAACAAATTTGATTTGTTCTTTTAGATTAAGTTGGAAAGGAAGGAAGGGTGGGAGAGTGCTCCTCCCAGAGGGGAAAACAAAGGCAGTATGTTAGAGACAGGAATTTTGCAGACTGCTTTAAGGCACATTCCCCCCACCTGCTTCTTTGTGGCCTGTGGCAGTCTAGATGGGTGTGCTCCTTGAGTCAGTTTAGGTATTTGAAGGCCTCCGGCAAGTAATATAGTTCGACTATGAACTTGCTCATAGTTCGAGTTTGCCAGGCAGAAATTAAACTGAGGGATTGTAGGGGTGGAACCATGTATTTTTTCATCTAAATGGTCTTTACTGGGTTTAGCAAGTCCACTCTAATCCTATAATCATATTAAATATTTCTACATTGCAATCAATAGTAATAGTTTACTCACACTGTAAATAAGGTGGGTACATTTGCAGGTAATTTTAAACTTTATTATATTTCAGATTACTAAAATAGATTTCCTTAATTATAGGTAACTATAGGAAATCATGTAACTGTGGAAATCATTATGAGATTCGCCATGCAAGTTTCACAGAACTTTTAAATTATACATAGGTATAAATTGAGAGATCCCTAGGAAAATCTGTCAAAATATTAAACAAGTTCTGAACTTTTAAATTCCATTGTCCCATATTATTCTGTACTTTACCAGTGCGTTTGTAGCTTTGCTTTTCTACCTGCCTTTATAATTAAAATACTAAAAATAAAACAATAAAATTTTGTTTTCTTTAAGGGACTCTTAATATGAAATAAAAAGTGCTATTAACTTAAAAACGAATTCATTATTAGAGAAATTAACTCTTTGTTTGTAAAGAAATGATCTCATTTTTGACCAGCAGAAGAAGACTAGTTTAAAGTGGTGAAAAACTTCTTTCAAGATCCTAAATTCCTAAATTGGGAAAACTTGACTTCTCATACCTGGGATAGAAGGAGTTGTAAGTGTGGGAGTAAAGAGAGGGAAACTATAGCTTAAAATGGCTCTTCAAGTAAATGGTGAGACAAGACATCCATTTTCACTCACTTAACCTGTCAACTTGCCAGAACTGTCATGTCAGCACTCCAGCTAAACCACGAGGGCTGATCACATCCCATTATCTCATTTTTTAGAGAAAGATTGCATGAAGATGCCAATCAGAAAAAAAAAAAAAGAAAAAGAAAAAGAAAAACTTGAAACCAAGGAACAAATGTACTGATGCTGAAGGGTTGCTTAGTTAACGGAATTTTAATATGCAACTGCAATGTTTCTTAATAACATTAATTACACGCTTAGTAAGTCACCATCCTAGCTCATTAGTGCCTTCTTTTTGTTGTATTTTATCTGCTACCAGCAGAATGGGGAATATGTGATTGGCCTGTTACCATTAATGTTGCTTAATCTTTTTATAGCACTATTTAAAGCTGCTTGCATAAACATTTTCTAGGCAAGTACTACCTATGTATGCATATGCGTGTATCAATTAACTGCACCAACATTTGTGTGCCCCCACCACATGTAAGTGTTATGCTAGACCTAGAGGCAGCAGAAAGATAAATATAACAATGTATTTACTGACAAAGAGCTAACAGTTTTGTAGGGGAGATGAAAATAATAACCTCAGTAAATCTGGAAAGCAATACTTGCCATAAGTGAGATTTTAAAAGGCATTCAGATATATTTGAAATAAAAATGTAATATAGTTTGCTAGTTTATATATTTTTAATAAATCTAATTATGTACTATTCCCTTGAGTGACATTTAATATGTTTAAGCAAATAGTGTAGCAATTCAAATATCATGCATATGTAGGTGTAACACACATCATAAGATATATTTTACAGTATATGTATCATGACATCCCTGTCTACAAAGTGCAGCAACTTATGAAAATTCTGACTTTCTTCGAATACATAATTCAAAGTTAATGTGATTTTTTTCTGGACACAGCCAGTGAAACTTCTTAATACTAATCTCCTCATACCGTTTTGGGCCTAAGTATTTATATTATTCTGATATTTAATATTTATAGTACTTTAATTTTAAGTACTAATTAGAAATACTTAATATTTATTTTATTCTTATTTGAATAGGCTCCAAAAATAATGATTATTCAAACTTTTTGCTGTTTAGGTTAAGATAATTGAGTAAAGGCTTCACTTTCCTGTATTGAGTACAACAAAAGAAATGAATAATAAGAAAAAACTACTATAGCCCCAAAACCACAAATTATGAAGTACCCCTGCCAAATGCAGCAAAGTTTGAAGAAAGCTGAGGATGCACACTGGACACCAACATAACTAGCCTTAATCCTTTATCAATACCAGTTGCACAAAAATTATCTAACATCATTGTGAGAGCCCATCCCATGATCCTTTTATGGGAAAAATGATACTTAAAGTCAAGAGTGAGACATGGGAAATATGAGACATAACTGTAGAAAATAAGCTAAAATTCAGAAGGCGGAGAAAGAAGTATTGACAGAAAGAAAAAAAAAAAGCCTACTGTAGTTGGCAGCATTCTGAGGCCCCATGACCTCAGGCTTGCCCTTCCTGGAAATACTTTCATGATTATATTAGGTTACAAAAAATATTTTGAGATATACTTAAGGTTACTAATCAGTTGACCTCAGAATGGGTTGATTCATCAGCTGCGCCTTACTTAATACTCTGGATCTTTAAATCAGAAAGAGGCCTCGGAGAGCTACAAAGCAAAGCACATGAGGAATTCAGGGTGCCCCCGCTGGCTATGAAGGTTGTGGTGGCAGCAATGTGCGAAGGCTGAAGAGCAGCCACTTAACACAGTGAGTCACCCTGTCCAACAGCCAAGGAAATGGGAACTTCAGTCCTACAACCACAAGGAACCAGATTCCGAAAAACACCCCAAGGAACTTTGAAGTGGATTCCTCTGGACAGTCTCCGGAGGAGAGTGCAACCTGGCCAATATCTTGATTTTGGTCTGTGAAACCCTTAGGAGAAAACACTGTTGAGACTGCCTGCATTTGGGACCTATAGAATGACATTGTTTTAAATTGCTCATTGTGTGGTCATTTTTATGCAACAATAGAAAACTGACACACCTGAAAACCATCCTTATTATGAAGCAGGGAGTATAAAGGAGGATGAGGAGAGAGTCTTATAGGAAAATGCACACCCCTCATAACTTAAAAAGGGTGATTCTGTATCACCAGGCCTAGTACAATACTGAGAAGAACATAGTATGTTTTTAGTAAGATATTGAAAACAACATTCTAAATAAGGGTTATTGAATTACCCTGCTACTTCACATTTTCTCTTCTCCAAATATGCAAACTCTAGTCTTCAGAGCTAACCAGAAAATGAATAATCAGATAGGAACCAAAACAAAATCTATGCAAAACGAAATTTAACAAAAACCTGTATATTAACCAATTACTTATTTAATTCATGACAGAAAATGAACATAATTAATTAAAGAGAGATAAAGAACCTGTGTCTTCCAAGAATTACTCAAAGAAACACAGAAACAATTTAAAACAAATAACTTAGGCATCGTCTAAATGAAATTATATACAATGAAATCTCTCTTTTAAAAACGAAAAAAGGGTTACAAAGGCTAAAAGACAAGTAAAGATAAAGAATTTTATATTAGAGCTTAACAAGAAAATAACAAAAAACAAAAAAATTAGAATATATTTTAGAAATAAGAAATATATAATGATTGCAATTTTAAAAGTTAGAGACGCGGTATATTGTCATTGAGAAATCATACAATATGAAATAAAAATGATTGAAATTATTATAGAGAAGTTGATAAATGTGAAATTGAGACTAAGGAAAGCCAATATAACTAAGAAGAAATATAATTTGAAGAAATGAGAAAGTAAAACAGAAAAAAAATTCAAAGATAAAACAGAAGAAAAGGTTATTGAAATAAAGCAAGTTAAAGCATAGAACTGGCAGATTCAAGTGGCTTGTTGCGTCCTAGAAATATTACCTACAGGATGATCATTACCAAGATATAACTGAGCAAAGTTACTTGAAAGAAAGGACTACATGCATATTCATATGGTAAAAGAAAATCCCAGCCAAGAAAAAAATATATTTTTTGTTAAGTTTCAGACTACACTATAATACCATTCAATACCAAGACAATAGGACATTTTTACCAAGTTCTGAGAGGAAAAAAAAAGAAAGAAGTGTGAGAGTAATTTAAGACCCAGCCTCTCCTCCTGTTCAATGGACAGACATTGCCAAGTACACAAGGCTAGAACCAGCTCAGCCTGAGAAGTAACCCGCGCTTGTGTTTCACTTTAGAAATGAACATTAGCTTAAGATATTTTAAACGTTTCACATTATGGAAACTCAGTTGGAATATAGAAGATAAAACAGAATGCCTTTTTTAAACTTACCATTTAATCAAAACATATGGAGCAACGGAAAACCTGATGCTTAATAATAAGTAAATGGGACTCTGCATAAAGTAGCTAATTAGTGCCAGGTGCAGGAAACATTAAGAGCTCTCAGGAGGGAGATGATTACCTCAGGTCATGGGGTAACAGCTTGTCCAAAGAAAAGGGATGCAAGAAACAAAATTCTAGGTCTCCTTTCAAGGTACACTTAGAACATCTTTTGCAAAAAGTGCATCCAAACATGAAAAGGTTCATACATAATACCTTTAAGTTTTCTTATTTTAAAAAACTGTGATTTTCCAATATCCAATTATGTACAGCACATTATATTTTCCAAATTTCAAGTTGGGGTGGGAGATGGGGGTATCAAAATATTTGTTACATTATTCTTCAAGTAATGTCAGATTTATAATTCATGCTGAATGAATTTTTCAATCACAAACCATTTTTTTTTTTGGACTTCTTGGTGGCCTCAGAATAGACTGCTTTCAAACATGCTTTAACAAAACTTTGCTTCGACTCATAAAACAGAACTTTCTAAAATAGTATATTTAATTACTGTGGTTAAGCAGTTGAAACATTAAAAAAAAAATGTCCCTGTAGATTTCTGTTTAGAGTAGTGGCTGCTTATTTTAAAAAATAATTTTTAAATGGTGAATTTTGCCAAAAAGCATGTGTACTTCTTATTACTTCTAAATTCTTGTGTGGCCAATTACATTCTTCCATCAAAAGGAAGCATACTTTTGGGTCACTAAGTTAGAAAATACTTAGAAGTTTCCATCAAGTTGTGAATTGTCAGTTTGTTTTTTGATATTTTAAACAAGTTTCACGTGAAGTACTCAGCTTTCAGTTTTATACTCCAGGCAATCAGCATCTAGCATATGGTATACAAGTCACCAAACGGAACAGGACGGCTTCGTAAGCAAGGCATCTGGTAGATTCCACAGTTCCTTTCCAAATTACTCATCATGTTTTGAGTTGCTGCTGGGAAAAAATGTGGTGCCCATCTCCAAAATAGATGTTCTTTTTTTATTTTTAGGCTTGGGAGAGGCTTCCAATAGAAAAATAAGACAGATGGGTATAGGAAGCAAGATATTTTTCCCAATTTAGACCATTTTCTTCTGTCAGTTTCCTCATCAGAAGAGTTTTCCAAATAAACAAATGAATATTTCAGCATTCATAGTTAACTACATCCTACGATGTACTTTTCTTTTCATATAAAGAATGCCTTTGGAATAGTAAAACGTCAAAACCACAGGAAGGGCTTGTGGATTTTTAATTATTAAAGTGATAGTTGCCTAGATTTTGTGGCAACCAGCAAATATGAACGTTAGATTAAAGAGCTCTTTCTGACCCACTGGTGACACTGCAGATGAGCAAGTGAAATCTGTAAAACACTTTCCTCTGTTGGCAAGTATATGAACGTCCGCTTTCAGTAATACCTCCCACACTAGAGCATCCTCTAAGTTCACCTAGAGGAAAACTCTGAATACAGGCCAGAGGTGTTTATTCCAACTGTGACTGCAAGGAGTTGCAAATTCTTTAACACAAATGCATCGCACAAGAGTCATCCATTTAGACAAAATTCTCAGTTTGGGGGTTTGTAATGATTTCTAAAGGGGGCTTTCTACACAGACCATCAAGAAGTTTCATCCAGTGAGTAATGTAGTGAGGGTTTCTGAATCTCTAAGTATTCCAGAATCTGCAATGATTGCTAATTTTCATTCAAAAGCTCTAGGCAGAAACTATGATCTGAAATTTCTCTAAACGTTATATGCTTGGTACATATTTCTTCATCTAATTTATATTGGAACTACAAGCTGTTTTTTTCTCCCCTTTCTGTGGCCTCTACCTTGCAGAATGCCCTTTATGCTATTGCTAAGAGCTGCAAAGTTGAAAAATGTGCTTTTTAGTGCATTAACAAATATAAATAATAATGTAGTTTTTCTATGATTTTAATATGTAATCATTATTTTACTTGGCTTATACTTTTTGACCATACAATAAATGTTCAGATATCTATGTTCTTGAATTAAAATTGATGTAAGAAGTAGATACAAAAAAAATGAGGCTAATTGCCTTATTATGTGTCTTCTTTGGAAATCCAATTAAAACATATCCAACATTCAGTTTTTAAAATTAATAGTAGTTGTCAAGTTTAAAGTATAGTTCTTTATATTTCTGAACATTGTCATAAGTCATTTGAGATAGATTTATGAAATGACAGACTTCCCCAGAATAAAGTACAATGTGTCAAGAAGCTATTCTTTAGTTCCAGTCCAATGGGAATTTAAGAAATCATTTCAAACGGGAATAAAAAATGGAAATAACTTTGGAAACATCTTGCAGATGACAGATACATCTCAATACTCTGTGTATATCACATTTTCAAATCAATGTACTTTTTCCTACATTTAAAGATTTTAAATATATTGGAAATTATTAACATACTATTCTATAACATAAATCAAGTGCTCATGGTATATTGGCATGAGGTTTCTGTGTACAAAGATCTGTACTTTAAATGGTGATTTTTCCTTTTCATTTGAAAAGTCATTAGCTTATAAGTACAACTGCTGCCGATGCAAAACCAACCTGTATTTTTTAACACCTACTGTCATCCTTTCTATTGAGAAATGTTTTCAATCATTCATCTATTTTCATATCTCCTATAAATACTGTAATGCTTAATATCTTTAAAAAACTTCTAAATAAGGTTGCAAAGTTTTTGTATTCCATAGTCATCTGAAAAAGTGTCAGATCGTTCTCAATCTTTCCACTTCATATATTTTATTTTATATATAATCTATATCATTGTTGTATATAATTTATATATAAATCTTTCCACTTATTTTATTTTATTATATGTAATAACATGCTTTCTTATTTGACACATAAATGAGTGAATTTCTGAACCTGAAAACTAGCTCACAGATGTTGAGAAAAAGAAATCTGAGAGTGGTCATGTATTCTACCATCAGCTCTTTCTTTGTCTGTTGCTGCATCATCTTATTCTTTCTCATTCTTTTCTTAATTTTGTGTGTCATTCAAAAGATACATAAAATTATCATTAACAGGAATCCCTACAAATACAAGAAAATAAGGCTTAAAAATTATTACAATATATTCTTCAATTTTCAAACATCAATTGTACAAACCACAATTGATTTCATCAGTTTCAAAAAACACCCTGCAGTTTATGTTTCAATTAATTGTGAACCATAGCTTTATTTAAAAAATATTGAAATGTGAAGTCATGCCTCAGAAACTAGGCATACGATAGCTACCAACATTGGCATACAGAATGCCTTTCACATATAAAATCAATCTTAAACTCAGTCCCCTCCTGCAACAGCTTTGATAAGTCAGTATTATTCTCTCCATTTTATAGAGGAGGTCACTGAGGATAAGGGATATTAAATTACTAATCAAAAGGGAGTATTGCTCAGAAACACCAGATCAGAAAGTCAGATTGGGAAACCAAAGTATATTTACCGTGTTTGCTGACAATGTAAAAACATACTGTCTAGCAACAAAGTCCATGACTCTTTCAACCGAAGGGGGAAAAATGTGTGAGTCTGAACCAACATATATATCAGGTGTCAATGATGTCAAGCTGGTACATGAAGGAAGCTTTTGAAGCTAGATGGACAATTTATAAAGCCCTCAAAATTGAATAAGTTGTTATTAAAGTACCTTTTTGTTATATTAAAGAAGCAGTGTACTAAATTTGGTCACTCTTTCATCCATCCATTTATGCATCCATCTATTCATTTACATGTAACACAATTACCAAAATTTATTTAAACATAGTTATTGGTGAATTAAACTTAAGCTTAAAAGAGATGCAGAAAGCTTACTAAGTCAATGAATTGAAAAATTTTATCTTCCAAATGTTTACAAATAATTACCACTTAAATATCTGCAAAAGCAAGCTGTTAACTTACTTAGATTTCACAAAGCCAAATGAAAAATAAGATATATTAAAACCACAAACACTCAGATTTCATGCCAAAGAACACAGCTCCACTATCCCTCCCCCACTTAGGGTAAGCATCTACTTAAAACATTTTACTTAATTTTGTTTAAATAGGCATGCAGGCAATAAATATGCAGCAGCTAAAAATATCCCTAAAATACTGGGACTCGGAGTAACTTAAAAGAAGTGTGGAAAGTCGTAGAATTTTTTAATTTAGTTCATAACTTTTTTCTTAACATCAAACATAACTAATAATTGATTATTTTATACATACAAAAAAGGAGAGCAATGCTTTCTTATTGTATCCTAATACAATATATTTTTCTCCTATAAGAAAAGCTAGCAGTTCATAAACATTTATCATTCATTTATTCTCTTACATAAAAATTGTTACCTACTTATTGCTATGTAGCAAAAGTCACTACAAAATTGTTTATCAAAGTGAGTAAAAAAAACATGAGCAACTTTTACAGCATACAGTCTCAAGTATTATTTTAACATGGGTAAAATAAATATATTTCATTCTGTCAAATCTTACTATGCATGAGTTATGAAGCACTGTGCAAAGCCATGCTTAGTGGATAGAAGGATGGCTACTTACCAACAGGGCGAGCTGTAGACATTACAATGGTGTGGTGAGAACATAAAAAAGAAATTAAAAAAAAGAAAGAAAAATTATCAGAATGCATGATGTGTAATGTTACATTTAAGTATGGACAATAGAGTGATTTCTAGTCTCACAATTCAAGTATGACCAAGATGTCTGAGTCTGATAAAGTTGAGAGTTATAAATATAATTCTAGGAAAATAATTACTTTGAGAACTGACTGTAAGCAATTTGAGAGATATTTTAGGTAAAGTCTTATCATCATCACTTACTGCAGTTATTATTTCAAAGATCTTGAGTTAAACAGTCTTGTGTTACCCCAAAGTTAAAAACCTGATGAATATAACTATTCAAGTCACAGACTAGCAAATGTCATGTCAATAAAAGAAGGCCTCGCTGTCTGATTTAAATAGCAATTGGATTTTAAGCATGGTTAGTCAGAACCATTACAAGGACTGCAGAAAAGCCCCTGACGCTGCTTTTCAGTCAGTAATAAGTTGAGATTACATCACTTTTCATCCATGGACAGGGTGGATGAAAATATAACAGATAGGTTGGAACATCCTTAGAGATTTCAACTCAGTAGCTCCCTAACTACTGTTAAGCTTTTTTCTTCTTCTGGCAGAGGGCAGGAAACAATGACTGACAAGTTGATTCCTGTTCACACTGAGAACGGCTTTCAAACTGCTGCTTCAACAAATTATCATTTTTTTATTATACCATAACTTTCAATCACTAAAATCAGTGGTAATAGGCTGCCCCTGTTATTAATGCAAATAAATTGTAAGAGATACACATGGGCTTCATAATCCTTTTTTAAAAATGAATAACACGCTATCAATTTAGACGGTAAACCATTTTATACAAAAGCAATAGACAAATATTGTGAAACATGTGATCCCATTATCCAAATGAAGAAACAATATGCTTAGTAGTATATGAAATTTCATGAAATCTGACATTAAAAATAGAATTTCTTCAACAGTGTTTCGCCCATACCTTAGTAGATACAGCTCTAGTGCATATGTAATGTGACTCTGGAACATACCAATAGTTTCGTGTTGATGATGGCTCTTCGGGCAAGATAGGAACAGCCATTGAAAACATATTTACACATATTCACTTAACAGATACATCGTAATACTAGCTTTGTGCAATCCATCTCTATGAGAGCCATGGTCTTATAATATTATTCACAATTAAAACAGGGAAGCTTCAGACCATAGGCAATAAGGCAATTGTAGCAGTGGTACGAAAAGCCTGGTTTAGTGGAACCCTAATGTGGCCTAACATATAGGGTGTGTTTGCTATAGCCAGAGGAAAAGAGGAGTGAGTTACCCAATGTACCACGATTTCTTTCTTTTTGCAGGGGAGTGAGGGGCAGAATACAAGATTGACTATCAAAAAGAGATAACAGACTAATAATGTGAAGTTGTGGCTTATTCTAACAGATGGAGTTTCTCTTAATTTTGCAAAATGTCCAGTAGAAAAAGAACTTTGTTTTTCATCTTTGAATTTGCTACTTTTCAGCTTGCCATCTCAAGTGAATTTAAAACATAATGTTTCCTTCAGAAACAAAAAGGCGTTTTGAGTGTAGGATATTGACAAAAGAAAAAAAAAAAAGAAACTGTGGTGAGAAATCATGTTTTAAACAAATAAAATGTATTTCTATTTTATTTTATTATAGAATAATTCCAAAAAATTAAGGCTTTAATGCTCTAGAAACAATATGATTTTTCCAATGAGATCTTTATGCAAAGCAAATTAAAAAATTAAAAATGGGTAAAATGTGCTTACAAATACGCAGTTTGTGTTGTCATTTTTAAGCCATTTAAAAAGTTTTATTAATAATAAATTAATTGATTAGAATGAAAATGCTAGGAGGTTTGTTGTTGACTGGCTTTATTTCTTCCTAATTTTACATTTGCCAAGTCAGCAAAGGGAGCTTCTTGATGTTCAGCCTCAATTTATAGTTTTTTTTTTTAAAGCATATTTTTGAAATGGGAAATAACTGAGTAGATCTGTTTCAAATTTTGACAATAAACTCTCTTACCTTTTCCCCAATTGGCTAATGTGAATGTTATGATAAAATTTTAGCAGAAACATCACAATACATTTTTTTGTCCTTGTTACATTAGCAACATTTCATCTTGAAAAAAAAAAAAAAAAACAGCAGGTGGATGTTTTCAAAATCAGCAAATTAAACACAACTGTGTCTCTGCATTAAATGGATGAAAATGGGCATGGCCTCTTGGGTCAGTTGACCCTGTTCTAATAAAACGATCCAAAGAAAGGCTGCACATTTCATTTATGTGCATAGAAAAATTAGCAAAGAAAAAAAAATAAGTCGTAGATAACAGTGTTGTCTTTTTTTTCCTGTTAATCTCTTAGCATGAGAAAACCCAAATGCTTTTCCTAATGGTAAAAAATAAATGTTTTTAAACAGTATTTTACTCTACATTATATTGCATTAAGGAGATTTTTTTAAACCCAGTTTTTGAGGTTTCAGTCTTAGAGAGGTGATAAATTCATACCACAAAGAATAAACACTCTAATCCATCTACAGTATACAGATTAGGGGAGAGGCTATTTAAGGTTTGCTGATTTAAGAAAAAAAAAACTATTGAAAACAAACAATGCTCTCTATTAGTTTTGTAAGTTAGCTTCAAACATCCCCGCATGAGGAGCATGCTTTGTTAAATGAAATGTTAAGCCTGAAACTTTCAGCAAATTATGAAAACAATTAGCTGGGAAAGGTCTTAAAGCAAACAGACCACTTCAAGTCTCACTCATCCAAGCATTCAAGTATAAAAGAAACCCTGCTGCTTCTACAAACAAACAACTCCTCACGTTTTCTCACCATTTGTTTAGTCAGCAAATATTTTTCGGATGGAGCATTTATTGGTTGGTTGTTTATTATTATTTTCCATTTACTTTAGAAAAAAAGAAAAAGAAAACTTCGGGGATAATTTGGTCTAGTGAATTGTTTTTGCAAAAAGCTGCCTAGCAAACATATGACAAATGTATGAAGTTATCCATGTAGAGTGTGGGTTAAATAAAGTGTGTTCATTGGCTTACAAAGGTTATCAGATTTTCATCCTACATAATCCATATATATATATATATTCAATTCATATATGATCATAGTCCTTTATGACCTGTTAACTAATGAAGAATGAAAATGTTTTTATGCAACTAGCTGTCAATTTTGTCTAAATATGTTTTGTATCTAAATTCACACTAGAATATCTACAGAAGAAAAAATGGATTTGGTGAAATATTGAGTAGTATGAAAAGCACCAATATTTTTCCAGGTACCCAAAATGCCTGTCTCCTAATAATAACCTGGAGGTAGTTGAGTTTTGTATGATTTGAAGCCCAAATCATAAACCTGGTAAAAATCCTTTTTCTTACCACGCGAAGGACTAACCTGAGAATCCCTCACACCTTTCCTGCAACTTCAAACTTCTCCGAACCTTTTTCCTAACCTTCTGAATCTCTTTGGGAGCAAAGCTGCACAAGGGTCAGAGGTATGACTAAATGGGGTAAGATGTAACTGAGACTTGGATGAAAACATGCAGCCAATCTCTTTATCACGAAGGATGAGAGAAGGAGGCACAGTTAGCAGTGGGAGAAAGGATGTGCTTGCCTATCTTTGTTTGATTTTCTAGGAGTGTAGATGATGCCATGGCTAATGTCTGTTTCAAGAATTAGTGTGAGTGTCTACTTGGTACTACTTGGTACCTTGAACTATGTAATTTCCCTCACGTGATCAACAAGTCCCACTGAAAAGACAGTTAATTTATTCTAGTGCACTGTGAAGTTAAGTAATGCTTTCTTTCACTTATAAGCAATTCCAGGGAGTCTATAAATGAACATTATTCCATGACTGAGGAAGTGCATGACACCCAGAAAGTGAAAGTTATTACAAGAGCAGCACTGACTATTTCAATTATTTAAGGCCAATGAACTTCACAAATCAGTCTCTAAATCAGATTATCTCAAGGCTGGAGAGCTCCTCTGTATTCATTTTCACCTTTGGAAGCATTGCTAGTTTTTTCAGATTGCTGTTTTGAATGCTGACATTAAAAAGGACTTCAAAACAGTATGCTACTAGTATAAAGTGACAAACTAGTAAACAGAAAGCATGAGAGTACTTTTGAAACTGATGACATTTAAAAGCAGTAAGTAGTTGAAAGCAATGGAAATGAAAGAGTAGTATAGATCTTTTCTATTTTTAAGATTTACTTTTAAGCCATATAAACTATTAACGTTAAACCATATAAGCAATTTATTAAATAAGAATTAATCTTTTTAAATTATCATCATTGGGAACCAAATATTGAAAGTAATTTTATTTCAACTAATGATAGAGAGGACACAAAATCTAGGCATTTTAGTACAACAAAACAGCATAATTCATTATTTTGATCGTAAGTTCACTTACCAATTTAACCAAATATTAGTCTCCTGGTTCAATTATCTTTGACATCTTAAATCTCTTACCTCGGACGGTGAGTGTAGCAGAGGCTTCCATTTTTCCAACCCGATTCTCAGCAATACACATATAGGTGCCTTCATCTGTACTCATGGTCTTTTTAATTCTTAGTGTGTAATCGTCTTTGATGTCATACCTGTGTAGAAAATGAACTGGTTTTATTAAATAGTAGTAGCTATACGGATAATAACATTAAGTATTCATCTTCATTTTTCTTTTTATACTGTATTTTACCTAAACACAAATACACACACACACAAATCAGCCACAAAGTGCAATTACTTAGATTAAAGATATTGCTAATAAATTCAATTTCATATCTGATCTTTAGCTGTTTGTCAGTTACCTATACTTCACATATGTATAGAATTCTTTCCACTTCGCAACTATCAAAGGCATAATTAGCACTTTGACCTTTATTTTGTAGCTCTTGACTGCTAAAGAAAACAGTATACATCTCAGTTTCTTGGTGAGTTATATTTCATTAGTTTGTTAGTCACATTGTGTTCAATACTATGATTTATTTTTAGGCACCTTGGCTATTAGAGAGCCGAAATATATTAAAGAACAAAATTTTTCTCTTATTTGTTGGCAAATTGACAAAATGGGCATTAGTTAAAAGAATTAAGGGTATGTAATCAATTTTTAAATAAGGAATATTAACTCCTGAAACATCAACATGCCTTGGAGTGATTTTTGGAAATGCACATCCTCAGCTCGTTCACGTGCATTTATGGTTTTACCTCCATTTCATTAATGAAACAGACTAAAAAAGTGGGTCAGAAAACATTATAACACCAAAAAATTTGGGAGTACTTGCATGAGAATATGTTCTTATTTAATTCTAAGAAATTATAATTACACAAACTAAATAATCCAGCTATCATTTTTTTCACATGTGATCTTTCCTCCTGATATTTACCTGTGGTTTTTATTTCAAACACACATTTTGCAATAGTTTCTGATTGGCCACCTTGCTTCTCTTCCTCATACATACCACAGTTAGATCCATGTTTCCAAATATCATTTTAATTGGTTGTGTCTGCTCAAAACTAGCTGTGACTTCCTATTGTTTTCAGGACAAATACAAACATTTTAGGCTTGCATTTAAAACTGCCATAACCAGATGTCTTCTACTTCTAGATTTAGCTAGAAGAATAACCCAGCTTAATTTTATTAGAGGCTAAGGCATGAACTAATACAGTCCTAATTTATAGACCTTGACATGAGAAAAAGCATTGTCTATTTACCAATCATGCCAACTAAACTTAACTACCCTTACTCTTCCATCCTTTAATTATCATGGTTACTTTTCTGTCTGCAAGTTTTGCCTTAAAATTCTGCTTATTAAATATGTCATAAGTGGTTAGGGAAAAAACTTATCCACTACTTTTTTATCCACTACTTTCATTGTGAAGCCATCCATTACCATACTATAAAAATCGAATTACTGCCTTTTTGAAAACTTATTGCTACAGCAATAATTCTGCACTTAGTTACATTTTGTATTGTTATCTATTTTGATGAAGGCAGACATCTTGTCTGCTTCACTCACTGCAATATCCACACTCCCAAACATAGAGTTTTTAACATCCAGTAGCAAAATCAAGTGGTTAAGAGCACAGGCTCAGGAGCAAAATGGCCAGAGTTGTATTCATGGACTTGGCCTCTTAATGTGCTTGTAAGAGTTGGCAATATACTTAAATTTTCTGGGTCTCTATCTCCTAATTAGCAAAATAAGTGCTAAAGATAACATCTATTTCGTGGAGTGAGTGTGAGCTTTAAATGACATATAAAGTACTTAAAACAGGCACACAAAAAGCACGATACATGTTAGCTATTATTATTCCACTACTAGGAGCTCAAGAAACACTAGTGGTGAATACATGATACATATCTTGTTTCCTACTGATATAAAGGCCAACTGTGAATGGCTTCAATATTTCAAATTACTTTACCTGAGTATAGTTTAGAGCAAGTACTAGGCTAAAATGCATGCAGATAAACACTTTCTGTTTAACTTTGCCAGTAAAAATGTGAGAAAAACAATTATTTTGATAATGGCCTCAGAAAAGTTACTGGTGATGTATTTGATGTCTAATAAAAATAATCTTTTCTACAGTTAGCCTATGAACTGCATGACATGCTTAGCTGTAAGATAGAAACATTTAAATACTGTATTTTGCAGCCATTTCCAATTCATCTAAAAACATTGAATTCTTGACCACTGTTTAGCTATTTATTCTTGTTGTCTGACTTTCAGAAGTCTCTACATTGCCCTATAGCTGAGTTTTTTCAAGAGCTACAAGAGGGGAGATAAAGTTAATGGTCTAAAAAGTCTTTTCTGGATCAATATATATGTGAAGCCATGATTCCAAGTTAATAAAAGATACCTATATTGTATATTATTTCGATTGGTCATTGAGAAAAAAATTGTATGTTACCTCCAGTTAAAAAAAATTATTGCACACATTGTTCATAGTATCTGCAAAACCTTATTTGGAATTAGAAATTGTTATTTTATAGATGAGAAAACTGACACTTAGGCAAATAAAATGACCTGTTCAAAGTCATGTTATCAATAAATAGAAAAACCAGAATTAAAACCCTGACTCTGAATGTGTCACTTTTCTCATTCTATGTGTACTTCTTCTCTGCAAGAAAATAGTTTAATTTTTAAATGCTAACTTAAAACAGTAAGACACATAAGTACATAATTTGGACAAAAATAATTTCATATTCAGCAAATATTTAGTTATAGCATATGACAAAATTTTACTTCACATTAGAGACATTCATTACACAGAAGACAACACGGAAGCTAAATAAAATGTAAAAGTGATCTCCTGCTTTAGTTAAAAGAAAAAAACCTGTTTATTCAAATCATCAGAGAACTGCAAATCAAAACCACAATGAGATACCATCTCACACCAGTCAGAATGGTTACTATTAAAAAGTCAAAAAATAACACACGCTGATGATGCTGTGGAAAAAAGAGAATGCTTACACACTGCTGGTGAGAACATAAATTAGTTCAGACATTGGGGAAAGCAGTTTGGAGATTTCTCAAAGAACTTAAAACAGAACTACCATTTGACCCAGCAATCCAATTACCGTGTATATACCCAAAAGAAAATAAATCGTTTTACCAAAAAACCCCACAAGCATTTATATATTTATTGCAGCACTATTCATAATAGCAAAGACATGGAATCAACCTAGGTGCCCATCAACAGTGGATTGAATAAAGAAAATGTGATGCATATATACCATGGAATACTACACAGCCATAAAAAAGAAGGAAATCATGTTCTCACTTATAAGTGGAAGGTGAAAATTGGGTACACATGGATGTAAAGATGGAAACAATAGACACTGTGGACTACTAGAGGAAAGAGAGAAGGAGGGGGTTAAGGGCTGAAAAACTATCTGTTGGGTAGTATGCTCACTTTCTGGGTGATGGCACAATTTGTACCCCAAACCTCACTGTCACACTATATACCCATGTCACAAACCTTTACATGTACCTCCAAATCTAAAATAAAGGTTGAAATTTAAAAAAAATTAAAAGTTTTTATTTAAAAATTACTAAATACATAATATTTGAACCCAAACTAAGTCTGAAATCTGACTTCCTGAGATTTTTTTATCATTTTAAAGGAAGGTGGAAACAAGAATAGGAATAAGATTTTGTTTGTTTGTTTTTTAATTAATGGTACGTTGATCAGGGATAAAAGTAATTGTGCATTCTATGATTGCATATTACCTTCCTTGTGAAAAGTTAAAATTAAATATTACTTGGGAAGAATAAAATGAATTAATCTTAACAATTAATAAAAGAGACTACCTTTCAAAGAGACTGTGCCATTAAAATAAAACAGCAAATCTATTTTTTTTCTACCTATAGAACAGGTTTTCAGATACAGATTGTAAAACTATGGCCAAGGCCAATAGTCTGGTGACATGGGCCAGGTTTGTTAGAAAACATGTAAGTACGGAAAGTAACTAAATCCATTCCCAATGAGATAGGTATGCTTTGGAGTAAAAAGAAGTTTTGGGTAATAATTTTTAACGGTCTAGCCTATAACAGTGCCCAGCATAGTTCCTAGGAATTAGTAGATGCTCATTATCATTGTCATCTTTTAATTTCTCCTTGAGGATCACTGAAGTTGGAAAAGATTATAATAAACATTTCATTATTTTATTCAAGAAATGCTGATGACATATCTACGCATTGCACCAAAATTTGGGGATACACAACTTGATAGGATTCAGAGCCTAGTGAAATGATGTCTCCACATTAGGGTAGATCAGAGCTACCTCCTTGGCTCTCTCCAGCTAACACACATTTCCCAGGGCCATGCCTTGTCTTTCTCCAACTAGAAGTAAATGCTACAATACATGTCTTGTTATGTCCCATCACATTGGGATGTTGTAATTTAAAAACAAACAGACTTTGAGTACTTAGTTATTGAAATGCTCACAATCTTTTAAATTCTCATTTCTCGCTGAATCTTTGCCTGAGGAAAGTCTGCAAGTATTATCAGCAGTTTATGTGATGTATTTATATCAGAATACTTTGAATATATATAAAGTGATTGACTCGTTAGGCTAAATGAAATCTTTAAAAGTTCACCTTCTGCAACTGTCCATCAACACTTGAATCCTGTCTGCAGCATGCAACCAATCAGTCCTCCCACTTGCTCCTGTGACAAGGGGTCTATTCTATCTTTGAACATCTCTATTAGAAGATCTTCTATATATGATAACATATGATAACTTTTCTTCCCAAAGTTACTACTGATAGTACTACTCCTTGTGCCAAACAGAAAAGTATACTCTCTCTCCTACAAGACAGCTTTTTCAATTTTGGGTTTCTTATGAATTATCTCATCTTCAGGTCAACTATTCCTAATAACAGCAACCATATACTGTACAATAATCCCCTTTATTCAGAGGGAAAATGTTCCAAGACTCTTAGTAGATGCCTGAAGCCACAGATGGCACTGAACTACAAATACACTACACGAGACAGTCAATCTGATAACCGAGAAGTTCTACTAAGTGACTCACTGGAAGGTAGTGTGCATAGCGTGGATATGCTGGACAAAGGTGTGATTCGTGTCTTGGTGGAATGAAGCTGGCCAGTGAAAGCTTTCATCATGTTACTCAGAATGCTGTGCCATTTACATCTGATGAATTGTTTATTTCTGGACATTTTCATTTAATATTTTTGAACCACAGTTGACCAAGGGTAACTGAAGCCACAAAGAGAAAGTACAAAACTGCAAATCAGAAGGGACGACTGTAACAGCAGTTATTTTATGTAAGGGTTTCAAAGGGAATTAAGAGCTTCAGTACAGATTTACTGATTGATAAACATAAATCTGATTATGTCACTGAACTCTTCGAAACTATCCAATGGCTTCTCATTTGGTCACTCAGAATAAAACCTATTTATTTACGGTGTTTAAAGTTTTAGATAATCTGGTCCTTGCCTCCCTCTCAAACTTCATGTTCACTATTTTCCAGTCACATGGCTTCTCTTCTACTTGTTCAATGTAAGAAGCCAGTTCTGTGTCTTTGTAGTACTTTTGCAAATTCTTGGAATGTTCTTCCCTTGTGTTTTCCATGGCTGACCCTTTTTGAATTTCAGGATGACCCAAATATCATTCCCTTATACATGTCTTTCCTGCCTAAGAATTCTAGTTGCTATCCACCAATCCAGTTACTTTTAAAAAATTACTTTCTTTTTAGTCTTTGCTTTCATCTTTCTTTTGTCACTTTTTAATACGTTTTATTTTCTTCAAAGCACATATCTTTACCACATCTTTTGTTTCCTTATTTCTTGTCTTCTTTATTTCCAAGAGCATGTATGTTCCATGGGAATGAGGACTGGTTCTCTCTTGCTTTAAACTGTATAGCCCAAGTCTAACCAAACAGTGCCTGAGATATTGGAGGCGTTCAATGAATGCTTATTGAAAATATCATGATGCATCAGCAAATGCTTGAAATTCTCCTCTACTTCTTTATAGCATGGTTACCAGTGCAACAATTATATGCAGTACTGAGAGATTAACTAATTTGAAATATAACAAGATATTGTATCAAGAAGCATAGTAATGTTGTGTTTATATACCAGCAATTAGCTCTGAAATGTAACTTAAATTCATATTGATATGATACTGAAAATGTAAGAACTTGGAATATTTAATTCGTTAATGCTACTAGCTATATGGAGATAACTTGGCAATTTGAGTGGCAATCTACACATATGGTTTACATATTATCATTAATAAATTACCCTCTGTAAATTAGTAACATGAACAAATAAATAATTTCTCTCTCTCCGCCAAAATAAATGAAATAATTTTAGCAGAATGTATAAAACAAATGTGAAGACTGAGAGAAAACAATGTAAGCTTTGTGTTTTGTTCCATGCTTTCAAATATATAAGCTCATTATTTTGGCAGGGAGCTTTCAAGTCACATGTCTTATGAAAATAAAATATGACAATAAAAATATATTTGCCTAGTATTCTCAAATATACTCTTTCATTTATACTTTTAACAATTCTGGTAGGTAAAGTGGGAAGCTATTATTTCCCCCATTTTAAAAATTAGAAAATGTACATATACAAAATTCAACCTGAAAGCAAACCATATAGCTGTTCTTAGATGTTTATAAAATCTGGCATAGCACAAATTGGGATATTATTTTCAATTTTATTCCTCGTTTCTTAACAAAGGAATTATAGCATGTGTAAAAATAACAATTTCAAAGAACTTCATTAAAGTCTAGAAAACCATGAAGATATGAATGAGTGAACATGAAAATATTCAGCTAATCCAATATTATTCATATTAAAAGAGAACATATGGAGCCTAAATAAAGTACCTCTATGATAATAGATAAAAATACTCTTTTATTATGCAATAATAAGAAAATACATGAAAATTGGTTATTTCAAGACACCAACAGATCATATATTCTGAGACATAGTAAAGAATTTCAAAATTATTGAGCCTAGTCTAATGTCCTAATTTTAATATTAGAAAAATAGTTCTTTGTTATCCAGTGCCCTGGAATTCATCGGTAGCAAAGGTTTAGACCGTATTGGAATCTAAGTCTTCTGGCGCAATTTTCATCAACTATATTACAAAGATTTTTACCCAGCTTTTTACCAAGGGACAATATAGGCATTCAATTTTTAAAAATCCTGATGTATGAATCCATATAAGGAAATTAAAGTAAGCAGGGGATATACTACCAAAAGAGTAGCTGCTTCTCAGAATTTTTTCCTAATGGGTTCAAAGAATAAATGGTTAACATCACAGTTAAGCTTTTAATGGCTGTTGTTACTAGAATTCAGGTCTCATGGTCTGGGTACTGAAGTTTATCTTAGATTGTATAAATTTGTAGTTGTGTGTGTGCGTGTTGGCCTAGTAATATTTTAAAATTATTTAAACAATTGACATAATTTAAAACGTGGACATTTTTAACATACAGATTTGAATTTTCAAATCAAGATGTCTTACTCCAAAGTACAAGCTCTTTCGGCTTCCTCACTCTGCTGACTCAACAAACCTAATACAATTGTACACCATGCAGACACTACTGTTCCTCCCAACATCACCGACCCACTATGGCAGTCGCTAAGCACCTGCAAAAATCCCGGAAGACTCAATCAAATTATGATACCTTTATGAATATTTACCTTAAGTGTCTCAGGTCAGAGAAAGGATAGGCCTGTAATTGTGATCAGATTAACTCCTATCTGCAAAAGCTTAAGAAATATAAAGACTATTTTTAAAGAAATTATGTCTAAGTAACTTCAAAATCTAGAATGTAAATAGTTGGCTCATTACTAATTTCACATGTAGGCAATCTGAAGCAAAACATGACAAAGTTTCTTTCCCAAAACCACATATGGAGGCAGTTATAGTTGGGGAAAAAACTCTTGTGACTATCTACTACCAGTCTCTGCTTTCCCTCATGGGTCATGGTTTCCCTAAGACAATAATTTGCTCCCTAAAACTAATAGGTTTCAAGTATTTTCCCAGGTCTAACAGATGTGGCCTTATTTCTTAGATTTCTTTCAAGATACATTGGTCCATGTTTAATATTAATGTCATTGTAACCATTACATTGGAAAATTGGGAAAATATGCATTTCTCCCTTCAAAGCAAATATTGACAGAGTGATACAATAAGTTATAAATAATATTTCCTTACATTTAAAGACATCTTTATAGTGTACAACAGGGCTTTACATATAATTGCACAGCAGTAAATAACTTAGAGAAAATGTCTGTTTCCAAACACAATTTTACAGAAAATGCTGACATTGTTCTCTCAAGTTATGAAGTGACTGGAACTCTTTATAAGTACATTTATTTTTCTAACAAACAGCAGCATGCATTTTCTATTGGATGTGTGTGTTTATTGCTCTGTGTGCATTTGCATTGGGCAAGTAGGTATTTATGTACTGCCGACTTTGTGTTCAGTTTCAAAACCTCCAGAAACTAACTTTATCAATATTTTTTCTCAATATTCCTCTAACACCAAATGTAACCCTGGGAGGTTCATAAATGTTTTTCCTGATGTATATTTCCTTTAAAATTATTCTCCTATTAAACAATCAAAGGTATTTATATTTTGCTTTTAATTGCATTTAGCATTCTTTAAGAAGTCTAGAATAAATTTTCAATAAGTGGAGTTTATTTTGGTATGAAACAGCTACTTTGTAACATGGTATAATATTATATTATATATGATCAACACAGGAGGTTGATCATATGTAATGATCAGTGTCAATGTAGAAGGTATCATTGGCTGTAATTAAAACCAAGAAAAAAAGAAACAGATGAAAAAACATTACTGATGAGGAAATTCAAACAGAAATTTGGTGATTTTCATTTTGAAATCTGCTAGTCTTTGACTTAAATAAATGCAGTCATTGTTGCCAAGTTTGATTAATGAGAGTTGTACAATCGTGTGCCGACAGTCCCCACCATAGAGATACCTTATTTTTTCTGATATGAAACACTGCTGAAAAATGCAACCCAATCAGATTTGGCCCCTGGACAACGTGTGCTATCATCACTGTACCGTGAATTGAGATTGATTGGTAACCAGCTGTGACAAAGTGGAAAAGAAGCTCTGTGTTTTTGCAGGGTTTTTTTCTCAAGGAAGAAAAAAAGAAAACGAAAACTGAATTGTGTCAAAATCATTACCATCTGTTCAGCTGAATAACAAACAAAACAAAGTAAATTTATTTTAATACTTAAAACCCACAGTTTGCATGCAACATTCTGTTTGTGTGTGATCTTATATTTGATGAATAATCTTAAAAGCACTTCAAAAGAGAAATATTAAGTATGTTTTAAGAAAAAAAGTACTACACTCTAAAATCATTTCCAAATTTAAATAAAAGAATCTATGTTATTTTTTCCTCATAAACATACCTGCTTTCCTACCTAGTGGAAAGATTTCCTATATGGCTAAATTTATTTTTAAAATATCAAACAGGAATTGAAAACTGGCAAAATTTTATAACCACATTTCATTCATTACTCATACTTTGCAATTCCTGATGCACATTAAGCCTCAAGGGTAGGAACTTCTCATGATTTTCTAGCTTTTAAGAATATAATTCAGACAATTTAGGGACTCCCAAGCCTTCCACAATGAACACAGAATTTAGGAGGAGGAAAAAATTAAGAAATATAAATTAAAATTTTTATTACCAACTGGAATTTTATCATGCTCAGTTCAAGCCTGTGTATCTCATCACCTTGTTTGAATTATGTAAGGACTCTATAAAACTTCCTGACTGGCCATTCTCATCTCAAAAGCACCTTTGTTTTTCTTGGAAGGAAATGTATTTTCTCAACATGTTTAGTTTTTGAAATCACCTACTACTTCTTATTATAAGATTTCTGGCTCCAATTCTAGAACAAGTGTTTTGAATTAGCACTTAAAATTTTATTATGCATCTGCTGTATTAATCGTTAAGTTGGCCAATAGTAAAAACTATGAATTGAACCAGGAAACATTTAATGTCTATATGAGTAAATGTTTCTTTCCCTTTAAGGAGACTTGAAAGGTTTGTTTTCAATTTTTGAAACACTTCCACTCAATTCAAATAGCCGAAGGTCAACCTATACCTTTCAGACTCTTTCAGAAAGTAAAGGTCTATAATTATAGGCATTCCATAGTTCCATAATTCAAGAAAATTTCACTATGGAGCTTTCTATGAAAATGTCACATAGTGTAATGTCTTACTTTCAACAGAAGAATTTTTAGGAGAAAATCACTTATTCATCTTATGGAACCCTGTACTGATTTTTTATACATACAAACTAACTAATCAGTTCCACTGTACCATGTTATGGACATGGAGATACATCCATCTAGAACTTAGTGACAGTGTTATTCAATTACATTAAAACATGCATTTTAGTAACTCACAAATTTATTCAAGGCACGCTTCTATGAAATATAAACTTTCCTGCAGAAACTTAAATCTTTTACCTCTTTCAATTTTGAGAGCTGAAAATAGGAAAAGTTGCTCAATTTTTCTAAAATGCTCTCTCCATTCACAATTTTTCAAGTAATATCTTTGCACAGGCAACACTTGAAACTCCTATTAAGAATCACATAAGCACTTCTCGGCAATCTAATTCCATATGATGCTTTCTTAATCTTCAATATTTAAGGTGTATTCTAAAGGCAAGCTCTTACTTAAATCACCTTTGAGGTCTAAGACCCCAAAACGAACACAATAAGCCATTATTTTGTTGGTACAGACTGAGTCTATGTTTTTAATCTTTAGACAACCACAGGTCACACTTTTCTTTTTATCTATAATTATAATGCAGGCTAATGTTCACAGTTTGGGTGAGGTGAATATTTGCCAGTTCTCTTAGGGATGAGGTTGCAAGCAACTTCTGGGCAGGGCACCTTAGAGAAGTATGAGAGACGGATACCCTTTTAAGAAAATAAAAATTTTCACAGCATTCATTGTAAAATGAAAGAAAGAAAAAATCCTGGGAGGTTACACTTGCAGGGAAATAGTAAGAAGCAAGGTTATCATTCAAGTGTACTTGCTGTTCTGTTCTGAAAGCCTCTACAGAAAACCAAAATGAAACTTGAAATATGATGGCATCCTTATCTTGTCTTAATTAGCCAAACCAAACAATATTTTAGCCTCTCTTGACTTCCCATATTCTACCATTGCTTACCTTCATCCTCCAGTGACCACTGGCTCTCTCTTCGGCCTGACTGAAAAACGCAAACCCCTATGCTAATCTTCCTTTAGCACAGCTGAGAGAGCAAGGCATTTTCCAGCTAAAAAACTAAGCGAAGACATACAAACAAAAAAGATGTTCACCGCAACAGGACAATAGTTGATTTAATGAAGTGCAGATTTCAGCTCATAAGGTAACTAGGCCCAAAAGACTAGGACTTGAACCGATGCCAAGGAATTTGGGTACTGACCACCTTGGAGCTAGAGCCTCTCTCTGGAGTGTGGGCAATGAAACCAAACTTCAGCTGGGCTCTTTCAGACATCAAAGCATCCTGCTCACCCTAAACCAGAACTCCTTTCAAGTTTTAACCAGTGTAGCCTGTGGCTGTCTTCTGAGTGCCCGTCTCTCCCATCTTACATTCCCATGGTAGACATGGGAGGCTCCAGGGATTAATTTTCTTGGCAAATTTGTGGCCAGCTGTAAAGTTCCCAGCTCGTTGTTTTTGTTCATCGCCCAAGTTTCCATCTTCTCCTGTCATCTCATTCTCTTGTATTTCATTTCCTCTGAAATGAGTTTCATCTCCTCTAAAATAACCCCTCACAAAATTTTTGTGGTCATCTCCATGAGGATTTTTCACTGTGCTTGCTAAACTACCTGTTTCCTGATTTGTGAAGTGTCCTTCTTATCTGTCTTTCTCAGATATTTCTTCTTCATGCCTTAATGCAAATCTGGGTCTTTACTGAGGGTTTGCCCTCTGGAGTAAAGGCGGAGGAAGAAGGAAAATGAAGACCACGCCTCCAACCATTCCAAGCAATTACTCCGTGTCTGACATAGAGCAATTACTCAATAAATATTACTTGAATGAGATATTTATTTTCTGCCGTGCATATAAAATACAGCAAACCAAAACAAAATTCAGCTTCATTGAGTATCATGTCATCCAGTTTTCAAATGAAATATTTAGAATTTCTTCTTCCTTAAAATGATAATTAACAGGCCCTATCTCACAGGGCTGTTATAAGAACTTAATGACTCAATACATTTTGAGATTTGCACAAGGCACATAGTAAATCCTCAATAAATGTCACCTAACATTTTCCATAGCTGAACTCACTTCATTCTTATAACCTCCTCCAGTGATATTATTGTCTCCATCTCTCTTTGGCCACTGACCTCTCTGGCTTTTGAAATGGCTCTGCCTTTGAAATCTGAGGTTCAAATGTCGGATCCTGCCATAATCTTGGTTGTGTCTTCCTCACTTATTCAGTTCACAGACTGAACCTCTTCCTCCATGTCTATCAACCCTTTGTATCTTCTTTATTTTCTCTACCCTGCTTAGATGTCGTGGTCCATAAGTTGCTTGTCTATATCTTCAGTTATCTTGTTCCATAGCTTTAATGTTCCATTTGCCTGGCAAAACCCCAATTTTATGTTAATATAACAGTTTACTGTCTTCTTTAAATATATACAGTAGATTAATAAAAACTCCAATTCACTCTTGACTGGCTCTCTGGAGGGCTCAGGGAATAATTCAAACTTCTGAACTCAGTCTATATGTGACATCCTCATTGGTCTCTGGCCACTTCACCAGTCCCCTCCTATACTCGAGCACTCAACTATACCCCAGAATTCTCGGGCTGTCTCTTGCATCCCTGCATA